>NC_000002.12:67292625-67917625 GCF_000001405.40 Homo sapiens
GGGTAAACATTTTTCAAAGTAGCCACTGAAATGGATAGTGGAAGACCAATAAACCCTCTGGAAAGAGTGTGAGGAGACAAAGGCCCCACATACTCCATCAAGAAAGTAATCATCAATTTCTCTGTAAGGTTTCTAAAGGGAACACCAGAGAAATTTCATATAGTAGAATCCTTATTAGTAAAAAAATTGTGGCTATCTTGACATTTGGCCACTTCATTAATTATTGTGATTCAATTAAAGCAGTTTTTTAAAGACAGGAGGAGAGTTGACTGATTTTTTCAATGAATTAATTTTTGTTCAGCTTAAATATTCTTATTATTTTTGTAATCATTTAACAACATCAATAACAGTCACAGTTTTATTTGTTTTATAGAATGCTTCCCCATAGGTTATATTCTTAACTACCACAATGGCATTTGAGCTCATATTGTAGACTTAATTTTTTAAAAAATGAGGCTGAGAGATCACACGACTCCTGCAGATTTTCACAGTGCATAAATAGCAACTCCAGAGATGTCCCCACACAAGCATCTCCTTTCTGCAGAATTGTCCGGGTGTTTTGGGCATGCATTCTTCATAAGTTCGGTATTTTAAAATCAGAAGTGAGTCAATGACAGACTTTCTTTCTTTAAAAAGGAAAAAAAATAGTGATTTTTAATATTTTAAATTAGGAGTAATTAAAATGTCCTACAGAAAGGCCTGTGCTGATTCTAACTTTCACTCAGTGAAATTGAAATAATCTAACTCCAGAGGAAGCTTCAAGCAATTGAAAGAAGCCATGAGCCTTCCATTTAAACCAGTTCAATGTCCATCTCTGGTGTCAGAAACTTGAAGAACATTCACATTTTCCATTTGCTTTATCAATAGCTACCTCAATGTTTCTAAACTATCCATCACAATAGTGCTTAGGTAATTAGACAGAGGCGCTCTGGCACTGTATTATTTAAACATCATTTCCACGCAGCACAGTCAGCCCTACCATGTGCCATTATTTTGATGGGCTTCTCATCACTTAAATGATGAAGGAGAAAAATTACAATTTCCTCTAAATTCATTTGTAGATACTTGCACAAATAATGTTTGGCTATGATCATCATAGTGAACACTGGCTGTATGTCAACTAAATCCTTGGAGAGAATTTTAGCTCAATTGATGGTCCTAGTTAATTTCCCATAGGCAATTGTGAGAACTCTCTTCTTTCAAAGTTTGTTTTTTTTTCTTCTTTTTTTAGTGTTGGAAATCCCTTGCAAATTCACTTATTTTATTGGTTCTTCTTTTATTTCATTATCTATGGTCTACATTAAGATAAAAAAAATCCTAGGTGGTCTTAAACCATTGTAATTAGGTTTGGAGACTGGCTCTTTGTATAGTCACCAGATGAGGAAAAATGTGTGAAAAATTGGGAGATGTTTAATCTAGGGCAGAGGTTGGAAAATTACAAATCAGTGCCACCAAGTTGCTTATAAATAATGCTATAGTGGGTCATAGCCCTGTTCATTCATTTACATATCACCTACATTCACTTTCACCCTTTGATGGCAGCGTCAAGTAGCTGTGACAGAGGCTATGTAGCGCAAAAAAAAAAAAAAACTTGAAAAACTTAAAAGATGTTCTAACTGGCCCTTTAAGAAAAGGTTTACAGACCCTTGAGCTAGAGGGAACTTTGGTTCCTGGCAGTAGTTTAAAAAAAATATTTAACAAGTTTGTTTTAGCTGGTCTTCTTTTAGCTAGGAATCCAACATTTCGTTTCATCCCAGGACTTGTAATTGATGATGACAGTGATGTCCATGAGGCACTGAAAAGCCTTGAAGCACCTTCTGAATCAGCAAAGATTAAATCTCACTCACTATGGGTCTCTGTTGTCCAGATTCATAGACTTAAAATTGAAAGGGAACTTCAGCATCATCTTTCACACAAAAAAAGTGGAAATCTTTTCCACTATATGCCTTACATGTGGGCTTTCAGTCTGTAATTATAGACCCTGTGGAAGCAGGTGAGCAACTTCTCATAATAGCTATACTAGTTCATGGCAGCTGTGGCTCTTTTACTATTGATTGGATTGTTTTTTCCCCACACTGAGTTAATATCTCTTTCCTTGCCACTCATTTGCCCTATTATAATATTTTGACTGTTAGTATATCAGAATATCGATATTTTTTTTTTTTTTTGAGTCAGAGTCTCAACTCTGTCGCCCAGGATGGAGTGCACTGGCGTGATTTTGGCTCACTGAAACCTCCACCTCCCAGATTCAAGTGATTCTCCTACCTCAGCCTCCCAAGTAGTTGTGGTTACAGCTACTTGGCCTAATTTTTGTATTTTTAGTAGAGACTGGATTTCACCATGTTGGCCAGGCTGGTCTTGAACTCCTGGACTCAAGTTATCTGCCCTCCTCAGCCTCCCAAAGTGCTGGGAGGAGTGAGCCACTGTGCCCGGCCTGTGCTTTTTATTAACAAGAATATTAATTAAGCAGAGCATTCCATCCTTCCACTCTGCTTTATCATAGTAGATAATGTTGTTCTTGAATAACAAATGCAGGTTTTGGAATCAGAGAGACTTGTGTTCAACTTACAGTTTCCCCACTAAAAAATGGTTTGACCATAGAAAAATTGCTTTAACTTCTCTGAACATTGATTTCTTCATTTGCTAAACAGAGAAAAAAGCCTGAGAATCTGAAAGAAGGTACATAGGGTCCAACATGGTGCCTGACATTAAGAAGCTATTATTAGTAGTAGAAAGTAGCAGGCGTTTTAAATGTGCCATGTGCAAATGTGCAAGTGCCAGAGCATTCCAAGACCCACACATAAGGCAGAGGCAGCATTTGGAGCATTTTAGGAACTAAAGATTATCCTAAATTTAAGATTTTATTTGAAAAGACTAACATTACATCATATATGTCATAAACATTCCAGGGCAAGAATTTATCTTGTTCTCTGAATGCCACGGTGCAAAACTAGGAGCTTCTGCTTACTTTTAGCTCATGAAGATCCCCAAGGAGTAAGCAGTGTAAATATTAGACATTCTAAATGTACACAAAAGGATATTTCAAGAAACACACTCACCTTTTCAATTCAGATAAAAATAAATTATGCAAATAAAGAAAATGGTTAACCCATCACGGGCCAGATTATGAGAGTATCTGTTTCTCTTATCTGGAATTACTGTGTTTTATGAAATCCAGCTATGTCTGTGGTGTCCGATTTTAATATGGCAATTCTCTCCTATTCTTGATTCTTCTGTTTTAGGCAACATATTGAATCTCTTGGGAGAAACTCATCCTGTATCTGCTCGATTGAAAACATGAAGGTGCACATTCCAAGCTGCATATGCTCAGGTCCGAGTTTCCAAGGAAACAAGGGACTGCTCATCTATCTGCAAAACTGAACTGACGAGTCACTTTCAGCTTGTTACAAACCTTGATTCTGAATCAAATTCTAGTGTGCAGTCTAAAAATTCTCACTGCCTTGTCATTTCTGCCGAGCAAACCCCTGATGCTATGAGGCTGGCAGTTGGGCAGGGATTTTCCTGGGTTGTGCACTCTAATTTTTTCCTCTGCACTGTTAGTGAAATACTGTCATTGAGAACCAGCTCCACACTGCACCTATGTGAGAAAGGCCTTGGTTTCTATCAGTAAAGTCAGACAGGGCTATGTGCATTTGGGATGCCCTGGTCAACCATACAGGAGGAAGCACAGTGGTCTTCCCAGCTCTCACAGTGGCCACCAGCTCTCAGGCTCACAAACTAGGCAAAGCAAAGAGCAACAGAACAACCTACTTCCCAACTTTCATTAGTCACTCAAATCCAAGTGGGTGATCGTATTTCTGAAGGTCTTGAATACAGGACTTCCTGACCATTCTTTAGCATTTACTGATGAAAGTATTTCAGATGTGTTATGTTGTTTGGCATGTGTTATGTTGTTTGGCAATCACAGTAAGTGTTGAGATAGATACTATGATTATCTTCATTCTCTAGGAACAGGCACAGAGAGGTTAAGTAATTTCCCAAAGGTCACACAGTTTGTAAGTGATAAAACTGATTTGAAGCCAAACTATGTCACCCCAAACTCATATTTTTAACACTTTATTCCATCTTCTAAAAGGCTGGCTATTCTATTTTTCTCTAAGTTTCAAATTAGTATGCCCATTCCCTTGTTCATTCATTCATTCATCCAACAAACATGTGTCAGGCATCTATGCCAGGCTCTGTGGATATAGTATAATAACAAACAAGACAGATAAGATTTCTCAGGGAGCTTACGTTTTGTAGAGGAGACTAAATAAATAAGCAAGCACAAACAATGTAGAGTTTGTAATATTACCTATCCCAGCAAAGGAAACCAACACTAGTGTGAGAAAATTAAATTATAAAAGACCCTAACATTTTCAAGATACTGAAGGGGATGAGATGAAGCAGAGGTAGAGTGGGGCTGGATTATGCTGAAACACATAGAACAGACTGGATTCTATTTTAAGTGAGGTGATAAATTCTTAAGGGTTTGTCATTTTTGAGGTAGAACTGTCTTTTGTTCCTATTGTAAAGAAACTACATAGGTAGGCATAAAATACACCTGTATGCCAGAGATAGAAAAATTCATATAATTCCCAACTCCAATTCTATTTCTCTAGGATAATTTTAATTGTGTATATGAAACATATCTCAATGTTCTTGAAAGACTGAAATCCACTCTTTTTATTATTTATTGACTTATTGATTTGTGGTTAAGGAAAAAGTAGACTGAAGTAAAAATAAAGAGTGCAGGAGTATAATTGCACAAGAAGTGGGAGGGAGACTTGTTGAACAGGCAACAGCCTAAAGTGAGTATCCATGAGTGGGCTCAGTATGACCCTGCAGCTCCCCCATCACACTTGCACCCACCTCAAGGAATCCAGTTCACCTCTATGGAAAATCCCTGGGCTCCACGGGACAGAGTCTTGTTTTGTTTTACATCTGTGTGTCCATGCCTAGCCAGTATCTTGTTTAGTGCAGCCTTTCCATAATATTTGTGGAGAGAAAGAAAAATGAAAGGAAGAAGAGAGGGAGGGGAAAAAGAAAGTGAGAGGAAAGAAGAAAGGTAAAAAGGAAGTAGCACTCTTGGTTTTGCTTCTCCTTGGCTGTTTCGTTATTCTCAGTACTCCCCAACCCATCTTCCTGGGATAAGAAAAAAAAAAGACATCTAAAATGACACTTCCAAAAGATTAATATTTTCATTTCAACACTTCTGAAAGTATTTCAATGAAATTGCTTTCAAATGGTTTATTTTATATTAGATCATTGAGAGATAGATTAATGTCATAAACGTAGGTACTAGCAAGCAATATTTTTGTCTCCTATGTGCACATATTGTATATTTCATATCCTCTGATAACTTGAAGTCACTAATTTAAGTCAAATTAGGGAAAGGGCAGTATAGTAATTGCAATATTTTCGGCTCCTTCTTGGTAACAAATGCAGCTTCTTTTTTCCCCTCCACCCATATATGAGTCTTCTTTTTCTTTGGCTAAGATATAATAGCACTGCTCTACATGAACAAAACTATTTTTACTGGCTATGTTATTACTGAGAAATGCATTGGGAAAATGTAAAAATATTTCACCTTTATGTTGAAGAAAATAAACACAGTGGATTAGATAAAATTTGCACAGCTCTTGACATGTGCCATATGTAACATTTGGGAAACATCAAAAAAGAGGCTCTGACTTCTTCGGAGAATCATAGACTCTGGCACTGGAGGGGGACTGATCCACCACCCCACCTCACTCCAGCAATTTGGGCAAACAAGACCTAAAGAAATTGAAGGATAATCTAAAGTTTACATTATTAATGGAAGAAACAAGACCAGAACCCTTGTTATTTCAGACCCAGCCCAGTGGAAAGCCCATTACAAAACTGCCTCCCTGCTGCTTCACTGCAGATTATGGGAGTCAGCACAGGCAGGAAGACATCAGAGCTCTGGAATAAGGACTACTAGACTTCAAGTTCTGGCCTACACACTTACTGCCTTTATGAGCCTGGGCAACATACTTTAACTTATGTAAGCCTAAGAGGTTTTTTCCATAAAATGAGATTTAATAGTACCAACCTCGACTGTGCGCGGTGGCTCATGCCTGTAATGCCAGCACTTTGGAAGGTCGAGGTGGGTGTATCCCCTAAGTCCAAGAGTTTGAAATCAGCTTGGGCAACATTGTGAAACCCTGTCTCTAGAAAAATACAAAAATTAGCCACGCATGGTGGTAAGCATCTGTAGTCCCAGCTACTTGAGAGGCTGAGGTGGGAGGACTGCTTGAGCCCAGGAGGCAGAGGTTACAGACAGCCAAGATCATGCCACTGCACTCCAGGCTGGATGACAGAGTGAGACCCCATATAAAAAAAATCCATATATATATACATAATATTATATATATGTATACATTATGGTATCAACCTCAAACATTTGTTCAAATATCAAATACTTAATTTAAAATACTGGAACATAGTAATTGCTAAATAAATGTCATCCATTACTAATATTATTAGATCATTATTAATTATTATTCTTCAAACAAATGACACATGATAGTCTTAGTTTTGCAAGGCTTTTTGTTTGTTTGTTTGTTTTTGTTTTTGGAGACATGGTCTTGTTCTGTTAACCAAGCTGGAGTGCAGTGGTGAGATCATGGCTCACTGCAGCCTTGACTGCCCAGGCTTAAGCAATCCTCTCACCTCGGCCCTCCAAGTATTGAGGACTACAGGCATGCACCACCATGCCCAGCTAATTTGTAAATTTTTTTATAGAGATGGGGGTCTCACTGTGCTACCCAGGCTGGTCTCGAACTCCTGGGCTCAAGTAATCTTCCCACTTCAGACTCCCAAAATGCTGGGACAACAGGTGTGACCCACCATGACTGGCCACTAGTAACTTTCAAATAAACTTTTTGGTAAAATGGAAATTCTAAGTTCTAATATATGGACATAAAACTTTGCTCAGCAATCTTCTAATTATCTGATTCTAATAATCTAAATATTAAGTTTGCTTCTTGACAATTTTTCAAATTCCAATAAATTTAAAAATATGTTAGTAAGTGAAGAACTGTAGAAAATAAACAAGAAGTGACCGTTGGCCAGGCATGGTGGCTCACGCCTGTAATCTCAGCACTTTGGGAGGCCGAGGTGGGCAGATAGCTTGAGCCCAGGAGTTTGACACCAGCCTGAGCAACACAGTGAGACCTCCATCTCTACAAAAAATGCAAAAATTAGTCAGGAGTGCTGGTGAGCACCTGTATTCCCAGCTATTCAGGAGGCTGAGGTGGGAGGATCACTTGAGCCTAGGAGGTGGAGGTTGCAGTGAGCTGTGATAGCCTGGGCGACACAGTGAGACTCTGGCTCAAAAAAAAAAAAAAAAAAAAAAAAAAGCGACCCTTGCAATCAGAGACCTTGGAGTCTAGTGGGAGAGAAAGATATGAATATTAATGAGGCTTATAAAAGACAGAGTGTGGTGTATATGCTAGAAGAGAGATGACAAAGAGGGACTGTGGGAACAGAGCAGGAGAAGGAATGCAGGCTGAGGAAAGCAGAGAAGTCTTCATGGAAGAGAAGGCATTTGCTCTGAGCCCTGAAAGGATGTGGAAATTGGAGGAAATGATGTGGGCAAAGATCCAAGTGGCAGGTCCTCTGTGATCCAGGGAGCTCCAAGCTGTGTGTCCCAGGACTGTGTAAAAGCCCATGCCCCTCAGAAATAAGGGCAGATTAGCAAGTGCTGAAGAGCACTGTGAGGCTGAGCAACAGTGCGTGGGAGGTGGGAAGACTGCAATTAGTGAAAGATGAGGCTGGAAAGGTGGGTTTGAGCCAGAAGAGCATCAGTGTGAGATGTGCAGACTCTGGAGCCAGACCACAGATATACCAGCTCTGCGTCTTTGGTGTCATGCAATGTTGGTAAATTACTTAACCTCTCTGTACTTCAGTGTCCTCATTTATAACACGGGGATGACAGTTGCCTATCTCATAGGGTGGTTATGAGAATTAAATGAGTTACTACCTATAAAGCACTTAGACCAGTACCTGGGATATGGTTAGAGTTCAGTAATTGGTGGGTATCACCATCACTGTCATTGTCATCATCATTAATATTACCTTTAGGGATATTTAGATGCCATGCTGGAGATTCGAGCTCTACAGAAGAAACAGTGATCCAAAGCTACAGCATAGTCAAAGTACTACTTTATGAAGATGACTTTAGTGAATTTATGTCAAAAAGGAACATGGCTTTTAACTACCACCAGAAATAGGGGAAATTTAGGTTACAGAAAAGAAAGATCAATTTGCCAGATAAAGTAAAGATCCGTGTTATGGCCAGTAAAAATTGTGTTGGCAGTTTTTGTTTTCCAGCTATATAAGGAATAGATAAATGCATTCTGGTCATAAAAATATAACAACTGCTGAGGCAAATAGAATTTAAAAAATGAAAGCTCCCTGTCTCCCAGCTCCCAGGCTCACTTTTGTCTAATTCACAGTTTATGATTTAGACAAGTGTTCCCAAGCTTGTTTCTAAACACTTATAATTTTAAGTACATAAAAGTTTTAAGCTGCCCATTTTAAAATTTTTCTTTAACAATATATTTAAAGATATTCACATGTAGTACAATAGATCTGTTTCATCCCTTTTAACTGCTGCATAATATTCCAGATATGGTTATTCCTTACCTCACTTCATTAATCATTTTATTCATGAACATTTAGGTTATTTCCCATTTTTCATTTTTATAAACCAGAATGCAATGGATTGTTCTACATATGCTTTTGTACATATATATGGTTAGATATCTATCTCTGCAGGTCAGATACTCAGTAAGAGAATTGCTGCTTAAAAGAATATAACCTTAATTTTTGACAGACTCTGCAAAGTTGGCCTCTGAAAAGTTGGTACCAAGTTACATAACCATCAAAAATGAGTGAGTGTTCTTTAATAACTCAAAGTTTAAAGTAATAATCAGGTTCAAATTCTAGACTATTTATATAATTGCTTTACTATATAATTTACTATATACTTGCTTTACTACCCTAGACTGATAATTTTTAAACCTTTTGGGGTCCCACATCATTTTGAGAGCCTGATAAAAATTATGGATTCTGTCTAAAGAAAAAAAAACACACAGGCACAAATATACTGAACTTTTACATTTCACTGGATGTTTCATAGCCCCAAAAAGCTTGGCTCTAGATTAAGAACCTCTATTCTGGATAATCCAAAGGTTGTGCATTTTTGTGTGTGATGAGTGAGCCTTGCCACCAAGCATTGAATATCTTTGTGCGCCCTGCTGAGAACCCTTTACATTCCCTTGCTTTTCTACCTAAAACAGTTGGCATGAGATTGGGCAGAGCAGTTGTCCCTTTCCTCTGCTGCACCTCCATCTGGGAGAGGAAAGTCTGCTTTCACATATATCTTATTCAAGCCCTTTTGTTCCTCAGCTCTCAGTGAGCATGCTTGTGTCTGAGTGTGCAGTGTGTGTGTGTGTTTGCTCATACACCTATGTTCAGGGAAGGGCTCTGCAGCATCTTAACATAAAACCGGGCTGACTGGGTGCAAACTTCCAACGCTGACACCAACCAGCTATGTGACCTTGAGGAAGTCATTTAACTATATTGACCATACTGGCCAATAGAATTTTCTGCATCAATGGCAATGTTCTATAATCTGTCCTGTCCAATATAGTAGTCCCTAGCCATATATGACAATTGATCGCTTGCTATGTGGCTAATGTTACATATGAGAGATAATTAATTTAAATTAAAATAACCACATATAGCTCACAGTTATTATTTTGGGAGGTACAAATCTGATGTATTAGTTTTCTTACCTGCCAAATAGAAATAATAATAGTTCCTGCCTTATGTAAGTATTGTTAGAAATACACAAATTAGGCCGGGTGCAGTGGCTCACACCTGTAATCCCAGCAATTTGGGAAGTCAAGGCAGACGGATCACCTGAGGTCAGGAGTTCGAGACCAGTCTGGCCAACATGGTGAAACCTCATCTCTACTAAAAATACAAAAATTACCCGGGCATGGCGGCATGCACCTGTAATCCCAGCTACTCAGGAGGCTGAGGCAGGAGAATCACTTGAACCCGGGAGGCAGAGGTTGCAGTGAGCCATTGCACTCCAGCCTGGGCAGCAGAGGGAAACTTCAACTCAAAAGAAAAAGAAAAAGAAACAGAAACAGAAACAGAAACAGAAAAGAAACAAATTATACATATATACACATATACATATATGCACATAAATATGTACATATAAGGTACTTAGGACAGCACCTGGTACCTAGCAAGTGCTACGTAAGTATTTACAATTACTATTATGGAACACTAGTGATAAAGTATCACTAGTATTACTAGAACCACTAGTATGATAAAGTTATTGAGAAAGAAACAAACATGATACATCGCTTCCACCTTCAAGGAACTTAAAATCTAATTGAGGAGACAATATATTCACGTATGTGTGTGTAAGTTATATTTATATGTGTACACACTCAGTAGCACCAATGTTAAGTGACATTTTAAGTAAAAAACTTGTGCCATGTGTGTCAAAATAGTACCAAAGGAAGAGATAATAAACTGAACTCCTTTGTGGAAGCATTCTGAATTGAACTACTGAACTGGACTACTGAACTTAAAGGATATACAGGAGTTATTTAATCAAAAAGGGAAAAAATATTCAAAAAATAAAGCTGGAAGTATAATGGAAATGACAAAGGTTCATTGGAGGACACAGAGTAGGCCTGTGTGGCAGGCAGGTTAATGGAAGTTTCTAATAATTAAAATGTTAGGGTAGGACAATTGGAGTCAGATGGCCAGAGGTCTTCAATGTCGGGATAAGGAGATGAATTCATTCACCAGACAAAGGAAAAACATTTGAAGATTTTGAGGGTAGGCACAGTAGAACCCTCTAGAATCAACAGGAGAAAGCAGGAGAAAAGAAAGGTGGACTGCAGACATTTAAAAAATATGTCAGAAAAGTGGGGTCGGAGCAAGGAGGACCAGGGACTGGCAACTAGTGTTTCCTTCTTGGGAAGGAATGTCCTTTCCAAATTTCTCCCCGTACGTTCGTTCCTTATTCCCTCTACTGGAGACTATAAAACTCCTTCCTACAACCTGCCCTTCTGTCTACAGTGATCCTTTGAGCTTCCTCACTGACCTTGCTCTATTTATTCCTTTATCTCTTCTCTCAAGGACAGATTGCTTAAATGTTTGTTTGTTTTTGCTGTTGTTCTGTCGTTTTGATTATAGAAGTAACAAGTACTCAGAAAATTTTTTAAGTACTGAAAACGTTAAAAGTACAGAAAAAAATACTAACTCCTACCACCAAGATTGATTGCATCTTTAGTCTGAAATGTTCACTATGTACAGAATTTCTTTATTCATTCTTCAATGCATTTCTTCCTGAAATACTTGGATCAAGACTGAGCCTTTTACAACATGCCCAAAGAGCCTAATACAGTACTTTACATCTGACAGAAGTTTAGTAAGTGTTCTTCAAATGAATAAAGAATGGGTGGAAAGTTACTCAGAATTTCATATGCCACAACTTACTTGAAAAGTATGGCAATTTCACGCCAAATACTTTATTATGAATCACTCTGGGAAATCTATACCTATTATAAACATTTTATCATTTCTTCCTTAACATATAAATGAAAGTAAAACCCATTTCTATGGATGCATAGAAAAACATAAAAGTAGGTGAACGAGGATGCCCACATTCTTTTATTCATATTTTGCTCACACCAACGAATCAAGCCAGTGTCTAAGTGACTTATACAATACCTGACTATTGACAAACACACGCTCTTTGTGGATAGTTCTGCATGCTCTGTTGAGTTTCACTGTTGATAGCTACTAAAAATCACTCAACCAGACAAGTCCACCCAAATGAAGAAGCTCGTTTATAGCTGTTAGACACATAGCACTAAACTCAAACCCCAAATCTTCCCTGATTCATTTAGGTCAAAAACGCTGAAGGATTAGGTGTGAGTCTTGCATTCTTGGTCACAAAATCAAGGGTACAAGTTTGGTTCTGCCCATGGGTTTTAGTCACCTCATAAAATTGAGATGGATTTGGAAGTACTTTGCTCTATCAGAGCTTTCCATCAGCAGGCCTACCGAACATCAAATAAATTTGTGATGACTCTCAAGAGGGCAGCTAATAAACAAGATAAAATCTTTCTTTTGTGAGCTTCAATGGGTAATACAGTTGAAACATGGAGTTACATATTAATAAAAGAGAGTCATTTAGTTTATTACAAAGGTACACCGGATAGTCACAGCAAACACTAAATATGGCAAAATCAATAAACTAAAAAATGTTATTTAATCACTTTTATTTGCAGTGAGCTTCAACACCTGTCATTTTTTTAAAAACTTCTGAATAGCTGTTAAATAGAAGAATAGAATTTGGGCTCATTATCAACATGTGCTTGCATTTAATGTACTCCATTATTATTACATGAAGTCACATATATCACAAGTTATATATATATTTAGGAAGTCAAATATATTCTACAACTAATATTATATATGCATTATTTATATATAATATATATAAATATATGTTGTATTATATATTATATATTATATTTTATATAATATATATATATTATATGTATATATTATATATAATATATATTATACTATATGTATTATATATTATATATAATATATATTATACTATATGTATTATATATTATATATAATATATATTATATGTATAATATATTATATATAAATGTATATTATATATAATATTATATATTATATAAATATATATTATATATTACATAAATATATATATATTTAGTCCACTGGGTGCAGTAGACTAAATATTTGGGTTCCCCCCAAATTCATGTTGAAATCCTAATGCCCAATGTGATGACATTAGGAGATGGGGCCTTCGGGAGATGATTAGGTAAAAAGGGTGGAGCTCTCATGAATGAGACTAAGGCCCTTATCAAAGGGACCTCAGACAGCTCTCACCCTCTTTTCACCACATGAGGATAAAGCAAGAAACTGGCTGTGAACCAGGAAGCAGCCAGACATCAAATATTCTAGCCCCTTGATCTTGGACTTCCCAGCCTCCAGAACTGTGAGGAATAAATGTTTGTTGTTTAAGTCACCCAGTCCATGGTATTCTGTTATAGCAGCCTGAATTAAGACATTGGGACAAAGCCAATTTAGGAAGTCAAATATATTCTACAACCAATATATATTATATATATATATATAAATATAATATAAATTTTATATATAAAATTTATATATTTATATATAAATATATATAAATATATTCATGTATATATTTATATATATTTACGTATAAATATATACATAATATATATATATAGCAGCTTTAATTCAGGCTGCTGTAACAGAATACCATGGACTGGGTGACTTAAACAACAAACATTTATTCCTCACAGTTCTGGAGACTGGGAAGTCCAAGATCAAGGGGCGGAATATTTGATGTCTGGCTGCTTCCTGGTTCACAGCCAGTTACCTGCTTTATCCTCATGTGGTGAAAAGAGGGTGAGAGCTGTCTGAGGTCCCTTTGATAAGGGCCTTAGTCTCATTCATGAGAGCTCCACCCTTTTTACCTAATCATCTCCAGAAGGCCCCATATCCTAATGTCATCACATTGGGCATTAGGATTTCAACATGAATTTGGGGGGAACCCAAATATTTAGTCCACTGCACCCAGTTAAAGGGGTTTTGCTGCTTTTGCATTTTAATTCTACTCTTTTCATCTCTGACTTTTCTTATGGCTTTTCTTTTTTATTCTACTTTCAACATCTTGAATTAGCAATGACTGATTCCTTATTTTTCATGTATAATTCTTTATAACATTGTTCCAGTTGATTCTTAAAGTCCCTTAGTAAGCTGACCACAGCTATATTTCCAAACAAACTTCCATTTTTTTTCTCAATCTGCTGCAGTCAAGGCTATCTTACCCACCTTTCTCACCTCTCTCGCCCATTTATGACATAAAGAGCTTTCTCTTGTCTAAACTTCCATTTCCCATAAACTCACCATAAGCAGTTAGCTAATTGCTTCACAGGCTTTCTTTTCCTTGTTCTGTTTTGTTTTTTGCTTTTTTGAGGTATAATTTACATACTATACAATTCATACTTTTAAAATGGACAATGTAATGGTTTTTACAGTATTCCCAAACTCGTGAACCCATCATCATTATCTAATTCCAGAACATTTTCATCATTCCAAAAATAAATTTATACCCATTAGCAGTCACTCCCCATTTCTCCTTCCTTCTAGACCCTTAAAACCACTAATCTACTTTATCCTCCAACTTTTGTTTTTCAACATTGCTTTGGCTGCTGTGGTTTTCTTACATTTCCATGTGAATTTTAGGATCAATTTCTTTTAAAAAACCAACTGGGATTTTGACAAAGATTGAATCTGTGGCTCAATTTGGTGAGTACTGCTATCTTAATAATATTATCTTACAATCCATAAACATGGATGTCTTCCCATTTATTTAGGTCTTCATTAGTTTCTTTCCGTAATGTTTTAAAGTTTTCAGTGTACAAGTTAAGCACTTCTTTTTCTGAAAAATTTATCATGGGCTTTAGTTTTGAATCTCTCTAACTCAAGTATAAGTTTCTACGTATAAAGTATCATGGCTTCTTTCCCTTTTAAATTCATTGTGCAACTGTTAGTTCTTGCACTGGTTTTTAAAATAAAGAATAAACACTTTCCATCAAAATTTAAAGCTTCTGGCCAGGCATGGTGGCTCACACCTGTAATCCCAGCAATTTGGGAGGTCAAGACGGGCAGATCATTTGAGGTCAGGAGTTTGAGACCAGCCTGATCAACATGGGGAAACCCTATCACTACCAAAAATACAAAAATTAGCTAGGCATGGTGGCAGGTGCCTGTAATCCCCGCTACTCAGGAGGCTGAGGCAGGAGAATCTGCTTAAACCCAGGAAGCAGAGGTTGCAGTGAGCTGAGATGGCACCACTACACTCCAGCCTGGGTGAGATAGAGTGAGATGCCATTTCAAAAAAAAAAAATTTAAAGCTTCTTCCTTAAATATGGCTTTCATACCCAGAGCACTATATGCTTTCCTACTCCATGTCTTTGCTCTCTCTTCTTCCCACTTAGAATGGCTTGTCTCCTCAACTCTGCTGGCAGAGTCCTTAGGATTTTTAAGATGTTGATTAACTGTTACCTTGTTCATGAAACATTCTCACCATTTCCTCTTCCTCTCAATATTTTATTCATTCCTCAGATACAGCTAATTGCAGTAGATCTTTAATATAATATCATAGTTGCATATGATAGCTACTCGGTATGTATGTCATCACTACTCCCAGAATATAAGCGTATTTCAGGGTTCTTCTTAGTCACCCTTCTATTCCCATACATCTTAGCCTATTACTTCCAAATTAGAATTGTTCAACTCACTTCTATTGCCTAAATCCAAATAATGCAAAATAGAAAGTGACTACCAGGACACTGGATCATCATTTAACAAGCAACTTAAGTTTAATAAGCAACTTAAGCACTTTAATTAGCTTTCTGTTGTGTTCCATAAAGTCCCTGTCCTGTTTCTAATTACTTCCTTTCCTATACCCTGCAGCAAACCCTTAGAAAGTTTTTCCAACCAGATTCAACCAGATCTGTGTAAGAGACTGTGTTTTGTGGTACTACATATGGGTCACATAGTTTGTGAAATAACTCACTACGAAATGATTATTTCTTCCCCCTTTCATTAAGCTCTATTAATCCAGATTGGAAAAAAGGTTCATGTTGACACTCTTCTGCCTAATTAACTTGTTTGAACTGTATTCAGCTCCATAGTGCTGATGTATGATTTATCAGAAAGCCTCTAAGCTAAGTTATAAATGTAATGTTTTCAAATCTGCCTCAAGTACAATCACTCTAATGGTAAATACCAAATTATGTTCCATTTGGGATACAAACCAAGAACATAAAAAGTAAGAATAAGAATTCTTAGCTGTGTTTAGGCTGGGTGCGGTGGATCACGCCTGTAATCCCAGCACTTTGGGAGGCCAAGGCGGGCAGATCACGAGGTCAGGAGTTCAAGACCAGCCTGGCCAACATGGTGAAACCCCATCTCTACTAAAAATACAAAAATTAGCCGGGCATGGTGGTGGGCGCCTGTAATCCTAGCTGCTCCAGAGGCTAAGGCAGGAGAATTGATTGAACCTGGGAGGCAGAGGTTGCAGTGAGCTGAGATTGTGCTACAGCACTCCAGCCTGGGCAACACAGTGAAACTCCATCTCAGAAAAAAAATAAATAAATAAAGAATTCTTAGCTGTGTTTTCCATTTGGCAAAACAATACAAATGACTAAGCAAGTATGTCCACAAGATTGTAGCTAGGGTCTTTCCCCTTTCTCTGGAAAGAAAGATTAATACTCAGAATGCATTTTTACATCAATTTTTATAAGTTGATATCAAATTATTGTGAGATTTGATGTTTTACTGCTTTGTTTTGTATTTTTAAGGAGGTTGTTTTTAATTTTTTTAATGGCACTTAGCAGGTCTCTAAATGAAGTGTGACAGATGTTTTCACCAATTCACAGTATTTAGTGGCTGAGGGTGAGACACACAACTGTGATTCTAACAAGAATATGACACTGGAGAGGATATCTATGAGATGACTGGCAGACTCCACACCAATGATCCTGACAGGTCAGTATTTTACTGGGAACTCACAAGACTAAGCCCCTCAAGGAAAAGGCCCACATCTAAGTTATTGTGTGTCTCTATGCTTAGCACAGCTCTTATTCCTCAGTAAGCACCTCATGCATGTTGAGCAACCAGGACCAAATTCCAGTTTTTATATTTACTGTCCAACACATACTGAAGGCCTCTTGAGTGAAAAGCTCTATTTGAGTCATGGTGAGTAAATAAAAAAGGAAATGTCCTTGGTCACAAGCAAATTACAATCTGATGGCACAGAAAAGAACAACACAAGAGAATATTTCGCACTACTAGAGAAATACATTGGCTTTCTTAATAACAGTTTAAAATTTTTGAATGATTCTTTTGTAGATTTTAAGGCACTGTTGTATACAATTCTTTTTAATGTTCCCAAGAAACTATGAAGAAAGTCTAATATTATTGAATCCATGGAACATATTGATTCCAGAGCTGGAATAAGAATTTGCATGCTTTTTTCTTTCAGTGCTTCAGCTGCTTTTTTTGGATAATGCTTGGTTGATTACTGCAAGTTCTGCTGGTTTAAAACAGTCAAGACGTACATTCTATTCACATGATCACAGATATTAAGATCTCATTGTTCTTTAATTTTATATATGTTCAAGTTTAAATAACTCTTCTACTCTTTGACAAAATGTTTATTAGAGATTTGGGGTTGGGGGACATATGAGAGGGATTGCAGGAATGCTTTCAGACTACCTTCCAAATGACTCTTTACTCTAAAAGCTCTCCATTACCCACCAAACTAAGTCACTTAGCATCTATCTATTATCAAAATAAGTCACCTATTTTAGACCAAGGGATGGACCTTGATTCTTAGTAGAAGATATTTGACCACTGGATCTCAATCAATAAATCATCAAAACCATTTTTTCAACTTCTCACTTTCAAATTGTTGTTTTGATAATAATCACCTTTTTCAAAAATTATCAAAAATGATAATTTTTGGTGTGATCATCCATGTTTCCCTACATTGACTCCAAAAAATAGTATATTGCAGTGGTTCTCAACATGAATTCAGGCACCAGATCAGCTGAGTTTGAATCCTGTGCCATCGCTTATAAACTATGTAACTGGGCAAGTTTCCTAACCTCTGTGGGCCTTCCTTTCTTCATCTATAAAATAAAGATAACAATAATACCAACTTCATAGAACTGTGGTGAGGATTAAGCAAATTACTATATCTAAAGTATTTGAAATAAAACTTGGCACAGAACAAATCCTTTCTATATTTTTGTTGTCATTAGTAATTATATATTTCTAAAGTACGTGGCAGTCATATTGTATAAAGACTTCACAAAAATTTTGAGATCAATCAATAACAAGTTCAGCCTCATTACCTGCACCAAGTACCACAGATAGATTTAAGTTCCCACTACAAAAACAAGATCTGCAAAATTTCATATAAGGATGAAACTCTAATACAGACCTTTTGCTCTTAAACATAACCATTTACCACATCTTCAATTTTCTACTTTCCCTTCAAGTCTGAATATATGTCACATATATTTTAAGATTTAATTCTAACTCCCTTAAAATATAATCATCAAGAAATACAATTGGAGAAGTATACCAATCACACTTCTACAATTGTCCTTCAAAAATTTTATTACATTAACCTTCTTTCTTTTTGTTCCTGTGAAGACTTCACATGAATATAGATCTGGGGAAATTAATACAGTTCACCCCTATTGGTAGTTCTTATTAATTTCTGTTAACTAAATGTATGCAGCAATTTTTATTGGAAAATGTCTTTTCCTTTATTTTTCCACTTATGCTAACTGTGTTCTGGGAGAAGTGGCAACATTTCTTTTCAGAATCCTTTTCTTTTTTTAGGTTTGGGTTGAATCAAATGATGAAAGGAACTAAATAATACCACAGATGATACAGATGGCTTGCACCAGTGTGGCAATAGTTTAACTAGTAACTCTACAATTGCTGGACAATCTTTAATTTTTTTGTGATGACATTATTATTTTAAAGAAAAGTCAAACAAATACTTGGTTCTTTAAGATTTTCACAGCAGCACTTTATATATGCCCTATAAATTTTTATATAATTTATAATAAAATATGTGATATACTTTCTTTTCTAGATATGTTACTCAATCTGATATCAGAAAGCTTCAGCATGACTTAATTTTTGAAGTCAAAGCTTATGGGAAATAGCAGCAATTTCCAGTGACCTGATAATACAAAAGAAAACAGCATAAATATGTGTCTTGGAGCTAAGTGGGTGCTAGTGTAGGCCTTGTAAGTTAAAAGCAACATTTTATAATCTTGGCAAGATGTAATGGGTAGTCAAAGTAATGAAGCTAACCCAGGCATAATGATTAATCTCTGTGTGAGTCACGACCCTGGCAGCTGCATTCTAAATGAACTGCAATCTATATAATGCATTCTCAGGAAGACCAGACAACAAGAAGTTGCATTAGTCCACAGATGCAGATGGTAAGACTGCATGTAGAAGCATACTCAGCTCTGGCCTATAAGAGCAGAGGTCTAGGTTGAGCAATATTCATAAAAGGATAGTGAAGTTTCATGGATATTTACTGGCTCCAGTTTATCAAAACGAAGTGTGGCATTAACCCTTATCTGATTCAGCTAACAGCTGGAATATTTAATGATGTCTCCATGGGAAAGGTAACAGAGTGGGATCTTGTAAGATTGGTAGGAGCATAAAAGCCATTCTGGATAAGAGATACAGCATAAACAAAGCTATCACAGTGAGAATTCATAAGGTGTATTTGAGGCAAATTGACCACCTCTGCTAAGTGAAAGAATAAAATTGATGTTGAGAATGGTAAAAGACAAAAATGTCAAGTTTAGCCCATAAGTAAAACAATTTAGCAATCCTCCTTTAGAAAGGCTGGCAAGGCCTGTTGTAACTAAACAATGATAGGATGATTGGCATTATTATTTGGAGGAGGCTAGATATTGGCAAAGAACCTCATTGTTCTGGCAGACAGTTTTCAGAGTACACAAATAGATAATCTGGAGAATGGATCAGGAAACTTACAAGAGGGAATATTTTTCAGGTAGAAAAAATGGTAAGATGGGCTTCTTTATAACGACTAGACAATCTGCTTTGCAACAAAGACTCAAAGTTAGTACAGTGTCATGGAATGGGTTCTGCACTGGATGACAGGGGACATGGAAATTAGTCCTGGCACTGCCAACACCTGGCTCAGGACCGATTTCCGTGGACTGCAGTTATCCATAAAAGAAAGATGTTGGGCCAGATGATTCCTGAGGACTCATCTTTGTACAACACTTACACATGACACTTTAAAACATGCCTATGCTGATGGTCAGAACCTCACTGCAGTCAGGAGCCATCATTCTGACAAATGCCCTTGAAAAATGCTCTCATTGTCTATCTATGTTTATACACTTTTATTTTCTAAGCACATATATGACTGCAAAAATAACCCCCAGTCTGAGTGTTCCAGTCTCATATCCAGCAAGGGAAGATGCATATGATGATGGTAACTAAGGACTATATATGTATTAACTCAATCCTTCCCATGGTACAGATAAAGAAACTGAGGCATAGAGAGATTATATAATTTGCCTGAAGTTGCACAGCTAATAAGTGACTGAGCTGGGATTAGAAGATAAGCTGTGGGGCTTACGGTATGCAGTCTTACCCTCTCTGCAAGTCTTGCCTCTCTAAACATTGTGGAGCTGTGCCAGGGCTGGTGTGAGAACTCAAGATAATGTCTTGGATAAAACATCCTTTTTAAGGGAACTGGTGGTAAGAGGCCTCATTTCCAATGAGTGCTTGTGGCCAATGTGTTACAAGTTTCCCCCAAAAAGTTGTTCAAGGCCATATCCTTGATAGCAATTTGCTTGCATATGTGAGGTCTGACTTCCATTTAGAACCATATTGTCTCCAGTCCCACTAGCCTGTAGAGATTTTCCCTTTGGACCTCTTCAGATATTAACGGCCCATGTCAGCAGAAACACTTTAGCCTTTTATTTCCCACTCTGTCCCCTTCCTCAATATTTGTCCCAGTCAAATTTAGCTTGGGGTGGGAGAGAGTGAAAAAGTGTATGCAGCTAGTCTGCCTTCTGAAATCAAACCTGACACATCTGCTTTCTGCATACTTGAAAAGCCAATAACCCTTTGGTTTCCTGAACATTTCACCTTGAAGATCTGGGAAAGAAGAATCAAGAGTGACTCTTCAGGGATCATAATCCTGACCAAAGGCCCCTCCCCAAAATATTAATTCATTCTCTCTAATGCTTGCATGACAGTCTAAGGTCACTCCTAAAACATGTCAGCTGCTCTTCAAGCTGATGGAGGTATGTGTCATTAGAGACTCTTGTTAAAAGCCCCAAGTACTTCTCACTCTGACCAGGGTGTCAGAGGTAAAAAGTCCATGAGGGTTTTATCTGCTGATCTAGCCAAGCCTTCCACAGCCACACAACCTCCAGATGGCAAGTTGTCTACCTTTAAGTCACTCTTAGAAGATCTTCAAATGCTTATTGCAAAGATGACATACTTTCCTTGCAGCTCATTTTACTACATTAAAAACGTTAAACATAAGTGTCTCTTGAGGTGCTTTTTCTCCCTTCAAAAATTATTTCTCTGAATTAAAATGTGTTTATAGAATTTCAGACAAGAATTAGGCAATCCCTTCTTTTTCACCTGCCAGTGGATGTCTGAGTGCAGACAGTCTTTCTGAGAGCAGGAGGTCCCCAGGGTTACTAGTGTAATTCTTTTTACTCCGGGGTGCTCAAGCACAGAATTGCTGACAATCAATTTGCTTTCACATCCTGGCATTAAACTCACTGTATATAAAAGTATCACAAGTATTTTCAATATAATTCTAAGTAGCGGTGATTTAAAAGGCTTTTTATTGTAGTGAAAAAAATTACAAGGCATAGTAAAAGCTGTACAGCCTATTTGACTGAATCCAATCAAACACATGTAAGATACTCCATAACCTCAAAATGGGTAAAAATGACTTAAAAATTAAGAAGGGCAATTGATAGGAGTCTTTTTTATATATGGCAGATGAAGCAATATACCTAAACAATATTTTGACCTTCTGGTTTCTAAAAATATGGAATGAATCATAATTTAACTTAGTGCTATAGGAAAGCAGGGACCTTTCAAAGATATAGCTCTAGCTATAAAACTATAGGTATTGACAACATCGTCGCCTAAGTATACAGCTATTTTTCGAGGCAAAACCAAAAGACTTCTAACAAAATATATGTTATTAGTTGTCAGGAGTACAGATGATGTCTACTGTTGCTGTTTGATTAGAAGGCAGGAAGCATGACTTAGACATCTACAACCACTGCTATTCAAAACAGGCACCATTAATATCCAGGTACACACAATACCCTTGAACCTGAACATAAGTATAACATAAATCTAAAAATATTATTATAACTGTCATGCAGTACCTGACACATAGTAGGCCCTCAATAAATATTTTTTGAATGAATGAATGAAGGAATAAATAATGAACAATATCATAGGCAGTCTGCTTTTCTATACAATTTTAAAAGAGTTATTTTCACTTTTGTCTTTAAGAGAAATGAGTAAAGCAAATTAGAAAATTGAATTACAAACTGTGGCTTTATAGCTGTTTGATATACAGACTACAAAACTATCTCTTCTGACTTGGTTCTCAACCACTGGTTCCAAGTCTTCCAGGTGTTTATGCAAAGGCAGGTCTCTCCTCCCACCACCATCAAATGGCATGGTACTGAATCCCACAAGAGCTAATGGAAATAAGACTGAGTTTGTTATTTTATTAACTTAAGAGGTAAAAGAAATACAGTTGCCAGATAAAATGCAGGAAGCCCAATTAGACTGAACGACAGATAAACCATGAATAATATTTTAGTATAAGTCTGTCCTAAATATTGTATGAGACATATTTATACTAAAAATTACTTATGGTTTATCTGAAAGTCTATGTTAATTTGGTACTATGTATTTTTATTTGTGAAATCTGGCAACCCCAGAAGGAAAGCAAATGTTCTGACTAAACACCAGTTGTTTCCATACATCCAGACTCTGGTAGGATAGGTGAACCTTTGAGTAAGAAGCAATGGCACAATTATCCTGATCCATTATTCAGTGATGGCCAACTTTTCGTACTTCACTAAAATGATATTTTTAAAGACCTTTATCTTGCAGCCATGCTACAAGTTGAATAACGCTTCTAAAGACACTGATAGCATTACATGTAGACAGTGAAAGATTATGAAAAGTGAAGAAAGCAAAGACAGAAAATATGTCAAAAGGCAGAATAAACATTTTTTACATTAACAGTCCCTTTTAAGAGGATATTGGTAGCTTATATGTTTCTATAAACTTATATTCAGATAGATCAAAGATAAAAATGACCTCTCAAAAAGTCTTGAATTTTGATATAATGTCAACTGTGTTATTATACTGTGAAAGAAATTTAGTGTTTATGAAAGGTGGCAGATTGATTGATTGATTATTAATATGTATTACGTACCAGTAAGAAGCTAGAGGCTATTCAAACATGCAGGCCAGGTCTCCATGGCCTAGGAAGGAAGCAGCCTATCTTGGAGTGGTGGGTTACAAGGTCTTAAAAGGTCAGGATGACATATGTTGTTGCCGAGCAGTGAGTTGAGATATTTGTTCAAATGAGATCTGACAATCCACAAAAGATAGCTCGATAGAAAATCCTTAAAACTAAGTTTATCATCTAAAAACTAAAATTGGAACTTTTCCTGCTATTTCAACAAAGGGAGGCATTATGTATATATTCATATATATACACATACACACACATATATATGTATAGCTCACAAATATTCTATATATGTGTATATATACACACGCATCTACGTACATATATATGTATATATATTCTTCTCCCTTCCCTTTGACTGTGTTAATAATCTAGATTTGGCTGGGCGCGGTGGCTCACGCCTGTAATCCCAGCACTCTGGGAGGCCGAGGTGGGCAGATCATGAGGTCCGGAGATGGAGATCATCCTGGCTAACACGGTGAAACCCCATCTCTACTAAAAATACAAAAAAATTAGCCGGGCGTAGTGGCGGGCGCCTGTAGTCTCAGCTAGTCGGGAGGCTGAGGCAGGAGAATGGCGTGAACCCAGGAGGCGGAGCTTGCAGTGAGGCGAGATTGCGCCACTGCACTCCAGCCTGGGCGACAGAGCAAGACTCCGTCTCTGAAAGGCTGCAGAAATACTGTTTTCACAGTTTGGAACTCTACTGGGAAAAAAGGGCCTTATTTTGAGGCCTGGATCAAGCTCTAGTGTTGGTATTGTCAGGAAGCACTTTAACCATGTCTGCTAAGGCCTGAAACTGTGAACACAGGGGAACTCACTCATCTTGGTGGGGCTTTGCTTGATAGTTGGACATCAAGGGGGCCCTTGAAATAGAACTATTATGCTCAGAAAACAGACATATATATATATATATATATATATATATATATTTACACATATATATTTCATAAAGTTTTCGTAATAACACTGTATGATCGGCATTATTTTTTTGTATTACCAATAATAAACTGATAGGATTAAGAGAATTGAAATAGTTGCCCAAGATGACAGAACCAAAACTTGGTGAATCCAAGATTCTAATTCAGGCCTATCTGACTCATGCTGCACTATAATACTTCTAAATCTGGAACATCTCTTTCACATTAAACAACGTATCAGAATCTTGAACTAGTCAAAGGAAAAGCTTTATTCAAAGGGAAGGCAAACAAGATAATTGATTGCTTCTATTTTCAATGAGGGCATTTTCTTAGATTAATTATAAAATGGTGATTCCAAGGCAAATAAAAAGAGTTTCTATCATGAAACTCTTTCAGGTAACTCTTGGGGTATGGCATTTTCCAAAATAAATTATTAGAAACACAAAACCTGAAGTTACATTACCCATTTAACACTAAAATTAAAAGCAGAAAGCTAATTAGGAAAAATAGACTCTGTTACCTTTATTTTCAAGGATTAGAATTCTCTTAAAAGTTACAGCTAAATAAAAAGAAACCATAAAATAGAAACTTTAGATCACAGCACAAAATAAACTTCAAATCAGATAGTAACAGGCTGTAAAAGCGTGGCTTCTAGGGTCATATAACCCAGATTAAAATCACAACCCCACCTCTTACTAGTGATGTGATCTTTGCCCCTCTGAGCCACAGTCTCCTCGTCTAGAAAATAAATACGATAATAGAACCTATCTCATAGGGTTGTCATGAAGATTAAATGTAATACTCCATGTAACGTACTGGGCATACAGCCTGGCAAATAGCAAGCAGTCAACAAATATTAGCTCTTATTTTTATCATCATTACAACCTTTTATTTAAAATGGATATGCTGACGTGAAATGAGGGGTTTGCATTTATACCTACATGTTTCAAAGCTAAAGACTCCTGGACACCAAAAACCCCAAATAGTTTTCTCTAAATAGATATTAAAATGTTCCTGGCAATAGCTGCTTTTAAATAACTCATTTTCCGAGGCTGAAGCACAGAGTTCAAAATCCCAGGCTAAGCCCATTTATACTGCCCTGTTGTAAGATGCTGCACACAAAAGTAATTATTTGGCTTGCAGACCCTTTGTCACCCGAAAGCTCCCATAGCCACACAATTAAGTTTAGGCCACTCGGGGTTTAGCATTCTTTTTCTGAAATGGAGTCCACATGCATTACTCTGTGTGTGTGTGTGTGTGTGTGTGTGTGTGTGTGTATGTGTTTCTGGATGAATGATACAATCTACAGAGGTAGAGGAAACATTACAATGCTTAAGACTGGGTACTTCAACATCCAATTAGAGTTGGGTGAGTTGTGCGGCAGCCCCAAAGGCCAGATGCTAAAGTGACCTGGTGCAGCCCAGCACAGGCCATCACCTATCCCTCCTGCATGGAAAGCAGCCTCTAGGGATTCCACTGAGCCACAAAGCTGAAGACCCAGGCATGCTGCATTTTTTTCCTCCTAAAGAAATTTACATGCTATTTTTCTACCCTGTCCCTGAGCTGGGATATTGAGGTTAAAATGTACCTACTGAGTAGGTAATGCATTTGGTATTAAGGATCCATCATATGCGTATGTCTTCTGAGCGTAATGGTTCCTTTGGAGCTATTATAGGTATGCCGTGAATAGATATTAGAAATAATACACAAAGAGTGACTGAAGGAGATCCCATATTAACTACTGTCAGACTTTAAACATTATTCTAAAATAAGTTTTTAATTCCTAGGGTTTAATACCTCTATACTTTGTAAACTGAGCACTTTTCAAAGAGAGCTCCAAATTCCTACAGAGCTGTCTTTAAGTGAGCTTTGATCTTTGCAGAGCACCTATCTTGTGTTTCTATAATTGCTGTGGTTTAACAAGGCTCCCTAGCATGTGAAGGGGGGCAAATCCTTTTATTAAGGCTATAAACCTAACTGACCATAGTGACGGAATGTGCAGCTTGGTGGTAGCCCTTAGCTCCCCAGGAAAGAAAAAAAAAATTGAAACCAGGGAGTCTTCATGTTAAAACAAAATGAAATATTTATTAAACATGTTTCTGGTGTCCCAGGTGGTAAGAGGCTGCCCCGTGGTCCGCTGAAAGGTTTGATCTTTGTTAAGTATTGTGAATGCTGATTTCAATAATGGGGTGAAAGCTGAGGAAGTTATGGCTGAAATTTTGGCTAAAGATGACAGCTCTAGGTTTCAAGTTGCACAAAGCAGTCTGAGGGATTAAACCAACAAAGCCTGCTCAAAAGTATTGAGTTTCCAAAAGTGTAATCTTCCTATCAGTGATTCACACTCCTAGGATGGGGAGGATTCCTCATTTTTTACTTTGACTTTGCCATATTAATCTTACTTAACAAATACATGTGGTGATTTATATCATGTTTAATTAACTGATTGAGGGCGCCAGTGGTAAAAATGGCATCGCATTAAGCTCTGTCCGTATGGCAAATTCGAATCACATCCTTAGCCTTGCAAGAACAAAATATCCCGAGAGTCACTGATGACAGGATGTAGGAATTGAAATCAGGTCCCTCCTGTTGTTTGAGAATCTAGGGAGGGTGCCTGCCATATGCCCATCACTTCCAGCGGGGGAAATGACAGGATAAAAGAAAGGAAGGCTCTAGTTCTTCCAATATGTTCAAATCTCAGATGAAAATGATTGTGCAGCAGTGCTGTACAGAGGCCAAGATTCACATGAAAGTACATCTCAAACTTTGCAGAGAGCTTAATGAGAGGGTTTTGTGGTGTTTTGATATGTGGGGTTTTCTTTTGTTTTGTTTTCTGAAATGGCTGCTCAGGGTTTTTGAGAACTGAGAGGCGAAAAAGCTGTCGTTTAGAGTTAAATATAATAAGCAGGATTTTTTTAATAAAAGAGGGAATTATTATTTAATAAAATATAAGTGCACTATGATTCCATAGAAATCAAATTAGGTTTGAATACTAAAACCACACGTTGGGATACTGGTTTTAAAATTAACATCTTTGGAAATTGGAGTTGTCTAATTTTTCCCCTCAAAAATCTATGGTGATTATTTATGACATCTAAAGAAAAAGTATAAATTGATTACTGATAATAATTTTGAAATTTTAAAATGCATTTTAAATTGCATGACAACATAATAAAAGTATGAAAAGAGGGTAAAAAATCCATTTCAATCTTCAATTTGATGATTAACACTTTTGTGCATCCTCTTTTAGTGTTTTGTTTGCATGTGTTAAAATTATTATAATCATGCTACACCTTCATCTTGTATCCTTTTTTAACTTAGTATTTTATCCCATATTTCTCATACTGCTTTATACCAATTTTATTGACTGCATAATATTTCATCAAATGAATGTTGTCATCTTTTCCTAACCAAGCTTCCACTGCTAGATATTAAAATGCCTTCCAATGTTTGCTATTATAAACAATGTTATAAAGAAAATTTTTATATACATGGCTTTTTCCACATTTTGAATTATTTCCCTGGAGAGATTTCCTATACCTGTTCAGGTTGCCATACTGTTTAGGTTTCTTAAAAGATTGTATAGAAGTAAAGACATTTTTCTTCCAAGGAAAAGTAGAAAGTAAAACATTCTATAATGGTGTCATTATACAGGAAAAAAAAAAAATCTTACTTGAAATTAACATGCAATTTAAGTGATGACTTCACTCCTATAGTAAGTATTGGCGACATGAGAAAAACATTTAATTTTTACTCTAAATTAATTTGTTCTCTAAATGTTGTTCTCTAAATTTAATTTGTTCTCTAAATGTTGTGTTCTTCTTTAAAATAAGCATATGGTGACAATGAAATAAATTCAGAATTTTCTATTTTGTTTTACTCCTCACTTATTGTTTTGATTTAGAAAAAAAGTCCTTTCAAGTATAATTTAAGTTTTGAAATTTTTAACAGTTTCCTGGAGGATATTACAAGTGACTATTAAGCCAGCATACAGGTCACTTTTTAAAATGATCATTATTTTGGTTAAATCTGAAGTATGGTCCTCATAATTAATAATCCTAGATGTTTTCATGGCTTCAATTCAGAATATGATGAATTGGGTAAGTTAGGCAATATATTTTAACTAAAACCACTTTGGATTTTGACAAGGAATTCAAACTTTTCAACTGTGCTGTGTTGCTGCATAAGCAGCCTGTAAAAAGAATAATCACCTCAATTTTTTCAACTTCCTGGAATCATTCAAAACAGAGTAGTTAAGGATTGCTTCATTTGGAAGTAATAAGTTCCAAAACGGTCTGCCGCAGTATAGTTTAATTACTGGTCTCAATTCTCAACCTTCTAGATTTTCTTAACTATCCTTTTTTTGTTTTCAAACAAAAAATGTACAAACTTAAAATTCTATTGGCAGCCTAGTTTATCAAAAAAAGTTAGCTGCTTTATTTAACTTAGTCTATGATTTTATGAAATGCCATCAAATTCAAGTCAAGGGTATATTAGGGATCAAATAATTTTGGAAGCCAAAAGTGCATTTCCCTAGATGGTTTCTTCCAGCCGATGTTATTATTAGTCTGAGATCATGTAACAGCTTTTGTTTTCCAAATCTGTTCCTTTCAGTGAAGTCTATTTCTTTGCATAGTTTAAAAACAAAGGATAAACATTCCTTATGGGGCACTGGAAGGAGAAGCAATTCATGTGAATTTGATAAAACATAATGTACTGGACTGACAGTAAAAAGGCTTTGCTTGTTTGATTGTTGACTGGTTTTGTCTTTAAATAATGGTCTTCTTTTGGCATTTAATGTATATTTGGTCACAATAAACATAATTTATGAATATTTTAACACATGCATACTCAGTGGGGTGGATTATCATACTGATATAAATAGAATTAATGAGCAGTCAACCCGCCACATGCCACGACATATGACGGGGCAGCCAGTGCACAGAAATAATCCTCATAGTTTCATAATAAAGCTTTTCTCTTAGTTCAACTTTTTAAAACTACTTACAGTCTTATGTCCCCTTTCTGTTGGAGTATGGTTCACCAACCTGTGAAACAAGATTAAGATTTTACTACAAGAATCTATTTCTTTGGCATTCAAAAAAACAATTTTCTTGCTTTCTCTAAAACAAAATAAATATATTTGAACAAACTAACTCTACTAGGCCAAATTTCAGGGAATAGGTTATAGACAGACAAGACATATGTCTACTAGAAAAAAATTGTTATATTCTTTTCTTTTCTTTTTATGACAATAACATGATTATGCTCAATTGCTGCTACCAGATCTTTACAAGAACAAAAACTTTCTAAATAGTTCTACATTCTAAAACAGATCCGATGGGCATATCGCCTGGATAAAATTATTCTGGAAAAAAAAATCTTCTTAGCCAGTTATCTGCTCTCCTTGAACACAAAGCAACAATCTGTTAAGCGTGCCTAATAAGATTTTTTTTAAAGGAAAGAACTCAGTAGTATAAAGCCACCTCTTCAAATGGTAGGTATTGGGGGGGAGACATGGGCATGCAAAATCTTCAATTTAGCCATGCTTTATTCAACAAATAATTATTTTTGTGAAGAGACAAATTGAAATTTAAGATTAACCTTCATTTGCCTTATTTCCACAGTTTGATTACAGGCAAAAGTGGGAAAAAATAAAATTAGCATGTGCACTGCATTGTCCAGATGATCTGGCAGGAGGAGAGCCTTGGCAGAGATATACTATGACTTTTTACAAATGCAGATGGCAGTGTTGCAGCCTTTATTCCTCTTATCTTTCATTTTCAAAGGGAACACTCGAAGCTTTTTGCCACCACCCTCCTCTACTCCTATCCTCACATGTAAAAACACTGTATCCCCAAATCAAAGCTCTTTCCTAAAACAGGCAAGCCCCAGGATGCATCAGGGAAGGGACAGACTGTGACACCATGCTCCTGGTCATCTGTGAGAGAAGTGCACTGTGCTATGTGGGCCAGGGCCTGGTGAACTTGCCCAGAGTGACTCCCTTGGGGAATCCAGCCCTTTCACCAGCAAAGAAAATGGGCACCACCTAGTGCTTTTTCAACGCAAAGGCTGTTTGTGCTCATGTGGACAAGAGTGGGCATGCGTTGGCTGACCTTTACAAAGGAAAAAAAAAAAAGGAGTCAGGTGGCTTTAACCCCTATGCCAACTGAAAGAAGAAGCAAGTGACAATCTTAAGACAAAGGAATTCAGTGCTTCCAAATTATAGATTTCTTTGGTTTTTTTTTTTTTATAATTATTGGTCTGTTCATGAGAAATAACATCTTTACTTACCAAGACACTAATTTCCTCTGTATCACCTTTTTGCCTCCTCATGTCCTCTGAGGTTAATTTGTAAGAATTTCTAAGAATTTTCATTTGGTCCAAAGTGACATAGCAGAACCAGCGCTGGCCCACCCCCACCCCCAAAATCTATTCTAACAAGCAGTCTCTCTGGAGTTCTCCTAACACAACAAATAGCTTTTATGAAAAATGATGTGTAGCACAAAATCTTTTGCAGTGCAATAAGATCAAGTTAACCACTCATGCCTCTAGGAAAAAGCCTAGGAAGTTTTATCTGATTGGCAAAATGGACCCAGATATGAGTTCAAGGATTGAGTACAGTTTGATGAAATTTCATAGCAATGAAGTCTGATTATCTGAATGATTGCTTAAGCCTTTTAAAACATAACTCGAGGAAGCACTAGATTTTTCATTGGGAAAACAGATGGTCTTGTAGGGAATCGTAGAACCACCATCTCATGCTGTTTACTTTTTCTGTAATACTTTGCCTAGAATTACTCTCACCACTATTGCTTTTTAAAAATAATAATGATTTCTTCATTGCTAAAAGGTAGATCTTTCTGCAATAAAATTAGAAATCTTAGTGGAGGGCAAGGTGAAGGGCAGAAATGGGAAAAATGAGTAACCTGCTATACCTAACTGGATTAACAAGGACCTGTAACATATCCAGGAACTAACTGGCTGGCTCTGAACTCATTAGGGATCTGCTTATCTGTTATGCTGTACAACAGAATCCAGACAAAAAACAGACTGTGAAGAAACGGATTAAAAATGATTGTAACTTCTCTAAGAGTTCAGTATCTGTGCTAAGCAACTTTGTAGAAGGACTGAAGAAAACAAAGCCCAAGATTCTGAACTTCACTCCACTGCCTATCCCCAAGTTCTGCCGTTATAAGATCGCAATAACGCTACTTAGATATAGAACTTTGCAACTGTTTTATGAACTAACCTAAAAAGTCAAACGCACTCTCATCTCTTGGTCATTTTATTGCTGTAATTTATGATATTAAATAAGTGATTTGTTTAAAATAAATTTTAAAATTTATACCAAGGAGGAAAAATAATCTTAAAATGGGTTTGTTCTATGAGGAGCAAGAAAAAAAAAATGTGTAGTGAACTGATCTCTTTGAGATTTCACTGGCACAAAATATATCCCTTTAAGCTTAACACTAAATAGGTGATCTTGTCTTGACAGATTTAAGATGAACATGAATTGATTAGCTGAAGCCATCAGGTGTGGCTGAGCCTGTCTTTTTCCAAATATGTACCTACAGGATAATGGAAGGAGGTAGCTGTTGTCATCACCTTTTTAAGTGAAAGCAGTGTTATGTTTTGTATTCAAGTCGAATTCCCCAACTCTTCATATCACCACCATTCTGGTCAGCCTGTTAAGGGAAGAAAAACAACAACAACATTTTCTTTTTTTCTTCCCTGCCCACCCAGCCCCCCTTTTCCACTGCCTGCCTTGCCCTGAATGCTATAGTTCACAGCGAAACCCTCTGGTAATGACAGCCCTGAAGTGATAATGTACTTTCCTGCCTTCCTGTTAACGGTAGCATAATCCCGCCATGTGTGCCAGCCCCGTGGCAGAAGGATGCGTTCATATTTTCTGGAGGTAAAAGGGACCGGTTCAATTTACAGGCTTGACTACCTCAGCAGTTTCACTAAGTTCTGGTACATAAATGGATGTTTTATTAAAGAAGAAAAGGAAGGGGGAAGGGAAGGAGGAGGAAGACGAAGAAGAAGAAAAGAAGAGAAGGAAAGGAGGTGGGAAGGAGAATTCGTCTTTTTCTGCTCAATATTATGTCAGTGAAACCAAATAATGTGTCTCGGTTCCTCCCCCTGAGCATTCCACCCGGGTAAAAAAGGAACTAAGGTAAGTCATATCAAGTAAATGCACTGGACTTGGAGATGTGGGCTCCCTGTGTGATAAGCAATGGGCAGCATGTGATAACACATTTATCCTCTCCCTCCTCTTAGCTCACCTCTGCTGAGAGAAGCTGTGCATGGCGAGTGGCCCCCACACACCTGGCTGGATGACATCTGAGGGCTCGGAGGTCCCTGCTGCTCAGTGTGCCAGGATGGTCCCACCGTCCTCACATTCACATTTTTTATGGATGATGCGTCATTCTGCTAAGGCAACAAAAGTGAAAACAATCAATAGTTCTACCCAAATACCTGTTATTTTAAGAATGGGGCCAGAGTGATTTCTTGGCTATGAGCAGCTCAGGAGACACTATTTTTCGTTGTTTAAATACAATTGATTTTCCTTGCTTCAGAACCCAGATCACTCACGGAGCTCCTGGTGTGTCGAGCTTGGATGAATTTGTAATATGACACAGTGATACCTGTTTGTTTAAGGACACCTTGTGTGTAATGTCAGTGTTGCATTACTCTGTGGTTCCAAAACTTCAAGTCCACACTGGAGAAGGTGGGGGCAGCCTGTGGACAGAGGCAGGAAAGAAGGGACATTGTTTTGAGTGCCTGTTAGCTTGTAGGCACAGTTCCATGCTCTTTTCTGTAAAACAGGCCAATGATATTGGAAGCCAAGTTTGTCTGGCTATGGAGCCCCTGTTTCTCCACTCTACCAATAATCAAAACTCACAGTGAGAGGTTAAACCAATACATGCACACATTACCAAAACAAGGTTTCACAAACAATATTTACCTTTACACAGGCAATTTACTCTTATTTTACCAGTCCTACTCCATAATAATTCAATTCTTTAAAATTATGGTTGCAACCCCACTAAATTGGCCTCATAATCTACCATTGTAACATGGCCCACTGTTTGATACACACTGGAGTACACCTTGGTACCCTTCACATTTTTAAATGATGCTATATTGGACTTGGTATCCATGTGATGATCAAGATTGTATTTGAAGATGTTGCATAGAAAGTCCCATCCTATGATTCAGTTTTTTCATCTAAGAATTAGAAATTATAACATTTATTCCCCAAAATTCTCCAGTTGAATTCACTGGAGGTATTCATTGCCTCTCAGAGAGTCTGTTACTTAAAATAAAGACAATTAAAATTAAGATAGCAAGTATTTTAGCAACAAAAGCCACAAAAAAGAATAATAATTATAATTGCTATTGTTAGTAATAATTGTTGAACTCACAACCTGCCGGCCACTGCTCTATGAGCTTTCAATATAACTCATTCAGTTCTCACTATCACTTTATGAAGTAGGTAAATATTACTTTCACTTTACAGCCAGAATTCCTTTATCTTCTTTCTCATAAATTTCTCATTCTAAACTGTTAATATACATCTCAGAAAATGAATGAGATTGTGACTATGACTCAAGAAATACGTATTTCTATGCTTGGTTTAAATAAAATACAAAAGCCTGTATCATCTAATTGGCTTGATAAATCTCACTAGCTTTTTAATAATCATGAAATTTAAATTTTTTTGTAGAAAACTTTCAGAATACTTAATGAAAAATCAGTATGTATTCACCTTCAAAAAACACAAATTTCCAGGCATAATAATAATATCTGCAAGTCCAAATGTAATCACGGTGCCAGGGCTGGTTGATTCAGCAGCTTATCACTGTCACTGGGGACTCAGATTCTCTCCACCTTTCCACTCTCCCATCCCTCATCAGCTTTGTCCTATGAGGGCTGCACAGATCCAGGTGTCACATCCAGCATCATAGTGACAAGAACAAAGGTCTCTTTCTCAGGAGTCTACTAAGTGTCCCTTAAATCCTGATTAGCAAATTTCCTTTGCTAAAAATGAGTTATATGCCAATTCCTAAACTAGTCACTGTTAGGGTGTAGAATCACTGTGATTGGATTAGAAAAGCTCTGCCTCCTGGAACTAGGAATGATGTTGTTTGCCCTGAAGCACATGGATCTGTGGTCAGGAAGAGGGGTCTTGCGGGAAATATATATACTGAGTAAGCAGTGTCTGATACAAAGACGAAAAATATTTCTTTTGACAGGAAGATTTGGTAAAATATAAAGTAGTAGAATTATTTCCCATTATTTAATCTGTTTAATGTTTCATAAAAATTAGCAAACGTAATGAGGAAACGTATCTGTAAGAATCCACTATGCATTTGCTGTTTGCTCTGAAATCAACAGGACCCAGTGCTTTCATTACTAGAAAGAAGAAAATTAGGTAGGTTAATAAAACAAACATCTGGAAAGTATCAACACTCATAAAAATAAATGGAATCATCCTGTGTATACACTAAAGCCAGGTTGGCATTTGTCAACAACTACAGAGAAAACACTACAGAATTTACTACTTCCAACTTCCTGGGTGGGTTTGTTCTCATTCATTTAACATATTTTCCTAAGTGAAAATTTAGTTTTAGGTTTTGAAATACAATCATATAAGAATATGTAGACTAATAGTGTTTATTAATTTTTAATAATGCCTACAGTTTCCCATATTTGGTTGCATTTTTCCTGCTATCCTATTGCTTCTGAGCCACCTGTTCCCCTCTCAAAAACATGCAAGCTGGGATTTTTTTCTTTTCTTTTAACTAGATATCTTGCCAAAATTTCAGACTCATAGTAAAGAGTTTTTATTTTTCACCAACCTAATTATTAAAAAAGGAGTATTTAGAATAGCTCTAAGAATTCTCATACAGCCTTCATCCTCATTCCCCAAATGTTAACATTTTACTACATTTGCTGTATCTATCTCTTTGTGTGTATATGCACAGACATACACAGAATGTCTATGCCTTATATACACATGTATATCTCTGTGTATATATGTATGTATATATGCACATATTTTTAATAGATTCTGAGTTTTCTAATCCTTTGAGAATAAGTTACAGTCATGAAACCCCTTTATTTTTAAATACTTGTGTATCTTTCTAATAAAGAAGAAATTCCCCAATGAAACAACAAAAGATTACCAAAATCAGAAAACTAGCATTGCTATAATACTCTTATCTAATTTATAGACTTTATTCAGATTTCAATACTATTTTTATGGTCAAAAAAAATCAAATGTCATGGGTCATGCCCTGAATTCAGCTGTCATTTCTCTTTAGTCTTCTTTATTCTGACAGTCCTTTAGTGTTTTCCTGGCAGAATGCTGTTAATATCAGTCTTCAGTAAAACATATTAAGAGAGGAAACATCATGCCAAAGCCAGTGGATTTGTATGGATGGTGGCTTGAGTGGGATTCGTCCTGCCTTTGCAGCCTTCCTCCTGCAGGGATAATAGGTGTGAGTATGTTTCACTATTCTCTTAGACATCCTGACCTGTACCACAAATGTGAAGGGCCAACTGGAGAACTAGGTGATCCAACAGTTTGTTATTAATCATCTCATCTCTTGCCAATGAATAGCAACAAGAACATCCCAAAACATCTGAAATATTTCTAAATATTCTAAACATTTGTAAAAATGTGGGACATTATAGAAAAAAACTTACAAAAACATTTGTTTCAATCACTGCATGCTTAGATGCAATCTTTAAAAGTACTTCAAGTAAATAATTAGAATGGGGATGTTTAGAATTGGTTAAAGGTTCATTATTTCTGAACCAATGTGCAGAATTTGGCTTATGAGTACAAGAATAAAGACATTTGGATCAATTCTCTTATCTTTTTATTAATATTTAAATTAGCCTACAAAAAATCCACATATATAAAAGTCCTCTAAAGCCTGAGAAGCTCATTTGCTTTTACGTAGGACATATTGATGGTTTTAATTTTTTAATCTCTCAGACTGCATCTGTATAGCAACAAGCGGATACTTTAGCAAGGAATAAATTGTTCCAAAAAGGTATGGGCAAGTGTGTCTTACAACTTTTTTTTTTTTTCTGAAAGATCTCAGTAAAATATTTTCTGATATGTTTTCAAACCAATGTATTCTATCACATGAAAGAGAAGTTACCTGACAACGTGGTTATTTGCAGTTATGTTATAACCAAATTTGTAACTGACTCTCCCTCCTCCAGTCTTATGAAAAAGAAGGAAGAAATTATAGCCTGGAAGAGAATATTCCCAAATGGGGCGAGCTAGGGCATCTAAATCTATAGCTGGAGCTACAAAACACTTCGCTTCATTCAAGAAACGTTTTCTTGAGTTGATTTTTTATGTACCTATCTTAAAAATAAGGTAGTGCTCCTGGAGTAAGATTAATAGCAGCAGACCCTTACTTAACCTATTTTCAGTAGTGAAAACAGATTATAAACCCCTTTTTTTCCACTACAGAGTTATAAATACAACAGCAGTGCAGAAATCATTTGTTCATTGAGTTCAACTCAAGATTATACTCAAGTCTGATTGCAAAAGCCCATTCATATGGAAGAAGAGACAAAAGGCTAACAACTCTCTGGGAAGAGCATCAAAGGCTCAATGTTTACAAGAAGAAATTGAGGGGAAGATTGGAGAATAATTTTCTCTGGGGGAATGATGGCAGCTTAGGGGTCTTTTGTAGAGAAAGTTCTTTGCTAGGATTAAAGGCAGGATTATTGGTGGATAATTGAAAAATGAAATGGAGAACCTCTTAAAATGGCAATGTATTTGGAATATCCAGGGAGTTCTTGAAATGTGAATTCTAAGGAAATGGGTAGTACTTAAGAAGAAAAGATTAACTCAAACTCACTATTTCAAGTGATAAAACTGCAAGTGAATCACAAAGGGATGGAGCTGCCAATGCCTGCAGAGGAAAACCAAAAGACCAATAACACAGTGACTTGGGTCAGCTTTTAAGTCAAGGCACCAATTCAAGAAAATCCTAATGAGGAAGAAATCAATCTGCTCTGCAGATCATGTTATGGCTATATAATGGCTAAAGAACAACAGTAACTAGAACCTGAATTAGTGTTATATTGCTCATTTTATCTAATTTCACAAAGTTATTGTTACCTTAAATCATACATTTATCAGAACTGTTTTATGTAAAATAATATTTGAGGTTGACTCCTCATAGTAAAATTAAATGCTTCTAAATTTAATGTATGTGAAACAGGATGTGCTATGGGCTGAATGTTTGGGTCTCTCTCAAATTCATATGTTAAAATCCTAACCTCCAAATCAATGCTAGTAAGAGGCAGGGCCCTAGGGAGGTAGTTAGGTCACAAGGTGCAGCCCTTATGAATGGGATTAATGCCTCTATAAGAAGAGAAACAAGAGAGATTTTTTCTTTCTCTGCCATGTAAGGATACAATGAGAAGTCAGCCATCTGTAAACCAGGAAGGGGACCCTCACCAAGAACATCACCATGCTGGCACCCTGAACTCAAACTTCCAGCCTCCAGAACTGTGAGAAATAAATGTAATAACTATTTGTTGTTTAATACATCCAATCTATAGTAGTCTGTTACAGTAGCCAAAACTGATTAAGACAAAAAGTTTCATTTGAAAGCAATAACTAACGTATAATTCTGAACTTGACATTCACTATTGCTAAGGTTACATTGGTTTCCCGACTGCTAAAAAAAAATAAAAATCAGATAGCTCATCTGAGAAGACACACAGACGGAAATCAAGCACATGAAAAATATGCTTAGCATCACTGGTCATTAGAAAAATGTAAATTAAAACTACAATGAGTTGCCACTACACAAATATCAGAATGACCAAAATAAACACATTTTTTAAAATTTAAATGACAATATTAAGTGTTGGAAAAGATACAGAGCAACTGCAACTCTCAGATATTGCTGATATGAATCGAAAATGGTACAGACACTTTGGAAATCAGTTTGACAAGTTCTTATAAAATTAAATATATACTGGGCATGGTGGAGTGTGCCCGTAGTCCCAGATCTTGGGAGGCTAAGGCAGGAGGATAGCTGGATCCCAAGAGTTCAAGGCTGCAGTGAGCTATGATCATGCTACTGCAGTCTAGCCTAAGTGACAGAGTAAGATGCTGTCTCAAAAAAAAAAAAAAAAGAAAAAATTAAACATATACTTACCATGCAGCTCAGCAATTCCATTCCTAAGTATTTACCCAAGTGAAATTTAAAAACCACCCAAATATTCCTTAGCTGAGGAACAGATAAACTAGTACGTTCATAAAATGGAATACTGTTTAATATATTCATAAAATGGAATACTGTTCAGCAATATAAAAGAATGAACTATTGATACATGCAACCACATGGGATGAATTTCAAATGCATTACATGGAATGAAAAAAGCTAGACTCAAACAGATGCATATGAAAATATTCTATTTAGATGACATTCTGGAAAATGCGAAACTATAGTTTTGGAAAGATCTATGGTTGCCAGGGATTAAGAGTGTAGAAAGGGGCCAAGTTCAGTGGTTCACACCTCTAATCCCAGCACTTTGGGAAGCTGAGGCCAGAGGATCACTTGGGCCCAGGAGTTCAAGACCAGCTTGGGCAACATGGCAAGACGCCCCATCTCTACAAAAAATTAATTTAAAAAAATAGCATGGTGACATGCACCTGTAGTCCCAGCTGTCAGGCCTCTGAGCCCAAGCTAAGCCATCATATCCCCTGTGACCTGCACGCACACATCCAGATGGCCGGTTCCTGCCTTAATTGATGACATTCCACCACAAAAGAAATGAAAATGGCCTGTTCCTGCCTTAACTGATGACATTGTCTTGTGACATTCCTTCTCCTGGCTCATCCTGGCTCAAAAGCTCCCCCACTGAGTACCTTGTGACCCCCACTCCTGCCTGCCAGAGAACAACCCCCCTTTTTCCTTTACCTACCCAAATCCTATAAAACGGCCCCACCCCTATCTCCCTTCACTGACTCTTTTTGGACTCAGCCCACCTGCACCCAGGTGATTAAAAGCTTTATTGCTCACACAAAGCCTGTTTGGTGGTCTCTTCGCACAGAAGTGCATGAAATTTGGTGCTGTGACTGGGATCGGGGGACCTCCCTTGGGAGATCAATCCTCTGTCCTCCTGCTCTTTGCTCCATGAGAAAGGTCCACCTACGACCTCAGGTCCTCAGACCGACCAGCCCAAGAAACATCTCATCAATTTCAAATCCGGTAAGCAGCCTCTTTTTACTCTCTTCTCCAACCTCCCTCACTATCCCTCAACCTCTTTCTCCTTTCAATCTTGGTGCCACACTTCAATCTCCCCCTTCTCCTAACTTCAATTCCTTTCATTTTCTGGTAGAGACAAAGGAGACACGTTTTATCTGTGGACCCAAAACTCCGGCGCCAGTCACGGACTAGGGAAGGCAGCCTTCCCTTTGTGTTTAATCATTTCAGGGACACCTCTCTGATTATTCACCCAGGTTTCACAGGTGTCAGACCACGCAGGGATGCCTGCCTTAGTCCTTCACCCTTAGTGGCAAGTGCCGCTTTTCTAGAGGAGGGGCAAATATCCCAATCCATTCTCTCCATATCTCTACCCCTTCTCTGCTTTTCTGGAGGAGGGGCAAGAACCCCTCAACCCCTTCTCCTTCACCCTTAGTGGCAAGTCCAGCTTTTCTAGCGGGCAAGAACCCCCAATCCCTTATTTCCGCACCCCGACCTCTTATCTCTGCACCCCAATCCCTTATTTCCATACCTGACCTCTTATCTCTGCACCCCAATCCCTTATTTCCATGCCCCAACCTCTTATCTCTGCACCCCAATCCCTTATTTCCACACCCCGACCTATCTCTGCACCCCAATCCCTTATTTCCACGCCCTGACCTCTTATCTCTGTGCCCCAACCCCTTATTTCCACACCCCGACCCCTTTCCCACTTTTCTGGAATTTAAGAACCCCCGAACCCCTTCCTTCTATGTCTCTACTCTCTTTTCTCTAGGCTTGCTTCCTTCACTATAGGCAACCTTCCACCCTCCATTCCTCCTCCTCCTCCCTTAGCCTGTGTTCTCAAGAACTTAAAACCTCTTCAACTCACACCTGACCTAAAACCTAAATGCCTTATTTTCTTCTACAATGCTGCTTGACCCTATACAAACTCGACAGGAGTTCCAAATAGCCAGAAAACAGCACTTCCATTTTTTCCATCCTACAAGATCTAAATAAATCTTGTCGTAAAATAGGCAAATGGTCTGAGGTGCCTGACGTCCAGGCACTCTTTTACACATCAGTCCCTCTGTAGTCTCTGTTCTCAATGCAACTCCTCCCAAATCTTCCTTCTTTCCCTCCTGCCTGTCCCCTCAGTCCCAACCCCAAGCATCGCTGAGTCTTTCTAATCTTCTTTTTCTACAGACCCATCTGACCTCTCCCCTCCTCGCCAGGCCAAGCTAGGTCCCAATTCTTCCTCAGCCTCTGCTCCTCCACCCTATAATCCTTTTATCACCTCCCCTCCTCACACCTGGTCCTGCTTACAGTTTCGTGCTGTGACTAGCCCTCCCCCACCTGCCCAGCAATTTACTCTTAAAAAGGTGGCTGGAGCCAAAGGCATAGTCAAGGTTAATACTCCTTTTTCTTTATCCCAAATCAGATAGCGTTTAGGCTTTTTCATCAAATATAAAAATCCAGCCCAGTTCATGGCTCATTCGGCAGCAACCCTGAGATGCTTTACAGCCCTAGACCCTAAAAAGTCAAAAGGCCGTCTTATTCTCAATATACATTTTATTACCCAATATGCTCCTGACATTAAATAAAACTCCAAAAATTAAATTCTGGCCCTCAAACCCCACAACAGGACTTAATTAACCTCGCCTTCAAGGTGTACAATAATAGAGGCAGCCAAGTAGCAACATATTTCTGAGTTGCAATTCCTTGCCTCCACTGTGAGACAAACCCCAGCCACATCTCCAGCACACAAGAACTTCCAAACGCCTAAACCGCAGCGGCCAGGCGTTCCTCCAGAACCACCTTCCCCAGGAGCTTGCTACAAGTGCCAGAAATCTGGCCACCAGGCCAAGGAATGCCCACAGCCCAGGATTCCTCCTAAGCCGTGTCCCATCTGTGCAGGACCCCACTGGAAATCGGACTGTTCAACTCACCTGGCAGCCACTCCCAGAGCCCCTGGAACTCTGGCCCAAGGCTCTCTGACTGACTCCTTCCCAGATCTTCTCGGCTTAGCGGCTGAAGACCGACGCTGCCGGATCGTCTCGGAAGCCCCGTAGACCATCACGGACGCCGAGCTTTAAGTAACTCTCACAGTGGACGGTAAGTCCGTCCCCTTCTTAATCAATACGGAGGCTACCCACTCCACATTACCCTCTTTTCAAGGGCCTGTTTCCCTTGCCTCCATAACTGTTGTAGGTATTGACAGCCAGGCTTCTAAACCTCTTAAAACTCCCCAACTCTGGTGCCAACTTAGACAACACTCTTTTATGCACTCCTTTTAGTTATCCCCACCTGCCCAGTTTCCTTATTAGGCCGAGACACTTTAACTAAATTATCTGCTTCCCTGACTATTCCTGGACTACAGCTACATCTCATTGCCTCCCTTCTTCCCAATCCAAAGCCTCCTTCATGTCCTCCTCTTGTATTCCCCAACCTTAACCCACAAGTATAAGATACCTCTACTCCCTCCTTGGCGACCGATCATGCACCCCTTACCATCTCATTAAAACCTAATCAGCCTTATCCCGCTCAATGCCAATATCCCATCCCACAGCATGCTTTGAAAGGATTAAAGCCTGTTATCACTGGCTTGCTACAGCATGGCCTTTTAAAGCCCATAAACTCTCCTTACAATTCCCCCATTTTACCTGTCCTAAAACCAGACAAGCCTTACAAGTTAGTTCAGGATCTGCGCCTTATCAACCAAATTGTTTTGCCTATCCACCCCATGGTGCCAAACCCGTATACTCTCCTATCCTCAATACCTCCCTCCACAATCTGTTATTCTGTTCTGGATCTCAAACATGCTTGCTTTACTATTGCTTTGCACCCTTCATCTCACCCTTTCTTCGCTTTCACTTGGACTGACCCTGACACCCATCAGGCTCAGCAAATTACCTGGGCTGTACTGCCGTAAAGCTTCACAGACAGCCCCCATTACTTCAGTCAAGCCCAAATTTCTTCCTCATCTGTTATCTATCTCAGCATAATTCTCATAAAAACACACGTGCTCTCCCTGCCAATTGTGTCCAATTAATCTGTCAAACCCCAACCCCTTCTACAAAACAACAACTCCTTTCCTTCCTGGGCATAGTTAGATACTTTCACCTTTAGATACCTGGTTTTGCCATCCTAACAAAACCATCATATAAACTCACAAAAAGAAACCTAGCTGACCCCATAGATCCTAAATCCTTTCCCCACTCCTCTTTCCATTCCTTGAAGACAGCTTTAGAGGCTGCCCCCACTCTAGCTCTCCCTGACTCATCCCAACCCTTTTCATTAGATACAGCTGAAGTGCAAGGCTGTGCAGTCAGAATTCTTACACAAGGACCAGGATCACGTCCTGTAGCCTTTTTGTCCAAACAACTTGACCTTCCTGTTTTAAGCTGGCCATTATGTCTCCGTGCAGTGGCGGCTGCTGCCCTAATACTTTTAGAGGCCCTTAAAATCACAAACTATGCTCAACTCACTCTCTGCAGCTCTCATAATTTCCAAAATCTATTTTCTTCCTCACACCTGAAGCATATACTTTCTGCTCCCCGGCTCCTTCAGCTGTACTCACTCTTTGTTGAGTCTCCCACAATTACCATTGTTCCTGGCCTGGACTTCAATCCGGCCTCCCACATTATTCCTGATACCACACCTGACCCTCATGACTGTATCTCTCTGATCCACCTGACGTTCACCCCATTTCCCCACATTTCCTTCTTCCCTGTTTCTCACCCTGATCACACTTAGTTTATTGACGGCAGTTCCACCAGGCCTAATCACCACACACCAGCAAAAGCAGGCTATGCTATAGTACAAGCCACTAGCCTGCCTCTTAAAACCTCTCATTTCCTTTCCATCGTAGAAATCTATCCTCAAGGAAATAACTTCTCAATGTTCCATCTGCTATTCTACTACTCCTCAGGGATTATTCAGGCCCCCTCCCTTCCCTACACATCAAGCTTAGGGATTTGCCCCCGCCCAGAACTGGCAAATTAGCTTTACTCAACATGCCCCGAGTCAGGAAACTAAAATACCTCTTAGTCTAAGTAGACACTTTCACTAGATAAGTAGAGATCTTTCCTTCAGGGTCTGAGAAGGCCACCGCAGTCATTTCTTCCCTTCTGTCAGACGTAATTCCTCAGTTTAGCCTTCCCACCTCTATACAGTCTGATAACAGACCAGCCTTTATTAGTCAAATCAGCCAAGCAGTTTTTCAGGCTCTTAGTATTCAGTGAAACCTTTATATCCCTTACAGTCCTCAGTCTTCAAGAAAAGTAGAACAGACTAAAGGTCTTTTAAAAACACACTTCACCAAGCTCAGCCACCAACTTAAAAAAGAATAGACAATACTTTTACCACTTTCCCTTTCAGAAGTCAGGCCTGTCCTCAGAATGCTACAAAGTACAGCTCATTTAAGCTCCTGTATAGATGCTCCTTTTTATTAGGCCCCAGTCTCATTCCAGACACCAGACCAACTTGGACTGTGCCGCAAAAAACTTGTCATCCCTACTGTCTTCTGTCTAGTCATACTCCTATTCACCATTCTCAACTACTCATACATGCCCTGCTCTTGTTTACATTGCCGGTTTACACTGTTTCTCCAAGCTATCACAGCTGATATCTCCTGGTGCTATCCCCAAACCGTCACTCTTAACTGTTAAAGTAAATAAATAAGCTTTGCTGGTAAGGCTATGCTGAACCTCCTTAGGCATTCTCTAATTAGATGTCCTAAGTCCTCCCAGTTCTTAGTCCTTTTTTTTTTATTATTATTATTATACTTTAAGTTTTAGGGTACATGTGCACCTGTTTTTCTCCTTCTCTTATTCTGTTTAGTTTTTCAATTCATACAAAACTGTATCCAGGCCATCACCAATAATTCTAAATGACAAATGTTTCTTCTAACAACCCCACAATATCACCCCTTACCACAAAATCTTCCTTCAGCTTAATCTCTCCCACTCTAGGTTCCCACGCCGCCCCTAGTCCCGCTTGAAGCAGCCCGGAGAAACATCGCCCATTATCTCTCCATACCACCCCCAAAAATTTTCGCCATCCCAACACTTTACCACTGTTTTGTTTTATTTTATAAATAAATTAATTATTAAGAATATATATTTATTTTATAAATAAATTAATTATTAATATAAGAAGACAGGAATGCCAGGCCTCTGAGCCCAAGCTAAGCCATCATATCCCCTGTGACCTGCACATACACATCCAGATGGCCGGTTCCTGCCTTAACTGATGACATTCCACCACAAAAGAAGTGAAAATGGCCTGTTCCTGCCTTAACTGTGACATTGTCTTGTGAAATTCCTTCTCCTGGCTCATCCTGGCTCAAAAGCTCCCCTACTGAGTACCTTGTGACCCCCACTCCTGCCTGCCAGAGAACAACCCCCCTTTTTCCTTTACCTACCCAAATCCTATAAAATGGCCCCACCCCTATCTCCCTTCGCTGACTCTCTTTTCAGACTCAGCCCGCCTGCACCCAGGTGATTAAAAGCTTTATTGCTCACACAAAGCCTGTTTGGTGGTCTCTTCACATGGACGTGTGTGAAACCAGCTACTTGGGAAGTGGAGGCAGGAGGATCGCTTGTGTCTAGGAGGTCAAAGCTGCACTGAGTTATGACGGCATCACTGCACTCCAGCCTAGGTGACTCAGTGAAACCCAGTTCAAAAAATTATTTTTTTAAAAAAAGAGTGTAGAAAGAGTTCAACAACAAAGGAGTAGCACAGGATATTTGGGTATGCAGGGGGTAAGACAGTGATGGAACTGTTCTATTTCTTGATTGTGATGATGGTTATATTAGTTTGTACATTTGTTAAGACTCATAGAACTATATACCAATAAGAGTGATTTTTGCAGTATGTAAATTTTAAAACAAATTAAGAAAATGTATTGAAAATAAAATCATAGACCGCAATACCATTGTATTAGTTTCCTATGGCTGCTGTGACAAGTAACCACAAACTTGGTGATTTTAAACAACATGAATGTACTTTTCCGTAGTTCTAGAGGCCAGAAGTCCAAGATGAGTCTTACAGAGCTAAAATCAAGGTGTAGACAGGCCCAGGCTCCTCCTGGAGGTTGCCTCCTCCAACTACTGGTGGCCATTGGCATTTCTTGGCTTGTGGCTGCATCACTCCAATCTCTGTTTCCATGGTCATATTAATTTCTCTTCTTTTTTCTGTGTGAATTGTGCCTTTGTCCCCTCTCTTATAATGACACTTAGGATTGCATTAGAGATCAGGTGAATACTCCAAGATAATCTCCTATCTCAAGAATCTTTAATGACTCTAGACAGCCTTTGCCATATAAGGTAATATTCACTGATTCCAGGGATTAGAATGTGGCCATTCGGAGTATGAGGCCATCATTCAGCCTCCCACAACTGTAGTAAATAGGAGAGGTCTACACAGGGAACTTTTCATATACTGATAATGTTCAAATTCTTAAGTGATAAAAACATAGGTGTTCAGCATTTAAGTGGCAGAAAACAAGAAGAAATGGGAGTATTTCTACTGAGTGAGTAGTTTGGAGAAGTTAGAAAATATATGGTAAATTCAAGCTATGATGAATTATCCTAGTTCAATTGTGTTACTATAAAGGAATACCTGAGGCTGAGTAATTTATGAAGAAAAGAGGTTTATTTGGTTCACAGTTCTGCAGGCTGTACAAGAAGAACGGTGCCAGCATCTGCTTGTCACTAAGGCCTCAGGCTGCTTGCACACATGGTAGAAGGTGAAGAGGAGCCTGCATGTACAGAGATTACACAGTGGGAAAGGAAGCAAGAGAGAGGGAAGGGAGGTGCTAGGCTTTTCTTAACAACCAGCTCCCACAGAAACTAAGAGTGAGAATTCACTCATCTCCAGCTCCCATCAGAGGGCATTAATCTATTCATGAGGGATCTGCCACCATGATGCAAACACTTCCCATTAAGCCCGACCTCCAATATTGAAGATCAAATTGAAACATGAGATTTGGAGGGTTCGAACTTCTAAACTATAGCATGACTACACTCAAGTGACTTGAATATGGGATGTGGTGGAGTATATCATGAAAGAGGTTTAAAAGGTTACAGCCAAATAATAGGGCACCTCAAATCTCTTGGTAATAATTTTGGCATCATTCTGGAGGTCTTACAGAGTGATTAAATGTTTTTGAGTCAGTGGGAATCAAACCAATGTGTTAATTCATCGTATAAATACATACAAATTATAATAGCATTTATTATGTGGCAAGAATGGCTTAAGAACTTTAAATATTTTAAATCATTTTATTCTTGTAGCATCCTTAAGAGTAAGCACTATTATTATCATCATTTTACAAATGAGGAAACTGAAGCACAGAAATGTCAAGTGGCTTTCCCAAGGTCATACCGCAAGTAAGTCACAGAATCAGTATTTGGATCTAGGAAGAGAGCCTTCAGAGTCCTTGTTTTAATTATTTGCTCTACCAAGAAGAAAAAGAAGAGAGAAAAAAAGAAAATAAAGAATACAGACAGGCAGGTTAATGAGAGAAAAAGATAAATAATGAAGAACAAAAAGCAAGGAGCAATATTCTGAAGAGTTACAGACATGATGGAATAAACAGCAAGTTGTCAAAAGGAGCTGCAAATGCCCATGTATGCCCTTTCAGGAGCGCTAGACTATCTGCATGAGACAGAGAGTAAATCCTGATGCCATCACTCAAACTAGACCTACAAGTGCCTCGAGTTCTTACAGATCCCCATCTTTCTGGGCAAAACATCCATCCTTCAAATCATTCCACAGGTTAAAGAACAAATGTCAGGTTACACTCTTGAATAGTACAGTCCTATTTTCTCCCATAAATGCCTGCATAGGACGTCTTCTTCATATGGACCCTAAAATATTTCTACAAGTAGTAGACATTTTTTAGAACTGCAATAAAGTAATGTAATAAATGCATTGTTTGAATTTTTTCCTGTTTTATATATGATACCTGAGATTAGAATTGTGTCCCTTTTATATAAAATTGGGCAGTTTTATTTTGTGCCATTTCAAAGGTATTGTTCTATATCACTGTAGTTTCAGATGTTTATTTTTTATTATTTCAAAGTCAAAACATGAAGAAGTAAGATGTATGTTTCTGTATGCCTTTAAAAATGCAAACCTGCAACATTAATGGGAACTTTCCCCAGGACACTTCATTTCAGTTCCAACTGGCTGCTAATTACTTACTCACAGTGGAAGTGTCACACTGCTTTCCTTTCAGCACTTCGTTGGCCAAGTGTCTCTGGCAATAATCTCTCAACACATAAGCACCATTCCCTTTCATCACATTATTTAATCAATAAAGTAATGTCCTCGCACTGGCCAGGCTCAGAGCCATCTTGTCACAAGTGCTAAATAAATGAAACAAACACCAGTCCTGCTTCTACAACCTCTCCATTAATAAACATGAACGGAGACGCCTTTAATACAAAATCCATTCTCTCAAACGTTTAAAACTGCACACACATGCACGTTTGCAAGACTAGAAGAGGAATCATTTATATGATGGTGAGAATAGACCAAGCAGCACTGGGCCAAGTCCCACTCACAAGTGGTGAGATTACGTTATTTCCAACTGGGACAAGTGCCCCTTCCATGCTCTCCCAGGGCTGCTTGTTCCCAAGGGGTGATGTTTCCTCATCCATGTTCTGTCTGTAAGAGGCAAGCACATCATGGCACTCCCTCTGCTGCTCAGTTTACAAAAGAATGATAGGATGCCCCATTTTTCCTTCTCTTTTTGCCAGGGGCCCTGCACTATGGTAGTATTGGGCTTCCAAATATAAAGTTTGGATCCCAATTCATCCTCTCCTATTTCTCAATGGTAATAAAACCAGAGGAGAGAAGGGTGAGTCTTAGCCTTAGTCTAACAGATGCTGGCACACTCTAGGTATGCAATGTTAAAAGGATAAATGACTTATTTATGTAGCATCAGAGTCACCTTCTTTAGAAGCTAGCATTTATTAAGCACTTAATATGTGGCAGGCACTCTTCTAATAGGTAACTTGCTTAATTCTCTCATTTTATACATTGAGAAACTAAGGCTTGGCAAGGATAAGTCAGTTATCCAGAGTCCCAGCAGGTGAGAGCAAAGCTAGGATGTCTTCATTTCTCTGTGAAAAGTTATTTCCAATTGGAGTCCTAGAACTTTCAAGATCCACCTTTTTTTTTCACTGTTTTTATTTATCTGTGCTGCCTGAGGGAATACATTCTTATGACCAACTGGCATTGCTGTCAGTGTTTCAAGAGTAAGCTCGCTATCCCCAAGTTCTCTGGCATTGAAGAATCAGGAACCATGTTTTTATAAATAAAATCACTCTGTAATCATTCCACTTTCTGTGAAAAATCTCACCACACCACAATACTTCCATGGGTTCCCAAAAGGTTCCCTGTGTCCGATTCCTACTCTTTCTGAAATCCCTCTCCTTGCCATCTCACCTCCAGGTGAGTTCTTCCTCATTCCCCCTCTGTCCCAAGCATGGGAGAGCTCCTCTTCCTGCATCACCCAAAGCACCATTAAATAAGGGTGCCATGTAAAACTGACTTGTATTGAGGATTATAGAAGGAAATTAAATTACACCACAGGTCAAAAACTAACTTCAAATGGAATATTCCACACCATAAATATATTCAGCCATTCTTCTACAATAACTCTCTTACCAACCCTCTTCCCCGCTTAGGTCCTGACTGTTATCCATGTCATCTTCCTACTAAGACCCTTTTATTCTGTCTCCTCTACTCTATATACTACTCAAGCCCTAAACAACTCCTTCTTGAGCTTCCAAAAGACAATCATCAAACTCTTGTTACTTGATGATACAGAGCAAATAAAGCACCCTCCCAATGTCTAGGTGAATTTTGGGGCACTTACTTTTCATTCTAAAAAAACAAAAAAAAAAATAAGGTTTTCCTTACAAAAAGAGAAATCCTCTTTTTTAAGGGTGGCCACTTCAAAATGAAGCCACCCATTATGTTTTTCTCACTGCACAATTTTTAGAGTTCTAGAAAGTGAATAGAGCCTTGTCTAAGCAGTCAAAGCTCTCAGCAGTGTGGATAACTGCCCTTACCCTAAAACAATGCTTTATTTAAGATGCCTAGAGGAAGGATATCCTAGTCAAAATATTCTTTTTTAAAAATAAAATAGAAATAGCTCCTCCTGAGCTATTTGACAAGTTAGTGCCACTTAGGGTGAGTGTCACACTCTTGATGTTGTTCAATAAATATTTGCTAAATAAATTGGTGATTGCAGTCACTTCCCAAAGGAAAGAAGACAAAAGGTACAAGTAAAGTAAAATTACTTTATTTTCACTTTAAGAGCAAAAACTTTAATAATTGCCTTGAGTCTGTTTTAGCAGAAATTAGGCACTTGGTTTTCATTAGCAGAGGCATTCAGAGATATTTCTGCTAATGAAAATCTAAAACCAGGCCTTTAAAATGGCTTAGTGATAGTGATGATTCTTAAGAGAGCTCATGAGTTTCCCAGCCCTATGGGACATGTTGATCATTCATTTTATAGGTCAAATGCAAGTGCGTTTATTAATGTATGCTCTGATCTAACCCACATTGCAGGACTAACTTCACAGTGCTTGATCAATGATACCCAAATTAATGGATTCATCAGTGCTGCCTATTGAGACACCCTCGTCATTTATATTGCATTTCTTCCAACTCGTAATTAGGCATGTAATCTGTGCAGTCTCTAAGTGGATTCTTGAAAAGAAACCTACATCAGAAGAAAGTGTGGAGATTTTTATTGTATTGATGACTTTGGCTCATCAGTTGCTCCTGTTCTGTTACATTATTTCTTCTACATCTTGACGGGTACTTTCTTTCTCATGCTAAAGTTCCCCCATTGTTACAAATCCTTCAGTCAAAGATTGTATTCTACATCATGCCTTTCCTTTGTCCATAAAATTTCTGTTCCTACTACTTCATTGAAATATTTATTTCAAAAGTCTTCAATAATCTTCTAACCACAAAATGTAATTCCCTTTCATAGACTCAGTAGCATCTGGTATTGCTAACCATGCACTCTTATTTGAAACCTTTTCACCTGCTGGACTCTAAGACATTACCCTTTCCAGATCCTTTTCCTGTCTCTCTGTTCAGAATTCATCAGTCTCTTTGTAGGATCTCTTTCTACCAGCTTGTTAAACTTTCCTCCAAGTTCTGCCGCCTCGACTTGACAATATACTTGACATATATACTTATGTATATATGACATGACTATATACTCATCTTGACAATATACTCATTCCAATGGCTTCTACAATCACCTCTAGGTACATAATTTCCAAACTTAAGCCCTAATGTAACTACTAAAGAGGAAAGCAAGGGAAGGATGAAATAATATGGTAGAAATAAATCCCCAAACGCCATTAATAAAAGCAAATATTAAAAAACTAAATTCTCCAGTTTAAAAGATCTTCAGTGAAGATAAAATACAAGTTGATTACAAACTCTAAGATTGAATAAACATAGAAATTTGTTTGTATGTGTTTGAAAGAGGAACGCCCAAAACATAAAGACACAGAAGTTTGAAAGTAAAGAAAGAAACAAGATATCTGCCCTCCCACCACCATCAAAAAAAAAAGCTTTTTTCACTACATTAATAGCAGATAAAATGCAATTTAGGGCAAAAAAAAAGCATATTGAAATGAAGAAGGTCATTATATATTAAAAGCATCAAAATTTAGCAGGAATATGTAAAAATGGCAACTTGTATGTACCTAATAATATAGCCTCAAGACATGAAAAGCAAAAATCAGTTGAAATGCAAGGATATATTGATAATGGCAAAATTATAATGAGAGATTTTATCATCTTTCTTAGTAATTGATAAATCAAAAACAAAATATTACTATGCATTGCTTCATATTTTGCATATAAAAATGCATCCACCAATTAAACATACTTTTCTCAAGCCTATGTAGAAAAATTATAAAAAATGATCATCTATTAGAACAAAAAGCAATTCTCAACAAATATTAAAGAATCTCTGTCATTCAGATCAGCCTCTGAACAAGTACAATCAGATTAGAAGTCAAATACAAAAAATAATCCCATATATTTAGAAATTTAAAATTTATATAATTTATGTATTCTAATTACAATGACCATTTCAAAATATTTATAATTAATTGAATGATGAAAATTGTACATATCAAAACTTATGAGATAAAGCTAAAGCAATATTTTGAAAAAATTTATATTCTCAATGCTATATACATTTTCAGAAAGAGTAAAAATCAATAACTCACCTATGCAACTCAAAAAATTAGGAGAGCATCAACTACAAAGTATATAAAATAAAATAATAACAGTAAAAGCAGAAATTAATAAAATGTTTAAAAACAAGAATAAAACTAAAAAGAATCAGCAAAAAAAAAAAGTTGATTTGAAAACAAAAAAAAACTAGTTAGACAAACTACTAGCCAAAGCAATAAAGAATAAAAAAGAAAAAAGACAAATAGAAAATAATCTTAAAAGCAGACATAAAGGACATAGCTACAGAAACAGTGGAGACTTCTTTTTAATCAAAAGAGAATACTATGGCCAAATTCATGCCATGAAATTTGAAAGTTAAGATTAAAAGGACAGTCTCTGAAAAAATATAATTTCTCTGACCCATCTCCAGAAATAAATAACTTCAATGGATATATAACCTTTAGAACACAGATATTGAATCCCTAATTAAAATCTACACAGCTCACTCTTCAGCAACAAAATGAAACAAAGTTAATCAAGCGTTTCATACATGGAGAATAATATCTAACACCATGGACCTTTTTTTTTTTTTTTTTTTTTGAGATGGAGTCTTGCTCTGTCACCAGGCTGGAGTGCAGTGGGGCAATCTTGGCTCATTACAATTTCCGCCTCCTGGGTTCAAGCGATTCTCCTGCCTCAGCTTCCAGAGTAGCTGGGATTACAGGTGCGCACCACCACACCCAGCTAATTTTTGCATTTTCAGTAGAGACAGGGTTTCACCATGTTGGCCAGGATAGTCTCGATCTCCTGACCTCGTGATCCGCCAGCCCCGGCCTCCCAAAGTGCTGGGATTACAGGCATGAGCCACCACGCCCGGTCCATCATAGACTATTAGAACTGAATGAATCTTAGAGAGCATCTGATACAACCGTCCCCTGCAAACAAGGGAACTGAAGTTCAGAGAGATGAAAATAACAACCGCCACCACAACAGCTGCTAATGTTAATGGAGTCCTCACTATGAGTCAGGTAGTATGTTAAATGCTTTGTGTGCATTATCTCATTTAATATCAATAACCCTGTAAAATAAGTGCTAACATTTTTGCTTTGCATGTAAGAAAATCGCTGCTTATAAAATTTAAATAACTTGCCCAGGGTCACTTGGCTAATAAGAGGCAGTAAGATTCAAACTCAGGTTCATCTGCCTGCAACACCTGTGCTCCTAGCTGCAGCGTGGCAATCAGGATGCATAAGGTAAAGGCATAGTAGATACTTCATTCCCTCTGACCCTTCTGTACTCCCTCCTGGTCCCCACCCCCACCAAGAATGCCTTTCTAATACTACACTATCTCTTCAAGAACAAGTAATTGGGAAATATTAGGAATAATAATTCTAACACACACACACATATATATTGAGATGGAGTCTGGCTCTGTCACCCAGGCTGGAGTGCAGTTGCGGGATCTTGGCTCACTGCAACCTCCACCTCCCAGGTTCAAGCAATTCTCCTGCCTCAGCCTCCTAAGTAACTGGGATTACAGGCATGCACCACCATGCCTGGCTAATTTTGTATTTTTAGTAGAGACAGGGTTTCACCATGTTGGTCAGGCTGGTCTCAAACTCCTGACCTCATGATCCGCCTGCCTTGGCCTCCCAAAGTGCAGGGATTACAGACGTGAGCCACCACGCCTGGCCAATACTAACACATCTTAAAGAAATTGCTGCATATAAATTCTACATAAAAGAAACCATTTTGCTGGCAAAAAAAAAAAAAAAAATCTCACTATTGCAAGGCAACACTGAAGACAAAACAAAGCTGGTGAAGAATATGTCAATGCTATCAGATTCTTTCCTGCAGAGATATAGATATAGTATAGTGAGATTATTCAGCTCTTAACTAGAGATTTCTATTTCTTTTTTTGTAGGAAGCTGAATAATGCCCTCCAAACCATAAAGATGTCCATAACCTAATTTCCAGAATCTACAAATGTGCTTTGTTACATGGCAAGGGAAAATTAAGGCTGCAGATCAAATTAATGTTGCTAATCAGCCAACCTTATAATAAGATTATCCTAAATGATCTGGGTGAGCCCAGTAGAATCTCAAGGGTCCTTATAAGCGGAAATGAAATAGCAGTGTGAGACAGATTTGGCCTAATGTTGTTGGCTTCAAAGATGGAAGAATGGAGCCATGACCCAAGGAATGCAGGAAGCCTCTAGATGCTGCAAAAGGCATGGAACAAATTCTCCCCTACAGCCTCAGGGGGAATGCAGCCCTGCCAACCTCTTGATTTTAGCCCAGTGAGACCCATGTTGGACTCCTTTCCTCCAAAGCTGTAAGATAATAAATTGTGTTGTTTTAAGACACTACGTTTATGGTGATTTGTTACAGGAGCAAGAGGAATCTAATACACATCCACATAGAACAACACAAAGTGTCATGACTAGAGGCACTGCCTGTGGTGACCCAGCTCCACCTATAAAATGTCAGGCACTGGTAGCAGGGAAGTAGCAGCTTTATGTTCAGAAATCTGGCTCTTCTAATTACTCAGATGCAAGAATTCCAAAGGAATAGCTAGAACATACTTTGAGCAATGCTAATATACAGTCATGTATTGCCTAATGAAAGGGATACCTTCTGAGAAATGTGTCATTAGGCGATTCCATTGTGTGAACATCATAGCATGTACTTACACAAACCTCGATGGTATAGCCTACTATACACCTATGATATGTGGTATAGCCTATTGCTCCTAGGCCACAAACCTATGCAGCACATTACTGTACTGAATACTGCAAGCCATGGTACCACAATGGTAAGTATTTGTGCATCTAAACATATCTAAACATAGACAAGGTACAGTAAAATACCATATCGAAGATTTAAAATGGTACACCTGTGCAGGGCAATTACCATGAAAGGAGCTTGCAAGACAGGAAGTTGCTCTGGGTGAGTCAGTGAGTGGTGAGTGAATGTGAAGCCCTAGAACATTACTGTACACTATAATAGACTTTATAAACACTGGATACTTAGGCTACAACAAGTTTATTTAAAAATTTTGTTCTTTCTTTAATAACAAACTAACCTTAGATGACGGAAACATTTTTATTTTATAAACCTTTTAAACTTTTTAACTCTTTTGACTCTTTTCTAAAAATATTTAGTTTAAAATACAAACACATTGTACAGCTTTGCAAAATTTTTTTCTTTATGTATATCCTTACTCTTGAAGATATTTTTCTTTCTTTTTTTTACTTTTTAAACTTTGTAATTAAAATCTAAGACACACACACACATGCACACACATTAACCTAGGCCTCCACAGGGTCAAGATCATCAATATCACTGTCTTCCACCTCTACATCTTGTCTCACTGGAAAGTCTCCAGGGGCAGTAACATGCATGGAGCTGTCATCTCCTATGATAACAATGCCTCCTTCTGGAATACCTCCTGAAAAACCTGCCTATGGCTGTTTTACAGCTAACTTTTTTCATATATACAAATAGAAGGAGTATACTCTAAAATAATGATAAGAAATATAATATAGTAAACACATAAGCCAGTAACAGTACTTTATTATCATTATCAAGCATTATATACTGTATATAATTGTATGTGCTAGACTTACACTACTGGCAGTGCAGTAGGTTTGTTTATATCAGTATCACAACAAATGTGAGTAATGTGTTATCCTATGGTATTAGGATGGCGACAATGTCACTTAGGTGATAGGAATTTTCAGCTCCACTATAATCTTATGAGACCATCTTCCTACATGCAGTCTGCTACTGACCAAAATGTTGTTACACAGTGCACTGTAATTTTAAATGATAATATTCATACAAATAATGTAAACGAGCAAATGAGATAGTTCATATAAAGTACTAAACAGAAACACATATCAATAAATGCTAGCTGTGATTTATTTTTAAATCACTAGCTACTATTTCTTGAATAGGTGTAGTGCTACATACATTTTCTATAAACCTTATAATAATTTTGCAAGGTCAATATCTTCATCTTACAGATGAGAAAATGAAAGAGTAGAAAGATGAAGAAATTTCCCAAGGTTACACAGGTCATAAATCAGTTTTGGAATTAATGTATAATTTTGTAGTGATTCTATTAAGGGATAAAACTGATTCATTGTATAACTTTTAGTATGTTCATTTTAAAAAAAATCAGTCACAGATGCTCCAGATTTCAGTGAATTTAAACTCTAAAGTGGACATATTAGCTGAAGCATCGAAGAGTGATCACAGAAGTGAAAATACAAGAATCTGCCTTCTGATCTCAGCTTTAACCACCACCCCCCATCCCCTGAGACCCACCCCACTTTGTGAGATCTTAGACAAGTTTCTGGATCTCAATTTTCTTGCTCGGAAAAATGAATGGGGGAATTAAAACTCACCATCGTCTCTTGCAGCTCTGAAACTCATGGCTTTATGATATCTTCCTCAAGGTGCTAATTGTCAGAACTACTAGTAATTTATTTGTTAACAAAATGCAGTTTCTTCCTCTCCACTTCATCCTAACACTCTAGTTTTGATTCTCCTGATAGTCATTCCTCAATGACTTCTCTTTTTACCTGTCATGCCCTACTCTCTCCATTCTCTGATCAGGATTCCTGTATTTCCTCTTTGAAAGAAAAACATTGAGAAGAAATTTTAAAATAGGTACTCAATATGTTTTGGTGACATTATTCTAGGAATAAAAACATCTATCTAGTGAATATTTTGCAACATAATAAAAATTTTTTGAAAACTAAATTTAATAAAAAAGAGCCTGCATTAGTCCCTTTTAACACTGCTGTGAAGACATACCCGAGACCAGGTAATTTATAAAGGAAAGAGGTTTAATTGACTCACAGTTCAGCATGGTTGAGAAGGCCTCAGGAAACTTACAATCATGGTGGAAGGGGAAGCAAACACATCCTTCTTCACATGGTGGCAGGAAAAAGTGTGAGTGCCCAGTGAAGGAAGAAGCTCCTTATAAAACCATCAAATCTCATGAGAACTCACTCACTCTCATGAGAATAGGATGAGGGAAACCACCCCCATGATTCAATTATCTCCATCTGGTCCTTCCCATGACATGTGGAGTTTATGGGAACTACAATTCAAGATGAGATTTGGGTGGGGACACAGCCAAACCATATCAATCGACCCCGACCCTTCCCAAATCTCATGTCCTAACATTTCAAAACACAATCATGCCTTTCCAACTGTCCCCCAAAGTCTTAACTCATTCCAGCATTAAATCAAAAATCCAAGCCCAAAGTGTCATCTGAGACAAGGTAGGTCCCTTCTGCCTATGAGCTTGTAAAATCAAAACCAAGTTAGTTACTTCCTAGATACAATAGGGGTACAGGCATTGGGTAAATACACCAATTCCAAATGGGCCAAACAAAGAGGCTACAGACCCCATGCAAGTCTGAAATCCAAAAGGGCAGTCATTAAACCTTAATTTCTAAAATGATCTCCTTTGACCCCATGTCTCACATCCGGGTCACACTGATGCAAGAGGTGGGCTCCCACAGCCTTGGACAGCTCTGCCTCTACGGCTTTGCAGGATACAGCCCCACTCCTGGCTGCTTTCAGCCAGTGTTAGGTGTCTGTGGCTTTTCCAGGCACACAACGCAAGGTGTTGGAGGATCTACCATTTAGGGGTCTGGAGGATGGCGTCCCTCTTCTCACAGCTCCACCAGGCAGTAGCCCAATGGGGACTTTGTGTGGGGGCTTCCACCTCACATTTCCCTTCTGCACTGACCTAGCAAAAGTTCCCTGTGAGGGCTCTGCCCCTGCAGCACACATCTGCCTGGACATCCAGGTGTCTCCATACATCCTCTGAAGTCTAGGGAGAGGTTCCCAAACCTCAATTCTTGACTTCTGTGCACCCACAGGCTCCACACCACATGGAAGCTGTCAAGGCTTGAGACTTTCCCCCTCTGAAGCTATGGCCCAAGCTGTACCTTAGTCCCTTTTAGCCATGGCTGGGACAGCTGAGACTCAGGGCACCAAGTCCCTAGGCTGCACACAGAAGAGGGGCCCTGGGCCTAGCCTAGGAAACCATTTTTCCCTTTTAGGCCTCCAGGCCTGTGATGGGAGGGGTTGCCATGAAGGTCTCTGACATGCCCTGAAGACATTTTCCCCATTGTCTTGGTGATTCACATTTGGCTCCTTGTTACTTATGCAAATTTCTGCAACAGGCTTGAATTTATTTCCAGAAAATGGTGTTTTCTTTTATATCATATTGTCAAGCTACAAATTTTCCAAATTTTTATGCTCTGCTTCCTCTTGAACACTTTGCTGCTTAAAAATTTCTTCTGCCAAATACCCTAAATTATCTCTCTCAAGTTCAAAGTTTCACAGATCTCTAGGGCAGGGGCAAAATGCTGCCAGTCTCTTTGCATAGCAAGAGTGACCTTTACTCCAGTTCCCAACAAGTTCCCCATCTCCATCTAAGAGCACCTCAGCCTGGACTTCATTGTCCATATTACTATCACCATTGTCATCAGAGCCATTCAACAAGTCTCCAGGAATTTCTGAAACTTTCCACATTTTCTTATCGTCTTTTGAGTCCTCCAAACTTCCAACCTCTGCCTGTTACTCAGTTCCAAAGTTGCTTCCACATTCTTGGGTACCTTTACAGCAGAACCCCACCACCTGATACCAATTTACTGTATTAGTCCGTTCTCACACTGCTATAAAGACACACCCAAGACTGCTAATTTGTAAAGGAAAGAGGTTTAATTGACTCACAGTTCAGCATGGCTGGGGAGGCCTCAGGAAACTTACAATCATGGTGGAAGAGGAAGCAAACACATCCTTCTTCACATGGCAGCAGGGAGAAGAAGTGTGAGTGCCCAGTGAAGAAGGAAGTCCCTTATAAAACCATCAGATCTCATAAGAACTAACTCACCACCATGAAAACATGATAAACCACCCCCCATGATTCAACTATCTCTACCTGGTCACTCCCATAACATGTGGGGATTATGGGAACTACGCTTCGAGATGAGATTTCATTGGGGACACAACTTTGTTCTCTTTTTTGTATTTCACCAACAGCAGAACATTAACTAAAACACACACACACACACACACACACACACACACACACACACACACACTATGATCCAAAATCCCTTTAATGAAAAAACCCAGCACTTCCCAAGAAGAATGTGTTATATGGTGTGAACCACTGACTCTCTGAGTCCTTTCACTGTCCTTTATTAAATGTTTATCATCAATATATGATATAAAAACATGAATTTTGTTCCTCATCATAAAAATTACCCAAGTTATATAGCCCTAGAGCACGAAATCAAAAGGATCAGAGAAAGAAAATGCTGCTTGTTATACCAAAATCATCATTGCCCAAGTGGGTTCCCACTACCATCAGCTGCCAAGTCCACACAATACATGAGTCTTATAACACAAATATGGAACATTAATATAAAAAAATACATATTTGTGGATCAGGTAGTCATGTTTTACACAATAATCTGCAATTTTAATTAAAGTTGGCATATTTCTGCTGCTATGATTTAAAAGATTAACTAAGTTGGACAAGGTCTCAGATCTTTAACTACATCCAACCTGTTTGTGATTTTTGGCACTCTGCATTTTAGGTGTGTTATGAAGATGACAATGTGCCAGTCATCCAAGCTGTCAAATGCCTGCTAAAATCTGTTCAGAGCCAAACTCATTTGCACTCAGATGAACACTTCTCAAGAAGCAATTGCTTAAATACCTACAGTTTGAGGTGCCACTCACGGCTAATAAAACAAATTTTACAACATGCCCAGAATGATTTTTCCTGAAGTGCTGAAATAATTCCATAGAATAAACCAAGGTAAAGAATTATAGGAGTTATTAGTACTATAATTTTAATGTATCAAACGTTCACAGAATAAAGCATTGGGTTTGGACATGTATACAATTACGTGGTTTAAAACATTTTTTGAAACAACTTAACATTATTTTGAAACATAATATTAAAAATATGTCCTCCTTTTGGTGGGAAGGACACTTTCACACACTGCTAGTAGGAATTTAAATTGATACAAATTTCTGACAAATATTTCTTGGATATCCATTAAAGTGTTTTACTGCTTGTATACTTTAATCCACAAATCCCAGAAGCAGGGCCTACCTAGGTAAAGAAGGGGATGAATGTGGTAAAAGAGCCTTTAAGGCAGAGGGACCCTCATCTGCAAACTATGAAATTACAAAAAGTCTAAATATTTTTTCTAGAACCATTAATACAAGAAGGTCTCTGGCACTCACGGGCTCAGTGCTCACAATTGGGGCTCTTTCAAGAAATCATGAAGTTGTTGTGGAATAGTCTGCCATGTGCTCAGGTATTACCGTATCTGAATGGGTGGGGGGCTTAAGAACATATCTCTGCCACTGATTGTGTCAAAGATTGTCTTTCATGTAGTAATCTTCATTAGGGATTTATGGGATTATTCCTATTTTGGGTTATACTTCACTTTATTTTTAAGGGGGAACATTATATGCTATGGTGGTATTTTGAAAATTGATCCATGGTTTTCTTTAGGAACACAAAGGGTCTAGACTAGTTTGATATGGAGTATGTCTCTCTCTCTGTCTCTCTCTCTCTCTCTGTCTCTGTGTGTGTGTGTGTCTCTCTCTCTCTCTCTCTCACACACACACACACACACACAAGCATAGATTATTTTGGATAGAAAATAAAGTACCTTACAGATAAAACCTTATTTTATGTGGGTGGAGGAGGAGTAATCTGTTTCTTAATATATCCATCAGTATATGCTAAATTATGCTGAGAGAATCAGCACAAGGAAATATCAGCAGCTTAAAATAACAGGTGATTGCACACTTTTATTATATCTCAGTGAGCACAGGGGTGGGGAAAATGTAATGAAGCCCTCCCTGGCTCTTACGACTTTTGCATGGAAGTAACACGTGATTTGCCCTTTCATATTGCATAGGCCAAAGAGAGTCACTTGGTCATTCTTCAATTCAAAGAGGTGGGGTGTTTCATTCTTCTACAGGATCTTAATATTTATAAACAATTACATAGACTGCCATTTTTAGTATTATGAAATGTTTGTCTCGCTGCTTTAAAAAATTAATTAGAGCCTAACATGGCCGTATCTCCTAATGGTTGAAAAGTGCCTCCAAAGTAGACATGCATGACCAAGAATGGATGTGGACTTAAAGCGAAAGGAACGATTAAGCCGGGGGCCTGTGCTGTTGATGAAGGCAGCTCTATGGGCCCACAGTTCAGTTAATGACAATGACTGGTAAGGTAGATGGTTAGCATCTGAAGAGAGAAGCCTCAAAAGAGGACAATTTTTAGCCAGTCACAGTGACTCACGCCTATAAACCCAGTGTGTTGGGAGGCTCAGGAGTTTGAGACCAGCCTGAGAAACAGCAAGACCCTATTGCTCCAAGAAAATTTAAAAATAAGCCACATGTGGTGGTGAGCACCTGTAATCCCAGCTACCTGGGAGACTGAGGCAGGAGAATTGTTTGAGCCCAGGAGTTCCAGGTTACAATGAGCTGTGATCGTACCACTGCACTCTCCAGCCTGGGTAATAGAGTGAGATCCTGTCTCTATAAAAAGAAAAAAGGAAAAACACCACAATAATTTTACATTAGAGTAGAACTGAAAAGGCACGTAGGCATGAGAGTTAGATATTGCTTCCACCTTACTCCCATCACACATTTCAGGGGGCTCTGATTTCATTTCAGTCATAAAGCTAAGGGAGGTCTAGGAAAAGCTAAAGACCAAGGAGAAAGTTTATTTACCATGGAGCAGAGGCTTCAGTGGGCAGAGTGGATAGTGTTGGGAGAAGGGCAGTGACAGAAGGATGGGCAGTGAGAACATGCCGAGTCCGGGGGGACAGAGCTAAAATGAACAGATGACCAGAGGCTGGCATTCAGAGCACAGCTGAGTCTGCTCAAAGAGAGAGGTTTGGAGCAATTAGCTGGCCCCAAGGGTCCAGGTGGAAACCCAGGACCAAGTGTGGTTTTCAGTCCTACACAGGCTGAGGTCACAGAAGATCTCATAAACCTGAGGGAGCTGGAAGATGCTGAGCCCAACACAGTCCTAGACTCCTAGACTGACATAGGTCACAGGATATTTTCTTTTCTTTATTTGATTTAATTTTATTTTATTTTTTGAGACAGATTCTTGCTGTGTCACCCAGGCTGGATTGCAGTGGTGTGATCTCGGCTTACCAAGACCTCCACCTCCCAGGCCCAAGTGATTCTGGGACCCCAGCCTTCTGAATAGCTGGGATTACAGGCATGCACCACCAGGCCTGACTGATTTGTTTTTTGTATTTCTAGTAGAAACGGGGTTTCACCATGTTGGCCACGCTGGTCTCAAACTCCTGGCCTCAGGTGATCTTCTGCCTCGGCCTCCTAAAGTCCTAGGATTATAGGCGTGAGCCACCGTGCCCATCCAGATCACATGATATTTTCTTACTCATCCCACAAATAAAGACTAGGCCCTGAACACACTGGGGAAAGCAAGAAAATCCCTCAGCTAATGACAATTAAACTGTCTCTCGAAATTTCATTTTACTTTGCTCTTTCAATCTAACTCAATTATATCCATATTTTATCTCTGCAAAAGAATTTTCTATCAGCATCTTAAAAGCTTCATAGAAAAAAGTATAAGGAGAGAATTGGGGGAAAGCTAATTTAAGAAAGAAAAGCAATTTCAAGGTTAGGGAACATGGCAGAGGAAAAGATAGAAATAAAAGTGAGAAACAAAAATGTAAAAATTGAAAGATTCATACATTGGGTAAAAGTGTTAAAAAGAGGAGGTAAAAAATTTTTTAAGTTTTGACCACTAAAAGCAGTTGCAGAAACTTCAAGGAGAGAAATAGTGTGATTGTTATGGAGGATATAGCTGAAAATTAACATCATCAAGAGCTACTTTATTTTATCCTCTGTTTTTAATCTATGGAGAATTAAAGATATTATTATGTGGAGTGTTCCTTTTTTTCTTTAGTTATAGTATGATCTCTTTTGAACAAAATATCTCCCTCCCAATTGCATTAGCTGGTCAAATGCAACTGAATATTTCCTTCAGGACTTTGATGAATGGCATCTTTTGTATAACTCCACAGCTCTCAATGCCAACGACACAAACAAACATCCCTCCTTTACCAACATTTAGGAAACTAAATTATAACATGTTTGTCATGAAAGACAAAGCTGTATTTAGTTGTTTTTATCTTCTTGTAAAATTTAATATTCAGATGGTAAAAATATTCATTTACTTGTGAAATATCATACAATAGCTCCTTTATGATCCAGAAATAATTTTATTTCTGAAAACTGTTAAAAGTATAGACTTTCAATCATGTACTCTACATTAATTTAGCAGATATTCAGAGGCCACATACCACATGTCAGGCACTGTTGTAGGCACTGGGGATATGTGATAGAGAATAAAAACAAAAAGAAGATCCCTCTCTTCTTTCTATTTACATTGTAGTGAAGGAAATAAATATAAGCAAGATTAAAATGTGAAAAATATAGTGTTAGTGATACTTGGTAAGGGAAAGATAAAAATGAAGAAGAAAAGAGGGATGAGAAAGAAAGGGCTGAAACTTCAGATACTGGGTGCCCAGGGAAATAAATAATCACATGGGGAAGGTGACTTTTGAATAAAATCCTGGAGGGAATGAGGGAATATGTCAGGTAGATATCTGGAGAAAGAGCATTCCAGGAAAGAAACAGCAAGTGCAAAGGCCCTGGATAGAAGCCTGCCTGGTGGGTTGAAAAACAGTGATCGGGGGTGGCAGCCAAGATGGCTGAATAGGAACAGCTCCGGTCTACAGCTCCCAGCATGAGCGATGCAGAAGACGGGAGATTTCTGCATTTCCATCTGAGGTACTGGGTTCATCTCACTAGGGAGTGCCAGACAGTGGGTGCAGGTCAGTGGGTGCAGTGCACCGTGCACGAGCCAAAGCAGGGTGAGGCATTGCCTCACTCAGGAAGCACAAGGGGTCAGGGAGTTCCCTTTCCTAGTCAAAGAAAAGGGTGACAGACAGCACCTGGAAAATCAGGTCACTCCCACCCTAATACTGCGCTTTTCTGACGGGCTTAAAAAACTGCGCACCAGGAGATTATATCCCGCACCTGGCTGGGAGGGTCCTACGACCAGGGAGTCTCTCTGATTGCTAGCACAGCAGTCTGAGATCAAACTGCAAGGTGGCAGCAAGGCTGGGGGAGGGGCGCCCGCCATTGCCCAGGCTTGCTTAGGTAAACAAAGCAGCGGGGAATCTCGAACTGGGTAGAGCCCACCACAGCTCAAGGAGGCCTGCCTGCCTCTGTAGGCTCCACCTCTGGGGGCAGGGCACAGACAAACAAAAAGACAGCAGTAACCTCTGCAGACTTAAATGTCCCTGTCTGACAGCTTTGAAGAGAGCAGTGGTTCTCCCAGCACGCAGCTGGAGATCTGAGAACGGGCAGACTGCCTCCTCAAGTGGGTCCCTGACCCCTGACCCCTGAGCAGGCTAACTGGGAGGCACCCCCTAGTAGGGGCAGACTGACACCTCACACGGCTGGGTACTCCTCTAAGACAAAACTTCCAGAGGAACGATCAGACAGCAGCATTTGCAGTTCACGAAAATCCGCTGTTCTGCAGCCACTGCTGCTGATACCCAGGCAAACGGTCTGGAGTGGACCTCTAGCAAACTCCAACAGAACTGCAGCTGAGGGTCCTGTCTGTTAGAAGGAAAACTAACAAACAGAAAGGACATCCACACCAAAAACCCATCTGTACATCACCATCATCAAAGACCAAAAGTAGATAAAACCACAAAGATGGGGAAAAAACAGCAGAAAAACTGGAAACCCTAAAAAGTAGGGCACCTCTCCTCCTCCAAAGGAACGCAGTTCCTCACCAGCAAAGGAACAAAGCTGGATGGAGAATGACTTTGACGAGTTGAGAGAAGAAGGCTTCAGACGATCAAACTACTCCGAGCTACAGGAGGAAATTCAAACCAAAGGCAAAGAAGTTAAAAACTTTGAAAAAAATTTACAGGAATATATAACTAGAATAACCAATACAGAGAAGTGCTTAAAGGAGCTGATAGAGCTGAAAGCCAAGGCTTGAGAACTACATGAAGAATGCAGAAGCCTCAGGAACCAATGCGATCAACTGGAAGAAAGGGTATCAGTGATGGAAGATGAAATGAATGAAATGAAGCGAGAAGGGAAGTTTAGAGAAAAAAGAATAAAAAGAAATGAACAAAGCCTCCAAGAAATATGGGACTATGTGAAAAGACCAAATCTACGTCTGATTGGTGTACCTGAAAGTGACGGGGAGAATGGAACCAAGTTGGAAAACACTCTGCAGGATACTATCCAGGAGAACTTCCCCAACCTAGCAAGGCAGGCCAACATTCAAATTCAGGAAATACAGAGAATGCCACAAAGATACTCCTCGAGAAGAGCAACTCCAAGACACATAATTGTCAGATTCACCAAAGTTGAAATGAAGGAAAAAATGTTAAGGGCAGCCAGAGAGAAAGGTCGGTTACCCACAAAGGGAAGCCCATCAGACTAACAGCAGATCTCTCAGCAGAAACTCTACAAGCCAGAAGAGAGTGGGGGCCAATATTCAATATTCTTAAAGAAAAGAATTTTCAACCCAGAATTTCATATCCAGCCAAACTAAGCTTCATAAGTGAAGTGAAATAAAATCCTTTACAGACAAGCAAATGCTGAGAGATTTTGTCACCACCAGGCCTGCCCTAAAAGAGCTCCTGAAGGAAGCGCTAAACATGGAAAGGAACAACCGGTACCAGCCACTGTAAAATCATGACAAAATGTAAAAACCATCGAGACTAGGAAGAAACTGCATCAACTAACGAGAAAAATAACCAGCTAACATCATAATGACAGGATCAAATTGACACATAACAATATTAACTTTAAATGTAAATGGACTAAATGCTCCAATTAAAAGACACAGACTGGCAAATTGGATAAAGAGTCAAGACCCATCAGTGTGCTGTATTCAGGAAACCCATCTCACATGCAGAGACACACATAGGCTCAAAATAAAAGGATGGAGGAAGATCTACCAAGCAAATGGAAAGCAAAAAAAAGCAGGGGTTGCAATCCTAGTCTCTGATAAAACTGACTTTAAACCAACAAAGATCAAAAGAGACGTTACATAATGGTCATTACATAATGGTAGGCCATTATGTAACGGTAAAGAAGGCCATTACATAACGGTAAAGGGATCAATTCAACAAGAAGAGCTAAGTATCCTAAATATATATGCACCCAACACAGGAGCACCCAGATTCATAAAGCAAGTCCTGAGTGACCTACAAAGAGACTTAGACTCCCACACAATAATAATGGGAGACGTTAACACCCCACTGTCAACATTAGACAGATCACCGAGAGAGAAAGTTAACAAGGATACTCAGGAATTGAACTCAGCTCTGCACCAAGCGGACCTAATAGACATCTACAGAACACTCCACCCCAAATCAAAAGAATATACATTCTTTTCAGCACCACACCACACCTATTCCAAAATTGACCACATATTTGGAAGTGAAGCTATCCTCAGCAAATGTAAAAGAAGAGAAATTATAACAAACTGTCTCTCAGACCACAGTGCAATCAAACTAGAACTCAGGTTAAGAAACTCACTCAAAACCACTCAACTACATGGAAACTGAACAACCTGCTCCTGAATGACTACTGGGTACATAACGAAATGTAGGCAGAAATAAAGATGTTCTTTGAAACCAACGAGAACAAAGACACAACATACCAGAATCTCTGGGACACATCCAAAGCAGTGTGTAGAGGGAAATTTATAGCAGTAAATGCCCACAAGAGAAAGCCAGAAAGATCAAAAATTGACACCCTAACATCACAATTAAAAGAACTAGAAAAGCAAGAGCAAACACATTCAAAAGCTAGCAGAAGGCAAGAAATAACTAAAATCAGAGCAGAACTGAAGGAAATAGAGATACAAAAAACCCTTCAAAAAATTAGTGAATCCAGGAGCTGGTGTTTTGAAAGGATCCACAAAATTGATAGACCACTAGCAAGACTAATAAAGAAGAAAAGAGAGAAGAATCAAATAGACACAATAAAAAATGATAAAGGGGATATCACCACTGATCCCACAGAAATACAAACTACCATCAGACAATACTACAAACACCTCTACGCAAATAAACTAGAAAATCTAGAAGAAATGGATAAATTCCTCGACAGATACACCTTCCCAAGACTAAACCAGGAAGAAGTTGAATCTCTGAATAGACCAATAACAGGCTCTGAAATTGGGGCAATAATCAATAGCTTACCAACCAAAAAGAGTCCAGGACCAGATGGATTCACAGCTGAATTCTACCAGAGGTACAAGGAGGAACTGGTACCATTCTTTCTGAAACTATTCCAATCAATAGAAAAAGAGGGAATCCTCCCTAACTCATTTTATGAGGCCAGCATCATTCTGATACCAAAGCCTGGCAGAGACACAACCAAAAAGGAGAATTTTAGACCAATATCCTTGTTGAACATTGATGCAAAAATCCTCAATAAAATACTGGCAAACTGAATCCAGCAGCACATCAAAAAGCTTATCCACCATGATCAAGTGGGCTTCATCCCTAGGATGCAAGGCTGGTTCAATATACACAAATCAATAAATGTAATCCAGCATATAAACACAACCAAACACAAAAACCACATGATTATCTCAATGGATGCAGAAAAGGCCTTTGACAAAATTCAACAACCTTTCATGCTAAAAACTCTCAATAAATTAGGTATTGATGGGACATATTTCAAAATAATAAGAGCTATCTATGACAAACCCACAGCCAATATCATACTGAATGGGCAAAAACTGGAAGCATTCCCTTTGAAAACTGGCACAAGACAGGGATGCCCTCTCTCACCACTCCTATTCAACATAGTGTTGGAAGTTCTGGCCAGGGCAATTAGACAGGAGAAGGAAATAAAGGGTATTCAATTAGGAAAAGAGGAAGTCAAATTGTCCCTCTTTGCAGACGACATGATTGTATATCTAGAAAACCCCATTGTCTCAGCCCAAAATCTCCTTAAGCTGATAGGCAACTTCAGCAAAGTCAGAGGATACAAAATCAATGTACAAAAATCACAAGCATTCTTATACACCAATAACAGACAAACAGAGAACCAAATCATGAGTGAACTCCCATTCACAATTGTTTCAAAGAGAATAAAATACCTAGGAATCCAACTTACAAGGGACGTGAAGGACCTCTTCAAGGAGAACTACAAACCACTGCTCAAGGAAATAAAAGAGGATACAAACAAATGGAAGAACATTCTATGCTCATGGGTAGGAAGAATCAATATCATGAAAATGGCCATACTGCCCAAGGTAATTTATAGATTCAATGCCATCCCCATCAAGCTACCAATGACTTTCTTCATGGAATTGGAAAAAGCTACTTTAAAGTTCATATGGAACCAAAAAAGAGCCCACATCGCCAAGTCAATCCTAAGCCAAAAGAACAAAGCTGGAGGCATCATGCTACCTGACTTCAAACTATACTACAAGGCTACAGTAACCAAAACAGCATGGTACTCGTACCAAAACAGAGATATAGACCAATGGAACAGAACAGAGCCCTCAGAAATAACGCCGCATATCTACAACTATCTGATCTTTGACAAACCTGAGAAAAACAAGCAATGGGGAAAGGATTCCCTATTTAATAAATGGTGCTGGGAAAACTGGCTAGCCATGTGTAGAAAGCTGAAACTGGATCCCTTCCTTATACCTTATACAAAAATTAATTCAAGATGGATTAAAGACTTTAACATTAGACCTAAAACCATAAAAACCCTAGAAGAAAACCTAGGCATTACCATTCAGGACATAGGCATGGGAAAGGACTTCATGTCTAAAACACCAAAAGCAATGGCAACCCAAGCCAAAATTGACAAATGGGATCTCATTAAACTAAAGAGCTTCTGCACAGCAAAAGAAACTACCATCAGAGTGAACAGGAAACCTACAAAATGGGAGAAAATTTTTGCAACCTACTCATCTGACAAATGGCTAATATCCAGAATCTACAATGAACTCAAACAAATTTACGAGAAAAAAAACAAACAACCCCATCAAAAAGTGGGCGAAGGACATGAACATACACTTCTCAAAAGAAGACATTTATGCAGCCAAAAAACACATGAAAAAATGCTCACCATCACTGGCCATCAGAGAAATGCTAATCAAAACCACAGTGAGACACCATCTCACACCAGTTAGAATGGCAATCATTAAAAAGTCAGGAAACAACAGGTACTGGAGAGGATTTGGAGAAATAGGAACACTTTTACACTCTTGGTGGGACTGTAAACTAGTTCAACCATGGTGGAAGTCAGTGTAGCGATTCCTCAGGGATCTAGAACTAGAAATACCATTTGACCCAGCCATCCCATTACTGGGTATATACCCAAAGGACTTTAAATCATGCTGCTATAAAGACACATGCACACGTATGTTTATTGTGGCACTATTCACAATAGCAAAGACTTGGAACCAACCCAAATGTCCAACAATGATAGACTGGATTAAGAAAATGTGGCACATATACACCATGGAATACTATGCAGCCATAAAAAAGGATGAGTTCATGTCCTTTGTAGGGACATGGATGAAATTGGAAATCATCATTCTCAGTAAACTATTGCAAGGACAAAAACCAAACACCGCATGTTCTCACTCATAGGTGGGAATTGAACAATGAGAACACATGGACACAGGAAGGGGAACATCACACTCTGGGGACTGTTTTGGTGTGGGGGGAGGGGGGAGGGATAGCATTAGGAGATATACCTAATGCTAAATGACGAGTTAATGGGTGCAGCACACCAGCATGGCACATGTATACATATGTAACTAACCTGCACATTGTGTACATGTACCCTAAAACTTAAAGTATAATAATAATAAAATAAAATAAAATAAAATAAAATAAAATAAAGAAATACAGTGATCGGACTCTTTGGCTAAAGCAGAGAGAAACAAGAGAGAGTAACAGAAGATGAGGTCAGAAACAGAAAAGAACCTGGAACTTAGATCACACGAGTCCTTATAAAAGTAGGCATGCTGCCTTCCGAGTGAGATCAGAAACCAGTAGTGGAAACACGACGTGATCTAACATGTGTTTTTCAGGATGACTCTGGCTTCTGTATTCAGAATAAACTTCAGGAGAACAGGGCAAGAAGCAGAAAAAATAGTTCGGATGACTATAGCTATAATCTAAGCATGAGATGATGATGGTTGAATTTTTTTAATATATTCAGGCAATCTTTGGTTTGAATATACTGCAGAACAGTAAACATGACTGTACAACTTAATAAATAATCTCATCCTAATAATCAATAGGAATAATTATGATTATTCTACAACCTTTAAAATTTTTCTCAAAACATTAAAAACTCTCTGTCAGTTAAAATGTATAGGGAAATGAAATACTAAAAACTACTAAAACTATTATTTATGAGAACACAGTAAATTGAAACACTAGAAAAAAAATAGTGTTTTATTTCTTTGTAAAAAAAAAATAACAAGAGTGGTTTGAACAGTTCTTGCCTTTTTAAAATTGCCATATAACATACAATAATGAGCAACCTCTTTCCTATATACCTTGGTGAATTATCATACTTCTATCTAAATTTGTGTCAACTTCCAACATTTAATGTTTGTACTTTCAACATCATGAAATACTTCTGAGAGTTTCTTTAATGTGCAGTTAATTTCTCTGTAATTTCCTCTGGGGCATCTTCATCCTTTTTAGCGCAACTACTTTCTTCATTTTTGTTGGTAAGTCCATCTGAATGAAGGAAGTCCTTCTGGCTACAAATCTAGAGTCTCTTGAAGTATGGTAGCACTTACATTCCCATGGATAAGTATTTCTTCTATAACTCCATTTACATTTGATTTGCATTTCACTTCCACCATTATTATCATTTTGGGTTTTTTTTTTTTTGCCACACTTTCATCTTTATGGGTCAATTTCTTCTTTCAATTACACATTTTTGTAAAATGTCATATCTATTTATCACTAAGAGACAAGGAGTCAACACAACTGCACACTTTGCTGGGCATAAGAGATGTGCTATGATGAGTCACTGACAAGCTCTGAAAGAAGTCACATGATTGATCATTGATTATGATGAGCAGCTATTATTTTTGTAGAGATTTACGAACTGAAGAGTTAGTATTACTCAGTTAATATATTGTGGTAACTGAAATTTGAACCATGTTTTTGGTGAACTGGTATTATTTAACTAAACTGTGGTAACTGAAATTCAAGCCTACCAACCACAAAGTGAGGATTCCCTATATTATGAAGACAGAGACAGAGACAACAGGATTTTTTGGAAGGTGGGATGTGGAGTGGAGTACCATGTCACAGATGCAGTTTTACATTTGCTGGTGATATTGATTATCTAATATTGACTGTCCCTCCTGATAGCAAGCTCTGTGAAGGCAAGTACCACACTTATCTTTGTTCACCATTACACAGTTGATGTTGCACTTTTCTAAATAGTGTCTAAGTTTCACAACAACCCCAAGCAGCAGGTATCATCTCATTTTGCAGATGAAGAAACTGAAGCTCAGAGAAGTTAAGTAACTTAACACCATTTCACACAACTAGTGAGTGACAGATTGGGACTCAAATTCATATCTTCTGAAGTCCAATCCTCTTTCCTTTGAACCACCACTCCTCCCTAATAAAAATATAGTCCTATAAAGTTTTGCTCTGGAAACCATAGCACCATGTTTCCTATGCCATAATCAACTATCATATGAAAGCTGTAGAATATAAATGACAGCAGAAATAAGGCAAATACAGTGTATTTGAATCTCCTGTCTGTATAAATATCCTACAAGTTTCCATTTAAATTCTGTTCTTAACCTCATGACAAGGATTTATAAAAAGACAAAATCTGGCAACTACATTGACTGAAGGCCAAAGAGCACATCCTACTCTTCAAGGAATTTCCAATATCTCTGCAAACAATAAGGATGAGTTAAGAAGTACATTCCTGACTTCCTCAGACTTTAATCTGTGAATCAGAACGTTAAGAACAGGTACCTGCAGGGTAGAAACGGTTTTGCCTCACATCACTGAGCACACCCAACCCAAAGATGTCTGGGTTCATTTACCTGAAATCCACCTCTGTTCTCCAAAGCAATTATTTTCTAATCAATCAACATCTTTCTCTTTCTTCACCACTTCCAAGGCTTTTCTTTTTCCATTTGCATCCAGATACCATTCCTCTCAAGATCCAACAGTACCACTAATCAAATGCACAGTGCAATTTGAGACAAACTTGTTGATCCCCACATAATGACTAAAGAGACTATTGTCTTGGCTATTTTCACATCCAGGTTAGTCTGTCAGAATGTAAAATCACTGCTTTGTTACTAGCATATTATTATTTTAGCAAGGTAGATGCTTAACAGACATAACCACTCCAATTAAGGGACACTTTCACTCCTTTTTCATTCTGATATGACATAAATTTTTTACAAGTATATATTACTTTTAGAACTAACAGTAATTTTTTAAGTGTCATAACTAAGTTAACTTTTAAAGATATGAAAATAGCTCTTAAATGATTATACAATAGCCTAAAGAATTCAATTAAATATATATATAATATTGAATACTAAAAGATCTGATGGGAAAAGAGATGTGACAATGTCCTGTACAACCTGGAGCTGAGAATAAGATTATAATGTAACACAAATATCCCTTCCCTTACAGTCATTTTATAATAAATGCCCAATCAAAATTAAAACTTTATGTAAAATGAAACAAATTGATATCACCTCTGGCTGAAGAAAAAATAAGATACTTCCAACTTGGGGAAAATTTCCCCTATTTATATGATCAATAGGAGTTAAGAAATGCATTTCTGAATTATTCAAACTCTGCTTTGGGAACTGTAATCAAGAACACTACCAAAAGCAGAAGATTCCTTTAAATTTTCCAATGGAAAAATATGTGCCATCATTAAGCTGATAAATGCATGTATTATTTAAAATTAAATGAGTATGACTGTTGCTACTTTAACAAAAAAATGAGAGGATTTGATATGCATATTATGTAGGATACTAGAAAAGGAGCAAATATTTTGCTTAGACTGGTTCTGAAAAAAAAAGGTTGTTATTGAGTAGACATATGAGTCTGGGTTTTGTACAATTTGCTTCTGCATGTTGTCTGACACCCACCTCATCCCCCACTATATGTGCCAACCCTAGCCCATCCCAACCTCCCTTATCCTCAGACTTAATTTTTATCAATTTCATGTCTTTCCCAGAAGTTGACATGCTCTGGTCCAAGGTAAGGATGTCCATTTCAAACATCACTTACCAACTTTCCTTGGAAATCGAGATTTTAATTGTTTCTTTGTTTATGCAACACCAAAATTGACCCAGCAGTCAAAATATCTATGTCAGTTATGTAGGTAAAATGGAAGATTGAACATATGCCTATAATTTTTCTCCCTTCCACTAAAAATGGCAATAAAGGGATTTTTGCTTTTAAAGACATAAATCTCAACGTATGAGTAGAACAGGAGAGGATACAACTTCAACCACATTTGTGGAAAGGGAAAGCAGATGAACCAGTGGTAACTAACAGGAAACTGGAAGAAGATGAATCCTAATCTAGTAATGTGGGAAGCCTGAATGTGTTCACAGACTCCTCCAAAGACTCAGATATCAGAAGGACTAAGTGCTCCCAGAAATGGGGTGCTAACATAAGGAAAATTGGTTAAGAGCAGTTTAAGGAACAAATACCAAATCCCCTCTTCTACTCTATGAAGTTGGGCAAATTCTCCCCCATCACCAGGCAGAACACCATGAGTTTATTCTGTGGATATTAATCTTAGGTTGATACTCTTAAACATAAGTGAGCTACCAAGATCTACAGACAGCAGAGAAAACCTTATAATGTGAATAATTGAGAACAAGAAAACAGAAAAAAAAAATGCAAAGGAAACAAAGACTGCAGGGAAAAAAAAAAACCTTAAGAAAAACACAACAATCCTAGAGAAAGAAGAGCATTGATAAGATGCTATAAAAAGGAGCATTCAAAGAACAAAAGAAAGAGTATGGAATTGAAAACATGAGAGCTTCAATTTTTTTAACTCAATAGATTTATTAGGAAATAAAATTTAGAAAAAGGTTAGAAAAATCTCCCAGAAAGCAGAGGAAAGAAAAATGAGAAGAGGAGAGAAAAAAAAATAAGGAAGCTTGCATGTTTAAAGTCTTTCTTATTAAATTCACATGCTTTAAAATTTCAAATTGTACTAAAATATTTGTAACATAAAATTATCTATTTCCCACCCACTTTTTTCTACTCCCTGCTTGGTAATTTCAGAAGCAGTCATTTTGATTCTTTCAGCTGTTTCTTTTGACATTTACCTAACTTTAAATGTTTAAATAGTATGTGTATTTGCTATTCTTAGATACATGAATGTTGAGCATTATCTAATTACTTCCTATTATGGTAGTTTAGCACTTTACTCTCTTAGACTCCCATTGCCTCTGCTTTCCCTCCTCTATGATTCCAATTCAGTTGTAGTCATTTTTAGATTAAATCAATACTCAGTAAAGTCTGTGTAGATATTACTCACAGCTGAGCATTGTACTATGATTACATTTCCTTTCTTATATTTTCACCAAAGTTAATTATTACCATCTTTTTTGATTGAGGTACAAGTTATACACCATAAAATGCACCCATCAGAAGTATACAATTCAGTGAACTTTGGTAAATGTACAGAGTAATGCAACTATCATCATAATCTAGCTTTGAAACATTTCCATCATCCCAAAAAGCTCTCTTGTGCCTGTTTGCAGTCAATCTTCACTTCCACTCCCAGCCCCAGGCAACCACTCATCTGTTTTCTGTCTCTATAAATTTGCCTTTTCTGGAAACTTCATATAAATGGAGTCATGCAATACATAGTCTTTTGCATCTGGTTTCTTTCACTTAGCATAATATTTTGAGATTCATTATGTCATAGCATGTATCTGTAGTCTGTATCTTTTTATTGATGAATTGTATTCTACTTTATAGATATACAACACTTTGTTAATCCTTTCACCAGTTGATGAATTGTTTCCACTTTTTGGCTACTAGAAATATTGCTGCTGTGAACATATATGTACAAGTTTTGTGTGGACTTATGATTTCATTTCCCTTGGGTAGATATCTAGGCATGGAATTTCTCAATTGCACAATGTCTCACTTTTTAAAAACTGCTAACCTTTTTCCAAAGTAGCTGTCTCATTCTACCATCCCAAAAGCAATGTATGAGAGTTCCAGTTACTCCCTGTCCTCACCTACACTTGATGTCGTCAGTCTTTTTTTCTAGCCATTTAATGGGTACATTGCAGTATCTCATTTTAATTCACATTTTCCTAATCACTAATTATTTTGAGCATGTTTTTGTAGGCTTATTAGCCATTAGTATAATCTTTTTGGTGAAATATCTGTTCAAATCTGTTACCCACTGTATTGGTTTTTTATTGCTGCCATAACAAATTAACACAAATTTGGTTGCTTCAACCAATACAAATTTATCATCTCACAGTTTCTGTAGGACAGAAGTCCAGGTGAGCTCAGCAGCATTTTCTGCCTAGGGTTTCATAAGACAAATTAAGGTCTCAGTGGGACTTACCAGAGGCTCTGGAAAAGAAACCTCTCTCAAGCTTGCTCAGGTTGTTGGCTTCATTTGGTTCCTTGTGCTTATCTAGGACTAACATCTTCATTGCCTAGCTGGCTATCATCTAGGGACCAATCTTTGCTCCTAAAGGCTACCTGGATTTCTTCTTTTACTTTCTATGTGGCTACCTCCAGCAACAAGGAGTTGTGTGCCTCTCACACTTTGAATCTCTCTCTGACTCTATTTTACCTTTTCTAGGTAAAGAAAAGATCATTTGTATCTTTCTAGCTAGCTCATCTCTTTCTACCTCATCTTTCTGTCTCTAGCTTCTAAAGGTTAGCATTATTAAATTGAGACCACCCAGATAACCTAGGATAGTATCCCAGTCTTAAAGTCTATAACTAACCTGAATTACATCAGCAAAAATTCCTTATGCTATGTTGCATAACATATTCAACAGAAGAATTAGGGCATGGACATTCCAGGCAAGGGGGTGAATTCTGCCTAAAACACCCTTTATTTTATTTTATTATTTTTATAAGATAGGGTCTTGCTCTGTTGCCTAGGCTGGAGTGCAGTGGTGTAATCATAGCTCACTGAAGCTTCCAGCTCCTGGGATCAAGCGATCTTCCCATCTCAGACTGCCTTCCAAGTAGCTACAACTACAGGTACATGTCACCACACTCGGCTAAGTTTTTGTTGTTGTTGTTGTTGTTGTTGTTGTTGTTGTTGTTTTAATTTTTTTTAGAGATGGGGCTTTCACTTTGTTTCCCAGGCTAGTCTCAAACTCCTAGGTTTAAGTGATCTTCTTGCCTCAGCTTCCCAAAGTGCTGGGATTACAGGTGTGAGCCACTGCGCCCAGCCTAAAACAACCATTTTTAAGAAAGTTGTCTTCTTATTAATGATTTGTAAAAGTTTCTTATATATTCTGGATATAAGTTCTTTAACAGTTCTATCAGGGGCTCACACATTTTTTCTGTCAATTAACAGATAATAAATATTTTATGTTTTGCAGGCTACAAAGGATCCCTTTTGCATATGCTTTTTTAAACACTTTAAAACTGTAAAAACCATTCTTAGCTTATGAGCCTTACCAAAACAGATCATAGGACAAATTTAGCCTTCAGGCCATAGTTTGCCAACCTCTAAGATGTGTGCTTTGCAAATATTTTCTCCAAGTTTGTGGCTTATCTTTTTTTATTTTCATACTGTTGCTTTTGGAAGAGTGTAGTGAACAGACTTGAAGATGGCTCTCATAACTCTGTCTCCTGGTATTGGTGATTTGGTATAATTCCTCCCCTTGAGTGTGTTGAACCCTTTGTGATTGGCTTCTAACCAATGGGATGCAGCAAAGGTGGTTCCAGGAACATGATTACATAAAAGTGTAGCACATATCTTGCCATTTTTCTATCTCCTCTTTGTCTCTCTCTTTCCATCCTCTTTTATTCTTGAATTTGCTATAATAATTCATGTCTTCCTGCCTTTGAAAAAGTGAGATGCCATGAGCCCTATGACCCCAGTACTGAATGTTGCCAACAATCCGGGAAATGGACCTTTCCTAGTCGAGTCTCATATGAGACCTGAGTCCTGGTGACACCTTCACTGCAGCCCTAAGCAGTGAATCCAATTGAGCTATGCCCTGATTCCTGACTCACAGAAATAATAGTAGAATAAGTATGTGTTGTTTTAAGCCACTAAATTTGTGTCAATTTGTTATACAGCCTGGAAAACTAACAAAAAGAGCACATATCTCTAATTTTATTAAGTCCATGTTATTGTCTTTTTTTCTTTTGGTATCACATCTTAAAAATCTTTGCCTAATCCAAAGTCACAAAGATTTCCTCCAGTGTTTTATTCTAGATATTTATAGTTTTAGTTCCTAAGTTTAGATGTATTCGCTATTTTGAGTTAATTTATATGTATGGTTTGAGATAAGAGTCTAAGTTCACTTTTTTTGAATAGGTGGACACCTAGTTGTCCTAGAGTCAGTTATTTGTTGAAAACAGTCTCCTTTCCCCCATTGAACTGCCTTGGCACATTCGCTGAACATTAAGTGACCATAAAGGGAAAGTTTTATTTCTCAACTCTCAATTTTGTCTCATTGATTCATATGTCTATCCTTACCCAAATACTCCATCATATTGATTACTATGGATTAACAGTAAGTTTTATAAATGGGTATTCTGAGTCATCCAAATTTGTTTTTCTTTTTCAAAACTGTATTGACTAGTCTTAGTTCTTTGTGTTTCCATATAATTTTAGGAGCAGCTTGTCAATTTCTACAAAAAAAAAAAGTAAAAGCCTGATGGGATTTTTGAGAGAAAATGTGTTGAATCTACAGAGAATTATCATCTTAACAATATTGAGCCTCTCAGTCTTAGAACATAATATGTCTCCATTTATTTCAGTCTTACTATTTCTCAGCAGCAATGGTTTGTGGTTTTCTGTGAATAAGTCTCGAACTTTTGTTACATTTATTTCTCAGTATTTTATTTTATTTTATGTTACTTTATTTATTTATTTTGAGACAGAGTCTTACCCTGTCACCTAGGCTACAGTCCAGTGGCACCATCTCAACCTCCACCTCACAGATTCAAGAGTGTCTCCTGCCTCAGCCTCCTGAGTAGATGGGACTACAGACGCTTGCCACCACACTCAGCTAATTTTTGTATTTTTAGTAGAGATGGGGTTTTGCCATGTTGGCCAGGCTGGTCTCAAACTCCTGACCTCAAGCGATCCACCTGCCTCGGCCTCCCAAAGTGCAGGGATTACAGGCATTAGCCACTGGGCCCAGCTGAGTATTTTATTCTTTCTGATGCTGTTAGGAATGGAATTTCATTTTCCAATTGTTCATTACTAGAATAAAGAAAAAAACATTTATTTTTGCACACTTATCTTATATCTTGTGACCTTGTTGAACTTCCTTTTTAGTTCTAGTTTTTTGGTTTGTATTTTAGATTTCCTAGGAGTTTCTATGTTCAAGATTACGTTGTCTTCAAAAAAAAGTTTTAGTTCTTCCTTTTCAATCTATATGCCTTTAATTTCTTTGCCTTATCTGATTGCGGTGGTCAGAGTCTCTAGTATAATATTAAGCAAAATGGGTAAGAATAGATGTCTTTACCTTATTCTTGATTTTAGGAACAAAGCACTATTTTTTAGCAATTTATGATGTTAAGTATAGGCCTCTGTAAATGTCCTTTAGCACTCTGAGAAAGTTCTCTGCTATTCCCAATTTGTGGAGAGTTTTTATTTATGGGTGCAGGATATTTTTTTCAATTGATTTTTCTGTTTCCTGAGATGACCATGCATTTTGTATACCTTGCCTTATTAATATGGTGTATTACATTGATTTATATACAGATGTTAAGACAACCTTGCATTTCTAGGATAAATCCCACTTGGTCATGGTACATCTTTTTATGTTGCTGGATTTTGTTTGCTAATTTTTCAAAGAAAAATTGCATTTGTTTTCAACAAAGGTTTCATCTGCAGTTTTGTTTTCGTGAGATATCTTCATGAGCCTTTCCTCTCAGGATAATACTGGTTTCATGGAATGTGAAATGCCAACTATCTTCTATTTTCTGGTAGAATTTGTGAAGGGTTGCTATTATTTCTTACTTAATGTTTGTTAGAATGTCTGTTAGAATTCACTTGTGAAGATATCTGGGCCTGCGGTTTTTTTTAGTGAATTTTTAATTACTAATTTAATTTATTTTTTGTTGGTCTATTTCAGTTTTCTATTTCTTTTAGAGTCAGTTTCAGTAGTTTGTGCTAGGAAAATGTCTGCTTCCCTTAAAATGTCTAATTTGCTGACATAAAATTGTTGACAATATTTTCTTTTTTTAAATTATACTTTAAGTTTTAGGGTACAGGTGCACAATGTGCAGGTTTGTTACATATGTATACATGTACCATGTTGGTGTGCTTCACCCATTAACTCGTCATTTAACATTAGGTATATCTCCTAATGCTATCCCTCCCCACTCCCCCGACCCCACAAAAGGCCCCAGTGTGTGATGTTCCCCTTCCTGTGTCCATGTGTTCTCACTGTTCAATTCCCACCTATGAGTGAGAACATGCAGTGTTTGGTTTTTTGTCCTTGTGATAGTTTGCTGAAAATGATGGCTTCCAGCTTCATCCATGTCCCTACAAAGGACATGAACTCATCATTTTTTACGGTTGCATAGTATTCCATGGTGCATATGTGCCACATTTTCTTAATCCAGTCTATCATTGTTGGACATTTGGGTTGGTTCCAAATCTGCTATTGTGAATAGTGCTGCAATAAACATACGTGTGCATGTGTCTTCATAGCAGCATGTTTTATAATCATTTGGGATTATAAATCATTTGGGATATAATCATTTGGGATTATAAATCAAATGATTATAATCATTTGACCCAGTAATGGGATGGCTGGGTCAAATGGTATTTCTAGTTCTAGATCCCTGACGAATCGCCACACTGACTTCCACAATGGTTGAAATAGTTTACAGTCCCACCAATAGTGTAAAAGTGTTCCTATTTTTCCACATCCTCTCCAGCACCTGTTGTTTCCTTACTTTTTAATGATCGCCATTCTAACTGGTGTGAGATGGTATCTCACTGTGGTTTTGATTTGCATTTCTCTGATGGCCAGTGATGATGAGCATTTTTTCATGTGTCTTTTGGCTGCATAAATGTCTTCTTTGAGAAGTGTCTGTTCATATCCTTCGCCCACTTTTTGATGGGGTTGTTTTTTTTTTTCTTGTAAATTTGTTTGAGTTCATTGCAGATTCTGGATATTAGCACTAAACATGGAAAGGAACAACCAGTACCAGCCACTGCAAAAACATGCCAAACTGTAAAGACCATCAAGGCTAGGAAGAAACTGCACCAACTAATGAGCAAAAGAACCAGCTAACATCATAATGACAGGATCAAATTCACACATAACAATATTAACCTTAAATGTAAATGGGACAAATGCTCCAATTAAAAGACACAGACTGGCAAATTGGATAAAGAGTCAAGACCCATCAGTGTGCTGTATTCAGGAAACCCATCTCACGTGCAGAGACACACATAGGCTCAAAATAAAGGGATGGAGGAAGAGCTACCAAGCAAATGGAAAACAAAAAAAGGCAGGGGTTGCAATCCTAGTCTCTGATAAAACAGACTTTAAACTAACAAAGATCAAAAGAGACAAAGAAGGCCATTACATAACTGATAATATTTTCTTACAATTATTTTAATTTTTGAGGGGTGGTAGTGATGTGCTTTTATTCTTGAATTTGCTACAATAATTAGTGTCTTCTCTTGCTTTTTCTCCATCAGACTAAATTGGGGATCAACAGAGTATGTATAGCTTAGTGGTCAGCCCAAGACTAGCCAGATGTTGTGCTCCAGCACCTTGAGCCAGTAGGGCTTATACCCCATTGATGGATCTGTTTGTGCAATGGGAGCACATCCACATATCAGACTTTTACTTCCTGCAGTGTCCTTACAGGTCTTCTCTGTACATATGCATGGCCTTCCAGTCTGCCAGTGATGTGTTGTGAAGACCTCAGCTAGCTCTTCTACGGTGCTCTCGGTTCTGTTGCTCACCCCACCAAGGATAACAACTTCAGGCTTGTATTGTAGTATTATGGCTTTCATTATTCTTTTCCTATTTGGATATGGGAGTTTTTTGCTCTGCACTCCAAATCAAGTCAGCCTCTGCAGCAGCAAAGCTGCTCTTAATAGTTTTATGACTAGCCCCACCAGACAGAACCGTCATGCCAAATGACTGAAGGATTGGATGGAAATCGCCCTAGACAAGAATGGCACAGACTTCCATCGTGCTTAACTGAAGTTCAGTGATTTTTTTTAATTAATAAATTCTCAATTTGTTGTTTGTATTTGTTTAATTTCCAGAGACCTGAAATATGTGTGGTTTGTCTGTTTATACTTAAATGTGTCCAGTTTCATACTTATTTTAGTGGGAGAATATTTGCCAGCCTCTTCACTTTGCCATAATCGGGAATCCCTATCTAGGCCACCTGGCATCTCTGATTCCTGCCTGTTTTCATTTATTTCATTTTTACTTATATTTATTGCTAATTTTCACACACTTGCCAGTTGTCAGAATAATATTTCATCAGACATAAGTTCTCTGTTTTCATGTTTTATTTTTGAAGACTTCCCTTCTGAGAACTTTTATTCTGCTTTTATCTGGAGTAGAAATAAATTGCACCAGTAATGTCTTGCACCATCACCTCCTAATTGTTGTAGGAATTCCCTTTGCTTATCTCCTAATTTAGATTATACATCTCATGAATTTCAAGATTTTCTGCTTTTTTGGTGTTTTCCATCATTTTGGTGGAACCTGGTCTCCAGTAGCACTTTTTTTTTCCTTCTCATGTTAAAGATCGTACAACTGCAAAGAGAATGGTGCCAGCAATCCTCGACATGCCTGCTTCTTGTCACACTGCTGTGATTTATACTTCTCTCAGACTATAGTTTTGCAGATAAGATTTTTTTGTTTTGTTTTGCTAAGTGGAGAACACAATTTGAGATAAATAGGCTAATTGCTAAGAAAAAATAGAGTAAAGAAAGAGAAGAAAAAGACACAGAAATAGTCTTTCTTTGACAAGGGGTTTAAAGTTAGTTTCATTTTAGGGGGTAGGACAGATTGCTGATTCCTGCCTCAAGACGGTTTCAAGACCAACGTAAAGGCATTCAAGGAAATGCATCACATTGTTATGTGTTATGAAACACAAGGATTGTAAAGTTGACCTTACAGCTGTACATCCTAACAATACATTAGCACAAATCTGTGAAAAAGGAGATTCATTGTGCAAACACTAGATAATTTTAGCAAAGTTGAATTAGTTTCTAACACACAATCCTTATCTAAAAGCATCTTCCAAATTTGCCTATCTCAAATCCAAACAAAAAGAAGACCCTCACAGCTATGGGGACCATGGTAAAACCAAGTACCCTGGAAATGATGGAACTGGTTTTGTCTTGGAGAAGAGGGGAAAAAGTAAGGTGACACCTCTGACAAATGATTTTATCCAGTCCAGAATTGTTGGTCTTCTTATGTTTTGAAGTAGGATACAGAGGAATTGACAATTATTCCCTTTATCTTCAGGATGTAATTTGATCCTAATATTCCTCTGTGCTTCCAGATTCCTGGTTTTTATCCAGTATATTCACACTGATGACATCCAAGAAAAATTCCTAGTTTATGAACACTTTTTGAAAATTCTAAAGGCTGCCAGGACATTTGAAATGGTAAAACGTTTATTTGTTGAGTAAAAATTCAATTGAACAAAACATCTTGGTACCTAAGGTGCAGAAGGAGTGCCTGAAATGATGAACTACTTGTTTAATTTTGCTTCATGGCTGAAGATGAAAGCTGTACACACAGTACTGAGCCTTATTATGTTCTCTACTGGACTACACTGACATTAAGGGGCCGTCTGCATCCTACATGAATACTGTCTCCTGCAATTGAAGTCATTTTATCAAAATCAGGGACAAATGTATCACCTTTTCAAGAAGTTTTGCCAAGAATGAAAGGCAGAATATTAAATTCTTAACTGCACAAAAGTGCATTAGATTTCAGAAAAGTCATAAAATGCTTTTTTGAAAAATAGATTTTGTTGTTGTTGTTGTTGTTGATGGATTGCTTGTTTGCTTCTATGTACATCTAAAAGCAAAAAAAAAAAACAGTCTCAGAATCATTTTAAAGAAAGCTATCTTTTGGCCTTGGTCACTTGGAAGATAATCGGATGTATATAAATGAAATAAATGCTTTCTTTTAAGACAAAAGTCACTGTGTTGTTGCTACCAAGCCTTAGCCAACCTGAAAACTCAACAGGACCCATGACCCCCAAATAGTTACAAAGTTTTATGCCAAGCCACGCAACAAGATGGACAATGAACGGGCCAAGGCCTGCCTGGCCTTCATGTCTGAGTCAATTTTTCTCCTCTTATTCAACCTTATGATACTATGTACTTCTCCTTATAACACTTTACATAATTGTAATTTGGAAAGACATATTTAATAGTCTTTTTTAAAAACAGCTTTATTGAGATATAGTTGATATATAAAAACTGCATATATTTAATGTATAAAATTTGATGAGTTAGGATATATGCATATACCCATGAAATCATCACCACAATAAAGACAACAGACATATCCATCACCCACAAAAGTTTATTTGTGTCTCTCTGTTTTTTTGTTTTGGTTTGGTTTTGTGGTAAGAATATTTAACATGAGATTTACCCTTCTCACAAATTTTAAAGTACACAATACAGCATTGTTGATTATAGTCATTATGCTGTATAGCAGATCTCTAGAACTAATTTATCTGGCATAACTGAACTTTATACCAATTGAACACCCCCCCCCCCCATTTCTCCCTTCTCCTGGTACCCACTGTTCTGTTCTCTGCTTCAGTGAATCTGACTAATTTAGGTACCTCATATACATAGAATCTTGCAGTATTTGTCCTTCTATGCCTGACTTATTTCACTTACTCTAATGTTCTCCAGGTTAATCCATGTAGTTGGTTGTTGCAAATGTCAGAAGTTTCTTCTTCTTCTGTTTTTTTTGAGATGAAGTTTCGCTCTTGTCACCCAGGCTGGAGTACAATGGCGCAATCTTGGCTCACTGCAACTTCCGCCTCCCAGGTTCAAGTGATTCTCCTGCTTTAGCCTCCCAAGTAGCTGGGATTACAGGCGCCTACCACTATTCCTGGCTTAAGTATTGTATTTTTAGTAGAGATGGGGTTTCACCATGTTGGCCAAGCTGGTCTCAAACTCCTGTCCTCAGGTGATCTGCCTGCCTCAGCCTCCCAAAGTGCTGTGACTGCATGAGCCACCACACCCAGCCGGAAGTTTCTTCTTTTTTTAAGGCTGAATAATATTTCACTGTATATATAAACCACATTTTCTTTATTCCATTAATTTGTTGATGGGCATTTAGGTTGCTTCTATGTCTTTGATATTGTAAATAATGCTGCAATGAACATGGGAGTACAGATATTTCTTCAAGATTATAATTTTAATCATTTGGGATATACACCTACAAGTGTGATTGCTAGATGATATGATAGTTCTATATTTAATTTTTCAGGAGACCTCCACACTGTTTTCCACAGTGGTTGTAACCAATTTACATTCCTACCAACAGTGTACAAGAGTTCCTTTTCTCCACACTCTAATCAACAGTTGTTATCTTGTTTTGTTTTGTTTTTGTTTTTATAATAGCCATCTTAACTGATGTGAGATGACATCTCATTGTAGCTTGATTTGTATTTCCCTAACAATTAGGGATGAGTATTTTTTTATATGCTCATTGGTAATTTGTAAGTCTTGATTGAATTAACGTCTATTCAAGTCCTTTGCCAATTTTTAAATTGGGTTACTTGTTTTTCTCTTATTGAGTTGTAGGACTTCCTTATATATTTTGGATATTAACCCTTTATCAGATATGTAGTTTGTAAATATTTTCTCCCATTCTACAGATTTACTTGTCATTCTCTTTATTGTTTCCTTTGCTGTGTAGAAGCTTTTCAGTTTGCTGTAGTTCCACTTGTCCGTTTTCATTTTCTTTGCCTGTGCTTTTGGTGTCATATCCAAGAAATCATTGCCAAAACCAATGAATTTGAATTATTTATTTGCCAACCATGCTATCTCATGGCCTACAATAGTGTCTCACTTACAAAATCCAATCAGAAATGTTTGCTAAATGGACAATTAAAGTTTTACATACTTTCACATATTAACTAAGAAATAACTCTGAATAAAAGAAACTGAAAGAACTAAAAGTGGGACTGTATCTTCCAAATCCCTGAAACAAATACAACTGAAAAATGTATAGTTCATCTAGTAAAAGGCAGATTAATGAAGAACAAGAAGAATAAACTTAGAAAAATAAAACAAAATCTCAAAAGTAGATTTAAAAGATTACTTGTGATAATTAACATATACGGATTAAAATTTCTTATTGCTGCATGCAGTGACACACACCTATAATCCCAGTTACTTGGGAGGCTGAGGGAGGATCTCTGTTCCAGACCAGCTTGGACAACACAGCAAGACCCCATTCCAAAAAAAAAATCCCTATTAAGAAAAACAAAATGTTTAGATTCAGCTTTATAAAAATCCAAATAACTGCTGCTTACATGAAAAATACTGAAAATAAAGTAAGCAAAAACCTTAAGAAAATGAGATAGTCAACAATATTTTCAACAAACGTTTTTTTAAAGATTTAAAAAGTAGAAGAGTGATATTACTATTGACAAGAAAACACCCATGGAGGAATAAAAGCATATATGAGTTAAAGAAGATGAATTTACAAGATTAAAAGGAGAGATAAGAATTATAAAATTTTGTCAGGTTACAATAATATAAAAAGTTCATATTAATAGAAATAGAAGAAATGGACAGAAATAGGCTGTATTGGGATTCTTCATAAACCACTATAAGCCTATGAAACATCAAGTGTCAAGTATTTAATTGATAACAAATTCATTTAGAAAGCTAAGTTATATAACATATTTTTATCTATGACAAACATATATAGTCTTTTTTTACAACATCCTTGAAAAATATTATTCCATCACTGTCTAGAAACAAAACCTCAGTAAATTTAGAAAATGAAAATTGTACTGGTTTTCTCTAATCATAACATAAAACGAAATACAAAATAACCAAGTTAATAGTAAAAATTCAGACAAATATTCATAACCCTTTACTAACTAATTTCTTCTAAATAACTGATGACTAAACAAGAAATCAAATGCAAAATGAGAGACTAACAGAGAATAATGAAAAGGAAAATAACATATACAAAAAGGTAAGGAATTCAACCTTCAGCCATATTTGAAAATAAATGGATAGACTCAAAAGCTTGCATCAATTTTTTAAAATAATAAAATATATAGAGAAATTAGATTTCTATGGTTTGAATGTGGTTTGTCCCAGTTGAATCTCATGTTGAAATTTGATCCCCAATGTGGCAATGTTAGGAGGTGAGGCCTAGTGTCTGGATCATAGAAGTACATCCCTCGTAAATAGATTAATACACTCTCATGGGTGAATGAGTTCTCACTCTCAAGAATGGATAAGTTCCTTTGAGAGTGGGTTGCTAAGAAATAATCTGGCTTTCTCAGTTTATCTCTCTTGTTTCCTCTCTCACCATGTGTTCTCTTTTCACATGCCCACTTCTCTTCCACTTTCCACCATGAGTGGAAAAAGCATGAGGCCCTCAACAGATGCAACTGCCCAACCTTGGACTTTGCAGTCACCAGAACTGTAAGCCAAATACATCTCTTTTCTTTTCTTTTTTTTTTTTTTTAGACAGGAGTCTCGCTCTATTGCCCAGAGTGGAGTGCAGTGGTGTAATCTCAGCTCACTGCAACCTCTGCCTCCTGGGTTCAAGCAATTCTTATGCCTCAGCCCCCCAAGTAGCTGCTGGGATAACAGGGGTGCACCACTATGGCTGACTAATTTTTGTATTTTTAGTACAGATGGGGTTTTGCCATGTTGGCCAGGCAGGTCTTGAATTTCTGGCCTCAAGTTAGCCTCTCCTCTTGGCCTCCCAAAGTGCTGGGATTACAGGCATGACCCACCATGCCTGGCCCATCTCTTTTCTTTATAAATTACCCAGTATCAGATATTCTGTTATAGAAACACAAAATAGACTAAGCCATTGCTAATTCTTTTAAGATATTAGGAAGAAATAACTATAGTAGTATTTAAGGTAGGCAGGAGGTAGAAAGTAATGATCTTATATTTATAATACAGTAAATTAGAAAATAGAGAAAACTGACAGATAAAGCAATAGTCTAATTGAGAAAAATATAATGTAATTATAATTCTTTAATAATTTTAATAGAAAGAGATTGTGACAACTATGGAGGTGATTTTTATGACAAAGAAGACATTGAAAATCTAGCTCAAGGCCGGGCGCGGTGGCTCACACCTGTAATCCCAACACTTTGGGGGGCCAAGGCGGGTGGATCACAAGGTCAGGAGATCAAGACCATCCTGGCTAACACGGTGAAACCCTGTCTCTACTAAAAATACAAAAAATTAGCTGGGCGTGGTGGCAGGTGCCTGTAATCCCAGCTACTCAGCTACTTGGGAGGCTGAGGCAGGAGAATGGCGTGAACCTGGGAGGTGGAGGTTGCAGTGAGCCGAGACTGCACCACTGCACTCCAACCTGGGTGACAGAGCTAGACTCTGTCTCAAAAAAAAAAAAAGAAAGAAAAGAAAATCTAGTTCAACTATAAATAAAATGCTAAATTATCACAAAACAAATTCATCAAGTGACTACAGAATCAGATAATAGGTACCTGGATTTATATTATGGATAAATTACTTAAATCATCTGAGAAATCAATAATTTCCACACAACATAAACTATTCTACAAAGTAACAAAAGATGGAAGGCTTCCTAGTGAAACAAATAAATAAAAAATCAGTCTAGGGAATAAGAGCCTTAGAATATCCTAGATCAGTGGCCTTAGATGAGCTCTCTCAAATTCAGTATTCTCATCTAAACAAGAATAACAATTAAGGCATAGATTTCATAAAATTGCTGTGAAACTTAAATGGGATAATGCATGTAAACCTCAGCTTAGTAGATTCCCAGGGACACACTGCACACTTAATAGCTATTTTTTGGTAGAGCTAGAATAACCCTGATATAAAACTTGTTAAATATAACTCTGAAGTCAACTACATATCAATTTAATTAATGAAAAGCAATGTAAAATCTAAACAAAATATATGCAATAAAATTTAATACACCATAAGAAAATAATCATACATAAATACAATGATAATCTATTATTAGGACATGTGCCAATGCAATGAGTCCAGCTACATCAATACACGAAATAAGAAAAGCATATAATCACATTTAAAGAATCTATTCTTGATATCCATTTTTTTTTTTTTTTTTTTTTTTAGATGGAGTTTTTTCACTCTTGTTGCCCAGGCTGGAGTGCAATAGTAAAATCTCGGCTCACTGCAACCTCCGCCTCCTTGGTTCAAGCAATTCTCCTGCCTCAGCCTCCCAAGTAGCTGGGATTACAGGCATGCACCACCACACCCGGCTAATTTTGTATTTTTAGTAGAGATGGGGCTTCACCATGTTGGACAGGCTTGTCTCAAACTCCTAACCTCAGGTGATCCACCCGCCTTTGCCTCCCAAAGTGCTGGGATTACAGGCATAAGCCACCATGCCCGGCCTTGATATCCTTTTATTAGTGAGAAAGGAAAGTAAGATATCTCCTTCATATTGTCAAAGGAAAAACAGAGCTGGATCGTAGTTAAAGCAATAAAAACAGATCTTATTCAGGACTATTACAATGCAGGAAATGAGACTTCAATATAGAACTGGGCTTAATTCTAAATATAGAATGGGCAAGTGGGAGTCTATAGCCAAGGAGCAGAGCGTGGGTCGTCAGTGGATGGAAAGCTAGTAAGAGAATACATCAGGGGTAAGAGGGGATTCTGGCTGAACAAACCTAACAGAATTCTTGTCAAGGCAGGCCAAGGTATTCAGATATCACCAGGGGGATGGTGGAGGATGAGGAAGGAACTCCATTAGATATTGAAGGTGATCAGATATTGATGGTGGGGGATTTTAGTTAAACTAACTTGGCGGGATTCTTGCTAAAACTGTACAATGCAGAGACATGAAAGTCCAAAAATTGAGGCCTAGTTGAAAAAGAGTTCATGGGGGCCTAAGCAGAGTTTGGTCAAGAGAGAATCTTCATCTATATAAGAAGCCAACATCTTAATGATGAGACACTAGAAACACTGCCACTGAAATTACAAAGAACACATAAATGTCTACCATGTCCAGTTTTGTTTTCGGTAGAAATGTATCTAGTTTAAGAAATTGAAAAGCAAAAATAATCTACATTTTCAAGTCATTATTAAAGGTAAAAGTGGCTACGTGTCACAGTTCTAGCCAAAACCCTGTGAGCAGAAATCTCCAGATGGAGGCTGAAGAAGGGGAAGGGGAGGGGAGTTTAGGGGAGACTGTTCCTCTTCTTCTTGAAAGAAACATGAAATTGCAGGAGCCTTGCAAGGCCATGAGGCCTAAAGCCACACTTGCAGGATTATGGAGGAGAAAAAAACAAGGAGATGAGGTTCCCAAAGTATCACACAACCACCACACCCAGGCCTGAGTGGCCTAACTCTAGACAGTCAGTTTTTTGTATCCATTTGTATTAGTCCATTTTCATGCTGCTAATAAAGACGTCCCTGAGACTGGGTAATTTATAAAGAAAATGGCGTTTAGTGGACTCACAGTTCCACATAGCTGGGGAGGCCTCACAATCATGGTGGAAGGCAAAGGAGGAGAAAAGTCATGTTTTACATGGCAGCAGGCAAGAGAGCATGTGCAGGGGAACTCCCCTTTATAAAACCATCAGATCTCGTGAGACTTAATCACTATTATGAAAACAGCGAGGGAAAGACCTGCCCCCATGATTCAATTCCCTCCCACTGGGTCTCTCCCATGACACACAGCCAAACCATATCACCATTGATATTTTTCAATCTTTTATTTGTTGAAACCAGTAATTCTGAAGGTAGTCCTCAAACCAGCAGCATTGGTATCATCTGGGAACTTGTTAGAAATCCAGATTCTTTGGCCCCATTCCAGACCTACTGAACCAAAAACTCTGGAGAAGCAGTCCAGCAAATCTGGGTTTTAACAAGTCCTCCAGGATATTCTGATGCTTATTTAAAAGTCTGAGAGCCTCTGGTTTAAGCCACTGTTTTTCAAGTGTCTCTCTCACTAAAAATGTATTTTACTGATAAGCATGCTAATAAAATTTGGCAGACTTTCAGAAAATAAATTAAGCCAGGTCTTCCCTTCATACAAAAAATTGAACTTCAGATGGATTCACAATTACACATATATATGCATACATATATGTATATACATATGTATATAAATGTGAATGTATGTACATGTACATAAAATACACACACCTTTACACATGTGCCCAGAACAATAAATCATCTGGCAGCCTCACATAAGATGGGCCTCCTTTAATGAGAGAATTCAGGAACCACCTCCATCCTTCATCTCATTCTTTCTATGGCTGTCTAGTTTCCCATCCTGACTTACTCTCTGTCCCTTTTCAAGTGTGTGCCTCCAATTTAAGTCACCATTCACTCTTATTTTCCAGTCTTCAAGCTTTACCTCTCTGGCTTTAATCACTACTGATGTGGCATCTCCATGGACTTAAAATATCACAATGGCCAAGCCCACTACCCCACATGATTACATACTACCCTTAGGGGCAGTACTGACATCAGACAAGGTTAGATCCATAGGTTGCAATGAGTAGTATTCTGGAAAATATTTAACAACCATCTCTCATTTAAAACAAGAAACAACAGGTGCTGGAGAGGATGTGGATAAATAGGAACACTTTTACACTGTTGGTAGGACTGTAAACTAGTTCAACCATTGTGGAAGTCAGTGTGGCGATTCCTCAGGGATCTAGAACTAGAAATACCATTTGACCCAGCCATCCCATTACTGGGTATATACCCAAAGGACTATAAATCATGCTGCTATAAAGACACATGCACACGTATGTTTATTGTGGCACTATTCACAATAGCAAAGACTTGGAACCAACCCAAATGTCCAACAATGATAGACTGGATTAAGAAAATGTGGCACATATACACCATGGAATACTATGCAGCCATAAAAAGATGAGTTCATGTCCTTTGTAGGGACATGGGTGAAATTGGAAATCATCATTCTCAGTAAACTATCGCAAGAACAAAAAACCAAACACCGTATATTCTCACTCATAGGTGGGAACTGAACAATGAGAACACATGGACACAGGAAGGGGAACATCACACTCTGGGGACTGTTGTGGGGTGGGGGGAGGGGGGCGGAATAGCATTGGGAGATATACCTAATGCTAGATGACGAGTTAGTGGGTGCAGCGCACCAGCATGGCACATGTATACATATGTAACTAACCTGCACATTGTGCACATGTACCCTAAAACTTAAAGTATAATAATAATTTAAAAAAAAAACAATATAGGCATAGATAGATGGACATATACATACAATTATTATAAATTGTGACTAATATGAAGGATTCTTGGCATACAATTTGCAAATAATAATATATACAATATTTGTTACTGTAAATTATATATAGCTAATTGAATCTCACAGAATGTTTTTGTTTTTACTAAACTGTTGCATTCACAGCCAACCTATGGCTGCAATTGATGAGCCACAGTATAGTTCTGACATAAATCTTGGTTAACACATTTTTTTATGTTAACAAGAAAGTGAAACAATGAAGATAAATATAGGAACTTCAGTAGTTTCTCAATGATGAAGTGACTTCTTTGCTCTATCAGAGAATTGTTTTTGAATACTTGAAGAATATTTCCTCATTTTTTGGTCCATTCACACCGTGCTGGTTACAGTCAAGGCATACATTTAAGTTTAATGTGCATTTCCTGTATAACTGTCTAAGGTCGAGGCAATCAACAATCAAAAAACAATAAATCAAGCCTTTATTTGTAGTGCTCACCAGTTTCCATGGTGTAACTATTCCCATCATGGCTAATTTCAAGCTACCAGGGTGACATCACTGAATACACTGAACTGAGAAAAGATATATAATGACAACAGCAGACCACCGTAGAATATTTCTCCCATACAGACACAACAGACACAAACTTAAAAGCATAGATATTAGTAAAATGTAGTAAAATAATTATGAAGTAATGAGTTTTGAGTATTTATAAACTTTGTTTTTAAGATCTTTTATTTAGTACAGGTTTATATATAAATTAATTTTTAATGATGGCTTTCACAATTTTTGAAATTTTTTTATGAGCAAACCACTGGCCCTACTTCCCCTATATTCCCCCAGAAAAGTATATTTCAACATTATTCATATACTGATAGGATTTGGAGGTGTGTCCCTTTCAAATCTCATGTTGAAATGTGATCCTCAATGTTGGAGGTGGGGCCTGGTGGGAAGTATTGGATGATGGGGGCAGATCCCTCATGAATGGCTTAGCACCATCTCCTTGGTGATGAGTGAGTTCTCACTCAGTTCACAATAGACCTAGTTGTTCAGAGAGTCTGGGACCTCCCCCTTCTCTCTCTCTTGCTCCCTCTCTCACCATGCCTTTTTCCCCCTTGGCCTTCTGCCATGAGTAAAACCTCCCTATGGCCCTACCAGAAGCTGAGCAGATGCCAGCACCATGCTTCCTATACAGCCTACAGAACTGTGAGCTAATTAAACCTCTTTTCTTTATAAATTACCAAGCCTCGGGTATTTGTAGCAATGCAAAAATAAACTAACACATATACTCATAAAGAGAAGTCTATAATATGTACATTCGTGAGTAACCTGAACACCTTCCATCTTGCTAATGAGCTCTTCCAAGAAAAAGATAAATATTGCAGAGCATCAGGAAGATGTGCTGGAAATCTAGGTCATTTTGGTTGTATAAGGCCTTCCTATTCAAGCAGTAGGCCTATACTAAAGGCTTGGGCCCTGGTCCTCATGATTCAGCCTAAATATTTGTAAGACACCGTGTTCATTCAGTCCTACCATGAGCTCCTTTCATGATCATGGGACATCAGGCTGAGTTGTTTTGTTACAATGGATGCTTCGACCAAGAGGCCAAAATGGCTCTTCTCCACCTTGACTGTGCTGTAGCATTATTCTTATACCTAGAACAAGGTTCTGGTCAAGTAGGGACAATAATTAAGAATAATAATGATTATTTGCCAAATGTTTACTCTGTGCCAGGCACCACACCAAATGCTATATATACATCATTTCTTTAATTCTTAAAACAACCCGGTGTGGTGAGAATTATTATTCCCATTTATAACAAGAAAACAGAGAGACACAAAGTAATTAGCAAATATGCCCAAGATCACACAAACAGTAAATGTTAAAGTAGGATTTCAACTGGCTGTGTACCCCCAAAGCCAGTGCTTTGCTATACCACCTTCTTCTTAGGTCTGAAGACCCAGGGTCTTTGAAAACCCATTAATAAAACACACAGATGCTGGTTCATTCATTCTTCAACATTTCTCATTGATCCATTAGCCAAATGGTATCCACCTGTTTTCCAGCTGAAATTGTCAATAGCATCTCTTTTCACTGTCACAAGTGTCCTAGTTTAGGTGTTAAATTATATGTGGCTTTATATGTAGAAGAAGCTGTTCTGTGTGTAAGCAGAAACTGAGGCAAGCTGTGCCTCTGTCATATCTGCTATGATTCTAGTGGGCCCAAGATAGCCACAGGACAAAACTACCATAGACTCTGCTTATCTCCACAGAGCTTGCATGCATTCAAGTGGACACATTAAGAAGAAAACTGAAATTTTCCAAACACAATTCCTGTCATTAGAATGTAGGGTCATGCCCTTTGACCTCTGCAATCACCTTCACTGATTTCTACTACCTAAACATCATCTTGAATGAATGACTTCTCCAAACCTGACTTCTCATGAAGACCTAATCTTGACAGTTCTGGAATGCATTTCAGAGCAACTATCCCCATGCCATACTTGAAAATTACAAGTTTTTACTTCCAGGAAACCCAGTAGATGCCTGCAAAGGGGCCAGCTCTCAACATGATCAGCATTCTCTGATGCTTCTGGAACATGAAGTCAACTATTAGTCTTTGCAAGCCAATCCATGCTGTCTTGAGATTATTAAAAGTAATTCAAGGCAGGACATGGTTTCCAAAGTTTTTCCTTGGAAAAACTTCAAGGAAAACACAGAAAAAATTTTTGTGGAAAAACAAAAAAGGAATTTTTTTTTTTTTTTTTTTTTGAGACACAGTCTCGCTCTGTTGCCCAGGATGGAGTACAGTGGCATAATCTCGGCTCACTGCAACCTCCACCTCCGGGATTCAAGGGATTCTCCTGCCTCAGCCTCCCGAGTAGCTGGGACTAGAGGCATGTGCCACCACGCCCGGCTAATTTTTTGAGTTTTTAGTAGAGACAGGGCTTCTGCATGTTAGCCCGGATGGTCTCGATCTCCTGACCTCGTGATCTGCCCACCTCGGCCTCCCAAAGTGCTGGGATTACAGGCGTGAGCCACCGTGCCTAGCCAGGTATTTTTTTTTTTAATTTGTAGATTAGCTATTAAGTATTCTTAAAGCATACATAAATTAAAGGCCCCCTTCTTGTGAATGTTTCCAGCAAAACCTAAGATCAAAATGATGTGAACAAAAACAATCTACCTTTAAATCTTGAATATGGTAGTCTTTCTGTAGATAAACAATGTCTTAAGAAAAAGTATTTATCATATTAATAGCAAAGTCTTCACACCTTTAAACTATATTCTGTGTAGACTTAATTAAATTCAGATCTTCAAACATGGGCCAATTCTTTTGATACCACCGAAAGAAACAATCTACAGAACATAATATATGATAACTTTCTTTTATCTTTCCTAACAGCAAAACTATTTTTTTCTACTCTTAAATTTATTACAGGTTTTCTTACAATGGTTAAAAAAATCCACAAAAATATTAACCTCAACAGAAAACTTATTTCCTATTCCAACATTGCCTGGAGCAGTCAACAGGTCAGCCTGTGTGTGTATGTGTGGGTGTGTGTGTGTGTATGTGTGTGTGTACAATATACGTGTTATGTTGTTCGTTTTCCTAGATTTTTCATTCCTCTCTTGCTAATAGTTATTTTAATTCTTTAAGCATTAATACAATCTGGGAACTAATTCTAATGGAGATGTACTTTAAACACAAGGGATGGCTTGTAATGATATTAAATTGAGATCTTACAAGCTCATAGAGATTAAATAATATTATGGTCAATTCACAAAGTAGATATTGCCATAAAAAATGTTAAATTAACTACTGTGCCATAGTACCTCTAATTCTTTTGCTATTGATGTACTCGTACTAAGCCTTTCTTTCTTTCTTTCTTTCCTTTTTCCTTTCTCTTTCTTTCTTTTCTCTCTCTCTCTCTCTCTCTCTCTCTCTCTTCTTTTTTGATTCAGGGTCTTGCTCTGTTGCCCAGGCTGTAGGCTACAGCATAATGGCATAATTAGAGCTCACTGCAACCTTGAACTCCTGGGCTCAAGGGATCCTCCCGCCTTAGCCTCCTGAGTAGGTAGGACTACAGGCATGCACTACCATATCCAGCTAATTTTTTTTTTTTTTTTTTTTTACTTTTTTTGGTAGAGACGCATCTCACTATGTTGCCCAGGCTGGTCTCTGACTTCTGGTCTCAAGCAATCTTCCTGCCTCAACATCCCAAAGTGCTGGGATTACAGGCTACAGATATGATTTTAATGAAAAATCAAGGATTGGTTATATTCTAAACCATTTGCCAAGAGCACAGTTTACTTTCATGTCTTGGCATTCATAAGAAAACAAAAACTATATATGAAGTTATTTACAGTCTTCCACTCTTATTAACAGCTTCTTTCTAAAGCATGTATTTACTTTTATTAATATTAGGATAATTTTTTATAATTTTTCCTAAACCTGACCTCAAAATGTTTTGGAACATAAGGCAGAAAGGAATAGAATAGGGCTTTAACAAACAATGGAATAATGAGCATTGATTGCAAACCTCCGTAACAGAGACTTGCATAATCTTGTAAATAAGATTTGCATACCTCCAGTAATTATTAAGAAACATAAGATCATATAATCAACTGCTAAATTATATAGAGCAGACAGAAGGTAAGGTAAAAGTTCAGAGAAAAGAGGCATTAAACATTGCGGGCCAAAATTATTAGAGACAGTCTCTGCAGATGGTCACCTGTGGGACTTTCTTGTGATTGTGAATGGCCTGGGATCTTGTTACCATGCAGATCCTGCTTCAGCAGGTCTGGGGCCTAAGTTCTGCATTTCTAATGAGCTCCCAGGTGATATCCATGTTGCTCTTCCATATACTCCTACACTTTGAACAGCAACAACTATTCAAAGACCGGGAGGGTTTGGAAATGTGAAGAGTAGCAAGTAAAGGAACCTTCCTCTTGATGATTTAGAAGCCATAACAGGCTTATAAAAATAGTTCAGCAGAATAAATATTCCTGTGTTTTTCATACATATTTGCCAATGGAATAACCCCCAGACCCAGTGTTGCCTCACACTGTCATCTACATTATTAATACTAGACCAAAGCCAGGGTCCATTACTTTCATGTGAAATGAACCAACCATTTTTTCCAGTAGTCTAAAAGACAGGAAAAGCCTTGCTGAAATGAAAATTTTCTTAGGCTGGGAACTGAATTGAAATGAGTAGTGTTAGTTTTGTTTACGGGTCTTGCAATTTAACTAATTTCTTCCCCATCTATTCTTTTATATCCTAATTGCTCAAAAATGTTATTTTAAACTTTAATATGTTTTAAATGCTGTAATTTCCTTTCTAAACAATCAAAAGCCATTTTCAGCTTGGGCCAGAATATTCTGCATAAATAACCATTCACCAAAAAACTATTTGCATCTAGGACATTCCTAGCATTCCTAGGCCTGCACTTGGCTAGGGTAACCTAAATACTATTAAGAATTGTAAAAGTTTTGAGATTTTACTTTTACTGCAAGATAAAGAAATTTGTAATCGTCTCAGACACAGTTTAGGAGTGTTTTATGTTAAAATTATGGTGGCAGAGTGAATGATCTGGATCCTGCTGCTTGAAGAAGAGTCAAGGACAAGCTTTAAAATCAGGCCATCTTTCTGGGATTCATAAAAGCAAGAACACATAAATGAGGACTAAATTCCATTATGGCCAGTGGAAAGAAAGTTATTAACCCTGAATAAGACATTTTGGGACTGCTGAGGGTTTTTTAAAATATTCTTGAGGTTTCACTTAAAGCAGTAGAGGAAAATGTCTTTCAAATTACCTCTATGACACCCACAGCCATTATTCCTGAGTAGATATAGGCCAGATGGGGGTTGGTATCTGAAATGATCAGTGGGGTTGGATTCAATTAGTGCTACTAAGTGCTGCTTGCAGAAAGCAGTGTGCAATAGTATGCCCCACATCAGAACTGGGTAACCTGCTTCCCTTCATCCTTCTACTGACATTCACAGACTGAACTCCCAAGGGTGACTTACTTAGAAAGGGACCCTTTCTATAGTAGAGCTGCTTTTCCCAGCAACCTCCAATTTCTCAGCCCTTGTAAACTGCCCCAAGCATTTATAGGCTTCATTTTTAAGCCTATAACCTAAAGTATAGGTCTCTCTAGGTCCAGGTCTGAGCTCAACCACTGAATTGAGAGGTTTAAAATTGATGAAAGCCTGGAAAACATAGGTAAGATGAGGAACTGTCAAAGAAACTGAAGTTACTTAAACTAGAGAAAGGAGAATGAGCAGTAACAGAATCAGTGGTGTGCTGTAGCCAGTTCATACTAGCTTGTAAGAGCTGATTATTAAATCCCGAGTAATTTTGCAAGCTTCTTGTCGAACACAGCCATGAATCAAAAGTAAATATGTCAACTTACCTATTACAAACAAAAGTAATACAAAGGGGCACGAGGAAACTTCTGGGGGTGATGAATAGGTTCATTATCTTGATCGTAGTGAAGATTCCAGGGAGTATATTTGGTACTGTAGAACGATTGCCAAAAAACATTGCAACTTTATTTATCCCATTATGAGCTTTTAGTACAATTTCTCTTAAGTTTATCCTTAGTAATTAAATCCTTATGTCTCACCTAGTGTCTATTCTTAAATCTATCATTTGCATGCTTCATATATAATATTTTATGCATATTTTTCTGGTTTTAAAAGCAATACATCTTCATTGTAGATAATTTGGAAGAAAAAAAAACAAAACAAGCATTAGTTAAATCCCACTACCTAGAGATAATGTATAGTCAATATTTGGAATATTTCATTTGAAATGTTTGGGAGTATATGCACATACTCATGTGCATATGAATAGTAGATACGACATGCATAACTTGCTTTTCTTCCATACCACGGTATAAGTATTTTATTTTGTTATACAAATTTTTTACTTTTTTATATTAGCCGTTAATATATTAAAAATTAAAATGTTACATTTTTAAAGCTAGCCAGTTTTTTAGCCCCATATATGCATAAAAATACATTTTTTATTTGGCCTTTAGGAAGACTTAAAAGACAGCGACATAAACTAGAGATTCTCAGACATTAAAATGCGTCAAAATCACCTGGAGGGCTTATAAAAGCTCAGATTTCTAAACCCACACTGTTTCTTACCCAGTATGGGGCCCAAGAATATGGATTTCTAACAAGTTCCCAGGTGATACTAATGCTACTAGTTTGAGAATTATTGGTTTAAACAAGTAAGGGATTGATGAATATCAAAGGGTAAAGGATTGATGGCATAGAGCTAGGCCACCCAGGCCAGGTACTGTGGTTGCATGATACCTTGGGAACCTCAGCTCCTTGAATTCTTCTGTTCTACTACCCTTAGAGAGTGTGGCTTTAGGCCTCATAGTCCCATCATGACCTCTGCAGTTCCTTGTTTCAATCAGGAAGAAAGATTTTTTCCAGAAGCTCCACCTCGGGACTTCTGCTTATGGGTTTTAGCTTAAAACTTTGTAAAGTGGACCCCTTTACCTGTAAGAAAGGCTTACAACTATAGTTGATTCATGGTCAGTTGGCTGGTTTTAAAGCTAGCTATATTCCACCCTGAGCAAAATTAGATATGACAGACATCCTTATCTGCTTCATAATTTTAATGAGGGATTTTATATTTCATAGGTCAATTTTTTTTCTAGGAAGTAGGATACAAATAACTTTTAAAAAAGGAACAATCTGAGCTGGAAGGGGATTTATAGAAAGTGTTAGAAATTTGGAATCTCTATTTTGGAGAAGAGAAGCATGAGCTGCTCAGTGACATTGTCATGTGCCATTGAAAGCTCAGCTGATGACTATAGGTTCATGCTAGTGCAGTAAAGAATCTTTACAATATAACAGCCCAGGAGCTGAGAAAACAAATAGCATGATTGATTCAAAGCTGGAGCCTAGTAAGAAAAGTATATTGGTAGGTTCAGAGGGTAAGAAAATCGTAGAAACTGATAGAGCAAAGGTTGAAATGTCATCCCCAGGAGTATGGGGCTACAGAGAAATAAAAATACATTCCTTATTTCTCTAACTGTTAGGTCTTTATGCAATAATTGAACCAAAAAAACTTAAGAAAAAGTGATTTCAGATGACAGCTAGTCTCCAGTATAATTTGTCTCAGGTCCAAAGGAGTCACTAAAATATTTTAACTTCCAGCTCCATATTTAAATGGGATTTTGTTTCATTCTATTTTGAACTTTTAAAAATAATATTCTTTTAATTGAGAAACAATAAGACTACAACCCTTGACCCAATTCTGGTGTTTGTTCTATGTTTTAGTTCAGGTTTCTTTTTAGATGTAAGAAATAGAGACCAACTGGCATTAGCTAGCCCCTACCTAACAAAGGAAGTTTACTGTAAAGGCTCACATTGAAAGAAAAAAGGACTGGTATCACAGTAAAATCTGGTCTTACGGACATTGAAGCTGAATGGTGGTTGGGTTTCAAGGTATCCAGAGTCAACAGATGTTGATTCCAGTGGTCCCCAGTCTGCATAATTCTGCTACTTCCTTCAGTTCCACTTTGAGCAAGCTTCTTCGTAGTTTCTGCCCACCATGGTTTTGCACAGGGCCCTCTAGCAAATTCTTAGTTCAAATCTCCAAGAAAGAATAGGATTGTCTCAATGCATCTTTTTGTGTCAGTCAGAGGTGGAGAAGCTGGCTATGGACTGGTTCCTAAAATCAGGTGCCCATGTCTAGTCCAGTCATTTTTACCCGATTGGGCCCGTCTGGCCAGACATGGTCACCTAGGCAGCAGAGGCTCCTGATGGAGCAGCTAGGCATAATAGGTGGTTCTAGCTAATACAATTGCAGCTATGTCAGGAATAAGGAAAAATGGGCCCAGCACTTACCCAGGTACATTTTGGGGTGGAAACATTGTAACAAAACTGTTAAAAACAAACAAAAAAACAAAAACCCTCTAATCATTGTGTTGCTTGTTCAGATTCTGCCAAATGCACTCTCACAGATTTGGAGCTGGAGCTCTGTATATAAAACACAAACATAATTCACATAATTATGGATTTTTTTTTCTTGAAAGGAAGACTGCTCACAGTTAGCCATTGATCAGTAGCATTGACCCATCGTTGTAATGTAAGTGAGGAGGCAATCACTGGCAGAGAAGCTCCTTAGTAACTCAGACCTTCAGTGTCACAATTTTTGCCTTAATAATTATTGTCAAGTTTATAAATAATCCCTGTAAGTGAAACAAGCAAGAGTTTCACTTTGGTTTATTACAGTTTTTAGTTGCAGTAAACCTTACTTATATGTATAAATTATTCAAATGCCTAGAAATGCTGAGCTATGAATCATATTGCATTCAAACATCTGTAAGACTTTTGTTTCACATTAAAAACATTTTATTAAGGAGTTAATTGTGTTATACTTATTTCAGGAGCTATAGTCAGGAAGTAAATTTAATTTGAAGTACACTTAGAAATGTAACAGATTATGTAAAGTAAGTAATTTTCAAGTTAAAATTTACTATAATTTCCTACCCCATAATGATTACAGGTTACAGCCATCCTAGGTGTGTTAAGACAACACGTCTGTACTTTAGGCTCAAGTTGTTCATTTCAGCAATGGTTACTTGGGCACTATAGAATTTGGAGTTATGGTAAAGTATTCACTGTTATTTTATTTGCAGCATTAATATGCTTTAAAGGATTACTACATGGTTATTTCTCTTATAAACATCACTAAATTCTTTAAACTTCCTTAATTACTTTCTAAATGTGAGTTGGATATTTATTTGGTAAATTAAGTTCTTTTTACATTTTTTTTAATGCTTCTAGGATTTTTGGTCATTTGAGAGGTAGGAGAGATCTCTGAGAGAAATAGTAATATTCCTGCTAATTTATACAAGTGAAGGTTCAAGTAATTAATTTGAATTTTAAAAGATGTAATATCACTTGTATTCCAGTCTTATCCGGTTATAAATAAATAAAACTAAACAATGGTTTAAATACATGTAGGTAAAAAACAATCATGGAAAGAAAAAGTATTAGTAGAAGGTCAAACACTGAGGAAAAATAATGGAATTATCTATTCACAACGGTTTATATGGTTTATATAACTGCTAGCCCTGAATCTCAAATTTAGTTCTAGGATTTCTGTCAGCAAAATTAAAGAGTAAAAACAGAATAGTTTACAAGATAGAAGAAATATATCAGCTCCTCAGTAGGAACTAAGATCTTTGCCTTACATTAACATTTTAAACATTTTAATTGATAAATATAACATGTGTGTAGAAAATGAACAAAATGTACAGCTCAGTAGATTACCACAAAGCAAATACTTTTGTAATTAACAACTAGAACATGAAAATAAACAAAGCCAATAAATACATGAAATTCTCTCCTCCCTCTGTCCACTTCTAATCACTGTCCCTTCCCCCTCCCGAAGGTAACTATTATCCTGACCTTTATGGTAATCATTCCTAGATTTTTCTTTATCATTTTAACACTAAAGCTTACATCCCTATACAATATAGTAGAACTTTGCCTGATGGAATTTATATGGGATTTATTTAACATTATGGAGGAGGGTTGGGAGGTCTAGCTTTTTTTTGCTCAACTTTATGTTTGTCAGATTTATCCATGTTGTCGCACAGAGTTGTAGTTTTCATTTTCATTGCTATTTTGTTGTGTGAATATAGTTCAATATATTTATCATTCTACTGTTGGAAAGCATTTGGTCCACTTACAGTATGAAGTAATTTTGAATTGAATTTTACTGCTAAAAGCATTTTTCTTCTTCTTTGTTTTTTCTTTTTTTTTTCTGTTGCCCAGGCTGGAATGCAGTGGCACAATCATGACTCACAGCAAGTCAACTTCTGGGCTCAAGTGATTCTCCTTCCTAGTAGCTGGGACTACAGCCATGCGCCAAAATGCCCAGCTAATTTTTTGTATTTTTTGTAGAGATGGGTTTTCGCCATGTTGCCCAGGCTGGTCTCAAACTCCTGGGCTCAAGCAGTCCACCTGCCTCGGCTTCTCAAAGTGCTAGGATTACAGGCATAAGCCACTGCATCCCACCAAAGCATTTTTATAAACTGTATCTTGATGAACAAGTCCATGCATTTAAACAGAGAATATTCCTCAGAGTGGGATTGCTAGATCAAAAACTGGTTTCCAAAGTGGTTGTGCCAAATTATACTCTCACCAGCAGTACGTGACAGCTTCCATTGGTTTACTGCCTCAATACCTATATTGTCAGTCTTTTTAACTTTAGCCATTCTGATATGGTTTTCATTTGCATTTTCCTGATTAAAAATGAATCTGATTTTTCCATAAGTTTGTTGATAATATTTTCTCTTGTGAAGATCCTGCTCAAGGGTCTCATCCACTTTTGGTTTTGACAGTCAATCATTTCCTTAGTGATTTGTATCAGTTCTTCATATAACCTATATATAGGCCCTTAAATATGTCTTATAAATATTTTCTCCCAATTTGTGCCTTGCCCTTCCTTCTCTTTAATGTTGTTTTTGAATGGACAGAAGTTCTCAAATTATCAATTTTGTGTAGTCACATTTATAATTATGCCTGGTGACCTTTGTTTTATTTCAAATGCGTTCTGTCATGAAGACAATTTATACCTTCTAAAATGTTATTTTATCTTCTACAATTAAATTTATAATGAATATATATGCACCTGATTTGGGGATAAAGTTTGAGGTAAAGGTCATGTTTCTTTCTTTTTCTACATGAACATCAAATAGACCAAGCACTATTTAATTTCAAAAGTCCTTTTACCATTGCTCAGAAGGGTCACCTTTGTCTTAAATCGTGTTCATTTATATGGAAGTCTGTTTCTGTGCTATCCTGTTTCTTTCATCTTTGTCTATCCTGACACCATCATAACACTGTCTTAATTACCATATAAGTCTTGATACCTGGTAGATATCAACCCTCATTATTCTTCGAGAGATCTTCAAGAGTTTATTGATATTTTTGGTCCCTTGCATTTTCATATAAATTTTAGAAAAAACTTACCATGTTACACACACACAGTCACACACTGGGCCTTCATATGTATTTATGTTGAATCTATAGGTCAGTTTGGAAATAGCTGACATTGTAACAATATTGAGTCTCACAACCCATGAACATAGTGTAACCATTTATTTAGGTCTTCGTTTTCTTTCAAAAAAAAAATTTTTTTTTTTTTTGAGACGGAGTCTTGCTCTGTTGCCCAGGCTGGAGTGCAGTGGCGCAATCTCGGCTCACTGCAACCTCCACCTCCCAGGTTCAAGCAATTCTCTGCCTCAGCTCCCAAGTAGCTGGGATTACAGGCACCCGCCACCACGCCTGGCTAATTTTTGTATGTATGTATGTATGTATGTATTTACTTATTTTACACGAAGTCCCCCTCTGTCGCCCAGGCTGGAATGCAGATGCGCGATCTCTGCTCACTGCAAGTGCAGTGGCGCAATCTCGGCTCATTGCAACCTCCGCCTCCCAGGTTCAAGCAATTCTCCTGCCTTGGCCTCCCCAGTAGCCGGGACTACAGGCACGCACCACCATGCCCGGCTAATTTTTTGTATTTTTAGTAGAGACGGGGTTTCACCATGCTGGTCAGGCTGGTCTTGAACTCCTGACCTCGTGATCCGCCTGCCTCGGCCTCCCAAAGTGCTGAGATTACAGGCTTGAGCCATGGCGCCCGGCCTCAAAAATGTTTTATAGTTCTCTTTGTAGGAAGGACAATCTTTAACTTATTCCTAGTTACTTGCTATCTCATGCACTATTATAAATAGTATCTCTTTAAAACTTCAATTTTATATCTGTTGCTAATCTATTGAAACACATTGATCTTTGAATATTGACTTTGTATCCAGCAACTCTTAAATTAATTTAGTAATTTTTTCTACTTTCTTTTGGATTTTTCTATGCACATAGCATCTATGAAAAATTAACTGTATTTCCTCTTCTTGAGAAATTCGAAGACTCTCAATAATCTGAATTTGACTAACGTGCAATTTTCGTTGTAAATTCAATAAAAAGTTGCTAGTGTATTCAATCTTTCCAACTCACAAGCTCCCACTCTCAGTTTACGCGGACCTGACTACTACCCGAACAACCCCCACCAGTCTGGAGGATTTTGAGCCTAGACACTCCTCCAGAGCAGGCTCCTGTCCCGGCTGCGGAAGTGCGCGCGCCCTCGGCACCTTAACAGTTCCGCCCCTCTCCCGGACCCAGCCAATCAGCGGCCGCCTCTTGCGCGCGCCCCACCGACCAAAATGGCGGCTGCCGTTGGTGCGGGGTGCGGTTTGTAGTGCTGTTGCCCTACTCATCCCTTTGCAAAATGTGAAAGAAGAAGCGGCTGGTGGAGGCGGGCCATAGGCAATGAGTCGGCGAAGGAAACATGATGACAGCCCTAGCCCGAAGAAAACGCCGCACAAAACAGTGGCGGCGGAGGAATGCGGCTCGGTGGTCGAGCCAGGGAGGAGGCGGCTGAGATCGGCCCGCGGTTCGTGGCCCTGCGGGGCTAGAGAGGGGCCTCCCGGGCCAGTGCGGCAGCGAGAGCAGCCTCCGACCGCCGCCCTGTGCAGTAAAAGTAACCCCGAGGGTGAGACGTCGGCAGCGCGGCCTGCCTTGGCTTCGGCGCCGCATCCCCACATCCCAGCTTGCAACAGGGAAATCTGGGGTGGGGGTGGAGTCTGGAGCGTGTATTCTGTCTCTGGGATTCACCCCTCGAGAGTCCAAAAATAATCCTATACCACTCCCCGATGGGCTTTTGTCCCCGAACTTCAGCACTACCCCGTTAGGTTTGACCATCCATTTGCCTCCGCCACAGGAATAGGTAATGTGGTTTACCTGTTTGCGGGAGGGCGGCTGCTTTCCAGGCTGCTCCTCCAGTCAGCAGCAGTGGTGGAGTGAGAAGAAACAGCTGATAGGCCCGCTAACCTCAGTTTTTGCCCGGAGAAGTTATTTCTCTTTAAACCCTTTTTTTCCCTGTGACCTGCTTTAGAGAAGAGTTCATAGGAAAAGTTAAAGTTTGTCTCAAAGCCTGGTAGATGTCTCACCTCATTGTGAATAAACCGGAAGTTCCTGTGTGTAACATCCCTCCAAATAAGATACTAAGGATCTCTTTCGTCTCGATTAGTTTTAGGTGTTACTTTTTAAAAGACTTCTAGTAAATCTTAGTTGGAACTGAAACTCATACAAAAGCCTTTATTCTGGAGCATGTTCTTGAAATAGTGCTTTTTTTTTTTTTTTTTTTTTTATACCTTACGTGTCTTTTTTCTTTTGGGAAAGAATCTCGCCCTGTCGCCCAGGCTGCAGTGCAGTAGCACAATCTCGGCTCACTGCAACCTCCGCCTCCCGGGTTCAAGCGATTCTCCTGCCTCAGCCTCCCAAGTAGCTGGGACTACAGGCGTGTGCCACCTCGCCCGGCTAATTTTTTGTATTTTTGGTAGAGACAGGGGTTTCACCGTGTTAGCCAGGATGGTCTCGATTTCCTGACCTCGTGATCCACCCGCCTCGGCCTCCCAAAGTGCTGGGATTACAGCCACCGCGCCCGGCCACCTTACATGTCTTTAATAATACTCCTATAAAGCAATTTGGGAATGAACAAAAATCTTTATAAAAATTTGAAAGTGATTCTAGACAAAAATTCCCAAGCATTGGATCACTAATGGTTTTTGAAGAATGGCAATTAATGTAGATTAGATAGAGTTGGTGAAAGGGGGCTAAACATATTTAGGTTTCTGTTGGGTTACTTTGGATTTTTGAATGTACCTATAAATTACAGATGGTTCCCCAAAGCCTCCAAGACTCAATGGTAATAAATAGAATGACTTAGGTTATACAGTATTGTATTATGCATTCATAAAGCTTCTGGATTATCTAGAAGTGTTTGCTATTTACAATGTGAAGTTTGCGAAGTGCCGCGTGGATTTTTATGTGAAACAAGCATTTCTGTTACGGTTCAGGTAATTATCTCTGGGAAAAAAAATTATCTTGGACTATAAAAGTTAGTCTCAGCTATTTGACCTTGGGGTCTTACGAAGTAAGGTAATGCTTTAAAATGCAACAATTGTTATTTTACTCATATTTTATATAGAAAGGTATGAAACACCAAAGAGAGCGCTGAAAATGGACTCACTGTCATCTTCCTTCAGTTCTCCTAATGATCCAGATGGACAGAATGATATCTTTTGGGATCAGAATTCTCCATTGACAAAGCAGTTAGGTAATTAATTATTAACATTTTTTATGTGAGTAAATATTTGATAAATGATTCAGATTTAACTAGAATTCTAGTCAGATAATAGCATCGGGAACCTCTGAGAATGTTATATGATTTTATCTGTATAAGTATGTGATGTAAACACATAATCCTCTAAGCTGCACTAAATAAAATTACTTTCTAAGAAGTGACAGCTGTTTTTTAAAATGGAGGGTTTTTTGTTTAAAATTTATAGAAATGTCTTTGTTTCTTTAGGTAAAGGAAGAAAAAAACAGATTTACACCACAGATAGTGATGAGATTTCACATATTGTTAATCGTATTGCTCCTCAGGTAAATATCACTAGTTTTACAGTTTGTTTTAAAACAGTGAAGAATGTGCCACTAAGTTTTTGTAGTTTCTTTAAATGAAAAGTATTGTCTATTATAATTCTTTTTTCCAAAAATAAGGCAGCAAAGATTACTGTTTTGCCTTTTCTACTTTTGAAATACATATTTTGAAAAAAGGAATATAATATAAAATACAAGATATTTTCTTAAGTATATATCTTGTTTTAATTTTTTAGAGTAATTTTTGACTAGGGCATTGTGTTTATCTGTAATGTTGTGCTTAACAACATACGACATCATTTTTCAAGTTGCTAAAATAATAGAATAAGGCAGTGAAAAAAGTTTATACTTCTATGATTGTTTTGTGATTGGTACTTCCTGTCTGTAACATTTCCCCATTGAAACTATTAATACTCATTTCCTTATAAGATTATCAAGAAACACTTACAAAAGTGGAGAGCACTGAATTCAAATTTAGTCCTCATTCAACCTCCTATGCTGTGTGACCCAGTGCAAGTTATTTAAACTCCCACCACTTCAGTTCATTCAGCCATGAACTAGAATTATTGTGTTGCTCTTGCTGTCTTCATTGGATCATTATGAGAATTAAACTAGATAAAAATTCTTTGTAAACTATAGAGTGCTATAATTGTAAGGTTACGTTAAGGTTGTTACTGTAATAGAACCATCTCCAAAGCTTTTTTTTCTTTTCTTGGACAGGCATGGTGACTCATTCCTGTAATCTCAGCATTTTGGGAGGAAGGCTGAGGCAGGAAGATTGCTTGAGGCCAGGAGTTTAAGACCCTGTCTCTTAAAAAAAATTTTTTTTTGAGTGTTTCGTTTCTTTTTTTCATTTCTGTTCTTTTATTGTTTGAGTGAAATAGAAATATGTTCAAGTCAATCATTTGACACAAAGCAATCCAGTAACTCTAATATTATAATTACTAAGAAGCAAAGGCTCAATACGTGAAACTGTTCTGAACTTCTTTACTTTTTGTTCTCTTTTTCTTATTTAACATTTAAATCCAGAGAACATTTTTGCTTAGTGTCTTCTCTGAAGGAAGTATGCCATTTTTCCTTAACCTGCGCTTGAATAGTTACTATATGTTGACCATAAACAATAGATGGCACTGGCCCAAAACATGGTTTGAAGAATTACTGTCACCCAGGTGGAAGAGACAGAAAATGAAGTTTTTCTTAGCAGCTATAAAATATCCAAAATTACACCTAGCACAGTCAAAACAACTCTGTTGCTACTAGCTCTACATTCCATTTTTAGCATGTCATAGAAATTCATTTTACTTACAGTTAATTAGTTAAATAGCATTTATGCCATAATAGTACTTACTCTATAAGTTAACAATAGATCTTCATTAATTGTGGGTTTCACATGAAAGAAGCATAATAAAATGTGTTTGGGTGGGCCAGTCTAAATAGTGATAAAAAGATAGTTGTGAATAAATTATTGGACTCTTTACCTAAGTGGGCTAGAAATAATAGCTCATATAAAGAAATGACAACAGTACGCAAGTGGTAACTTGTATAAAAGAAAAAAATATAGTGAAATTAGTAGCTTTAAAATGTTACCCTCTTAAACTGAGTACTTTTAAAGCATATAAATCTTTAGCAGTTTCAAGGTCTGTTTGAAAGCTTGTCATGTTCTCAGAATGACAAATACTTATATTGTTTATTTTTAGGTGAGTCATTCTCAAATCATTTAGTTTTAACATTTTCAGAGATAGCATTTTTTTAAATATGCGCTTTTATTTTGGTTGGACAGTCAGTTCACTTTTTGCAGGGATACTTTTATACAATGTTGTTTATTTGAAGATGGTATGTATCTTCATTTATACAGCTTTGCACAGTATACTTTTTATAATGAAATGAAGTAATGCATTTAGATACCTTATACAGCACCTGGATTATGGTTGAAAATCAATAAATTATGTAATTATTCATGAAGAAATATGTAATAACATGTATAAATAGTATACAAACATACATAGGACCCATGTATATGTAAAGTTGGGTACATAAAGTCATAATTTAGTTCTCTGAAAATTGAATGAATTTAAAATTACTTTTGTAAATGGCAGAGTTCATAATTAAGACTATGATTGTCTTTAAATTCAAGATTGTTGAAATAAAAGGGAAAATATATTGAGTCTGAAAGTGAAATTACTGATTTTCTTGAGTATTTGCAAAGCTAAAGGCAACTAGGTTCAAGTTGACATTAAGAAAACTTTTTTGATTCATTGAGGATTTGAAGTACCAAACTGTAGGGATCTTTTCACCTAAATCTTCTAGTAAATAAATGTATACTGACACTGGTATGCCCAATATTGTGCTGGATGCTGAGTTATTCTAAGAAGAGTCCTTGCCTTTGAGTAGCCTATAATCTAGTAGTAAAATTATTTTTTAAATTGTGTGATATTTATGTTCATTCTAGGTACTATAAAATAGAGTGAAAATGGTTACTTGATTTGATTTGTTGGTTTGGTTTGCAATTAATGCCTAAAGCTCATTCTGTAATTTTTTTGTGTGATCAAGTGACTGAAAGGTACAGCAAAAGTATCCAGGTCTAAAATGCCTTTTTTCTGTATATTATCTGGGCTAAACTTTTCTGTTTTCTCTATTTTTTTATTCTTATTCCTGTCTCATTCTTAGCATCAGTTCTAACCTTGCTCTTATCTCTTAATTCATTCCTGATCTTAATTCTGAGTGTTCTTAATTTAGGTCAACATGGATTGTCCAACTTTAGATAAAGATTATAATAAGGATAAAGAAAATTTGGAGAAACAGATGATACAGAAAGAATTCCATATGTATCTCCTCTCAATTCTGATGATTTCTGCCACACAGTTTCTGACACTAATGTTTTTATAAGTATCTTAGGACAATTAAAATGTCAATTTTCTTTTGATAAAAACATGCTTCTGTTATTAAATGTACATTTGATAAATTTAATTCTTAAAACAATATTTTTTTAAAATAAGCAATTTGTAATTCTGAATGTTTTCATTCTCTGAAACATAAGTGGATCAATTATTGTAGCTTATTATTGCTATCTCCCAACTTCCTATTGTTTTTGAGTTTGGTAAGTGTTACCTCACCAGAATTTAGGAAATTAATTCAAAATCATTAGTTTTTATTGTCTTTTTTCTTTCTTTTGTTTTTTTGGAAGACGGGGGATGCTACACTGGTACTTTATACCTCTTTTTTTCCCTATCTGCCAAAGGATGAAAAACCAACAACAAATTCTATGCTGGACATGTGGATTGGTGAAACTGCTATTCCTTGTACTCCCAGTGTAGCAAAAGGAAAATCAAGAGCAAAAATCAGCTGCACAAAGTAAGTTAAGACTTTTCAGCTTTTCTGAAATTCAGTGAAGCAAATATTTTTTGATAATACTCCATTTTGGTTTTGTGAATATATCAAAATTTTTGTTAATAAAATTTCCACAGTTTTGATCTATCAAATTTTGGAGTTAAAATAATTATAACTGTTAAAATCTTAGAGCTTTAACATCAAAATATGTTAAATAACAGTTGGATATAATGTTTCAGAACATTTTTAGTTATTTTTTAATCTTGTTTAATAGGTTAAAAACACAAAGTCAAGAAGAAGAACTTATGAAACTGGCTAAACAATTTGATAAAAATATGGAAGAGCTAGATGTGATTCAAGAGCAAAACAAGAGGAATTATGATTTTACCCAGATGATTTCAGAAACAGAGATTTTAAGTAATTATAAAGATAATATACAGATGTGGTCATTACATAATATAGTTCCCGAAATAGATAATGCTACAAAAAAGCCAATCAAAGGAAACACCAAGATATCTGTGGCAAATAATCAAAATAGCAGTCAGAAGCCATTTGACCAAATTGCTGAAGCAGCCTTTAATGCTATTTTTGATGGTTCTACTCAGAAATGTAGCGGACAGTTAAGCCAAGAACTGCCAGAGGCTTTTTGGAGCACCAGTAATACTACCTTTGTAAAGACAAATGCTTTGAAAGAGGAGAAAATCATTACTAATGAAACTCTGGTCATTGAAAAACTGTCAAATAAAACCCCACGATCACTTTCTTCTCAAGTAGATACACCCATAATGACAAAATCATGTGTGACTTCCTGTACTAAGGAGCCAGAAACTTCTAATAAGTACATTGATGCATTTACTACAAGTGATTTTGAGGATGATTGGGAAAACTTACTAGGTAGTGAACCTTTTGCTATGCAAAATATCGACATGCCTGAACTCTTTCCTTCTAAAACAGCCCATGTTACTGATCAAAAGGAAATTTGTACCTTTAATAGTAAAACTGTTAAAAATACGTCAAGAGCAAATACAAGTCCAGATGCCAGGTTAGGAGATTCAAAAGTATTACAAGATCTTTCTTCAAAGACATATGACAGAGAATTAATAGATGCAGAATATAGATTTTCACCAAATTCAAATAAATCAAACAAATTATCCACTGGAAATAAAATGAAATTTGAGAACTCTTCCAATAAAATTGTTATTCAAGACGAAATTCAAAATTGTATAGTTACATCTAATCTGACAAAAATAAAGGAAGATATTCTTACTAACTCTACTGAAGCTTCTGAAAGGAAGTCAGCTTTGAACACAAGGTATTCTAATGAACAGAAAAATAAGTGCATTTTAAATCAGTCTATTAAAGCCCCTGTTAATACTGATCTTTTTGGCTCTGCAAATCTAGGCAGTAAAACCAGTGTTAGTAACCCAAATCAGACTAGTGCATCAAAAGTAGGTTCTTTCTTTGATGATTGGAATGATCCCTCATTTGCCAATGAAATTATTAAAGCATGTCATCAATTAGATAATACCTGGGAAGCAGATGATGTAGATGATGATTTGTTGTACCAAGCATGTGATGATATTGAAAGACTAACTCAGCAACAAGACATTAGAAAGGACAGTAAGACATCAGAAAGTATATGTGAGATCAATAATAATTCCGAACATGGAGCCAAACTAACTCAGCAACAAGACATTAGAAAGGACAGTAAGACATCAGAAAGTATATGTGAGATCAATAATAATTCCGAACATGGAGCCAAAAACATGTTTGCTATATCTAAACAAGGAAGTAATTTGGTACAATCAAAGCATTTGAATCCAGGCAGCATTTCAGTGCAGACATCTTTGACAAATAGCTCACAAATAGATAAGCCAATGAAGATGGAGAAAGGGGAAATGTATGGAAATTCTCCAAGATTTTTAGGTGCCACAAATTTGACTATGTATTCTAAGATCTCAAACTGTCAGATAAATAATCTGCATGTGTCTTATACTAACACTGATGTTCCAATACAAGTGAATAGTTCCAAATTGGTTCTTCCAGGAAGTTCAAGTTTGAATGTAACTTCAGATCATATGAATACAGAAATTACTACTTATAAGAAGAAATTGAGTACTAATCAGCCATGCCATAAGACTGTAACAGATGAAGCTCAGAGCAACCTTAACACAACAGTTGGATTTTCAAAGTTTACATTTACAAGGATGAAAAATTCTCAGATTCTTTCTCAGTTTAATCAAAATTGTATAACTGGAAGTATGTCTGATACCAAAATTACACAGGGTGTGGAGAAAAAGAAAGGTGTCAACCCATTACTGGAGGAAGCTGTTGGACAGCAATCTTTGGTGAAACTTTCTGAATCTTTGAAACAATCTTCAAAAGGTATGTATGAAATATGAAATAGTTTTCTTTGAAAAGCATCTTAAAAAGTAGTAAAATAATTATTTGTTGTTTTTGAGTGTGAGTAATGTATAAGGTAAAACTATTCTATGACTAGTTAATTTTAAGAATTAACTAGAATTCTTAAAATGATACTTGGAAATAATTATACGGCATTATACAGAGTAGTTGGTTTATTTTTCAAAATATTACATTGAATTCTTTCCCAGCACTTAATACAATGACTGGCATATAGTAGGTACTCAGTAAATATTTTTTGAATAACTTATTCTTTCTTGGAAAATCATACCTTTAGATATATGTATTATAGTGTTCATTAAGATTGTATTTACTAAATTGTTTTAAAACTTGAGTAATCTGGGAAGCAGATGATGAAGCAGTGAGGTAAATAATATTTAGAAATTTAGAGCATTCTAATTAAACGTCTTTACTAGTGTGATATTTGATATAAACGTGCTAGCGGTGATGGTTAAAATTATGATTTACTTATTTGATAACAGCTATCATTTCTGATTCTTCCAATTTCTCTTTTCCCCAAGTCTCCATTCTATCAATAAGTTTCATTCTTTCAAAAACCGTATCCCCAGACTCCATTTTTCTTTCTACAACAAGTTAACATTTCTTGATGAGACTACTGCAGTTCTTTTATCTATCTCCTTTCAATTCTTATCTCCAAACAGTGGAATAGCCTTTTAAAATTGGATGGGCAAAAATGGCGTTTCTATGCTTAAAACAACCTTCAATGGCTGCCCGTCATATTTCAAATAAAATCCAAACTGTATACTGTGACCAACAAAGCTGTGGATTATCTCTCTTTAACCTGCGTCTCCTCTTTTTTCCTTACCTACTAAGCTTCAGCTATACCAGCTATCTTTTAGTTTTTCAAACAGTGTATGTTTTTCTTCCTTGTCCAGGAACTTAGACCGTGCTCTTCCCTTTGACTAAAACTACTTCTTTTCAACATGTGACCCCTTCCCCACTCTTTTGTTGGTGCTTTCTTACATCTCAGTATAAGTACTACTTTCTCACAGAGGCCTTCCTTGAAGAGTCTATAAATAGATCTCCTTGTTTATTTTTTATTTCCTAATTGCTTTCATCACAAGTTGAAATTAAATATTTAGTGACTCTTCTCTGTCTTGTTGGCATTACTGTTCCAACTTTCCTATCTAAGTGACTTTTTTTAAAAATTTACAATAGTAATATGCTAGTTATTTAAAAAGAAAAGTAAAACAGTATAGAATAATTTAAAGGAAAAAGTTAAGTCTTCTGTTTCTCCTTTCTGATAACCATCCCTTACGGAAAACCACTATTAATAGTTGGTATGATGTAGCATTTTCTATGAATATAAAAAGATATGTGTGTGTGTATGTACGTATATATGTGTATGCATATATATATACCTATAGATCTATTTAAATATTAATAAATCTGTATACCCACTATTTGGCAACTTGCTTTTGCCTTAATATATTATAGCTGTCTTTTCCTATTAGTACATATAAATTTATTTTAGTCCTGTTAATGACTATGTGATATATATGGTGGATGTATCATAATTTAACTGTTTCTCTGTGATGGAAGTTTGGGTTGGTTGCAGTCTTTTGCAATTACAAACAATACTCCAGTAAATATCCTTCTGCATAAATTTCCGCATGCTTGTATAATTGTATCTGTTAATTCCTAAAAAATTGCTACAAGAGGAAGTTTTAAAATTTGATGGATACCACCAAATTTCTATCCGAAGCAGTTATACCAATTTATCTTATCAAAACTTACAGTAAATAATTCTCTACACCCAAGGGTGTCCAATCTTTTGGCTTCCCTGGGCCACATTGGAAGAATTATCTTGGATCACACATAAGATACACTGACACTAACAACAGCTGATGAACTAAAAAAAAAAAAAAAAAAAATCACAAAAGAATCTCATAATGTTGTAAAAAAGTTTATGAATTTGTGTTGGGCTGCATTCAAAGCCATCCTGGGCTGCGGGTAGCTTGCGGGCTGCGGGTTGGACAAGCTTGCTTTACATGATAGCCCAAACTAGATATTTTGAAATATTAAAAATTGTTCTCAATCTATAATAATTTTAAGTATTTAAATTTGTATTAAAGTGAGCATATTGTAACTAAATCAAGCATGTTCCTAGCATGACTTTATTTACAGATAGAGTTGACCCTTGAACAGTGTGGGGGTTAGAGGCGCTGATCTGATTTGCAGTCGAAAGTCTGTGTATAACTTTTGATCCCCTAAAAACTTAACTGCTAATAGCCTGCTGTTGACCAGAAACCTTTCCGATAACATAATTAATTAATACATATTTTGTATGCTCTTATATGTATTATATACTGTATTCTTACAATAAGCTGGAAAAGTGTTATTAAGAAAATAAGGAAGAGAAAATAATATTTACTATTCATTAAGTGAAAGTGGATCATCATAAAGGTCTTCATCCTCATGATCTTCATGTCTAGTAGGCCGAGAAGGAAGAAGAGTAGGAGTTGGTCTTGCTGTCTCAGGGGTGTCAGATGCAGAAAACAACCTACAAATGAGTGGACTTGCCAGTTCAAGCCCATGTTGTTCAAGGGTCAACTATAGTTATAATTCTATAAAAGACTAAACCTCCTGGAGTATTTGAGTTTTCCCAAAACTCCTATCTACCAATCTATCTGCATTTTTTATGGATAATCTGCGTTTTAGCTTACCTTATCAATATTTTCTTTAAACTTATTGATAGTACTGAATCTCTTAATTACTATTAACTTTGTTGATGTTTTCTATTGTTTCTACTTCCTTTTACTTTGGTATGTAGCAAGCTGCTCTCCAGGGAAGTATCTCTGAAACAAAACTCACTTAACTCCCACATTTATTTCAGGCAGGAGTTGGCAAACTATGATCTGTCCAAATCCAGCCTGCAGCTTGTTTATGTATAGCCAGCACACTAAAAATGATTTTTACATTTTAAATGGTTGGAAAAAAATTAAAAGGAGAATAATATTTCATGACATTTGAAAATTATATGAAATCCAGATTTCATTGTCCATAAACAGGTTTTATTTGAATACAGCTCATCAGTTATTTATACATTATCCATAACTATTTTTGCTACAGTGGTACAGGTGAGCAGTTGCAACAAGATACTCAAAGGTTAACATTCTTGCTTTCTGACTCTTTCTTTACAGGAAAAAAAAAAATTACTGACCCTTGCACTGTAAGATCAAGATTAAGAAGAGCAGCTTTTGCTTAGTACTTTACAATATTTTAAGACTTCATTGTGTATTTTTATTATAGATTGAGTTAAAGGAAAGACTGATGGGAAAAATGGATGAGTCCCTAAATCAAATTTTCATGGTGTGACCTGATTATCATTTGAAATTATTTTCTATAATATTGCCAAGCAAATTGTAAGACCAACTTTAGGAAGTTATGTTTTCTGCTGTTACAGATTATTAACCTGTTTTCTTTCCACACAGTCAAATTCAGTGTAAAGTCTTTGGATGTGTAGTCTGAGTTTGTTGTGTTTCTCAGCTTTGAGACTAAAAGTATTAGATAATTAGTCAAGCTAATTAGAAAGTATCTTCTGGTGTCTCTCTTTAGGAAAAAATATCTACAGTCTGTTAGGTAAATAGCTTAGGAAATAAAAGCCATCAAAATCATCTGGGAAACTTATTTAAAATATGTATTTCTTAGCCTGAATACCCCCTCCCATTTCTGATTATACCAAGAAAGGAAAGGGAGGCAGATTATATATTTTGAAAATGCCTCTGTTAGTTAACAAGAGAAATGTCTCATAAATTGTGTATCTTTTTCTAAATGTCAGAATAAATGATATACTTAAATATGTATTAGGGTGATAGTCTTAAACTTAAAATATCATTTAAATGAGAAAGTGATTTCTAATACAAAGCCTCAACTTACTAAGTTAATTGAGATTATTTTAAAGTTTCTCCAAAATGCATCCTCCAAATAAAAATATAATTTCTGACAGTGAATCACAGGTAACCAGTTTGACATGACAGATTTCATTTTATCACTCTAAAATATATTTCCTCAGTGGATGAAATGAAAATTTTATAGCTCTATAGGGAAAAGTAGATGTGAATATTAATATAACATCTTATGTAAATATACACTGTTTGAGATTGATAACTAATTTAATTCCTTATATTTTGACTATTTTCCAATTAAAGTTTACATAACATTTTAAATCCCAATGTATCCTTTTTAAAGATATATTTATTCGTGGGTCATATAAATTAGATGTCATTGTCCACAAGAATTATTTGGTGGGTAGTCAGTTTTCTATCAAACTGAATTTTATCACACTGTGAAAAGAATGTATCAAATAGAGACAGATCCATCAGTGCTTGATTTTCTTTTGAACTGGAGCATTATATCTGTATTATGTACTTAGAATTTTATATTCAGTAGTTTAGTTTGATTTAATAGCCAACTAATATGGCAAATCTGGGTGATTAAAAAAAGCAAAAATTAAAGCACATATTGAATGACTTTATAGGCTATAAAAGTAAAACTCATCTTTTGTTGAATTTTTAGAGGAAGAAGAGAAAAATAGAAAGTGTTCTCCTGAAGAAATTCAGAGAAAAAGACAAGAAGCACTGGTTCGGAGAATGGCTAAAGCACGAGCCTCATCTGTAAATGCAGCTCCCACTTCATTTCTTTAATGAAATATTAGTTGGAAGACTTCACGAAGACTGCTGATAACTATCTGTGATTGATAGGAAATTTTTTTTCTTGATTTCTCTGTGAGAAATGTAATGCTGACTTTTATAAAGCCTGGACTTCTACTTTATTTAATAAATCAATGTTTGCAATGGTAAATGAAACATTTCCTTGGACATGTATTTGAAAGTCATTAAATACAAAAGTTTTGGAAATTCAGGAAAGTTAGCAATTATGTACGGATATTATACAGAGGAAAGTAGTTATATTTTTAAATGCTATTATTGCAGAGGATCATCAAAAAAGAGGTAATCTACGTTATTTCCTATTCTAATGTCTTTTCCTAATAAAAAACTTCAACTTTCTAAGTTAGTAGAGACTGTTTTTGTAGTTTTACTTTCATTAACTGTTGCTTAAGGTTTTTATACACTTCCAGATTTTAATTAATACTTTCATATTTCTAGGAACATGGTTGATATGAAATAAAGGACTTTTTATTTGTAAGGAAATTATGTTCAGTTCTTAGAAGTGGATTTGAATTTTAATAATTCTAAAATGTGACACATTTTGGAAACTTTCCACCATATTTAGGAAAACTTTGATTTTAGAAGTCTAACATAGAGGAAAAGAAGTAGTGGATTGTCTACAAAAGTAATGTGGCATCATTAACATTTAGAACTGGCAGAAACTTCATATGTCATCTGGTCCAGCTTCCTTATTGTATCGGTGAGAAAAAGTAATACTGTTTTCAAAGTCATAGGCAAGTTAATGCTGTGCTACAATTAGAATGATTTATTTGGACACCTAAACAATTATACTATTTGTTTCAAAGTATCAGTACATAAAATAACTTGAGGGAGTATTATTTTCTAGTATAAAACAAAAGATGTAATTAAAAGCACAATAAGGACTGTTTGATAATAATGCTCATTGTTCCTTATTTTGCTTTAAAGAATTAGTCTTTCCAGGATATAAAAATGAGAATCTTTTTTCTTTTCAGTTTTTCTGTAACTGTAATTTTCCCCTCAATTAATTTACTTAGTTGACTCATCTTTTCTTCTCTATTACTGTTTTGTTTTTTTCTTTTTTTGCCATTTTGCCTATTTGGAATTTGCTAAACCAGTAATAGAAGTCCAACTAGAGGGCGTAAGGCAGGGAGGATGCTTTATTCCTCTTAAATGGTTTTAGGAGATCTAGAGAAAGTTAGAGATATGAAACACCTGTCATGGTGTGGCATTTATCACTATCAAGTGTCTCAAAGCTGTGATAATATGGTAGTTACTGCCCTATAGCTATACAGATACTCCTCAACTTACCGTGTAGTTACATCCCAATAAACCCATCATGAGTTGAAAATACCTTAAGTTAAAAATGCATTTACTACACTTAATCTACCAGACAACATAGCTTAGCTTAGCCTACCTTAAACATGCTCAAATCACTTATATTAGCCTAGAGTTGGGCACATCATCTGGCAATACGGCACACTGTAGAGTATCAGTTGAGCTGATGCCCAGCATCGTGAGAATGTTGTACCACATATCTCTAGCCTGGGAAAGAATCAAACTTTAAAGTATGGTTTCTATTGGACGCATATCACTTTTGCATCACGTTAGAGTTGAAAAATTGTAAGTCAACCATTTTAAGTTGGAGACTGTACATCAAAAATGGTATTTTCATATCTACAGTGGAGTACTGGAGTTTAGCTAACCTATATTATTTTTCCAGGAATATATAATAACCTAGATAAATGCAAGTAGTTTCTATGTACAAAAATAAAGAGCTGAGAATCTTTTACTAAAAGTGGCTTCACTGTGTTCTGACTATGCTTTGGATATCTCTGTCCTTGCTTAAGCTCCTCCCTGCTTACTGCTTGCTTTTTTAAGAGTACTTTTAGCCTATTCTGTTCATTCATTTAGACTCAGCCTAATAAGTCTGTTTGAACCTCGTACCTAACCATCTTCACTGGAATTGATTGCTTCTCTCTGATCATAATGGTACTAATTATTGTGTCTTTCATTGAGCAATACTATAATGCCTTTATGTGTTGTTTAGTTGTATAAATCTTATTTTATAATTTGTCATTTTGTGTCTCTGGTAATTCTGCCAAATTCTTATACAGCTCATAGTATTATTTACGTAATAGTTTTCTCTAAGTGACTCCCTTTTTTTAAAAAAAAAAAAAAAAAAAAAACTTTTATAGCACTTCTGGGTGGTGGCAGGTGTAATGGCCCTGTACATCTGAACCTCACATGACTGGTTTTTAGGGTCACTGCTCCTGTTCATACCACTCTCCTTTCCTATCCTGACTCTTCCTTTAGCCCTTGTTGGAAACATTAGGGGGTGAATGGCCCATAAATGAGCATGCAGAGGGCTGACTATATAGTTTGCCTGGCTTTTCTCTTTCCTAGTCTATAGGGAATCTGGGGAAGGGACAACTGGTAGCCTGGCAATTTCCCCCTAAAGTTCCGCTGCTGTTTCTGCATCTCAGACTGATGCTAATAATGCCATTATTTCCAAAAAGAGCCTGTTGAAAGCGGAGCTTATCTCTCATTCATCTTTTTCTGTTATAGACAGATGACTCGGACCCCAGGAACATTGGGGTTGCTTACTGCAGACAGTGGTATGCAGACATGTATCCTACCATGGGAAACACTGCCTTATATACTACCCTATTATCACCAGCTTTTAAGTTACCAAGAACAGAGACACCTTACTCATTTCTGTCCACCTGATACTGATAGCCAGTGGTTACTCATTAAATGTTGAATGAATTTAGACAGAATCTGGTGGCAGAAATCCTGCCCTCCCCCTCTTGAGACAATTTGACTCTGATTCTCTCAGTTTTAGGGTTGGGAAATGTTTCTAGGAACAATTTAAGCCTAGCACTAGCGTTAAGTGATTATTTAGAATCTGACCATGGATTTCAGTTCTTGCCAGGTGTGATCATAATCACTTGTGGGATCCTAAAACAAAAACTAAACTTGTCCTCCTGCCTTCTCTTAGACCTCATAAATGAGTAGATGTAGGATTTTATTTCAGATGTGTCTTTTGAAAGCCCATTGGCTGTAGCAGGCACTATTGAAAATAAATGTAATTGCTAGACTTATATAACATTGCTAAATGGCTTCAACTAAATTTACTTCTCAAAACCATATAAAATAATACTTTTACACCCATTTTACAAATAGGGAAAGTAATCAGATTGACTTTCTCAAAATCCCACATTTAGAAGTTGGAGCTAGAGTTTAAACCCAAATAATCTTAATTCCAAATATTGTGACCTTAACCACTGAGTATACTATCATCTGGAAACAATTCATAAGAACTAGTTATCTATGGAAATTATCAGGAAAGAATTAAAGCATTTTGGGCATTTGTGCCAAAAATACCATCACTATTCTGTAGGTCTCTTATAGCCCAGGAGAATACTTTTTCCAATCCCAATTTCTGTTACAGATGATTGCCGTACTTTATGTGTGTAGGTGGATAGGTTTTGATTGTATTAGCCCACATAGAGGTTGCCTATTTTCATTCAACTATTAAACAAAAGAATAGAGAATACATAAAATGCATAGCTACTTTAAAATGCCTTCATTTCACTTCATTTAGTAACTTCTGGATGTTCTAGTTTTGAATCTATTGAGGAAAAATTAATTTCCTAGTCCAAGATATAATGGCATACCTCAAGCTGCTAATAAAACTTCAATGCAAGTAGTAAAATTAAGGTTTCTGGTTAGATGCACACTATATAGAGTACTGGTATTCAAGCGTTTTAAGTCCTAGGGCCTTTTTATACTCTTTAGTTGAGGACTACAAAAAGCTTTTGCTTCAGTGGGTTTTATCTGTTGATATTTACCATATTAAAAGTGATATATTTATTAGTATATTTGAAAAGCCATTAGATGTTAACAAATGTGCCTGTTATGAAAAACATTTTCTAAAACAAAAATCTGGCGAAGAAAATAGCATTACTTTTTGGCAACTCTTTGGTGTCTGACTTTATAGAAGATATCTGCATTCTCACATATATTTCGCCATTTAATTTGTTAAAATTGTTATAGTAGAAGTATACAGAAAAGTTCAGTCCCATGCAGATATGTAGTTGGGAAAGGATGAAGTATTGTGATAGTCTTTTCAGATAATTGTGGATATTCTTTGATATTACACCAGCACTCAAAAAGTAATTTCTTAAAAATTAGTTGTATTCCAAGATGGAATAACAAGGACCACATGTACTCTTCTTGCTGAAATAACCAAATTTTAAAAAGATAAACTACATGAAAAAGTGGATTTCAAGATACATCAGCGCAATTAGGAAAGTGGAAATATGGATCTACACAAAGGAATGATGAACAATTGGAAATGATAAACGCATGGGTAAATATATAAGTTTCAAAAAGTTATTATGTCTCTTTAAAAGATAATTGGCTGGTTAAACAATAATAATGTGGAGTTTATAACATGTCAAAGTTAAGTACGTGACAATAGCATAAAGGCCAGAAGGAAAATAATGAAAGAATAGACATTCCTTATTTTGCACTTTTGACATGCATGAGGTTTGGTTACCTAACACTATTCCCCCAACAAACTGTTCAACTTTCTGTTAACACAAGTATATTATCTGTGAATAATTGCATGAAGTACAGACTTTACAGCTTCCTCAGTTCACAAATCACTACCTAAATAACAGATGTGAATCATAAGTGACCAATCATGTCACTTCTATTCAAGATCTGCCTGTGATTGGTCCCTGCACACCTGTAATTCATTACATACACAGCAAAGGTTGTAATTGTATGCCTCCTGATAAACCCATGTGCTGTTTTACGAAGATGGATCTTTGAAAGGTGGAACTAACCAATAAAGATGAAAGTGTAGCAAAAAAACAAAAAGCAATAACATCGAAAGTGAAATTTCAAATCCAGCATAAATGGAGGTATGGGAAAAATAGCTGTTGATGGGAATGTTGGCACCTTTCAAGAGTCTATGCAGTCAGAGTTGCTTAGTGAAGGTAAACAATATGAGTGGGGAAAGTGGTTGTGACTAAAACATTTAAGATGTCCCAGAGGAAATGACATTGGCAAAAAAACTTCACATTGAGTGGACTTTGGACTATTTCAAGACATTAAGAGTATAAATTTTAAAATATTGTAAGCTGAACCAAACTTGGAGTATAACTCATCATACCATGGAAAAGAGGCTCACCTTATATTGTAAGTTAGTTAATGAGAGGAAGAAAAAGGCAAGCATTGTTCAAACTATCTGATAAATGTTTTACAAAAAACAAAAAACTACTCAATATTTCTAATGTTTTATATTGTAAATATTAGCTTTTCTAGTTTTAATTCCTCAATACATTTACAACTGAAATGGTTTTTCATTTTTTGACAAACATTTTTAAAGGTCATGGAACAATTGTAAATTTTCCCATTGATTATTAAGATTGTTTTGAATGGTTTCAGCTTGCACAGTCATTTTTATGGTCCTGCATTCATGTGCAAGGCATCAACAGCCTGTATAATGTGGTCAACATCTTATACTATGCATAAAGTGGTATCACTTGAAGATAAGACTGATAAATTTAAAGTATATACTATAAATCCTAAAGCAACTACTGAAATAACAAAATAGAGTTATAACTAGTAGTTTAACACTGAAGATTAAATGAAATAATAAAAATCCTTAAAAAGGCAGGAAAAAATAGGGAACAAGAACATGTGGAAGAAATAGGAAACCAATATAAATATGAAAGAGTTAAACCTAACCATATCAATCATGTGGAGTGGAAATGATCTAAACATTCCAATTAGAAGGCAGAGATTGGCAGATTGGATTTTAATAAAAGAGTACACAACTATATGGTGCCTACAAGAAGTACACTCTAAATATAAGGACACAGGTAGGTTAAAGTAAAAATGTGGCAAGGATTTGTCATACTAATGCTAGTCAAAAGAAATCTTGACTGGCTGTATTAATATCACATAAAATAAATTTTATAGCAATTATTTCCAGAGAGGAAAGCCATGTCATAACAATAAAGAGGTCAATCAAGAGAACACAACTATCTCAAATATGTGTGTACTCAACAGCTTCAAAACACATGAAATAGACACTGATAGAACTGCAAAAAGAAAAGGACAAATCCCAATTACAGTCTGAGATTTGAATATGCCCTCTCATTAACTGATAGAACAAATAAGCGGAAAGTAAGCAAGGGTAAAATAGACTTGAGCAACACTATCAACCAACTTGATGTGAATAACAGAACACTCCACACCCAACAACAGAATACACATTCTTCTCATGGGCACATGAAGCATTTATCAAGTTTGACCATATTCCAGACCACAAAATAATTCTCAATTTTAAAGTACTCAAGTCACACAAAGAATGTTCTCTGCTCTCAGTGGAATTTTATTAGAAATTGATAACAAAATGATCCCTAGAAAATCCTTAAATATGTGAAAAGTACACATCTCTAAATCATCCATGAATAAAATTTTTTTAAAAAATTAGACATTTTGGTATGAATGAAAATAAGAACAAAACATAACAGAATGTGATGTACTGCTAAAGAAGTACTTAGGGGAAAATTTATAGCGCTAAATACCTATCTGAAAAAATAAGATCCCAAAAAAGGCCCCAAACTGCCTTCAGTCTAAGAAACTACAAAAAGAAAAGTGAATTAAAATTAATCAAAGCCAGGTGTGGTGGTACATACTTGTAATCCCAGCTATTGAAGAGGCTGAGGCAGGAGGACTGCTTGATCCCAGGAGTTTGAGGCCAGCCTGTACAATATAGCATGACTCAATTTCAAAATAATAATCATAATAAAAAAGTATGCAGAAGAAAGGAAACAATAAAGATCAAAGCTGATTTAACGAAATATAAAAAAGAAAAATGAATGACTCCAAAAGTCATTTATTTAAAAAGGAAAAGACACAAATTACTAATATTAAGAACAAGAGAGGTGACATCACTGCAGATTGTACAGAAAGAATGATAAGAGAATATTATGAACAATCTTAATGCCAACATATTTGACAACATAGATTAACTGAAAAATTCCTTGGAAGTTACAAATAACCAAAGCTCACTCAAGAAATAGATAACCTAAATAGCTCAGTATTCCTTAAACTAATGTTTTTCATTAGTTTATTTTCAACAAGGCTGCTATCTTAGTCTGTTTTTGCTGCTATAACAGAATATCTGAGACTGGGTAATTTATAATGAACAGATTTGTTGGCTCACTATTCTAGAGGCTGGGAAGTCCAAAATCAAGGGGCTGGTGTCTTGCAACGGCCTTCTTTCTGTGTCGTCCCATGAAGGAAGGAAGAAGGGCAAGACAGAATAAGAGGGGCCCAGTCACCCTTTTATAACAGCACCAATCCCATCCATGAGGGTGGAGCCCTCATGGCCTATTTAAAGGTCTCACTTCTTAATGCTGTAAAAATGACAAATTTCAACATGGGTTTTGAAGAGCACAAACATTCAAACCATAGCATGTACCAAAAATCATTCAATGGGGAAAGAAAAGTCTTATCAACAAATGGTGCTAAGACAACTGAATATCCATATGCCAAAGCATTAAGTTAGACCCCCTATATCATACCATATACAAAAATTAATTCAAAATAGATCATAGAACTTAATGTAAGGGCTAAAACTGTAAAACTCTTAGTAGAAAACATAGGAGTAAATTTTTATGACTTTGAATTAGCAGTAGTTTCTTAGCTATAACACCAAAAGTACAAGTGACAAAACAAAGAATTGAGCTTCATCTAAATCAAAAGCTTTATGTTTCAAAAGACACCATCAAGAAAGTGAAACAACTACCTATAGAATAAGAGAAAAATCTTGGCAAATTACATCATGATTAAGGACCTGTATCCAGAATACATAAATTACTTCCAAATCTCAACCATAAGACAGAAAACAACTCATTTTTTTAATGGGCAAAAGACACTGTATTAGCCTGTTTTCACATTGCTGTAAAGAACTAGTGGAGACTAATTCATAAGAAAAGAGTTTTAACACGGTTCTGCAAGCTGTATAGGCTTCTGCTTCTTGGGATGCCTCAGGAAACTTACAATCATGGCAGAAGGTGAAAGGGAAGCAGGCTTGGCCTTCACATGGCCAGAGCAGGAAGAAAAGAGAGCAAAGGGAGAGGTGCTACACACTTCCAAACAACCAGATCTCGTGTAAACTCTGATCATAAGACAGCACTAGCGGGATGGTGCTAAACCATTAGAAACCACCCCCATCATTCAATCACCTCCCACCAGGTCCCTCCTTCAACATTGAGGATTACAAGTCAACATGAGGTTTGAGTGGGGACACAGAGCCAAACCATATCATTCTGTCCCCATCCCTCCCAAATCTCATGTCCTTCTTATGTTTCAAAATATAATCATGCTTTCCCAACAGTCCTCCAAAGTCTTAACTCACTCCAGCGTTAACTCAAAAGTCCAAGTCCAAAGTCTCTCTGAGGCAATGCAGGCCCTTCTGCCTATGAGCCTTTAAAATATAAAACACGTTGGTTACTTCCAAGATCCAATGGGGGTACAGGCATTGGGTAAATACTCCCTTTCCAAAAGGGAAAAATCTGCCAAAACAAAGGGGCTACAGGCCCCATGCAATTCCAAATCCCAGCAAAGCAGTCATTAAATCTCAATACTCCAAAATGATCTCCTTTGATTCCATGTCTCATATCCAGGCCTCACTGATTGCAAGGAGTGGGCTCCCAAGGCCTTGGGCAGCTGTGCCCTGTGCAGGGCTCAGCTCCTATGACTGCTCTCAAGAGCTGGCATTGAGTGCCTATGGCTTTTCCAGGTGCATGGTGCAAGCTGTTAGTGGATCTAACTTCTGGGGTGTGGAGGATGGTGGCCCTCTTCTCACAGCTCCACTAGGCAGTGCCCCAGTGGGGACTCTGTGTTGGGGGCTCCAACCCCACATTTCCCCTCCACACTGCCCTAGTAGAGTTTCTCCATAAGGGCTACTGAGACATCATTACACACATATTAGAATGATTAACATTAAAAAGACATGTCTATCTGTATTGCTATAAAGAAATACCAGAGGCTGGGTAATTTATAAAGAAAAGAGATTTTTTTTTTTTTTTTTTTTTTTGGCTCATGGGTCTGCAGGCTGTACAAGAAGCATAATGCCAGCATCTGCATCTAGTGAGAGCCTCAAGCTGCCTCTATTCATGGCAGAAAAGGAAAGAAAGCCAGTATGTAGAAATCACAGGGCAGGCTGGATGTGGTGGTTCATGCCTGTAATCCCAACACTTTGGGAGGCTCAGGTGGGAGGATCATTTGAGGCCAGGAATTCAAGGCCAGCCTAAGCAACATTGTGAGACCCTATCTACACACACACACACACACACACACACACACACACACACACACACACACACACAAATTAGCCATGTGCAGTGGTGTGCACCTGTAGTCACAGCTACTTGGAGGCTGAAGTGAGAGAATGGCTTGAGCCTAGGAGTTTGAGGCTACAGTGAGACGTGATCACAACATTGTACTCCAGCCTGTGTGACAGATTGAGACTCTGTCTCTAAATAAATAGAAATCACAGTGCAAGAGAGAGCAGGGAGGTGCCAAGCTCTTTTTAACAACCAGCTTTGGCTAGCAGGAACTAATAGAGTGAGAACTCCCTCACCCCCACCAGGGGGGATCCACTGCCATGACCCAAACACCTCCCACTGGGCCCCACCTCCAACATTGGGAATCAAATTTTAAATTGAGTTTTAAGGAAGCCCAAATATTCAAATTATAGCACTGGCCATATCAGTGTTGGCAGCATCTGGAGGGACTAGAACTCTCATATGCTCCCTTTAGGAAGGTAAAATGGTGAAAATAGTTTTATGGCTTATATAAAACTCCAGAAAATGGAAAGCCATGGATTTTGGCAGAAGGTAGATCAGTCATTGCTTGAGGATGCGGGAAGAAAGGAGGGGAGAGTGGGAAGGATTACAAAGGAGAGAAACTTGGGGGTTGATGGATATGTTCACTATTTGCTTTTGGTGTTTTTATGGCTGCATACATACTCCAAACTTATAAAATTGTACTATTTATTACATTTTTTTCTTGGTAGTGACAGAGTCTCACTATATGCCCAGGCTGGTCTCGAACTCCTGGCCTCAAGTGATCCTCCTACCTCAGCCTCCCAAAGTGCTGGGACTGTAGGTGTGAGCCACAATGCCCAGCCCAATTATACAATTTAAATATGTAAAATTTATCGTACGTCAATTATATCTCAGTTAAAGCTATCAATGAAAAATAAAGTTAGTTGCAATGTAGAATTTGAACCAAACCAATAAACTTTTCATACTCTGTATAACTGATTGGTCTACATTTTATTTGAATAGGTTTTATACATATAGGTAAAATATCTTCATGCAATTATTTGGAAAATACAGGTTCACTGAGTTATGCAGATCTTCCAAATGTTGGCACATTTCATGATATGATCACCTTTTTTATTATCACTACGGATCTCAAGAAATGTCTTACTGCTTTGGGAAATTGTCAAGCTTCCCGATAGCTGATACAAGTTTTCCAAAATTTTAATTTTTGTTTGAAAGCTTGAATTTTGTCCTTGCCAAAAAATAATTTCCATTTTTCTCCTTGAAGTGACAAATTAACTTTGATCATATTTGAGATGATGTCTACCAAATATTTTAGGCCAAATAACCAGATATTGACATTCTTTCAAGTGAAATTGATATTTCATGTTAAAAAAAAAAGCAGCTAATTCAGCATGCACCAAGTACTTTTCCTTGAGATAACCATGACACATTGATATGTAGAAGTGTTTGTGTGTACTTTCCATTTGATCTTAGAGACTATTAAAAAAGTATACTAAAGATTGAAATTTGATAAAATTAATAATTATTACTGCTTAATTATGGTCATCAAGTGAAGTGTCTTTTTTTTTTCTTGACAGCAGGTGAATGGCAGTGAAGAATACCATGACTTTCAATTCTTATTATTTAAGAAATATATTTGCACAGCTATAGCTGCCATAGATAGTGATTCCTCTGATGGATCTGGGCAAAATAAAATTGAAAATCTTCTGGAAAGGATGCATCATTCTAGATGCCATTAAGAACATTAATGATTCATGGGAGGAGGCAAAAATATCTACATTAACAGGGGTTTGGAAGAAGTTGATTCCAATCCTCATGGATGACTTGAGGGCTTCAAGACTTCTGTGGAGGAAGTAACTACAGAAGTGGTGGGAATGGCAAAATAACTAGAATTAGCAGTAGAGCCTGAAGGTGTCCCTGAATGCTGCAATCTTGATAAAACTTTTAACAGTTTAAGAGTTGTTTTTATGGATGAACAAAGAAAATAGTTTCTTGAGATGGAGTCTATTTCTGGGTGAAGATACTGTGAACATTATTGAAATGGCAATAAAGTTTTAGGATATTTTCATAAACTTAGTTGGTAAAGCAGCAGCAGTGTTTGAGAATACTGGCTTCAATTTTGAAAGAAGTTCTATGTGAGTAAAATGCTATCAAACAACATTGCATGCTACAGGGAAATGTTTAATGACAGGAAGAGTCTGTAGATGTGGCAAACTTCATTGTTTTATTATTTTAAGAAACTGCCACAGCTACCCTAAACTTCAGCAACCACTACCGTGAGCAATCAGCTGCCATCAACGTGGAGGTAAGACTCTCCACCTGCAAAAACATTACAACTTGCTGAAGGCTCAGATAATTGTTAGCACCTTTTTAGCAATAAGGTATTTTATTTTATTTTATTTTATTTTATTTTATTTTATTTTATTTATTTTATTTTATTTTATTTTATGAGACAGTCTCACTCTGTCACTCAGGCTAGAGTGCAGTGGTGCAATCTCAGCTTATTGCAACCTCTGCCTCCCAGGTTCAAGCGATTCTCATGCCTCAGCCTCCCTAATAGCTGGGATTACAGGCATAAGGCCCAGCTAATTTTTGTATTTTAGTAGAGGCAGGGTTTCACCATGTTAACCATGCTGGCCTTGAACTCCTGGCCTCAAGTGATCTGCCCACCTTGGTCTCCCAAAGCGCCAGGACTACAGGCATGAGCCACCCCACCCAGCTGCAATAAAGTATTTTTAAATTAAGGTGTGTACAATGCATTTTGGACGTAATGCTATTGTACACTTTTTTAAAGTTCTTATTTCTTCCCTTTTTAAATTATTTTTCCATTCTCAAAATATCACTGCTATCAGCTATTGTATACTTAATAGAATACAGTATAGCATAGACACAGCTATTATATGTACTAGGAAACTAAAAAATTCATGTGACTCACTTTATTGCAATATTCACTTTATTGCAATTGTCTGGACCCAAATCCACAATATCTCTGAGATATACCTGTAGTCTTTTATGGATTTCTTTTTATTATTATATATTTTAGTAAATTGTGTTACTTTTAGGATGCCCATAACCTAATTTTTTCCTTCGGTTTTTTATATAATTCTATCTGCACATATTATTTAATGACATTTTTATACTTACCTAAAGCCGTGCATAAGTATGTAATAAAAATTTAAGGCAAACGCATTTCCACCTCAATTATATTTTCAGAATTATTTATTTTAAAATCAACAAACATTAAATACTTTATTTGGCCAAGACAATTTGGCTTGGTCTTTAGCACTTCAACTGTAATACTTGTAGGCCTGATTTTCTTCATATTTAGACCGTTTGAGACTCACTAAACTTCTTGGATGTGTAATTATGTTTTTCACTAAATTTGGAAAGTTTTTGATCCTTTAGTTTCACATATTTTCTGTCCCATTCTTTTACTCTTTTCCTTCTGGAACTCCAGTTATCCATTTGATTTGTAGTACAAGTACCCAAGATTTTTTATACTTTATTTCTATCATTTTCTCTGTCTTCTTTAGATTGAATATTTTAATTGATCCACAGATTAATTGAATTTTTATGCTATCATTATCATGCAGCTATTGAGCCCATCATATGAATTCTTTAAATTTTAGACATGTAGTTTTAGTTCTAAAATTTTCACTTCTTTCTTATAGTTTCTCAGCTGATATTTCATATCATTTTATTCATTGCAAACATATTTGTATGTATGCAAACATCATATTTGTACATCACAAAGCATGGTTTAGCTGCTTTAAAGTCGTTTCCTGATTCTTCTTCTTCTTTTTTTTTTTTTTTGGTTTGATTGTTTTGGTTTTTTGAGGCAGAGTCTCACTCCATTGCCCAGGCTGGTGTGCAGTGGTATGATCTCTGCTCACTGCAAACTCCACCTCCTGGGTTCAAGTGATTCTCCTGCCTCAGCCTCCCAAGTAGCTGGGATTACAGACACGCACCACTAAGCCCAGCTAATTTTTGTATTTTTAGTACAGATGGGTTTTCACCATGTTGGCCAGGCTGGTCTCAAACTCCTGGCCTCAAGTGATCTGCCCATCTCAGCCTCCCAAAGTGCTGGGACTACAGGCATGAGCCACCGTGCCCTGCATGATTATTCTAACATCTTGATCACTATAGAGTTTGCCTTTGCTGATTATCTTTTCCTTGGAGATTAGATCACATTTTCTGGCTCTTTGTATGTCAAATCATTTTGGATTGTATCCTGGACATTGTGTTGGTTATGTTCTGGAGACTGGGTTTGGTTATATTCCTCTAAAGAGTGCTGATGTTTTTGTTTTAGTAGGCAGTTAATTTGGCTGGACTCAAACAAAAAAATTTTGCTTTGACTATGGTGGAAGTTCAGATCTGATTTCATACTCCTTTTAGTCAGCTTAGCATATGTATCATTCAAGGGTCAGCCAGAGATTTGAACAGAGTTTATACATGGAGTTTTGAATTTGCCTTATCTGGCACTGTCTGTTCTAATATTTTCTCTCTGGCAGCCCTGTTTACCTTGGCTCCTCTTAGTTCCTCTAAACAGAAAGATGGTAGACTTTTTCTTGGTAATTTAGCCACTTTGCACTCTGCCACAGTTGTGCTTGACTTTAGCACAAAACCTCAAATAGGGGAATCTTTCTTTCTACAGATTACTGCCTCCAAGTTTTAACACCGCTCCAAAATCTGCCTGCTTTTGTTGACTCTGTAGAGCCCTAAAGTAGTTGAACTTTTAATTTTCATCAGTTTTTAGTTGTTATCTAACAGACTGTCTGTCTATTAGGTCCTTTATCTGGATACTAGAAACAAATCTGCCAATTTTAGATATTTTCAATAGAAAAAAATATATATATTTCTGTATATATATATTGTATTCTGTATACTGATTACTCATGAGAAGCTCCCTGGTCTAGGATAAATACATTATATTTTCCATGGCCCCAAATAACACAAAACATTCATAAATCCATATATTAACTTTTAAAATACTGCTACTTTTGGTTTTACCATTAATTCATTGCCTAAATAAATTCTCTGGACATGTGTTTACTCACTATGAAAATGAAGGAGATCCAAGCTGGGTACAGTGATGCACACCTATAGTACTGGCCACTCAGGAGGCTGAGACAGGAGGATCACTTGAGCCCAGGAGTTTGAGGCCAGCCTGGGCGACATAGCCAGACCCTGTCTCTATAAAAAATAAAAAAGATTAATATTCAAGATCCCCTCAAGGTTCTATTACTCTAAAGGTAGTAGATTCATTTGAGTTTTGTATATATGTCATGTCACTTATACACAATACACATACATGCACGCGTACACTCGGTTTTGTGTATATGTGCTACTATTGTTAATATATTTTGAAAACCATAATGTTTCAATTCAATACCAACATTTTAACTATAAGGCTTGCACTAGTTAACTTGATATAATAGATGGCTTCCTGGAAGTATTAAATGTAATAATACCAAATAATATTTAGAGTTCATAATGGATGATTGACATTTATAGGAATTGTGTGGATTGTTTTCTGTAAAGATGATATTTGTAACAATAGTCACTTCCTAATTTAAATTTTCATTTTTTTATTGTTTGTTTTTTTTTGAGACAGAGTCTCACTCTGTTGCCCAGGCTGGAGTGCAGTGACGTGATTTTGGCTCACTACAACCTCTGCCTCCCAGGTTCAAATGATTCTTCTGCCTCAGCCTCCCAAGTAGCTGGGATTGCAGCTGCCCGCCCCCACACCTAGCTAATTTTTGTATTTTTAGTAGAGGCAGGGTTTCACCATGTTGGCCAGGCTGGTCTCAAACTCCTGGACTCAAGTGATCCATCCACTTTGGCCTCCCAAAGTGCTGAGATTATAGACCTGACCCACTACACTCAGACTAATTTAACTTTTGTATAAATCTATATCCCACAAAAAGAATAATTACAGTATGCATGCTTCATGTTATAAATATTAAAAATAATAATATCATTTAGCCATAATTTGAGGTAGCAATAATCTATAACTTTTATTGATAGAATTCTTAGCTTTTACCAAGAGAAGACTTTCGTTAAGTACATATATAATTTTAATTAATACATATATAAAAAAGAACCTAAAAAATTTAAAACTTAATATTTTCAGTCTTTTGCCCAACTAAAGAGTTTATACAAATATTACTATCATTTCAGATTTATTTTAAATTAAACTATGACTTGTCTTGTTTTATTACTGCTTTATTTGTTAATATTTGCTTAAGCTTTCATTTTCAATTCTATGCTGATGGTGCAATTCTTTTAATTTTATTTTAAGTTCTGGGATATATGTGTAGGATGTACAGGTTTGTTACATAGGTAAACGTATGTCACGGTGGTTTGCTGCCCCAATCAACCCATCATCTAGGTATTAAGCCCTGCATGCATTAGCTGTTTATCCTGATGCTCTCTCTCCCCCTGCCCCCTCAATTCTTTATATGAGCAGAGCAGTTACTGCTATACTTCAGTGTAATGTAATTCCCTCTTTATGCACATTCTATTTCAATATATAGCCTTTGATTTATTTTGTCGTGGAGGCTTTTCTTTTCAGTCTTGTAGCAGCTACTCTAATATGTAATCAGATTTGACTTATTTTAAAACAAATAAGCCCAAAACCATTTTGATGTCAATATAGTTGTTGCAGGGTATGGTAGCTGTTAAAAGTGCTTTTCGGTGTGTCTGGTTTTTTAACTGATTTGTTACATACAATCTTGTTTGGGTTATTTTGTTTGTGTTACATTAATTATGTTAATACTGCCTACAATTATCCCTTCTTTTTCCTCATAAAACATATAGGATATATGTGTGAAAGTTGAGGACCTATAAATTGAATAGTCAACTTTAAAAAGAGGTTTTGTGGCTGGGCGTGGTGACTCACACCTGTAATCCCAGCACTTTGGGAGGCTGAGGTGGGCAGATCCCTTGAGGTCAGGAGTTTGAGACCAGCCTGGCCAACACGGTGAAACCCTGTCTCTACTAAAAATACAAAAATTAGCTGGGCGTGGTGGCATGCGTCTGTAGTCCCAGCTACTCATTAGGCTGAGGGAAATAGACAAAATTTGTCATCCAAATAGGCAAAAACTCTAATATAAAATTTTAATATTATAAAATGTTTATTTAGAGAAACATTTTCAATGCAGGGTACATTTTACCTGTAGGTCTTTGAAGGTTTATGCTCACAGCTTCCCTTTTTAACATAGGCACCTGAAGAAGAAAAGTAACACAATATTTAGCTTATCCTCTTTTAACTAAATGATAGAGAGGTTTCAAACCCAAGATTTCCATGGTTAAGTTTATAAACTGACTTTTTCAACTGGGTTCACAGTATTGTGACACATGCATTGATTGTTCTAGACACAGAACAGAAGCAGAAACTTGATCAAGAACCCAGCATCAGAGAAATGAAAATGCTATAAGTGCATAACCAAGGTTGACATGGCAGGAGAAATGTGTGTTCTAAATATGTGAGCTTTCATGGGAATGTTCTGGATACATTGTAATATTTTCTGGCTGTCATGTGACACCATTTGAATCGATTATTTGTTATTTTAAGCTTAATTAACCAATTTTAGAACATTTCCCAGACACATAGAACTATTCCTATATTTTATCCCATAGGTTGCTTAAAGTATTTAGTTCTCCTTAATTTGGAATATATACAACTTCAAAGCAAAAATATGAGAATTATGTGAGATTTCAATAATCCTTTCCTAAGGTAATCCACCCCTTTGATCAGCAGTATTGTCTTCTCTTAAATATAAAGACCACAACCAACGTTTCAAAACAGGCAAACATGTTTGTCATATGACATAGTTAGTTGCCTGGTGTTGAAAGGAACTGTGTTGTTTCTTGCTGTCTCAGAAAACAAACAGTAAGTCTAGAATAATGATAAAGAGCTTTTTTTTTTGGACAAGAGCTAATTCAAGAAAATAAAAATGTTACTTTTTTGTCTGTCCGTATTTCTTCTTTTTAGAAACTGCCTCTCTTGTAAGTCACATGATTCTGGTAGTGTTGTCAATTAAGAGGTCACTTCCCTGCCCAAGGGTTGCATGTGATGGAGCAGGAATAATCAAGCTTCTTGCTTAGTGAGGGAGATGGGAACAGAGTGGGGTCTTCATCCATGTCGCTACAAAGGACATGAACTCATCCTTGTCTTTTTGTAAGAGGTTGAGCTTGAAAACGAGGTAAATGTGGGAATGTTAGGATCCATCTTTCTCATTATATGGAGAGAACTTGGCTAAGATGAAGTCAACAGAGAAACACAGAGGTGAGAGACAGAAGTACAGACAGACAGATGGAGAGACTGACCCCAGGACATTATTTGAGCATTTGGATCAAGGTATACCTAAAGCATGGATTATAATAAAAGAATTTAAATAATATGACAAAATGTTTAATTTTATTAAACTATTCTCAACTATTTTAGAAACAAAATACAGCTTTAAACCTAAAATTTTTTAATGTGTAAATGCCGCACATCAATAGGCCTATGCCTTTTAGTATGCCACACTCATTAAAATTATACGTATGTACCTCATGAAAGCATAAGTTCTGTTCTGTCAGCATTACCATCCTTGTAATGTGGTGTGTGTGCAATTATTTGAATATTTTAATATATTTTGCCCATATTTTAGAAAATTGAATGGAAAATTTAATAAAGAATGTGCTAATATCAATAGGTTTAGATCATTTTAAAGTTTGAAAACAAAACATTTTTTTATTTATTTTTTATTATTCCTTTTTTTTTTTTTTTTTTTTTAGATGGAGTCTTGCTCTGTCACCCAGGGTGGAGTGCAGTGGCATAATTTTGGCTTACTGCAACCTCTGCCTCCCAGGATCAAGCAATGCTCCTGCCTCAGCCTCCTGAGTAGCTGGGATTACAGGTGCGCACCACCATGCCCGGCTAATTTTTGTATTTTTAGTAGAGACAGGGTTTCACCATGTTGGCCAGGCTGGTCTTAAACTCCTGACCTCGTGATCCTCCCTCCCAAAGTGCTGGGATTCCAGGTGTGAGCCACCGCGCCCAGCCATTTATTCCTGGCTTTAATGAAGATGCTTTCAGTTTTCTTTTTAATTACATTTCAGGCTTTTATACTGCTAATAGTTTTTGTTATACTATTTATCTTATTGAGTTTTTCTTAAAAAGCAAATATTGCTTTTTTTTCAAATGTCTTATTATCATTGTTAATGAAGATAACTACAGCACATACTATTTGATGCTCCCAATATCTATCATCTCTTTTTACCTTTATTACTAGAGTCCACTAATTTTAGCTGGGGCCATAATTTCTTCAAAACCAAGGTACCACTGTTTATTAAGCAACTGCTTATGCTTAATCTATTTGAGGAGAGAGAAGTAAACTTATTTTATGTAAGCCACTGTTATTTAAAGTTTTTATTACCAACAAGTGAAGTTTTTGTGAGTTATCTCTTCTTTTCTGTTTTCAATTTTATATTTATATTATTAGATTTTTGAACATTAAAACATCCTTATAGTACAGAAGGTCCTGGAATAATGTCATTTTGTTCAATGTTGTTTCATTATAACACTGATGGGAAAAAAAAAAAAAGTCACTTCCCATCAGTGGCCACTGTCTGGACATTCTCCCCATGGCTGCATAGGTTACCTACTCAGCTTCCTCCCACATCCCAGAGATGTGCAGCTTAGGTGAATCTGTATGTCTACATGAGCCCAGAGGGAGTGAGCGTGTGTGTGGGTGTGAGTGTGCCCTGCCATAGGAGGAGGTCCTGGTCAGGGCTGGTTCCCACCTTGCACCCTGAGCTGCCGAGATAGGCTCTGGCCACCCGCTACCTTGAACTGGAATAAGTGGGTAAAAAATGATCTTACTTGTATTTATTAATCTTTCTTAAATGTATGTGTAGCTCATTTTTATATCAATGTTTAATATTAGAAGTGTTTTGGGTCTTGTTTTAGAAGTTTGGTGCTGCTTTTTTACCAGAAATATGTAGTAGGAACTTAACTCTTGTTTACTTCAATTAGCCTGTGGTTAAATTGGTTGTTCTAAGTGCTTTTGCTTAAAGTCATGATTTCCAAGACCCTACTGATGATGTTAAATGAGAACTTACTGTACTAGATAATCCAACCCCACTCAGTCATACTCTGATATATTCTTGTAATGCCTTGATGGATTCTGTTTTCTAATATGTTATTCGGGATTCTTTGGGTGACATTGGTCACCAGTTTTTGTGTGTGTGAAATCTATTTTATACATTGGCATCAATTATATGGCCACCTTATAAAGGAGTTAGAAGATTTTCTTTCTTTACTATATGCTAAAATAATTTAAATAGCATGAGACAATTTGTTCCTCACAGAATTCATTTTTGAAAATGTATGGTCTGGTACTTTTGGAGAAATAGCTATTTAATAATTTTATTTATTTTATGGTAATTGGTTTGTTCAGAATTTCTATGTCTTCTCAAATCATTTTAGGTAAATTCATGAAAAGATAATTGACTATCTTAAGTAAAATATTAACAATGTATTGTGAGATTATAAAATATGTAGAATTCAAATCCAATTTATAAAGTATAAAAGAGGAAATCAAAGTATGCTGTTTTAAGTTTCTTATACATAAGTAATACAAAATTATTTAGGCAAAATATGATGTTAAAGATATCTCTTGAAAAACCTAGAAGAAAAACTAAAAATAAAAATACGTGTTTTTTTTTTTTTTTAGAGACAAGATCTTGCTCTGTTGCCCAGGCTGCAGTGCAGTGGTGCCATCATAGCTCACTGCAGTCTTGACCTCCTGTATTTAAGTGATCCTCCTGCCTCAGCCTCCCAAGAAACTGGGATTACAAGCAGTGCCACCATGGCTGGCTAGTGTTTTAAATATTTTTTGTAGAGATGAGGTCTGGCTTTGATGCTCAGGCCAATTTCAAACTCCTGGCCTCAAGTGATCGGGTCTTGGCCTCCCAAACTTTTGGGATTACAGGTGTGAGCCACCATACCCGACTCTAATACTTTTTTTTTTCAATAAAAAAGGGAGAACTAGAAAGCTAATACTGGAGGTAGATTAACACCATAAAAATACCCAACCTAAAAGAAGGCGGATAAAGAAAAAAATTAAAAGAACAGATGACAAAAAGAGAGTATAATTAGCAAAATGAAGGCCACCTCCTCCTATCCTGCTCTGCCAAATGTTAGGCAGTTTGTGTGTGAGGAACTTCTCATGTTTTTTAATTCAACTCAGTAGGTTGCCCTGTAACCTCACTCTTTGATAGGTTCAAGAACAGTATTTTTTTTAGATTATCCAGCTGTATCTCATTTTTAGTATGAGATAAACCTTCTCTTGTGACTTCCTATATCCTAAAGAAAAGGGGGATGGTTGCAATAGTTTCTGTCTTTTGAACAGTGTACTTACTATATTATTTGGTGTACAGACATTGTTATTATATTTCCATTCCGAATTTTACCCTGTGGTTTTAGAAAATAAACTTCTTTGTCTTATTCAGTGATTTGGAACCTAAATTCAATCCTGTTTGATATGAAAATTGTGACCTTTGCTTTCTCTTTACATGTATTCACCTGGAAAACTTTTGCTCATCCTTCTATTTTTCCCTCTGAACTTCTGTATTTCAGGTGTGTCTTTTTTACCCTACAGAGTTAGGTACCACTTTCTCTTAATGGCTGAGTTAACTTATTTATACTTATGATGAATGATAGATGTAGTTAGTCTTAGTTGTCATGTTAAGTTTTACTCTTTCCTTTTATGCCTGTTAAAAATCTTTCATGTAGGCTCCCTTTATACATATGTTTATTTATGTCTCCTAATAATTAGAAAGTTTTCATTTTTGTTCTAATGAGTATCTTTATGACAAGAACATCATATAATTCACTAATCTTCTATTTCCCCATTTCTTTAAACATACCTAAGTTGTTATCATAAGCAATGATAAAGATGTTTCTTTTTTCCTTCTCTGTTCCCTCTCCTGTATCATTTGATTTGGGTTGATTATCTTATCTATCTTTCATGCTATTAACCACTGTCTCTATAATTATATCTTTACTAATGATTTGTTAGCTTTCAGTGATGTGCTTTGATCTGCAGCTATTAAAGATGAGGAAATAGAAAAGCTTATACTACTTCTCATCTTCTTTCCCCCTGCCTTTTCCATTTTTGTTAGTTATATATTTCTATACTGCAAGAGCTTATGATGCTTGTACTTCCCTATAACTCTATTCCTACATATTTTTTTAACTCTTAGTCCTCAGTGTTAAGACAGCAAATGCTGTCATCAATCATCTTTTCTATAAATGTTCTTATTCTTGTGATTACTCAAGAAGGACCCATGGGGACAATATTTTCTGAGTTCTTACGGTTTTAGTATATTGCTTTATTTTTAAAATCATAGTTTTACTGGGTATAAAATTCTTGGTTCCCCACCTTCTACCCACTTTCTTTTCCTAAGGATGTTGTAGGATTCCTATACAATGTCTAGCTTTGAATTTCTCTATGGAAAAGCCTGAGCACACTGTGATACCCCACCCCATCCCTTGATGTTTTGTTATCCAAATCTTCATTTCATTTTCATTAGAATTCTGTAAGTTTTCTAGGATGTGTCTTGTTTATTATTATTATTATTATTTTTTAGAAATGGAGTCTTGCTCTGTCACCCAGGCTGGAGTGCAGTGGTGCAATCTTGGCTCACTGCAACCTCCGCCTCCCAGCTTCAAGCAATTCTCCTGCCTCAACCTCCTGAGTAGCTGGGACTACGGGAGTGTGCCACCACACCTGGCTATTTTTTTTTTTTTTTTTTTGTATTTTAGTAGAGATGGGGTTTTACGGTGTTGCCCAGGCTGGTCTCGAACGCCTAAGCTTAGACAATCCACCCGCCTCGGACTCCCAAAGTGCTAGGATTACAGGCGTGAGCCACCGAGCCTGGTCTATTATTTTGAATACATATTTCTTTCACAAAGATTGCTCTTTCACTCTATGAATCCAAATCTTTTATTTCAGTAAAATATTCTTAAACTACTGTAAATTACATGTTTTAAAAAAATTTTTTAGGGAGCACTGTATTCAAATCTTGGGTCAGTTTGCCTCTAGTTCATTTTACTTTTTAATTTCCATTTCATTGCCTTACTTTTCTTATTTCTTTTATGTGTATTATTGTGTTTTCTGCATTTTTTCTCCATTGCACTTCTTCCTATTTTACCTTTATTTTCTTAATGGTTTTGTTATTTTTCTCTTTCACTTTATAGTTGAATTTATATTTTATCTCTTCCTATTGCCTTATGGCCTCTTCCTTGAGTTCTTAAATATCTTTTTCATCCTCTTTCTTTATAGAAGATATTGCTTGATTGAACTTTTAAAATTTCTGGTAAATAATTTGGTCCCAATTTTTCTGCTACAATAGAACTTCTTTTTTCGAATATTTTTCATTTGTAAGATATTTCTCTTGTTTTCCTCGTTTTCCTTGTAATATATTTGTGTGGCTCTGATGGTGTTTCCTTGTTTCATTATTTATGATTAAAGTGGATGAATTTATCCAAGATAGGTTTATCTTCAGGAGTTTTGTGTATGAGATTTCAGGGCTACATTCCATGTTAGCAGAATTATCCTGGGACTGACCCAGAATTTTGTATATGAATTTGTCTAATCTTTAATTTTCTCAAGACAATGGGAATAGACACTATGGAAGTTTTTCACATTGCCAAATTTTGGCTCTCACTACTTCCTTCTCCAAATGTAGTTAATGTGCATAATTCCTGTTTTATTGCCATCTTTTTTATTCTCAGAAGTAAACCAGGTCCAGGGGAGTTCCTGCCTCCGGTATATGAATCCTATTCCCACTGTTTTCAACAAAGCATTTGGATTTTGCACCCCAGAGAGTGCCCCTGTCTTTTAAGAGGTGTATTTTGTTGACTCTTTCTTAGATCTGAAGCTATAATGTTTTTTCTCTGGTCCCTTCTGCACACATCTCTGCTTGATCGCCACTCTTACAGGAACCCTACACTTACTTCTTAGTTTATGGTTTTAGTACTACTTTTGCCCCAAAAAGGTAGTTTATTTCATCTCTTTCTCTGGTCATTTCCAGGAAGAAAATGAGAAAATACTAACTTTACAATATCACTTGTATTTTTTATGTCAACTCATTTGAGACATTATATTAACACTGTAGAAGTTACCTCCATTAGCTTGTTCCAATTGAGACTATTAAAGCGTATTTCAGGAAATATACTTTTCAAACACAATTCCATTTGAATTTCTATTTGTTTTTGACTGTTTAAGAAGCTCTCAGTTAGTTATATCTCTGATCTCTCACTACTGTTTTTTAGTTTTCTTAAGTCACAATTGTTTTTTGGTTTTCTTAACCAGTCAAATATTTAGAATAAAATATATAATAAATGAATTTAGGTAACATGGTAACTACGTTTAATTGTAACAAATTATATCTCAACTACTGGGGGAAAATTTCTCTGCAGGGTGCATATTTAAAACCTGTACTTTCACGTATTACACATTAATACTCCTAGAATTCTATGCCCAACAGATTTTCATTCATCAGTTGAATGGACAACTGAGGTACTCATTTTCTGGACCCGCTTGCAGGCTAATAGTTTATTTTGACAGCATTGCCATCTTATGCAGGAATGTTTTGACAATTGTGTAAACAACTTACTGCATTTTGTTCTATTTTATAAAATCCAACAAGAAACAGGAGAATTAAAGTGCTAAACTAGTGACTTTAGAGGTAATATATAAAGTCCCTATTTAAAAATTAAGCTTTCAATAAATTGAGACCAAAAGAATCTGGCCTAAATGAGAGGAAATTGAGATACAGTTTGACATGAGGCTAAAAATAAGGTAAGAAGGCAAAATGTATGATGTCAAATCCTGTTCATTTTTGTCTGTGGTGCAGAAATTTGGCTTTTAAGCATTTTAGCATGACGGAGATTTTTTGGATTGCTTTAGAAATATAGGAGAAAATTTTCTGGGTGAGTTCTGTTTTGGTCTCCTCTTAAGCACTATTATAAACTCTATAATTCTGCATTATTTAATCTATTAATCAGAAACACCAATGATAAACAGAATTTCTATTTTCTGTTTAAGAGTTGCAATTTTACTTTGTCTCAATTTGCTTTCAACAGTCATTTACTTTTTGTTAGTCTGATCTATTTATGCTGGACAGGGAGAGGATTCCAGAAATACCCCAGGTGCCAAGATGCAGAGAAAAGCTTAGTTCTGTCTTAAAATCTCTCAGTGCCCATAGGTGCAAATTTTATAAGATGCTGATTAGGACTGGTATAGAACCTAGATAAATACTTTACAAAAAATGTAAAGGATGTGCACCGCATTTGAGAATCATTGACCTAAACCTTAGCCTCTGACTTGAATTAGTTAACAGTTTCAAAGGAGCTCCTTCTAGCCCAGAAACATCTTATTTTTAAGAGGTAAATGAGCCCATGACTTATTTCTTCAAATTAGGGGATGAGAATTAGAGAGGTAAAAGAACTAAGTCTAATAACATTAAATAAGCAATTGAAAACAGCTGATTTTTCTAACCAGGCAGTAAAGAATCTCTTTTTCTTGTGACGTCTCAAGCCACAGAAGCCATGTCTTTGAAAAACTCTTTTGTATCAGAAGGGCTCCGCTCCTTTTACTCCATCCTTTTCAGGATTGTGGATTGTGGTTGGGGAGGGTGGACCTTGAGCTTTTGGATGCAGAATTGATGGGAAATTTAAAAGCCTCATGGAAAATGTAAAAGAAAGGAAGAGATTTAAGAACTTCAACTGAAATTTACACTTTCTCTTCTGACAGATCCTAAATGGCTGGGGTGAAAGCAATCTTCAAACTATCAATTTTAATTGTCTATGGGAAATAATTTTTGAACTGCAGTTATAGCCATTTTGGTTGTTTTTGTTTTTTGGGCAATTGTTTCTTAATTATATTTGGTGATTTGATTTTTCTATTAGATGACATGGTAATTGCACATTTTAGCAAAGTAATTATGCAAATTTCTATTTCTGACATAATATGAAGAAAAAAACTATATATGTGAATGAAACTGGTTTCACAAATGGGCTTAGGCAAACTTAATATCTCAATTATTTTAATTAAGAGAACTGTATAAAAAGTTTCAAATATTTTGTTTCGTGAGATTTCAGGATAATGAACAAAAAGACATAATTGAAAATAGGTTCCCTTTAATCTTATAATTGAAGCAGAAAGTATTTATTCTAAGCCACTGACTGCCCATTGGAATCATGTTGGAGTCATTTAAGCAAATACCAATATCCATTTGGGAATTTCACCTGTGCATCAGTATTTTTTTAAAAGCTCCCCAGGTGATTTTAATAGCCATCCAGTGTTCACAACCACTGAACAAGGCTACCCTAAAGTAGACTCATCTAAATATTTATTAAGCCTGATATTGCTAAAAATGAGATAGGAATTATGAAATAAGTGTATTCCATAATTGAAGTAAGCCTTAGTTATCATACTTAAGGAGCTTATATTGCACTAGAAAAGATTAAAGTGAAACAAATTTAAAAATTTCAGAAAGTGGCATCATTAAAACCTAACTGTGGCAGAGAATTTGTTCTAAAGATGTTCTGAGAAGAAAGAAATCATGAAAGAGTGATGATTAAAGAACTACAAGAAGCCAGGCCCCAGTCTGGGCTTCTAAGTGTGGTAGCTATGGTAGCCAGCCCCCAAGATGACTCCTAGGAAGCCCCACCTCCTGGTATTCACTTTCTTGTGTGGCTTTTCTCTTATTCTCTCTCTCACTCTCTTTTAATCCTCTCTCTCTTTTTTTCTCTCTCATTAAAAATTATTTTCTCTCCCTTACTCTTTCCTCCCCTTTCTCTCTCCCTCTCTCTCTCATTAATAAGTCTGGAGGAAGCCAGATGTGAGGACACTTGGGCAGCTTATGGAGAGGCCATGTGGTGAGGAATGGAGGCCTCGGCCAACAGCCAGTAACCATGTGAGTGAGCTTTTAAGTGGATTCCTTAACGCCAGTCAAGGCTAGAGATGACTATCGCATCAGCTCACAGCTTGACTGCCACCTCATGAGAGACCTTGAGCCATAAAAGTTCAGGCCAAGAATGGAAAACAAGGCACTGGGAAGAACATCATGAGCAAAGGAATGAAGAGGAGCTGAAATGCTATGTTGTCGTATTCTGTCTGGAAACATAGGTATGTTGGCTAAGAAGCACAGTGTGGAGGAGTGCGGGGAACGTAGACTATCGAGGCTATTGAAAAATGTACTAAGCACTTAATGTGAGAGGGAATAAGGAGCCATTGGGCATTTGTTTTATTTTCCCTCTCAAAAGTTTGGAAACTTAATTTTTGAAAACACCATAATTCAAATGCAGAAAAATATTGTTTATAAATTAACAAGAGGAAAACCAGACCACTGATTTGTATAGAAATAGATGAGCACTACTCTTGTGAAAAAATGTTTAGGTGGACTGACCTCCTTGGAGCAAAGGGTTGGAAAAGAAAAGGAGAGATTTGATATATGAGATGAAATTTATCAATCACTAGTAAACACTGAAACAACAACAAATTTATATACCATAGATCAATAATAGCCTGACCTTCCATCTAAAAATATCTAAACATGTATTAGATAGACAGCAAAATCTGTTTTTTAAAATTAAGACTTGATTTCCAATGTTGGTTCAATGTGATTTCAAATACATTTATTAAAACTTACCACATGAACAAAAATTAATTGAGTGTCTTATACATTTTTCACACAGTCACTTATTTCCTACAAAGCACATAAATACTAAATTGAAAGTCCAAGGGCAGCAGTTTTTCATTTTTTCATGATGTTGTAATAGGAGCAGGAAAGAATTTTATGAATGAAAATTCACCTGGTTTAAGTACAAGCTCATAGCGGTCTTTCTGCTGTTGGAATGTTTACCTAAGGAATTTTGCCTTAGGCAAGTCTCTGCTTTTAGAATAAATCAGATCAACCTCAATTTTGTCAATGTTTTGCTTTTGGCCCACTGTTTATTTTGCAAGTAATACTCAAAATCAACAGTTGGGTCTAGGGTGAACATTAAGGAAACTGTGCCCACAGTACAGGGTCTGCATAAACCACCTTTGGGGAATAATTTACTTTTTCTTCTCCACATTTATTCAGAAAACAAGATAGAGCATCTTCTTAAGTCAAAACAATTGTTTCCATTTTAAAGCAATGAACAGTTAGTATATACATTTCAGAAAACCAGAAAAAATAAGTTATTTTTAACTGTTTATTGTAACACCAACAAACAGAACATATCACTACTGCATTTTTCTTTCTTTACTTCTGTATTTTTTTTCCCTGTAGCCTTAAAGGGTTTTTAACATTTAAGTTTTAGACAATTTGAGTCTCCATCTCACTGTGGAGGAAAATGCACTGAGCAACCTAGTATCTTTAAGGATACTGTGGGACTTATTTCTTATAATTATATCTAGTTTGAATTTTTAGTTTCAACTGATTTTTTTATCTCATTTGTCTCTGACCTCCCTTCTCTTTCTTTTGTTGGCCCAACATAGAACAGAACCCTCTGTTTTTAATTCAAAATATAGTCCAAACAAGACACTTATCAAAGGTCCATGTGTAATAGACTTTTACTGTTGATTTGGTGAGTAGTTACACTGAGTGATAGCACTACAGATAAGATTAATATTAGACATCGAGTTCTTAAGAGTTCCTTGGCTATTTGTACTATTGAGAATTTCTCATTTTGTGACTTTTTCTTGATGGTGGTCTTCCATCTTCTTCCATCTCTAGACTTCCTCAGCCCCTCTCTTATGCCTGTCCCTGGAAACTAAAAGTTCTTCCCAGTTTCTTATGCAGAGCAATTCAGTGCTGTCCTTATTTACCCTTATCTCATAACTGGCCACATCTTAAGACCTATCTTTCCCCAAATGCCATGACCCTTCAGAGGTTTTTTGGCTTGTTTTGTTTTTGCTAATCAAAAAAGAGTTCTCTCTTAAGAGGAACTGACCTGCAGTATTTAACTGACTCCTTCCACCCTCATCCCAGTCCTCTCCAGGAGTGTGGATCAATTCAGAAGATAGTCCTAAATCTTTAAACAGGATGAGTCAGGCAATGGTACTAGTGCTTGTGTGGTATTCTCTCCTGTTTTTTTTAAACCTTCCGATAATCTGGTAATTACCTGTCATTTCTGTTGATGGAAGAATTAGATGATTGGGATCCCAACACGATGCATCTGTCAGCAGCATTGATTCATCATCACTGGATGCCAAGGTTTTCCCTGATGTGAAAAATGGAGGATTAATTAGTCAGTGGCTTTCACTCCTCCCCCTCTTCTGTTTTTTAATTCTCTCTGTATTCTAGCGTTATGATCCTGCTACCTGTTTTATTCTCTAAAAGGGACACCCTGGTATAGGGGGCGGGAGTCAGAAGAATTGGAGATAGTGTAAAAAAAAATTATTCTTTCCTTTAGGCATTAATCTGACCTCCATTTTTTTTAGAGGTCTTCTTAACTGTGAGTATTCAGTTAGGACTTTCTTCCCCCTTTTATCCTATAAACCCTCACAGCCAAGCATACCTCTGTGACTTCTACTGGCCTTTCCCATACTGCACCTGGCTAGACTATGTTTTATTCTCTGTGTATACAAAGGATAGGACTTAGAGAGTTAGATACAGGGATTATGGCCCCTAAGCAATGCATGCTCAATTACAAATATTAAATTGAGCACAGAACAGTGAACTCTATCTACAAACAGTAACAGATCAGTGTTCAGAATCTGAATGTTCATTTGTCTCACACGGCCTGCACAAAGAGTACAGGCAAAACTTACCTTAAATATCTTAAATAGGATTTTGACTTGGCTTTTCTCCTCTTATGGCTAATAAATGTCATCATCATCATCACCATTGTCATTGTCATCTCTCACCATGCCTACTCTCCTCCCTCCCTAAAGCACACTCTTTCCCTTCTCCCTCCCTTGTTGGGAGCTAAGTGGACAAGAAATGCGGCACAGAACTCTGAGAGAGTTCAAGGCAAAAAGGGTGTCAGGACCTGGCAGGTGGAGAGAATTGAAGTCACACAGCCGGTGATATCAAGAGTGAGTGTGGAAAAAGCAGAGTCATGGGTCAAAGATGCATGAGTTGCTGAGTGGGGAGAAGGAGGAGTTCCAGAAGTGTCGGAAAAGAAACAATCCAATAAAGTAGGAGTAATGTTGTATTTAATAATACACTCTGGGCCAGGTGCGGTGGCTCACTCCTGCAATCCCAGCACTTTGGAAGGCCAAGGCAGATGGATCACTTGAGGTCAGGAGTTCGAGACCAGCCCAGCCAACATGGTGAAACCCCGTCTCTACTAAAAATACAAAAATTATCTGGGTGTGGTGGTGGGTGCCTATAATCCCAGCTGTTCGAGAGGCTGAGGGAGGAAAATCGCTTGAACCTGGGAGGGAGAGGTTGCAGTAAGCCAAGATTGTGCCACTGCACTCCAGCCTGGGCAAGAGAGCAAGACTCTGTCTCAAAAAAAGAAAAATAATACACTCTGATTCATGTCAACAGTGTTCTCCTAACTCTAATTAGTAATGGGTGAAGAGAAACTGCACCCAAAGCGCTCATCTCTAAAATCATTTTAATGTAGATTAAATTTATATATGATTAAATATCTTATTTATATTAATTAGAGAGGTATGTATAAAATTCAGACAAAATCCTCAAATTTTATTTCCACTTCTAATTCCAATTCATCTGCATTACTATGTTTTTTTAGCAAAAATAGAACAATAACTTGTCAATACTTCTCTTGTTCTTCTATGACTTGGATGAGGATAGAGACTGCAGCAAAATGGTCACCATCCGAATCAACTTGAGGACAACAAAGAAGCTAGCATTACAAATTTTGGCAATTCAAATATGGAATAACAGGTTCCTGAAGTATGATTATTCATTGTCTTTCCAAGGAGGCTCCAGGTTCAGAGTAGTTGCATTTAAACTCTGGTTCCAACACTTGCAAACAAGTCTTGGAACTTGGGGAAGTTAACCTTGCTCAGCTGTACTTTTCTCATCCTTAAGACAGCGATAATAACAGGACCTACCTCATATACGGATGTTGCGAAGAATGACATAATACATGTGAAGCACATACATGGCACACATTAAACTCTGGATAAATATGAACCATTACTGTAACACATACAGGTGATTAAATAAGGACTGGCTACCATGATGTTCTCAGATGCTCAAGCGAAAGATGTGGGGGGCATCTTTAACCCTACCTTTCCTCTCATCACCACAGCAAATCTGTGACAAAGTCCTGTCTTTCTTAATTTTAAAATAAATCCTAAATCCATACTCTTCTCTCCACCTCCACTGTAACTGCTGGTACCCAGGGCACCATCATCCCTTCCGGCCGATGGCATCAGCCTCTCACAGGTCCCAGCTTCCAATCTCCTTCCTCTCTAGTCCACTCTCCAAACTGCAGCCAGAGCTGACTCATAAAGTTACAAATACTATCAAGTGGGGGCACTTGTGAACTGTCCTCTATTTCTCTTTGTTTTTAGAATAAAACCAGACTCAGTCCCATGACCTTCAGGGTCTGGCTTAATTTGACTCCTGTCCCCCTTATTCACTTCATCTTATTCCACTTTCCTCCTTGCTTGCTTATGGTCAGCCACAATGACCACATTTTAGTTCCTTATCAACATCAACCCTTTCTCCAGGTACTCACTCTTCTCTCAGCCTGCACTGTTCTGTCTCCCATTCTCTCTTTTTTAAATTTATTGATTTACTTATTAAAATTTTTTAATTTTTAATTTATTTTAAATTTTTTAAAATTTTTTATTTTTAATTTTAAATATATAGTACATAGATATATTTGTGGGGTACCTGAGATGTTTTGTCTCCCATCCTCTTAATGGCTGGCTTATTACTATCCTGCAGACCTCTGTTCAAACTCTGCCTTCTAGAGAAGGCTCTGTCTTTCCTGCCCAAGGGGGCCTCCTTTATTAATTGGTAATCTCATCCCCTGGCTTATTTCCTCCATGGCTTTCATCACAACCTGTAATTATCATCTGTGTTTTTTGTTGTCTACATCTATGAACAATGACATCAAACACAGTTGTGTGTGGTGTGTTCTCAACAAAGAGTTACCTGTTTCTATAGATGTTTTATGCTAGATGTTGGGGAAATACATTTTAGCGAGACCATTTTTGTATTCTCTCCAGGATGTCAAGGAACTTGAGGTGTATTGGAAGCCCTGTAGAAGTGGAAGTGGCAACAACACCGTACAAAATGCTATCATGGAGCCAAGCACAAGCTGCTAACTTTGTCTGGTGTTGGGGGATCGGGGAAGGAAGGGTTCTAAGTGAAGTGTCATCGCGGGTAGGCTTCACTGAAGAATGAGAAGGGATTATCTCAAGAAGTAGGGAGGAAAGGACATGCTCAAGCACTTCTCTGCCCCTAAAAATATCAAAGACACATTGACTCAGCAGAGCATGCCACACACAAAAATCGTGAGGGGTCTCAAGGGAGTAAAGTGTGTCTGTTGAGAATAGGATATGTGAGAACAGCACACTTGAGTGTGATGGCTCAGAGGCTGGATTCTGAAGTCAGACCACCTGATTGGAATTCCAGTTCTGTCACTTATTAGCTGTATGATTGCAAAAATTTACATGGCTCTGTGAGGCTCAATTTCCTTCTCTGCGAAATGGGATTTCTCATGACAACTTCCTTAAAGGAATCCTGTAAGAATTAAATAAAATAAATATTTTGCAGAGTATCTGACACATACTGACTGCTGAAAAAATATATATAAAAAAACAAGAGTACCGGAAATCATATCACTCAAACACTTAATACTTTAACATGTTAGTGTTCCAGGCTTTAGAATAGGGAATACATAAATATATATTTTTGTGACCTAAGAGTGGGAAAGGATTTCTTAAATAAAATTGAAGAAGTGCAAAAAAATGAGACAGAAAATGGACGCATTGGATTGTATTAAAGATTTCTGTTCAATTGAGGTTATCATAAGTAGACATATGGCAGAATGAGAGAAGATATTTGTTATTTCTAAATCTGAGAAGGGATTTTTTTATCTATAAAATAAAAGGAAGTCCTTCAAATCAACAAAAACCCAGCAAATTTGATAGAAAAATGGACAAGGGATATAAACAAAAAAAAATCATAGGCAACAAAACCCCAAAGGCTAATGAGCATAATAATTGCTTAACTTAATTTTTATCAGGGAAAAACAAAGAAATAAACATTGAGATATCCATTTATTTTAATTAGACTGACAAACTAGGAGCTGGAAAATGCCCAGTGTTGGCAAGCATAGGGGATATAGAAAGTATAGACTGGGCTAGCCATCCTGGAGAGCAATCTGACAGTAAATTAGAAATATACGTAGCAATTCCACTCCCCGGTATATATCCCAAATATATTCCCCAAAAGTGTCTTAGAAGATATATCTGTCAGGATAAGTTCAGTTGTGTTGTGAGACAAAGAATCCCCAATCTCAATAGTTTGAAACAATACAAGTTAATTTCTTGTTCATACCATGTTCCATTACACATTGGCAGAGGCCTCTCTGCTCATCCAGTCTCTTGAAAACTATGCTGGCAGAGCAGGCTCTTTTTGAACATGACTCATCCCTGTACCAGGGGTGAAAAGCATGTACTTGTGGGGGTCCTCCATGGGCAACTAAATGCCCTAGCCCAGAAATGATATATGTTACTCTTTATACAATTCATTGGCCCAAACCAGGCACATGGTCCACCTGACAATAGGGCGTCAGAAATTACAATCCTACCATTTGCTGCCATAGAGTGCTACTCTCTGACCAGCACAAGGGACATATACAAGAATATCTACTAGAAGTATTGGGAGGTGGGAACATCAGCTTAGATGCGTTCATATTAATACATTTGAATTTTTAAATCACGGTGTCGAATTAAATAAAAGAAAATGAGATAAAATTTTTAATAAAGCAGATATTTTTACATAAATATTGTTTTATGTAAAATAGTATTTATGAACTATTTATATAACATAGTATTTATGTAAAAATACCTACACATTTTATACAATAGACATTTCCATGGCTCCACCCTCTGGGCCCAAGTTTCTACCCTAAGGGCCATACCTTCTTTTCCTTGAAGGGTAACACACATTTGCAGCTGAGTAGTTTCATCAGCCAGTTTCTTGCTTGTAGAATTTGGGGAGTAAAACAATCTTCCTCCATTCATCCTTTATTCCTTTTGATTCAAGCTGGCAGTGTTTATATAACTGGTAATGTTGGTATAACATTCTCAAAAACCTGTGGGTCTCCTGTATATATCATAAAATTCACACAATTAGACAAGAAGGTCTCCCACAGATCTTTCCTGGGTCACCCCATCTCCATTCTTCACTTCTGCAGATAGTTGAGAGGAATCATGAGCCACTCACGTAATCTCTTCAGCAAAATGTTGTCCAGCCACACCCTGGGCCTTCTCTCCAGAGCACACCTTCCTTACAGTGAATATACTACTTTTTCTGTCCTTTGCAGTCTGATAGGTTGAGAATTTCCAATATCATCAAGCCCTAGTCCCTCTTTATTTAACAGTTTTCCTGTCAGTTTATCTCTTCTCACATTTTACTACAAGAAGCAAGAAGAAACCTGGCTTCACCATCAATATTCTTCTTGGAAATATCCTCAGCTAAATATCAAAGGATGTTGCTTCTAAGTTCTGCTTTCCATACAAAACTGTAGAACACAATTCAGCTAGACTTTCTGCCACTACATAGTAAGGATCCCCTTTCCCGGAGTTTACAAAATCATATGTCTCATTTCCTTCTAAGTCTGCACTAGCATCAGCTTTAACATTCATCTTTCTATTAACATCCTCTTTATGACAATATATGTATTCTCTAGGATAATACAGGCTTTCTCTATCACGCTCCTCACTTCCTTATTAGTCCTCACCAGCAGCATCCTCAGCAACCATTTTTCTACCAACAGCCTGTTTACAACAATCTAGGCTTTATCTGTCATGCCCCTCAAAATTCTTCCAGATTCTGCCCATTATCAAATTCCAAAGCCACTTCCACATTTTTATGTATTACAGCAGCATCACATTTTCATTACCAAAATCTGTATTTGTTTCCTGTGCTTTTCACAAATTACCAGAAACTTGGTGGCTTAAAGCAATAGAAATTTATTATCTCACAGTCCTGGAGGCCAGAAGTCCAGAAGTGGTTCCACTGTGTTGACATCAAGGTGTGGACAGGGCTGCATTCCTCTGGAGTGCCCAGGGGAAGGTCTGTTCCTGGCCTCTTCTAGCTTCTGGTGGCTGCTGGCATTCCTTGGTTTTTGGCTGCATCATTTAAATCTCTGCCTCCATGTTCACATTTCCTGGATTTCCTTTGGAGGGCCATTGTTGGGTCTATCACAAATATTTATATGTATGCTCATATACTCTTTTATAATGTTAACATAGGAAATTATACTACTCAATTTCTTAGTGTTGAACCACACTTATATTTTTAAAACTCTACATAATAATCACTTTATCCTTTTGATGTCTTTACAGTTTTTCATTTTATGGAACTACCAGGCTTTATTTATGAAACTTTACTAATAAACATTACAGTTATTTTCAACCTTCCTGTATTATTTTATTATTGTAAAATTATTACATATGTACACATAATCTTTGTGTATTTATCCAACTCCTTCATTGGAATATATTCCCTGGAGTGGAATTGCTCAGCAAAACATACACATTAAAATTTTTTTATTTACCTTACCAAATCACCCACCAGAAAGTTTCCAATTTAAAACCTCATTTCTCATCTCTCATCTAAGAGAGTTTCTCATTCCCTCTGCATCTTGCCAAGTTCAGAGTACTAACAATTTATTTTCATAAGAGGTAGGGCATATTACTTCAATGTTTTCTTTTGTATTGCTAATTAAACAGCTGTTTTATTTTTATCAGTAGTCCATTTATTCCTGCAATTATCAATCTTTTCTTTTTTTGCAAGAACTTCTATAGATGAAGATAGTAGCCTTTTATATTAAGATAATAACCTTTTTGTTTAGGTTTAAACTATATTTTAGTATTTTTTCATTTTTCACTCACTTCAACTCTGTTAATATTGCCTTTAGTTATATAAAGGTTTAAACTTTTTAGGAACTAGATTATGTAATGTTGTTTTAAGAAAATCCTTCTTTACTCCAGGAATATCAGCCATTACTGTTAAATGTGACCTTACTCTCAATCACAGGATGGTGAGGTTTTAAGAGCATTTGTGTTTCACTGAGTTATTTTCTGGGTCAATTCTGGGCTGTCCCGATACTTTTATTTAATACCGCCTAAATCTGCCTCTTGAATGCCAAGGTTTGGCAAACCATCTCAGTTGGCAAACCATCATAAAAATATTCCGCAGAGCCATCTTGATCAACCTCTTAAGTCAGATGAGTGTTTACCTTACCTATTGTTCATGTTTATTCTGGGTTTTTATAAAGTTGGGGCACTTTTTTTTTCCCTTCTGTTTTCTTCCACTGAAAGCTGAAATCACTGTGCTCTAGAAGCAAATAACTAAAATGAGAGAGGGAGCAGACACCTGAGGGACGTCACACAGTTCTAGTCTCAAAGTTATTTAGGGGTTGATGAGTATGAGAATCACAGCGTGGTGTGTCACAGCTGACATGTGGTGTCTGAACTACTTTTGTCAGTTTGTGTACTATTTTAATCCCAGGAATAAACAAAGAAAAAAAAACTTGCCTGATACTAAAACTTTGTTGGATATAAAGTCAACTTAGAGCCTGAATTCAGACACCAGTTCTAGACAATAAGAGGGTACATTTTTTCCCCTCTCCTTAAGTAAAGAATTTTTTCAGGGTCAGCAAAAGTCCAGATGAAGTAAATGTTAAAAGATGTGCCTCCATAATAGTTTATTTTTCTGTCTGAATTCTTAATCAGGTCCATATTTAGATTGTTTGCATTCATCTTAATCACTTATCAGAACTGTTTCTTTCCTATATTAACTAATATCAAGGGATGGATGAGAGCTATCAATTAAATTTTGCTCATGCCTGCCTCTCTTGAGGACTAGTATGCTTTCCTTTAGAGCTGTAATCAATGCAGATCCCTTCAGGGTATCCACCCTTGCAACAGCTGTCATCCTAGCTTACCTCAATGAGGTCATCACAGGCACACCTAGTTTTTTTAATTTTTCCTCTATAATTAATTTCCTTGAGTCACTGAATACCTTTATCTACCTTCTGCCATAAACGTCTCATTTTCTCTAATATCCTTATTTGCAGTAAGTCAACCAGAATTGAGCACAACATGGCTTTTCCTTTCAATGGCGCTGAAATAATTTCTTCTGACTCATGCTCTGCACACTGAGCAGTGACAGGACAGTCTGTGATTGTTTGTTTAAGCACTTGTATGTTAGATTATTTAACTGCTTGTTTAATTGTACCTCACTGAGTGTTCTGCTCTCTGTTAAGCCTTGTTATCATTTGAGGCTATTCACCAAATACTTCTCTCTTATTCTAAATGGTTCGAGGAAAATATTTACCTTATTTCCTCAATTTTAAGATGCACTACCCCCACCCCCAACACACATATTTTTACATTTCTGCAACCAGAATATGTTCTAGAGTCAACGTGCACATTTAATGTAGTGTTTCCCTTCAAAAAGAGTGTCTTAGAATGGCTTAGAAGCCTAGAGCTGTGGTAAGTCAAAGATACATAAAACTGTCTCATGTGTTCCAGCCACTAACGCATGATCTTAACTCTTTTTTTGACTTTATTCCTCAGGTGCTTTGGGGGAAAAAAGTACATTTGCATTTCATGAGTTTAGGCCTGAGCTTTTGTAGTTTAGTATCATTGACTCTCCTTCCTCTTTGCTATTTCCTCCCATTGGATCATTATGGTATTATTATTAAAAAGTAAACTATTCCTGGAGACCCTCTCTGCTTTTGAGAACATCTCCCATCTCCCTTCCACTTAGACACACACACTACCTTTTTTATGCCTGGCCATTTGGCTTTAGTCTTAACTTCTTTGCCCCTGAGTCTATGGAGGAGTCTTACATGTTGCCCATTATATCAAAGCTTTGTGGAAGTCAAGGGTGGATTATGTATAAACACAACTTTCTTTGTCTTGGCACTTCCTCATACATTTTCATAAAATGTTAACTGCTGAATTCCATTAGCTCCAAAAAGAGAGTGAGTAGAATGCCAGGTTTGAATGTTAAAGTTCTACGTTAAACTTTCAAAAATCTAAAGCCATCTTCATTATCTACAATCCTTAAAAAATTATCTAATCAAAATGTTTACTGGATGCAAACATTTTCAGTCAGCACATGGAAGTCTGAGAGATAGGTAGATGAAAAATAGGTATATGTTTGTATCTATAAAAGTATGTGAGTATTTTTGCTTAAAATCTAAATAATTATTAGTGTATTCATTTCTACATATACATAAATTGATATGTAATTGTGGATTACATAAAATTGATCCATGTGATTGCGTACATGTATAGAAACATGTAAACTTAGCCATACCTTTATAAACCATACATAATTCATTTAATGACGTGCAATAGAAACTAGGTTAAAATTTGAGCTCTGCCATTGTCTTACTTTGTGAAACTAAGTCACTTAAATGTTCTGACCCTCAGTTTTATCTTTGTAAAATAAGTATGAAACAATAATGCTGCCATACATACCACAGAGGCCTATGTGGAGGATCATTCAAAAAACTTTTTTAACTATAAAATACTTTATAAATATTAATAATGTTTAATGAGATATGTATAAATACCTCAACTTACTCATAAAAAATCCATATTCTTAAAATAGTATATTTTTCAACAATTTAGTATTTCTTTTTTATTTACAGCTGATATGTAACACAAAATAATTGAAACTTTCTTTTTAAAATGAATTGGTTTAAAATATATTAAATATATATTAATCTATAATGTATAAATAATATATAATATATACATAAAATTTATCATATATATTTATTGTATTATATATAGTTGTACATGGTTTTAGATACCATAAATATATAGTATAAATTTATAACAGATGTCAACTTATTTTCAGTGGTCTTATCTTCAGTAGTCTAGTTCAGAAAACCTATAAGAAAAGGAAAAACCTACTTTTAAAAGTTATGTTTATTTTCTAGCTGCTTAGGTTTAGCATACAAACCTATATAAATGTGATTTGTTAAAATAATGGCATAAGTTACATGTAAATTTAAGAAATGAAATCAGTCCTATGCAGATATCTATGGCCAAAGTTATACTGCATGATCAAATACTTGCAAAGACCTATCATAGCCTTGCAAAATTAATCTTAAGTTAAATATAGTCTGTGAGGCACTGCTGCACTGGAGTTTCTGGATGTCAAGGTCACCCTAGAAATGTCCCAGGAGAAGGCTCTGGATATCACTGACTCAGACATTTAGAATCACCCCTTTTAACACTGTGCTTGCTGAGACTTGCAGGTATATTCTCTGTATTATAGCTTGTAAATATAGAGAAGCTTTCTCACAGCAGCCACGCCTATGAGCATCTTCAATGACTTTACCTCAAAATCAACCACATAGAGTCAACTTGGATGAAATCTTTATTGTGAAGCCTCCATTCTCATGTGAAAAATACCTTTTTTGGTGGGGGCGGATAGGGTAAAGAGCCTTATAGTCTTTGTCAACTGCTCTCAGGTAGAATGACTAGACAGGGAAGAGCAACATCCAGTGAAGTACAATTTGGTTTACAGACCCCCAAAAAGTATCACAAAGTAAACTGCTGGATCTTCTTTCACAGTTGCACATGTGTCTGTTCCCACCTCTTCTTAAACTTACTGCTTTCCAGTCAAGCAGCGGAGTGTAATTCCCCTGTACTTGAATCTAGAGCAGCCTTGATAATTGGTTCTTTCTGGTGGTGTGCAGGAAATGCTACCCCCAAAATATGGCACCATGGCATACTAAGTAGTTTCCATTTAAGGAAATTGACAAAATCTGCGGAAGCAGGAAGATCTCTCTGACCTGCTCCTGTCCCCTCTCTTTTGAAGCAGGTCATAGAAACTGAAATTCCCCTCACTCTTCCTTCCATAAAGCAGGACATAAAACATAGGAAGGTCATTCTCTGACCCTTTCTCCCCTGAAGACCTTCCTGTGGCAGGTGTCCTGACCTACACCTGGAGAAAAGAAATGTCACACAGAGAGGTCAAGAAGAGTCTGAATGAAAAAGGCTTTGCTAAAGTCTCACCCCACCTCACCCAGTTTATTGCCATTAGATCACATCCTTTTGTCTTCTAATCATATTTCTATGTGACTGTCCACAGTTTTCCCTGGGTCTTTGGGTCTTCCTCTCTGGAGGCGCCTATGTAACATAAAACTTATATTAAATATATCTGTATGCTTTTCTCTTATTTGTCTTTTGTTATAGGGGTGTCAGCCATGACCCTTGCAATGGGTGAGAAAAGGAATTTTTCCTCCCCTACAGTTCATAGCCAATAAAATGTGTAAGAAGTGATACAGTGTGACAGGTCATAAAAGGTGACATGGCTTTGGCCTTGTTCACCAGGACACTAGCCTTTTGAGCCCTGAGCTGCCATTTAAGAAGTCCAATCCTGGGCGAGGTGGCTCATGCCTGTAATCCCAGCACTTTGGGAGGCCGAGATGAGCAGATCACAAGGTCAGGAGATCGAGACCATCCTGGCTAACATGGTGAAACCCTGTCTCTACTAAAAATACAAAAAATTAGCCGGGCATGGTGGAACGCGCCTGTAGTCCCAGATACTAGGGAGGGTGAGGCAGGAGAATCACTTGAACCTGGGAGGCAGAGGTTGCAGTGAGCCAAGATCGTGCCACTGCACTCCAGCATGGGCGAAAGAGCGAGACTTCATCTCAAAAAAACAAAAACAAAAACAAAAAAAAACAACGAAGACAAAAAGAAGTCCAAATATTCTGAGGCCGCCAAGCTGTGAGAAAGCCTCACCCACAAGGAGGAGCCACACACTCATGGACCTGGCAACAGCCTCAGCTATAGTTCCAGCTGACAACCAACATCACCGTCACACATAACTAAAAATGCCTCTAGGTGATTCCAGCCAATAGCCTTTGCATCTTCCCAGCTCAGGCTGCAGATATCATGGAGCAGAGAGGCAAGCCAAGCCCACTGTGTCCTGTCTGAGTTCCCAACCCAAAGAAATTATAAGCATAATGAAATGATTATTTCATGTCGCTAAGTTTTGGGATAGTTTATTTCATTGCAATAGTAATTGAAATACCTCCTAAGTAAAAAAAAAAAAAAAAAAAAAAAAATCTTTCTTTCACTATCCTCTCACAACACACTTCTGACACCAGATGTGTGGGGATTTCTCCCCACCAGCAAGCAATTGATCAGTTCTGCAGTGGACACCAGCTGGCTGTCCTCCAATTCAATTCTGACACTATCTACTTGGAGATAGCATCAGATCTTGTGGGTTGAGGGCTCAGTCCCCAAAACTGCCCCCTGCCCCGACACACTTTGAATGCCAATTACAAGCCCCAGGATATTTTATTTTACCTATGTGTTTGTGACCAACTGGTTATAAAACTATAAAACAGGGTTCTTTGGGCTTGATTAATTTGCTAGCATGGCTCACAGAACTCAGGGAAACACATTTACTGATTTATTACAAAGATTATTACAAAAAATACAGACGGAGAGATGCATAGGGTGAGGTAAGGGGAAGCGGCCTGGAGCTTCCATGCCATCTCCTGGCCCAACACCCTCCAGGAAACTCCACATGAGCTATCTGGAAGCTCATCCAAACCCTGTTTTTTTAGGTTTTTATAGAGGCTTTGTTACATAAGTATGATTGATTACGTCATTGGCCATTGGTGATCCTCTTTAACCTTCAACCTCTCTTCTCTTCCCAGAGTTGCCAGTGTGGGCTGAAAGTTCCAACCCTCTAATCTGCCTTGGTCTTTCCAGTGACAGTCCTCATCATGAAGCTGCCTAGGGGCTCCCAGCCGTCATTAGCATACAAAAAGACATCAGCTAGAGATTCTAAAGATTTTAGGGGTTGTATGTCAGGAAATGGGAGGAAAACCAAATATATATTTCACAATACATATCACACCTTCCTTCGACTCTAGTTTGGGCTCCTGACTTGCTTTGGTCAACAGAATGAGGAAAAAGTGGCAGTGTGCCAGTTCTGAACCTAGGGCTCAGGAAGACTCGCCTGTTTCTGTTTATGTGTCATGCTCTAGACGTCACAATGAGAACATGCTTAGACTAGCCTGCTAGAGAATAAGGGACATGAGCCATGCTTAAGTCATCCCAGTCATCCCAGTTGAGGACAGCCTAGATCAACCAACAACCAGCCAAAATTCAGACATGGAGCAGAGCCACCTAGCTAATGACTCCAGACAGAGAATAAATGAATGTGTGTTGTCCAATGCTGCTAAGATTTTTGTGGATTTTTAATTAATTAATTACTTTTTAAAAATACAGATTCTTGCTCTGTTGCCAGGCTGGAATGCAGTGGCACAATCATAGCTCACCGCAGCCTCTACCTCCTGGGCTCAAGCGACCCTCTGGTCTTGCCCTCCCAAAGTTCTGGGATTACAGGCGTGAGCCACGGTGCCTGGCCTTGTGGATGTTTTTTAAGCAGCATTACTGCAGCAGATGATAATCAATACACCATTTTAAAAATCCAGAGAAGACATTAATAACACACCCTCCTTTGGTCTCATAGTCCCCTTCAGCTACTGCCTTGTATGTCTACTTTTCTTCACAACAAAACTTCTCAGGTTGATTACCTACTGACAGTTTCTACTCCCTCACCTCCCATTCTTTCTTCAGCCCTAATCACTCTGACTCCTGCTCCCACCACTACTCTGGAATTGCTCTCGTCAAGTCAGCAATGACTCTCATGGTGGCAAATCTGATGATCAAGTTGCTTTGTGATCTCACTGGGCTCTGTAGAAGCGTTCAACATATTTGATAACTCTGTTTGTCCCTTTTTTTCTTTTGGCTTCTGAAATACCTCCAGGTTTTCCTCCTATTTCATTGGTTATTCTTTTTTTTTTTTTTTTTTTTTTAGATGGAGTTTTGCTCGTGTTGCCTAGGCTGTAGTGCAATGGTGTGATCTTGGCTTACCACAACCTCTGCCTCCCAGGTTCAAGCAATTCTCCTGCCTCAGCCTCCTGAGTAGCTAGGACTACAGGCATGCACCACCACGCCCAGCTAATTTTGTATTTTTAGTAGAGACGGGGTTTCTCCACGTTGGTCAAGCTAGTCTTGAACCCCCAACCTCAGGTGATCCACCCACCTTGGCCTCCCAAAGTGCTGAGATTACAGGCATGAGCCACCATGCCCGGCCGGTTATTCTTTTTTTTAAAAAAAATCATTTTTTTTGCATTATAATGAACCTTTGCTCGTTCATTTTTTTTTTTCAAATACTTATTAGGCACCTATTGTGTGTCAAGCATTTTTCTGAATGTTCTGGTCACAGCAGAAAAACAAAACAAAATCCTTGCCCTCATGGGGCTTACATTCTAGTGACAGGAGACCGAAATACACAAATAAACAAGTAAGTGTATATCACATGGTGATACATTCTATAGAGAAAAATCAAGCAGATACAGGGGGATAGATAGTGATGGGGTTCCTATTCTAAATAAGGTGGTCAGTAAAGTCCTCATTGAAAGGGTGACATTTGCACGGACCCCAGAAGAACATAAGGAGTGAGCCATATGTCTTCTGAGGGTGGAGTATCCCAGACAGAAGGAACAGCAACTGCAAAGGCCCTGAGGCAGCAGTGAGAGTAGCAGGTCCCCCTGCCTCTTTTAAATATTTTATTATACTCATTTTCAAATCAATCGCTTGGCTTTTCAAATTGAAAGCTTCACTAAGAAAAAACAAAACAAAACAAGAAAACAAAAAAAAAAACAACAATGAAGCAATCCCTCACAAACGAATGTCTCAATTTAACACAGTTTAGGGTATGAGGAAAGGAAGGCCTTTTATATCTCATCTTGGATCATTTGCTCCAGTGTTCTGGAGCAGACTCTCTGATCTCTACACAAATGCTTACTGCTTATCTTTAAAAAATCTTTTTAAATGGTGACTCAGCTGGGTGCTTTCCAGTCCCTCTTCTCTTTCTGCACTCATGCCTTGGGGGAGCTCATCCATTTCCATAGTTTAAAATACCATCTAGAAGCTGACAATGCTCAAGTTGACAAGACTAGTCAAGACCTTACTGCTGAGCTTACTCAGATTCCAATAACCAACTAGATCACATCTAATGATCTAGATGTGATCTTGACACTTCCACTCGGGCATCTCAAAATTACCTACTTCCAAAGAGAACTCTTTATTACATCAATACTCCACAAAACTCAACCCTATCGCCCCAGTATTTTCCGTCTTTAGAAATGGCCATCTACTCAGTTGCTCAAGCCAGAACTCTGTTATCATCCTTGATTTCTCTCTTTTCACTATACCCCAAGTTCAAATTATTAATCACTTAGACTGTACCTCCACACCCAGGCACTTCTTTCTATCTCCACTTCACCCATCCTGTGCCAAGGCACCAGTACTGAGTACCATATCCATGATATTCATGGGAGAAGCCACTGCAAGTGTAAGATAAGAAAAATGAATCTAGACCATATCATCACACAACCCTATTTAACTAAATTTAAGATAAAGCAAACTTCCTAAAAGGCCAAACATATATATATATATATATATATATATATATATATATGAATATAATACCCAATGTTGACTTTTTCAATTAGTTTTATATTTTGCTTATGAACAGTATTTTATTTATGATATTGGATAGATCCCTGTGTATAGTGAGTTTTAAAGTAAAAATGAGCAAAATTTAGGTTGAGAAAATATTCAGAGGTGTGGAAACATCTCAGTGCTTTTTGTAAAGTCACTTTCATTTCTCTGATTTTATGATTTTTATATGTTCTAAGATGAGGTTGACAACTCTGGCCCTTTCTTACTCTAGTCTAGTTTATTAAATTATTAGATTCCTGGCTTTTACAATGTGAATAGAGTCTTTTGTGAACATGAATAACTATTATTTTAATAATAACTCACCATGCTAAAAATTGGCATTTAAATTTATAAATAAGATCAGAGCTGCTGACCTCTTTCAGTGAAGAAAAGAACAAAAAGAGTTAAGTTAGCAACTCATTCTGATAGTCCACCTAAATCAATTAGGATGTTAAATCCATGCATAAAATAATGTTTAATAAAAATCCTTTAAAGGGAAAATTGTTTCATTTTAAACTGAATGAATACAAAAGATGACATGAGTTTCCCGGATTACCACTATGAGGCTCTAAGACACCAGACTCAGGCATTGCTAATAGTTCAACAGTAATTGGAATATTAATAGGACATGTCATTCTGATTATATAGAATATGCATCAGAGTATTTTACCAAACCCTTCTGGATTGATTGGAGATTGCCAGAGAATAATCTGATTGTTGCTTTTCTCAGTTTAAAAGCCCCATTTCAGTATGCTTCTCGCAGACTCTATTTGAGGACATATTCAAAATAAAATCGATGCATTTATAACTTAATTAGCTGGTCTATATTGATTCGTGTTCCAGATATCCAGTTTGCATAGCATTATTGCTTTCACTAACTACTTGTAAATATATCCTAGGTGCCATATTGGGTTAATGCACTAGTTTTTTCCCCCGGAGGGAACTGAACTAGCAGCTGCCATAAGTCATCAGTAAAGTTCTATGTTTCTCAGTTTTCTGCTAGTCAATACATGTTAATAAGATGTCAAACTCATTTATCACTTAATCTCAGTCAAGTCCTGGGCTCTGTATATAACATTAGATCAGAAATGGTTGTTTTACAATGAATGTACTGTTCAAAAGTGAAGGGAATCTTGGCATTTAAACAGTTGGCTCTCTCTGCTCCATGGTTTATATAAAAGAGGGGTCAGGATGTCACTGGAACAATGACGCAAGAGCATAACCTGCCAGGGTTTGGATCTAGTCACCTGTTCTCATCCTGCCCAGTTTCAGAAGCGGAAGATGACTTTTCAACTTTGCCTGCCACACGTTTACCCAGAAGTTGTCATATAAAAAGAAAAAAGAAATCAGGCCATATGTTACTTCAATATTCTCCTGACTTAAAAAAGCAGTGGAGTCCATGCTATATGCCCAGGACTGGTCACTCTTCTCTAATTACATCAAGTGAATTTTTGAACTTTGCTCTCATAACATGCAAATATTCCCCAAGCAGTGGAGGAATGGCAAAACTCAACTCTTGAGGACTGAAGCAAACAGAGGCTTAAAGATGTAAATGGACTTCAGACTTGAAGCTCTGGCTCTCTGGGCTTGTTTAGGATGTCATTGATTTACTTACTCCATAAAGGTGGAGAGAGAGAGGATGGGGAGATAGGTTTAATTAATCTTAAATATCTCTGCAATTTAAGAATTGTAGGCCTGGAACAGTTCCTGTACTAACATGATTAGCAAATATTGACTTTTGAATACAATAATAATGTGTCATCTAAAACCCTTGATAAGTAACTTAAGTACTTCCTTAGCTTGCATCTTATTAAATTAGATGAGGTATGGTGGAGGCACATTACACAAAGACACTGAAATGAAAAATCAGACCTAAGTGGGTTTTAACATTGATTCTAAGGGAGCCAAAAGTCACAAAGAAAACATGTATGCTTCGGTTCTGCAACCTATGAATAGAAGCTGTTTATTTTCTCTAAACGGATTTTTTTAAAGTACGCAATAATTTTCATGGTGCAACTGTAGTAAACAGTCACAATTTGTGACTTTGTGACAGCTGTAATCAATCATCAGATTACGTATGATGACCATATAATTTTAGTTTTATGGAAGGTTAACTTACATAGATTGTGAGCTTTTGATGTTAAAATATAGAAGAAAGATCCATGTTACAGCAGGGAGCCTGTAAATATGGAAAGGATGATCTACCCAACTCCCTTCATAAGGTTTGACTTAAAAATGTGTACAAGTCAGCTAAGAAAAGAGTTAAAAGATGTGATACTAGTCAGCTGCAACCTGACAAATCTTACTGTATTGATTAGTTTTCAAAGGCTGTATGGCATGTGTACTCTATTTACAATAGAATTGGAATGAGAAGAGCAAAGCCTCCAAATGTCATCAAAGCAAATGGTCTGTGAATGTTGCTCCAAAGCTAGTCATTAGTTGCCAGGGTATTTGGCTGCAAAGCTTGTAAAGACGTTTCTCTGGAGGGGAAGGTATGACAAAATGCACTTCTTGGCAAAAAGACTTCGGCTCAAATAGCAGCACACATTAATTCTTGCTTGATTACATAAAATTAATTAGAGGATTAACATCCTTCATGAAATTTTGCCTGTTTTTTATCCTTTTCTTTAAAAAAAAAACAAACAAAAACAGGAATAGACCCCAGGCCTTTTTGGTTCTCTAATGAAATTGCAAATTGACTTGTGTTCAAATGGTGCTTGAGTAAAATGAACAATTAAAAATGTATTGCTAACAATGAGATGTATCAGCTGATCTCTTTAAGGATTAATTAGTTCCAGGAATGATCTTTCTTATACAACAGACCAAGGGGGATAGAGCCGTCAAGGGCAGAAAAGAAGGTATCAAAGAATAGGTTTTTAATGCATGCAAGTGCACACATGAGTGTGTGCATCCATATACACACATGTAGTAAAAGAACACAGAAATACATGCAAGCATCTTTACAGGTTTAGACTGTAAAGATGAGCTGCAGCATCCTTAGAGATATTTATTCCACTTCAGCTAGGATGATTCGACTGTTGCTGATTAGTGATCCATTAGTTAGCTTGAAGGCAGCCAACAGATTTTACCGATTGTAATTTATCATTAAAGCAGAGAAATGCTTTAGGTATTTAAATAATGTATGCAGATAAATTCACTCTTATTAATTACCCACCTGTACCAACCTTGTAAGAATCTTTGCCCCCTATCAAAAGTTTGCTCTCTTGAGGAAATTTTCAAAGTTAACCAAAAAAAGAAAAGCTCTCTCCCTTTGTATTTGTCAATTCTGCATTTCAATCCACCCCTTCACAAAATATCTGATATGTTTCTGGTTACACTTTCAGTGCTTAAAAATCCTAAAATTATCTCCACATTTGCCATTGAGGATTGAGGACTTATTTTGCAAAATATGATACCTCTGTCATTTCTTTAGCAAAGATTTCAGATACAGTAGGGATAAATTGGAGTCCCCAGAGCCCACAGCAAAACTCCAGGGGAAATGGACATTGTTTTCTTCTTCAAGACCAGTTTCAATAGATGATATTCTAGAAAATGTCATTTTTCTTAGGCTGCCCTAAAGTCAGATCTCCTCATTGCCGGTATTGTGCCGTGTCAGCCTAAAAGGGCATTTAGCATTGAGGCATTTGGTAAAGACTGCTTTATTGTACTTCATCCTCTCTACAGGGCATTCTGAAGAGATGAATAAGAAGTGCGAACAGGAAGAACAAGTTTCCAGTCCTGTCAAATTAATTAGACTAGCGTAGAATGAGGTGAGGTTTGCCATTAGGTAGGTTGAAAACATGTAAAGAAAATCATCTATGCAAACTGAAAGGATTTTTTTTTTTTTTTTTTTTGAGATGGAGTCTCACTCTGTCACCAAGGCTGGAGTGCAATGGCATGATCTTGGCTCACTGCAACCTCTGCCTCCCAGGTCCAAGCGATTCTCCCACCTCAGCCTCCCGAGTAGCTGGGATTACAGGCACCCACCATCACACCCGGCAAATTTTTGTGTTTTTAGTAGAGACGGGGTTTTGCCATGTTGGCCAGGCTGGTCTCGAACTCCTGACCTCAGGTGATCGGCCCACCTCGGCCTCCCAAAGTGCTGGGATTACAAGCGTGAGCCACCGCACCTGGCCATCTGAACGGATTTTAAGAGGGCAAGGAGCCCTCTTATATTTTTGTGTGTTTGTGCAAGAGACATTATACACGTGGATAACTGTGTTGTATATAAATGTATAGCATCTTTGAATGGAGAATGGTCTGTGTGTTTACACGACACACAACATTTGCAAAAAAAAAAAAAACAAACATGGCAGGCCAGTTGGAAAAGGAGAGCCACAATTAAAATAACACCTATTTAATTTTTTAGAAACATAAAATATATGACCTTTTACTTATAGGAGCAAACCCTAGTTTGGACTAAGAACTGAATCATGTGAGCTTATGGGGAGATTCATCAGAGCAGAGGGAACAATGCAATTTGGTGGTTGTTTTACCAGGTTCCAGTTGGGTGCTTTGAGCCTCAGATCTCCTGTAGGCAAAGATACAGGAGAGGGAGAGTTACATGTATGGTTAGGTGCTATTATCAATGCAGGGCCTAGTGGGTCATTTAAGCTCATTTTAAATGACCTTTTGAGAAACATTTCCATAGACTTCACTCTATTCTGGAAAATTGATCTTGGTAATTGAAGTAATCAATTTGTGTATCTGTAGAGCACCCACTGCTTTGGACCGCCCCCACAAAGCAAGCTGGCCAAGATTCCATCATGCAAATTGATGTTTTGATATTGAGTTCCAAAGTGGCAGGCTGCAGCTACCCTGTTCCTCTTAGTCCAGAGAAGTAGTTCACCTCCCCAAGCATGGGATGGATGTCCATTGCACTAGTTTAAACCTTGCTAAACCAAATCATTTCCCGAATCACATTAAGGTTGGTAAGTGATTTTATTTATGCAAACGACATGGGGTCATGAAACTATGTTTTCATATGTCCAACTTTGTTGTTGGTGGGGTTTTTTTTCGCTGTTGTTATTATTATTATTATTATTATTTTTGAGGCAGAGTCTCAATCTGTCACCCAGGCTGGAGTGTATTGCCCAGGCTGGAGTGCAATGGTGCGATCTTGGCTCACTGTAGCGTCGCCTCCCGGGTTTCAAGCAATTCTTGTGCCTCAGCCTCTTGAGTAGCTGGGACTACAAGTGTGTGCCACCACACCTGGCTAATTTTTTTTGTATTTTTTAATGGAGACAGGGTTTCACCATATTGGCCAGGCTGATCTTGAACTCCTGACCTCAAATGATCCACCCACCTTGGCTTCCCAAAGTGCTGGGATTACATGCGTGAGCCACTGCACCTGGCCCAACTTTGTTTTTTAACCTTTGTGGTCTTCATGTATCTCACCAGTTTCAAATCCACTTTCTCTGGCCTTTTATAGTTCCCTTTCTCCTCTACCTAGCATCCGTCAACATTGATGGATCACATTCCAGGCCCTCTTTTTAATAAAGAAAAGAGACTGTACAATTGTCAGTGATCCTTTCTTCTCTGCTTCTTTATATCCTATCCTGCAGCATCTTGGGTAGAAGTCCAAAGCTAATTCCAAGTGAGGGATGCTTCCCTACCATCAGGTTATTTTTGGAATTGATGCTCTCATTTCATTTTGTTCTGTTTTTTCATTAACAGGTACAGGAAGGCAGAACTGCCTCATATCTGAGTCAGAATGCTGGGCTTGATTTCTCATGTAACTGATGAAAATGTCTTACACAAAATGATGACCGTAAGAAACATCAGAATACTTGCTTTGCCGGATGACACCAAGATAACTAGAAGGTATTTCTACTTTCTTTTTGGATGTCAAAAAGTCTGTTTCAACTTCTCATTTTTTCAGGGAAAGCCAACTGCTCTTCAGTTATAGCAGCAGGACATGTTATCTTCCAAACAAAAGAAATTCATGTTCATGATGAGTAACATTTCCAATTAAAATTCATCATGAACAGCAGGCTTTATATCTTTTTTTGAACAGTGTGAATCATTTTTGATGCTGGGAAATGTGCTTCATTTACCTCCATTTTGTCATAGAGTGTCTACTTCCACTAGAATTTGTTATATATTAGTAAATAAAACATCATCTGACATTTTTGTCACTTCTTATGTTGGGGTGCTGATGAAAATAATGAGAATGCTCAGAGGTTATGGGAAATTGTTTATCAAGGAATGTAGGTGATGCTGCAAAGTATAAGTAATGCCATACAGCTGAATGATTGATCCCTGCTGCATATTTTAAAGCTCCCTTCATTGCTTATCGAAACCTTTTAGGTAATGCACTCCTCTCAGATATCATTTTATGCTTGAAAAGCTTTATAATTCATAACGAAAAGTTGCTTAGTTACCTCAAGTGAATCCACAGGTCCAATTATTCTCCGTGCAAATGGTTGGACTCCATTTTGACCAATGTTTATGGTGTTTGGCAATTTTTCAGTGGCTACTTTGCTCTGATATGATTAATTTATTGCATAATACTCTGCTTTGCATGTGTGGAGCCTAAATAATCTTAGTAGGCAGAAAGGAAATAAAAGACCTATGTCTTTCGAACTTGGAAACATTGGAAACATAACATCACCACGTCAATACTGCCAAAACCAATACCAGTTAGCCTCGATAAAGACAACTTGTATGTGCTGATGACACCCAGTCTTGGGACAGCCAGCCCTTCCCTTGTCCCATTCCTTGCCTTCTCTACCTTCAGAGATCCAAGCAGGGGAGAAGCAGCAGCCCCAGAACTTACCAAATCAGATTCAATCACCAGGAAACTCCTGGCATCTTCCCATCAGTATCTTTTCCTGTGGCTTTCCTGGGCCTCTTTCTTTGACAAAGTTACATAGAACACATGCTCTTATTAAATGGCTACACATGAGGTTGCCAACCCTTTTGTGGAAATATAAGGAACATACATATCTGTCAAATGAATGAATGAGTGAACTCAGGATCTATAAGTGTGGTGACTGCTGGGCTTCTGACCTTGGGAAAGTGTTTATCTACCTCTGTCCTTAGAGGATTTCCTGATGCCCTTACACTGTGAAATTCTTGCTTTCTCTGAGGTTTCTTATTCTGTTTCTATTTCCTTCAATCCCTTGCCACTTTTCTTTTGATCATTGGTATACGGTTGTGAAATGACTGCATAGGATAGGAAGCCTGGAGATGGAAAGAGCATGGGTTTTGAAATTACACCAACCCAGGTTAAAATCACCATTTGGCAAATCACTAGCTGGCAGCCTTGGGAGATATTACTTAACCTCATACAGCCTCAATTCCCCCACCTGAAAAACTGGAATAACTCTCTCTCTCTCTCTCTCTCTCTCTCTCTCTATATATATATATATATATATATATATATATATGTGTGTGTGTGTGTGTGTGTGTGTGTGTGTGTGTGTGTGTGTGTATAGCAAAAATGCATTAGAATTAAGATGAAATCTCCTGTGCAGATATACTAGGAATACTCATTTATTTTATCTAACACTCCTCTAGCACTTCCTGAAGTATGTCCCAGATGTTCCAGGTACTGCTCTAAGCATTCGATGTACCAATGAGGTAGTTGCTATTACTCCCTCCATTTCACAGAGAAAGCAACTGAAGAACAAATGGATTAAGTAACTTGACCAGGGTCTCATGGCTTGTAATTGGCAGAGGCAAGATTAAAACCAGTCTGGCTCGCTACGGAATCTGCACTCTCAACTACAGTCCAAAGCTGCCTGCCATAATGATGGCTTCCATTATTATTATTGTGATCATTGTCCTCATCACTATTACTATCATTATGACTACAACCAGGGGCACTTGGAAGACCTGGAATCAAGTGGAGATAAGCGGCGCATAGGGTGCTAGTTAGGCACAGAGCATCAGGGCGGCAAATCCAGACCTTTCCTTTCATTTTGTATCACAAAGCCTGTGGGAAGACATTATCACAAATGAACAGCCTAAAGCCAATGCCACAGCTCAGCATCCTCAGCTCTGTTCAGTGGTAAGTGTTCATGTAGCCCAAGGGCTCAAGGCCATTGCAAGCCATTGCATCTTCATATAATGCTAAAATTTTCACTCTTGTTCAGGTCTTCACCATACATTAGGTTGGTGAGGCAGCTCTTACGACAAAATTAATTTACAGAGGAAAAATATTTTTATTAAAAGATAGCTCTTTTAGCCAGACACATACCTGCTGTCTCCACTACTACGTAAGCTGAGGCAGGAAGATCACTTGAGAGCAGGAGTTTGGAGACTATGATGAGCTCTGATTGCACCTGTGAATAGTCACTGCACTCCAGCCTGGGCAACATAGAGAGACCCTGTCTCTTAAAAAAAAAAAAAAAAAAAGACTGCTCTTTTTAAGTACTCTTTCATTACATAGATGGCAATAACAAATATTCTCTCTTTTTAAAGATGAAACACTACTGAGCATCTGTCAAATAAGATGGCAACGTTTTCCTCCTCTCAGAAGCAGGAAAAGAATGTAAAATTATCGCTATGGGAAAAAAAAACTCACCTGCTACAGTCATCAGCTCAGTTTATTTGAAAGAAATCCTAGCTTGTCAACTTTGCTTTCCTCAACAAATGTCCCTGAAAGTAGCGGGATTTAGAGATTTCAAGAAAATGTGGAAGTAACTCTGTTCAGCTCAGCTCTATGGACAGAGGATGGGGAAAGAAGAGGGTGGTAGTTCCATATCAAGGTCTGTTGCTCAACCTTGAAAATAGAGACTCATACTTAATCACAGATGATTTTGATGCTATTGTTGGCAAAACAATAGGAAACCACATAGAACATGCCTTTATTTTCTAAAGACTAACCAGAAAGAATGATTTAGTTAAAATTTTCATGATTGTCACCACAATTCATTTCTTATCAAGAGCTACCCATATCTAGAAAAAGTGAAAATCAATAAAAAACAGTGAAATATTCCTGAAAGGTGCATGTAGGCTCTTCTCCCCTGCCCCTGCCTATTTATAGTACTTATAGGTGAATACATCCACTACGCCTATGATCCTCTGAGAGTGGTTGGATGCTTTTATCTTCCAACCTGGAAATATGTGAATGTAAAGCCATGATGTAACACACAGGAACACACCCTTTACCTAGGAACACACCCTTTGCCTAGGAACACACCCTTTGCCTAGGAACACACCCTTTCATGTACTTACATTTGAGACTAAATAAAAAGTCTCTGCAAATTTCATGAAATTATTTAAATACAAGGCACACTTGCAAACTATAATCATTTTGCATCTCAATGAAAGACACAGAATCATAATCAAAATTGCAATATCTAGTTTTAATGTACTGGATTACATTAAAATAGTATTACTATTTGAGAATCAAAAAGAAAAAAATATAAGTAAAAAGGCAAGAAAAATATTTTTTAATGTTGAAGTCCTGATAGGAGACTTTGCTATGTAGATTTAGGCATCAGGGAAGACTTTTCACATCAGAAATGCCAGCCACTTTCCCACAAGAAAGAATATTATGTGCACATCTTAATAATTCAGTTCACTAGAACTTTTTCTGATTCTCCTTCCTCTATTTGTAAAATAAACAATTTTAAAAAGCTTCATGTAGTAACCATGGAAAAAGAAAAAGGCATGTATTGATAATCTGAGATTGGTGATTTTTTTTTTTTTAAAGAATTGGTATGTCAAAAGCATATGCTGTGCCTCATGGCCAATATGGAAATGTCAGGGGTTTAATTGGCAGCTGTGAATAGCAGCACCTGCAAACAGCTCAGGGCTTGTTCCTGTGGTCTGGCAACATTCTTACTTAATGCTTTAAATAAAGGCTTACTCACTGGGACAGAAATAACTGACAATGGATGATTGATGATTGTCCATCACGCAATGGCTGACGTCTACCATTCACCAGGTCTGTTTACGAGCGCACGCCCAGATTTCATTAACAGGGGCATGACATCCAGGAGTGGGCCTGCCACAGATGGCCAGTCAGTAATCTAGTTCAAAACACCTAGAAGAGACCAAGATTTGTTAATCTGGAAAAATAGATTGTTGCAGATTCAGAATGCCTTATGAAGATGATTTTCAAAGTTCCCTTTTCTTTTTTTCTGCTTGTGTTCTTTTGTTTTGTCAATGTGTTTGGTTTCAAGTTCAATGTCAGGTTACATTTCTCTGATTCTTATTCCATACTGACTTTGCATTTGAAAGATGCGATGGCAGAAAGACGTATACAAGGAATTATATTTCTAATCATTAATTTATAACACTAATGTCTGGGGGACTATTCAAGCTTTGAGTATAGTCAATTTTACTATTTCAATTAGGAGGGCAAAAAAAGTGCAAAGAAATAAATCCACAGTGCATATACATGGCTAACGTGAATTTTCACACCTGGACATTCGTCAGCCCACAGCACGCCTCCAGGTACAGCCAAAAAACACACCAGCATATGTGGTGTACTGCAAAGAGCACTGGGATAGCAAACCTTTCCAAATAAACACCGCTAAATTAAAGCAGCTTTGCCCTGTTCAGTAAAACAGCCCATAGTATCTTGGGCTGACATGTTGTAGTATGAGACTAACACTAAGCTTTAGTTTTCTTCTTCCTGTTTCTCCTCCCTAAAGTCTCTTTTTCCCAGCTACAATGTTTTGTGGTACACATATACCTTGATTATTATTTCTCTCCAGTTAAGGATTAATCTCCTCTGATGCACTTACAAACCTTTTCATGGTTAGTGACTGGACCATGGGTTGGTTTGTTTGCTTGTTGGTGGGTTTTATTTTTTGGCCTACCTTTTGGACAGTGGCAGTTTCTACATCCTGTTTGGGAAAGGTGATGTCTTTGTCTTAAGTAATGGAGTCTTCCCCTAGAATTTTGCTCATTGCCTTTTCAACCACTTGTGAACTTATTTCTACAAATGGTTGTATTCTAGGCATTTCATTGGCAAAACTTGAGTAAAGTGGCCTATTTGTTTTTAGCCCTTTCTGAGTCTCACTGTATTCTCCTGAGGAAAATAGGGCAGGGATCATTTTCTTGTCATTTCAGTGCAAGAAAAGCTAGACCAAGAGAAGTCAAGCAACTGGAACCACATCCCACAACTTTAGCTAGCACAAGAGCCTCTACGAGCATCCAGGACTCACATGTGGCACTTGAGGGATCTTTCCACTGGGCTATTTGGGTGTGAGGCATGTGGACTGGATGGCACAGATCACCTGCTTTTTGGGGTCATCAATGAATATACAACCATAGCTAGAGAATGGCTGCCCTGCCAAAGTCCTAATTCAACCCCAAACAGTGTGCATAGCAGTGAACAAACATGGAGGACCAAGCATGTGCCAAAGGCCATGCTCTTTGCCATTCAGAACATTACTGCAAAATAAGAAAGGTCTGCCTTGCCTCTGAAATTGCTACCTTTGAATATGTATCTATCTTGGCTTTTTAAGTACTTTTTGTTTTGTTTTGTTTTGCTGTACAATCTGCTGTCTCTCCTTTTGTTTAATTGCATTCAGTTTTACAATTTCCCCCAGGAAAAGCAGCTAATTATATTTTAGCACAGAGAGAGGCAGGTGTTAGCTAAGATGTAAGAGTCCTAATTTTAGCCTTGATAATTCATGCAGTTTAGCTGGATCTCAATGTAAAGTCACCAGACTGGGTGTGTGAGCTCATCATTTTAGGCTTTCTGAAATTTGCATGGGATCATGTGACTACAGATTTGCACTTTGAGCTTGTAAATGACAAAGGGTTGGCAATAATTGAAATGGTTGTGTTGTAATCTTGTGTCCAAGGAAATATGGTCCAATGGTAAATCCAAATAAACTGAACATGGGAAGTGCATTTGGATAAGATCATTTGGATAAGCAGCCAGGCTTCTTGGGGTTGAACCCTGTCTGTACATTTCCTAGCTGTGTGACCTTGCGCAAGTCATTTAACCTCTCTGTGCTTCTGTTTCTTTATCTAAAAATTTAAGATAGGCCTGGGCGTGGTGGCTCACGCCTGTAATCCCAGCACTTTGGGAGGCTGAGGCGGGCAGATCACGAGGTCAGGAGATCGAGACCATCCTGGATAACATGGTGAAACCCCATCTCTACTAAAAATATAAAAAATTAGCCAGGTGTGGTGGCAGGCACCTGTAGTCCCAGCTACTTGGGAGGCTGAGGCAGGAGAACGGCATCAACCCAGGAGGCAGAGCTTGCAATGAGCTGAGATTGTGCCACTGCACTCCAGCCTGGGGGACAGAGAAAGACTCCATCTCAAGAAAAAAAAAATTAGGATAGTGTCAGTATATATCTGTAGGTCGTTGTGGGGATTAAATGAGGTAAGTTATGTAAAACTCATCACAATACCTGGGTCATAGCTAGGTATCTATATTTTTATATTCAGGGAATAATTGTATTGGAAAAGCCTAAGATTTTTGGAACAGCAACAGCAGCAAAGGCAGAAATTAGAGAAATATCCAGAAGCAAATTCTCCTCTAACAAATATTGGCATTTCAGAACATATCTGAAACAAATGTTTGCTCTTGAGATGAGTAGGTTCCCCAGTACTGAGATCATCTTCGTTTCCATGGACATGGCATTTACAGTCAAAATATCCAATTATATCCGTGAGAATACTCCTCCAATTGTTCTGATGTGTTTGTGTGTGTCTCTGTGTGTGCTTGTGTGTATGTAGGACTTTCTTCCAGGTTCAGAGATAGTAGGGGGCAGTGTCATGTAGACCAAACAACCAAACGACTTACTGAATTTTTTTCATCCCTACTGGTTGTTTTAAGTAGGGACAGCTCTGGCCCAACTCTGTTGACTGTAGCTTCTGAGCTGTTCTCACAGGGCCTACAGGGGAGTTACTGATTGTTTTCCCAGGAATCTGCCAAGTGCGGTGGTGTATGATGGAACATGCCACTTCCCTATCTCTGGAACCTGAGTATGAGTTGAGAATAATGATCATTTCTGCTAATGAGTAATTAAAAACAATTTCAAGACTACCTCTAACCTCTGCATTTGTGAATGCCACCCTTTCTTAAATGCTATACCGAGGTTCTTTGCTAAGGCTCAAAGTCTTCCATTCCTCTCTCTGACTCCAAATTCAATCAATCAAGTCTTCCTTTCTAGTAGTTCTCATATTTATTTTATTCACTCTATTTAAGATCCACTTTATCTTTCATTTGGACTATATAATGACCACCCATAGAGCCTTCCTGATTCTAATCTGTCTCCCTTGAAATCCCTAATCCAGCCTCCAAAGTGCCTCTAGAGTAATATTTTTTAAATCACAAACTTTTTCATGGTTCACCATTGTCCACAGAATCAAAGCCAAGTTTCTTTGTATTGCACAAAAGGCTTTGCATGATTTAGTTCCTGACAGCATGGCCAGCCTCATCTCCCTCCTCTTGCTGCCTGCGTTCTAACTACACAAAGCTGTTTGAAGTTTTGTATCTCTCTCTTCCCTTTTTCTCTCTCTGGTGTTTCATTCTTTAATGCTCTCCTAAACATTATTTCCTGTGTACAAATCATCTTCCTTTTGTGACTGTAGCATGCTTCTATTAATATTTTAAGATTTGCTCATGCCTGTAATCCCAGCACTTTGGGAGGCTAAGGTGGGCAGATCACGAGGTCAGGAGATCAAGACCCTCCTGGCCAACATGGTGAAACCCCGTCTCTATTAAAAATACAAAAATTAGCTGGGTGTGGTGGCGGGTGCCTGTAATCCCAGCTACTCGGGAGGCTGAGGCAGGAGAATTGCTTGCACCCGGGAGGTGGAGGTTGCAATGAGCCGAGATCACGCCACTGCACTCCAGCCTGGTGACAGAGCAAGACTCCATCTCAAATAAAATAAAATAAAATAAAATAAAATAAAGATTCTGCTTGGGTTTACCTTTTCCTTGACTTCTACAGAAAAAAAATTGTCATTTCTTCCTCTGGGCTATCTTTGTACAGATACAAATGAGATTGGTACACTGTATGGTATTTGTTTGTTTTACATCTGTTTCCTTTACTAGATAGTATGTCTTTGAATGTGGACCATTTCATTCATTTTTATTTCTATAATCATTATCATGGCCTTTAGGTACAAGGTAGATATACAATGTGCATTGTGAACAGTTATTAATAGTTACACAGTAATTCAAAGATTCATCTAGACAACTATATATAACATTGGATAAGAATTGAAAATTCTAGCTTGTGTAAATGAAGCATTTATTGAGAAACATGCCTTAGATTGAAACAATTCTTCATCTGATGCCTTTGATGATGCAACCCAGGCAAATACTTGCTTACCATCCTCAAAAATTCTATAACTCATCAAACTTAATTAAACGGTTAGAATCTTATCCTTTTAATTAGTGCTTGCACTTGAAAACTTTAAAAATAATGTCAATAATGACTAATAAGCTTTGAGCTTTTTGGTTTACGTGGTTCCGTCTCTAATTGTTGGCAGATTGCTACAGTCCTATCCTTTTGCAACACTGTGTATTTTGTATGAAAGTGACTTTTCCTCTTATTTCAGAGGGAGGAGAACATCCAAAATAATTACTAAGGAGAGAATATCTGAAATAATTAGGGAACAAACTTTGAGGACTCAAAAACAAGCACATGTCATCACCTCTCAAGATGGGCATATCTGGAAGGCCTATGTTATTCTTATTGCTGCGGTGGGGGACCCATGTCCTCCATACCCAAGCCTCTTGAAGCTTATAGAGTAGAAAATTCCTCACAATTTTCATTAAGAACCATTATATCAAGGGAATCATCATTCAGCTATGACAGATTGCTTTGCAGTGTAATGTTTTTCATCTTGAGAGCAAATGTTTCTTCAATCAATTTTTTTAAAGGGAGAAAGTAAGTAGTTATTTTGAATACATGTAAAATGCAAATAAAGTGACTATGGATGTTTGGGGAGCTCATACAATAGTAAGTCCAAAATAACTTTGATTTAAAAATTGAACATTGGCAAGTGATCAATCAATACTGGCCTCTAACTGCTTTTAGTGTCTTGACTAAATAAAAATGTTATTTTAGTGGCAGAGACATTTCACCTTGAAAAGCGGCCATGGAGCATGCACAATGACTACAAGGATGTTTTCCCTGGAATACATAATCCACACGCTCAGCTTCATGCACATCCTGGATACTGCCTGCCTCTGATTGACATAAGGCATTTTAATTTAAAAATGTTTCTCAAAGTGCCTAAACATATGTTTATGCACTATAGCTATTGAGTAGTATTACATAGAAATGCAAAATCTTGGAATGAAAGTTGACTCTGTGCAGGACCACACAATGGAATATAATGGAAACCAGAAAAGGAGAGGACTTGTGTCATTTTGTAGGCAAGGCAAAAAAAAAAAAAAAAAAATCCTTTAACAATTCAGTCATGTTAAAATTGGGAGACAATACTGACATAAGAAATACAGTCGATGTTAAGACAGTAGAGTCCTTCTTCACCACAGCAGGTCTAGACAGCTCCCACAGCCATGTCTGCCCTCTCACAGGGTGATATGTAGCCCTTCTTAGAGGGTGGTAAGAGCTCCGAAGGGAACATCAGTGCAGGGTCTTAGTTAATTTCCTTTTGCACAGGTGTCTGTGTCATAGTGGTTTTAAATTTGCTAGGAGGCAGCTTAATGGGGACAGCCTTAGGTGCACAACACTGCAACTCACCAAACCTCAAGGCAAAGTGCTCACCCGATAGAGAACGCATGTGGTTCCTTCCTGGCTGAGACTTTGTGCCAGAATCCAGCTTTATGCACCTCCCTTTCTGTCCCAGAAGGGGCTTCACCGACTTGCATGATGTGCTGTGCGTGGCCAAGACTGCTTCTTGTGGTGTGTGCTAGGTGAATACAGATTCAGCTCTCCTCCCAGTGTTCTGTGGGAATGGTGGTGACAGATATTGGATGGTTCTAAATACAGATATCAGAATGTCTACAATAAGATGCATAGAACATAATCCAAGTGAGATGCAGTGCTTCAACCATATAGCCTGTGCCCCAATTATTGATGGCAAATAATGAGCTAGATCTGATCCAGCCCCTCCTCCAGAGGCAATGCAGTCCATTTCTTTTCTTTTTTTGGAGATGGAATCTTGCTCTGTTCCCCAGGCTAGAGTGCGATGATACGATCTTGATCTCAGCTCACTGCAACCTCCGCCTCCCAGGTTCAAGCAATTCTCCTACCTCAGCCTCCCAAATAGCTTGGATTACAGGCACATGCCAACATGTCCAGCTAATTATTTAATTTTTTTTAGTAGACAGGGTTTTACCACGTTGGCCAGACTGATCTTGAACTCCTGACCTCAGATGATCTGCCCACTTCAACCTCCTTAAGTGCTGGGATTACAGGCATGAGCCACTGCGCCTGGCCAATACAGTCAATTTATTATGAACTCCTGTGTCATTGATGATTTGTCTATATCAGTGGTTCCCAATTAAACTGACAGGAGCCTGGCACTGTGATGCCCTGGGGAGAAGGGTGACAAAAAGAATCCAGTATTGCAATTCTGCTATCAGCCAAATGGAGCTTCTTTTGCTGAAACCTTGGATTTTTAACAGCAGTGATAACCTCTGAGAATCACCTTGGGATTTTGGAGGAAGTAAAGTTGAAAAATGACCCTTGGATACTAAACTTGTTTAGGGCAGGAATATGGTTTTCTATAACTTCATTGAGGGTGGGAATATTTGGTCAGAAACAACACTTTACTATACCTGCACTGAGCATCCAATTGTCCTCCGATTGGTTGAAAAATGAAATTTTTCATAGAGCTTCAAATCCAGTCTTCTGGTCTCGAGGTCTGGAAGGCAGGGCTCTTGTTCCAACTTTGGGCCACTGAAGTTTTCAAACCTTGGTATTTCCTTCTGAAGCTGCTGTGGAATCTTCAGCTTCACTGCACTACAGGACTAATGAAGGCAGGTTTTCTGAAACTGTGAAGGGTACCTTTTTAGATTCTAACTTCTTCATTTGTAAAATGATGTTAGCAATGTGGTATTACCAAAATGATGTTACCATGATGATTTCTATCTAAGGCTCCTTCTGTTCTGTCACAGATCACTCCATGATTCTGATTACCATTCTCTGTAAGACTTTCTCTTATTGTTCTGGGATACTTGAAAGAATATTTCTCGTATAGTTAGAAGCTGATCATTTTAAATTCTCTTTAGACAAATGTTTCTTTCATGTGGTGCACCATTTTCAAATGCAATTTGGGGCCGCTTTTTTCTTGTTGGATCTGAGATGGATCACAGGGGTTTGCCCCTAGTCTTCAAACACACAAGCAAACCAGGGTCTGGGAGATTTATAGTTTACATCATCATCGTTGTCGTAGTCATCATCCTCATCCTCATGATCTTCTTCTTGTTTTTTTTTCCCCCTCCAGATTTAATCTAGCAGACTACACTGACCTGGCTTAAGAATTTTTCAAATATAAATGATCTAAATGTTACCTTACTTGGCAAAACAAAGGCAGAGCAAGTAATTTTCTCAAATCTCTCTTCGGGCATGCCTTATAAGGAAGATTTTCTTTCTGGGGGGATTTAGACTCTCATTAATCTATTTCTTCTTTCAACAATAAAATGAAAAATGGAATGAGATTATCAAAATGGATAGTCTGGTGTGGACCTGATAACACGCTTTTGAAAAGTGGTTTACATTTGACATCAGTTAAGCTCCTTGGGCCAAGGCGTCTCAGGTCTGCTATGTGGGGCCTGGACTCCACTCCCAGTGTGGTCACAAATATGCTTTATTGTTTCAAAGGCCTCTCAAGGCAGTTGGAAGGATGAATGAATTCCTAGGGCAGTAAGTATTAAGTCATCGGCAAAACTATAAATATCTCCTAACCCTATCTTATGGAGAACTTATACAAAGACATTTTTGTGCAGTATGCTTTTTCCTTAACCTAGACATATATGTATTTTAAATTTGTATTATTTTACACATTTTTATACATGGTACAAAAAGGTAGGTAGTATAAAGTGAGCAATATAGATATTTAAAAGTTGATGCATCTTTCTTTGTGCCCTTTGGCACACAGAGTGTGACTGTTTCTTCTGTAAGGATTTTTAACAATCTTGAAGGAGTGGAAAATTCTGTGTTTCTTGTAATTGCAAGGACAATGGCAGTTAAAAAAGCCAATGTATAACTTCAAAATAATCATTTCAAAGTAATTATTCAGAACGTACAGAGTAGCTTAAAGAAAAACAACAAGCTGACAACACACCTTATAGTATTCACTGGCTTTAAAACCTGTGCTTGTAATTGAAAGTGAGATTAGCAGAAGTGACTGAATCCATGCTAGGGGAGATGTGGTTGGGACGTAGACGTCATCCCTATGTTCCACTCAACTGATTAAAAATTTCTTGATCACCCCTCACACTCTTCATTCCATTCTCTCAAAATCAGATTTGTGGACTAAACCATGAAATAAATTACCTTTTCCTAATGTTCTTTAATAAAAGTGGAACCATGTACTGCTCAATACATAAGCCAGTAAGAGAGGATCCATATGAAACTAAGCACTTTTAGCCCTTGTTAAGAATAAGAGCTGGTGATGAGCTGGTGATATTTCTCACAATAATGTACTAAGAAAGAAAAAGTAGCCAGGGGCCAGCTACAATCCAGATTCCTAGGATCCATGCTCAGAGATGCTGACTCCGTGGATCCTGGGTGGACCCAGAGCACCATACCTTTACAAACAGGCTCTCAGCTGATCATGATGACAATATCTGTGGCCTGAATTTTGAGAACCAGAGAAGACCGTGCTTCCATGAAAGGGTTATTGCTGGATCCACATCACTGTACTTGAGTCCAAGAACTCAATTTCTCCTACCTCCCACTTCATCCCAAGACACATGAGCACATCTGAATATGATTTCCTTGTTGCATTGAAAAGTTCTAAAGTCTAGAGAGAAGTGACTTGTTTCAAGTCATGAGCAGAAAGGGGCAGAGCCAACTAGGGAATCCAAACCTCTATACAAAGCAACAGACATCACTCTTTGGTGGGAGGTCTTTTTGCACTGAATTCTCCAAAGGCACGTGCCAAATTCATGAGCGAGGCAAAAAGTGACAGTGGGTGTCAACTCTTCAGTCCTTTTTGTTGCTCTCTTTTCATTCTGAGCCTGCTCACTGCTCCTCAGTCCAGAGCCCACTTTAAGGAGCTCCTTGGCTCTCCAGGCAAGCCACTCCTCCTCACCATCTCCTCACCATTTGATGTCTCTTTCTCAGCAGAGGTCCCTGGAGAGCTGCTATACTGTATTTATTTCCAAAGTCTAACTGTGACACTAAGAGTCCCTAATGTGGCTACACTGATGTCAACAAAGGGAAAAATCAAGTACCTGAAGGCATTCACAGCACAGCTGCCGCATCGGGGGGGACCTTCCTAGCTTCTCGGGTACAGTTGTGCAGCTTCTACCTTTTATTTCATGTAAACACAACTAAACTGGCTCTCCCCACCAACACCCATCAGATATCCCACAATCAAAGAACTGCCTACAGGCAGCAAAGAAGAATCACTAACTGGAGGATTTTTTGTTATTATGTTTTTAATTCACTTGGGGAATGATCCTGAATTTTTTTTTTCCTCTGCAAGTGATAGGTAGCCATCTTGCTGTATTTCTGTCCAAGCCCTGTTCTTGCTGACCCAGAATGTTAATGAAATAAAGGCAACTCAGAAACAGTGTTCTAGGGTGTGGCTAGGAACAAGGGTTTTAAAAATGTTTTAATCTAGTGTAAAAGGCAGTTCCAGTACTTTCATTATAGTAAGATGAAAAGGGTATCACGTTTTCTACTTTTTTTTTTTTTTTTTTTTTTTTTTCCAGAAGGAGTCTCGCTCTGTCGCCCAGGCTGCAGTGCAGTGGCGCCATCTTGGCTCACTGCAAGCTCCGCCTCCCGAGTTCAAGCAATTCTCCTGCCTCAGCCTCCGGAGTAGCTGGGACTACAGGCGGCCGCCACCATGCCCGGCTAATTTTTTGTATTTTTTAGTAGAGACGGGGTTTCACTGTGTTAGCCAGGATGATCTCGATCTCCTGACCTCATGATCTGCCCGCCTCGGCCTCCCAAAGTGCTGGGATTACAGGCATGAGCCACCGCACCCAGCCCACGTTTTCTCCTTCTGCATCATTTCTCGGCTGAGGTGCTTACAGCTCTCTACAAATTCTCATTGTATACCCAAGTGAGAAAGAAACTCTTCATTTCCCCTTCTCTGGGCAGTACTTCTTAAGCAAGCTACATTGAAGACTTAGCAATTATTTGCATAATTAGAAAATTTGGTACCCATTCAATTTGATCAATATATCCATTTTTCAAAATAACCAAGGAATTGCCAAATCTCCATCCAACTTTTTGTTTGACATGGCTTTGCAGAAGAATATAAAACGAAGGGGGTGTGTGCATGTGTGTGGGCATATGTGTGTGTATACAAGGCCGAACTACCGAAGAGATTTGCCCAAGGTCATAGAATAGTTCCTTGCCATTTCCTTTATTGTCTGTCCTCAAATTCTTTTTTAGTAGAAAGCAAAGGAAGAGAAATGACGCTGGCTTCTAAATTTCATTATAAAAGCTTCCATTTAAAACAAAATGTATTGCATATGATAATTGCAACCAGAGCTGGTGAAGGCAGTGGTTTTCAGCCTGGTAAGAATTGTGGGACTGCTCTTAAACATGCTGACTTCAATGAACCCCTGGTCCTCTAACTAGGCTGTGAATAATAGGACATTAAAAAATAGTTATGTGGCACAAAACACAAACACATTTAATGTTTATTATTTTGGTTAACAAAATGCACATTTATTTGAAAATAAATTCTATTCATTTTTTAAATTCTTTTGTTCTTTCCACTTTTATTCTGTTTTTTATTCTACCCAGGTAACTTCCAGAACGTACATACCTTTCTTAACCAAAAAAAATTATGGTACTAGTTCTGTGTTATCATAGTAGAGTGCTCTCTGTTTTCTCTGAAGTCCAAGTTTGAATTGGTAAACACAAAGCTGTTTGGAAAAACAAAAATACAACTGTTAATTAAAACCTGTCCTCCTCACCCCCAAATAACAAGCTGTTGAATTCAAATGTTGTTTTCTTATGTTGCTGTTGTTTCATACCTGCTTGTGGGTGTAAACACAGCATCTGTCCCTTCTTGATAGGTGTCAAGGAGTTCAGGGGACTTCTGTTATGACAATGAAGATGAATGACACTTACCAAAATTTTCCCATTCCAAGCCTGGTACCAACCACTTTACACCTATTAATTTATGTCATCCTGCCTGAGAAGACAGAAATTATTAGCTCCTTCTTACAAGTGAGAAATTAGCCTTGCGAAGGTCAAGGGCTTGCCCAAGTTCACCTTGGCTGGGTAGTAGAGGAAGCACCAAAAGTCCAGCATCCAGATTACCTCTTCCATGCTGCACTGTCTCGTGGGCAAAGCAGTTACTTTTGATTCACATTGAGGTTGCGAGCATCCTAATAGTCTTCTTCCGTCACTAACATGAATTTAACAGAGGATATTTGGCAAATTCTATTAAAAATGTGTAATTCTCCATTAAAATATTCAAATTATATTTAAAATCCATTTTACCCACACCCATGAAATTCGTAGAAAATATCCGGTTACTGAGGAGCTATTAGTTAGCTCTCTGAACTTTAATTACTCCCAGGACTGTGATTTGCATGGACAAATCAAAAAACACAATGGAGAACAAAGAAGAGGTTCAGCAAAGAAATGAGATAGTTTTCTCACCCTTTCCCCTTATTTGTCCTTTGCTACAGGTCTTGCATTATCAAACAAAGGCATGCATCACGTGCAAAGAATAGAAAACAAGAGAGATGAAATGGGCATCTTTCTGGAAACGTTGTTTGCGAGCCTAGCTTTGAAATTTACACCTCCAGGTTGATCCTTCACTTGCCAGTACACATGTCTGAAACCAATACTCTAAGAAGAATACTGAACAGCATGAATATGTCTTCTGGATTTCCTTCCTTGGCAATGAGATGCTATTCTTGGGATAGATCATCCAGCCTTGAGTTTTTCTGCTAATCCACTCAGGAGCCAGCCTTTGGGCTCTGAAATAGATCTGCTCCTTCTCTATCAACAATATGCACATACTGTGCACCAAAAGTCTTGGAGCACAGTACGGAGCCTGAGACTTCTTCAGGAGCTACGAATAAGGGAGTTCTTCCTGTTAAACTCATTACATTTACAAAGGCCCACCCGTCGTTTTTCCTAAAATAATTTCCTTTTATGAATGTAGAGTTGAAATGTTACACTAACAATTCCCATACTTGTTCCAAGATTTTTCACAGACTTGCCATACCTAAACAACTTTCTCCTTACAGCTTCAAAGATAGGACTAAATATATCATCCCTATTTAACAATCTTAAAATTTGAAAAATTTTTAAAAGAGGGAATCGTCTTCCCCTAATAAGAAGAGGCATACTGACCATAATTCCTCAATTACTTTTACTTTCTAATCCAAATGAACATATAGATGAAAGGTGTTTTTCAAAATGCAGAGTAGGTGCAAAATCTTTCATCAGAGGTGAAGTATTTGATATGTCCTTGGTCATGAAAGAAATCCTCAAAATTAAGATTTATTTTTACATTTCATCTTTTTATAGCCAACTGTCCACATAACCACCAGAAAAAAATACCATGATGGATTTTTTTTTAATTTAATGAAGGTAACTGATCTTTTTAGAGTTTTTCTGATAGGCACAGAACCTATTAAAATATGCATATTTTATATATATACATACCTGTGTGTGTGTGAGCACACGCACGTGTGTGTGCGCCTGTGTGCCTGGGTGTGTATGTGTGTGGATACATCTTCAGCTCAAGTAGCAACAGTGACCTCTAGTGTGTCTTTTAAATTTTCTCCCTCTACAACTTTAACTCATTGTTTCTTTAACCTCTAGGGCATTATTTAAGCAAAATGTTACAGTTCATATTTGGTCTAATTTCTGTATTGACTCTATATGCTGACAACTTATTCTTGAGAAATCTTCTTTGATCTTGGTAATGTATGATAAAATAATTGTGCCTTCATTAATGACTGTAATTATAGTACATAAAGCTGTCATTTAAATGAATAATCACCCCCCCCCCACCCCTCAAAAAAGGTTGGCTTCATTTGCAAAATGAATTTAACTTCAGCTGAATAACTCTTTGAGCTATAAGCCAGGAGCATCCACATGCAGTCATGTATTGTTTGCAAGAGTGCTCGTTTCTCATTGATGAGGTCCCCTCCCCCGTTCTTTTTAACTAAAATTAAGAGAGAATCAAAGAATCCGTCGGGCAAAACATTTTTTTTCAGTTTTGGGGGTTTTGCCTTAGACGTGTGCTGATGTCAGGACAGAGTCCACAAGAATGAAGTGGCCTGGCTCTGGCAGCTTGTGTCAGCACTTTCATTCCAAGTTCCTCTTTTCAGGAGTTTATAACATTGCAATAAAATTTATTATGGGCTGGGACTTGGCATACAGGAGCCTGGGCTAACACCGTAAAGTAGTTTGGAGATTTTTTTCTTTTCTTTTTTTTTTTCCAAGCAAATGTTCAAATCTGTTGGGTCCTGTTTCCCTTTTTAGGGAGTTCAAAATAAAAGCCTGCTCTCATCTGGTCACATGGCCTTGGTTTCTCCTGGTTTTGCTTTCCCTGTGGGCTGTTAGAGGAGAACTGAAAAGGGTCCCCTACCTACGCTATGGTAAACTCTTTTAGGATGAGTTGGAAACAAACAAACAAAAGTAATAAAGAAGTAAATGTTTCCTGTAAATGAAAAAGGCCCTTAAAATTGTAGTTGTTGGAAAAGAGCCTCCAGGGTAGGCGAGGGAAACATGAAAAGGTATTCAAGACTGTTTTCTATAATTGGGTGATCTTCTATGCCCCCCAACAGCTGGGCTTGTTGGCAAACAAGAAGCTGTATGTGGAAAACATGCTCCAATCTGTGTAAACGAAGCAAGCCATGAAAATTAGCATCATCCCCAGGTTAAAAAACAAAATAAAACATGCAGAACACAGACCCCTAGAGAATCAGGTGGGAGGATGTGAGTATGTGGTTATGAGTATGTGCAAGCAGATCTGTTTGATACCGTGGCATATAGAAAATATACACTATACATTTACATTTAATGTATACCTTGTCATGCCTCCCTTGCTTTGTCTTCTTGTTATTGCCCACAAGAATCTATGTCTCAACGACAATTCCGAGATGACCCCCATCCAGAAAAAGAACAAACAATTGAATCAGAAAAATGATTAATCCCATGGAAGGAAATTAATTAGGGGTGTACATAGCTCAATAAGGAATGTCAGAGTTAGAAGGAACTTAGAGTATTGCTTGACCAACCGCTCTTGTATTTTCATTTGCAAGTGAATAAGGTCGCGAATGTCAGCTTTTCCACATCAGAGCTGATATTCAACTAGAACACACAGTATATCTTTACAGGTGGTTAATGGGCAGCATGTGTTCTAATTGGACAGTGCCCAGCCTGGTTGATGTTTTTGGATACTTTCGAATATCACTGCTATCTGTGGTCACACACTGAGTTTGTGGCGATAAGCTATATCCTGGGTTTCTCTGCCAATCATCAGAAATTGTACAGGCTCCAAAATTTTTAACTTGATAGATCTACCGCAAACACTTTCTTAAACGGCCCCCACTTAACTGCTTTGCCAGATCAGACCCACCTGATTAGCAAATGCTCTCTGTTCACTGCATAAAACCCTCCACAGGATGAATGCTAGTGTCTTCTCATTGAGGACCAATGGTATCTACAGTTTGTCCCTAAACCTCCTTAAGTCATTGTACTTTTTTTTTTTTTTCGAGATGGAGTCTCGCACTGTTGCCCAAGCTGAAGTGCAGTGGCGTGATCTCGGCTCCCTGCAACCTCTGCCTCCTGGGTTCAAGTGATTCTTCTGCCTCAGCCTCCCGAGTAGCTGGGACTACAGGTGTGTACCACCACAATGGGCTAATTTTTGTATTTTTAGTAGAGACGGGGTATCACCATATTGGCCAAGCTGGTCTCAAACTCCTGACCTCGTGATCCACCCGCCTTGGCCTCCCAAAGTGCTGGAATTACAGGCATGAGCCACTGCACCTGGCCATCATTGTACTTTTTATTATAATTATGTCATTTAATAAAATATGAAGCTATGAATGTATTTTCATGAATCTATGAAAATTTAGCCAAGCACATTGAAAGACTTAATATAGTTGATTTTTGTTTAAAGTAGGATTGTTAAAAAAAAAAAAAAAAAGTAGGCTGTTGAAATGGGGTGGGCCAGACAACTGTGAACAATTGGAAAAAGCTGCAAAACAATGTGGACATTCTTTTGGCAGTCAAAGTGCTTTGCAAGTATCATATTTTTTTCAGAGAAATTTCCAAACTGGAAATTGTAGAAATATATTATGGATATGGTTTATATAAGAAAGATGCTGTGGAATTCCAGAGGACCCAGACAGGAGGAAGGACCCTCACCCCTGCATCAACAGCTGCAAAATGGACGTGCATTAAAATAAATGTTTAAGTGTAATATCATTTTAAATCATTCCCCACTTGAACAAACTTTGGATTAACTGATTAACAAGTGGTCTCATCATGTCTGAGTAGAGGGCTCTTCCACTAACTCTTTTAGCTCTGTTGTCTTGAGAGGATTCCAGAAAAGAACTTGTGGTTTTAAGCTCTGGGAGCAGGTAGGGGGTTTGGTATGAGTGGAGGAGGGAAGCAATGGAAGGTGGTAAAGATTTTGAAGAGGAAAAGCACGGTAAGGTGGAATAGGTCCCTTACAAATGATCTAGATATAGAAGGCACTGGCAAAGACTAGACATTGGATGAGAGCAAATCCAAATATGAATGATTATTCAGAATGGCTCACTTGGAGAATAAATGGGTTGTGTTGTCCTTAACAGTAATTAGTATAAGCACGCACACAGATTATTTACAGTCTATCGGCTCCTACCTCACCCCAACTACCAGATATTTATGGACAGTAAAATGCAGACACTTTTGTGCAGGTTTCTTACAAGGTTGTTTTATGTCTTCCTCTCATCTGCGTTTGCAGATGCTGGACTGTTGTATGTGTCAGATTTACCAGAATCATATTCTTCCCAGTCATTAATTCAGCGAAGTCTCTCCCATTATGCTCTTTTAATCTATTCTTTAAAATGTTTTCAGTACCTATCATGGAAGCATGTAATGCTAGATGTGTTTTTAGCTGTCCTACTGAGTCACCACTAAATCTTTTAATGGAGCACAGTCCTTTTGTTAAAATTATTTTTTGCTTTAAAATGCTTGAGTTAGGGATAGAGGGATAGTGTTCAGTTTGAATCTTCTGGCTTTTGTCAATTTGTGTCAGCCCTTAATGTAATCTTTCCTTTTCAGTACAAATATCATAGCAGTTCTCCCTTTTAAAACAACTAAAGAAATGGACTTTTATTTTTAAATCCAGGAAACGAGTATCAGGAAGGAGAGCTTCTTTGCTCTAGAATCTCTTTTGAATTCATGGTTTCAGCTTTTCCTTTATTTAAAGGGAATCCTTTTGAGATATTTTTATTTAGATGTTCTTTGTTGTTTTGAGAAAGAGAAAAAATATTCATGGGAAAAAAACAAGAGAAATCCTGATTTTATTTATTATTTTGATCACTGTAAGCACCTCTCATGTCAATTTTTTTTCCTGTGTTTGACTAGCAATGTGAGGGTATCCAAAGAGACATACGCTATTTTATTATAGTGCCAAAATAAAGATGTTCACTGCAGTATTGTTTAAGTTAATGAAAAATTGGAAACAATATGAATGTCTACAAATAGAGAATTGCTTAAATTAAAATGATGAAATAGAAATGCAGTGATTAAAAGGCTGATGTTCAACCTACAAAATGGGAGAAAATTTTCACAACCTACTCATCTGACAAAGGGCTAATATCCAGAATCTACAATGAACTCAAACAAATTTACGAGAAAAAAACAAACAACCCCATCAAAAAGTGGGCGAAGGACATGAACAGACACTTCTCAAAAGAAGACATTTATGCAGACAAAAAACACATGAAAAAATGCTCACCATCACTGGCCATCAGAGAAATGCTAATCAAAACCACAATGAGACACCATCTCACACCAGTTAGAATGGCAATCATTAAAAAGTCAGGAAACAACAGGCGCTGGAGAGGATGTGGAGAAATAGGAACACTTTTACACTGTTGGTGGGACTGTAAACTAGTTCAACCATTGTGGAAGTCAGTGTGGCGATTCCTCAGGGATCTAGAACTAGAAATACCATTTGACCCAGTCATCCCATTATTGGGTATATACCCAAAGGACTTTAAATCATGCTGCTATAAAGACACATGCACACGTATGTTTATTGCGGCACTATTCACAATAGCAAAGACTTGGAACCAACCCAAATGTCCAACAATGATAGACTGGATTAAGAAAATGTGGCACATATACACCATGGAATACTATGCAGCCATAATAAATGATGAGTTCATGTCCTTTGTAGGGACATGGATGAAATCGGAAATCATCATTCTCAGTAAACTATCGCAAGAACAAAAAACCAAACACTGCATATTCTCACTCATACGTGGGAATTGAACAATGAGAACACATGGACACAGGAAGGGGACCATCACACTCTGGGGACTGTTGTGAGGTAGGGGGAGAGGGGAGGGATAGCATTAGGAGATACACCTAATGCTAAATGATGAGTTAATGGGTGCAGCACACCAGCATGGCACATGTATACATATGTAACTAACTTGCACATTGTGCACATGTACCCTAAAACTTAAAGTGTAATAATAATAAAATAAAATAAAAATCATTGTATCAAAAAGAAAAAAAAAAGGCTGATGTTATCCATATTCATTGACACGGGTCAGTTTGTTTGTTTTTTTTTAGTGAAAAGCAGCAGATTAGAAAAGAAGCAGAGTGTGATTCTATTTAAATAAGGTTACACACAGGTGTACTTTGATTGGGCCTCACTTTATTGTGCTTCACAAATATTCCATCTTTTACAAATTGTAGTTTCATAGCAACCCTGCATCAACCACATCTGCTGGCAGCATTTTTGCAACAGCAATGCTCACTTTGTGTCTCTGTGTCACATTTTGGTAATTCTCATAATATTTCAAACTTTGTTATTATTATTATATATGTTTTGGTAATCTGTAATCATTGATGTTACTATTTTAATTGTTTTGGGGGGCCATGAACAATGCTCATATAAGACGGCAAACTTATCTGATGAATGTTCTGTGTGTTCTGATTGCTCCATTGATCAGCCATTCCCTCCTTTCTCCTTCTCCTTGGGCGTCCCTATACCCTGAGACATAGCAATATTGAAATTAGACCAGTTAATAACCCTACAATGGCCTCTGAGTGTTCCAGTGAAAGGAAGAATCTCATGCCTTCACTTGAAATCAAAAGCTAGAAATGATTAAGCTTAGTGAGGAAGGCATGTGGAAATCCAAGACAGGCTGAAAGCAAGGCCTCTTGGGCCAGTTAGCTGAGTTGTGAATGCAATGGAAAAGTTTTTCCAGAAAATTAAAAGTGTTATTCCAGTGAACATACAAAGGATAAGATGGAGAAACAGACTTATTGCTGATATGGAGAAAGTTTAATGGTTTGGGTAGAAGATCAAACCAGCCTCAACATTCTCTTAAGCCAAAGCCTAACCTAGAGCAAGACCCTAACTGTTTTCAATTATATGAAGGCTGAGAGAGGTGAAGAAGCTGCAGAAGAAAAGTCTGAAGCAAGCAGAGGTTTCTTCAGGAGGCTTAAAAAAAAAAGCCATGTCCATAACATAAAAGTGCAAGATGAAGCAGCAAGTGCTGATGGAGAAGCTGCAGCAAGTTATCCAGAAGATCTAGTTAAGATCATTGATGATAGTGACTACACTAAGCAACAAATACTCAATGCAGATAAAACAGCCTCATATTGGGAGAGGATGTCATCATGGACTCTCAAGCTAGAATGCCTGGCTTCAAAGCTTCAAAGGACAGACTGACTTCCTTGGTAGGGACTATTGCATCTAGTGACTTTCAGTTGGAGCCAATGATTATTGACCATTCTGAAAATTCCAGGGCTCTTAAGAACTATGCTAAATCTACTCTTCCTTTGCTCTATAAATGGAACAAGTTTGATGATTGCACATCTTTTTACAGCATAGTTTAATAAATATTTTAAGCCCACTCTTGAGACCTACTGCTCAGGAAAAAAAATTCCTTTCAAAATAGTACTGCTCATTGACAATGCAGCTAGTCAACCAAGAGCTCTGATGGAGCTGTACAAGAAGATGAACGTTGTTTTCACGCCTGCTAACAACATCCATTCTGCAGCCTATGGATCCAGGAGTAATTTTGACTTTCAACTCTTATTATTTGAGAAATATATTTTGCATGGTTATAGTTGCCATATATAGTGATTCCTCTGCTCGATCTGAGCAAGGTAAATTGAAAATCTTTTAGAAAGGACTCACTGTTTTAGGTGTCATTAAGAACATTAGTGATTCATGAAAGGTCAAAATATCCACATTAACAGGAATTTGGAAGAAGTTGATTCCAACCCCCAGGGATGACTGTGAGGAGTTTGAGACATCAGTGGAGGAAGTAACTATAGATGTGGTAGAAATGGCAAGAGAACTAGAATTAGAAGTGGAGCCTGAAGATGTCCCTGAATTGCTGCAATCTCATGATAAAACTTTAACAGGTGAGGAGTTGTCTCTTATGGATGACCAAAAAGAGCAGTTTCTTGAGATGGAATCTACTGGTGAAGACGCTGTAATCATTGTTGAAATGGCAACAAAAGATTTAGGATATTTCATAAACTTAGTTGATAAAGGAGCAGCAGTGTTTGAGAGGATTATCCCCCATTTGGAAAGAAGTTCTAATGTGCACTAAAATGTGATCAAACAACATTGCATGGTACAGAGAAATCTTTCATGAAAGGAAGAGTCCATAGATATGGCAGACTTGATTGTTGAATTATTTTAAGAAACTGCCATAGCCACCCCAACCTTCAGAAACCACTAAACTGATTAATCAGCAGCCATTAACATCAAGGCAAGACCTCTCACCAGCAAAAAGATTATGACTTGCTGAAGGCTCAGAAGATCATCAACATTTTTTAGCAATAAAGTATTTTTAAATTAAGTATGTCCATTTTTAGACAATTCTGTCACATACTTGTCTTAATTGTCTATGGTAAACAACTTTTGTATGCACTGAGACACCAAGAACTTCATATGACTCACTTGATTGTGGTATCCACTTTATTGGGAAGGTCTGGAACTGAACCCACAATATCTCCAAGGCATGCCTATATGCACCTCTGCATATATAAACATCTATGTATACAGTTAGGTACTGCATAATGGTCAATGGAGGCCCACATATAAGACAGTCGTCCTGTAAGTTTACTGTATAATACCATATTTTTACTGTAGTTTTCTCTGTTTAGACATGTTCAGATAAACAAATATTTACAATTGTGTTACAATAGTAACAATTGGCTACAGTATTCCATACAGTAACATGCCCTACAGGTTTGTAGCCTAGAAGCAGTAGGTCGTACCATATAGCTTAAGTGTATAGCGGGCTATACCATCTAGGTTTGTGTAACTATATTCCATGATATTTACACAATGACAAAACTGCCTAACTACATTTCTCAGAATGTATCCCTGTTGTTAAGCAATGCATGACTATGTATGTACAGAAAGAGAGAGAGAAAAGGCTGGGCATGGTGGTTCATGTCTGTAATCCCAGCACTTCGGGAGGCTGAGGTGGGAGGATCTCTTGAGTCCAGGAGTTGGAGACCAGCATGGGCAATATAGGGAGAACCCGTCTCCAGAAAAAAAGTTAAAAATGAAGAAATTTAGCTGGGTGTGGTTGTGTGCACCTGTGGTCCCAGCTACTTGGGAAACAGAGATGGGAGGATTGCTTAAGCCCAGGAGGTGGAGGTTGCACTGTGCTATAATCATAACACTGTGGTTGAGCCTGGGAGACAGAGCAAGAACCTATTTCAACAAAAATAAAAACAAAAAAGGGAGGGAAGAGAGAGAAATATAACAATATAATCAAAATAATAACAGTGCCTAACTTTGGGTGGTAGGATTTAGTTTTTTATTATTATTTAGCTACCAAAAAAAAAAAAAAAAGAAAAAAAGAAAAAGAAATCTTCTTGAAAAACTGCAATGGCTACCACTGCGTGGTGCTTTGGGGTAAATACTGTTGTTTGGCTGACCCAGCATTTATTTTCACCCTTTCTTCCCGCAGTACCTTCCCTCTTCAGATTGGAAAAGGAAAACACTTTCCCAGCTTTCCTTGCAACTAGAGTGACCATGTGACACAATTCTGGTGGTAAGGCAAAGTGAAAACGTGTGGGGGCCCACAGGAACCTAAGAAGGCTCTTCAGTTTGTTGTCTAGTGAAGCAGCAGCCAACACTCCATCACTGATCTCACAGGCATAAGGGAAAACCAAAGGCATTCCGGAGATGCCAGTCCTGATAGCATCAAGCCTTGACACTGAGGCAAGCAGAAGTCTACTTGTGAGAAAAATTAACTCCTCCTTGTTTCCCATTTGTATGGTATGTAAGTACTTGCAGCTAAAATTATTCTTAATTGATGAGGAATGAAAAAATAACATCACCTTTTAACCCCTCCATCATTCCAAATGCCCAGAGTTTATTATTCAGGAAAGCACTTTTATTTCTTCCTCTTTCTGTCTCTGTCTCTGTCTCTATCTCTCTTTCACACACACACACACGTGTATATATGCATTAATGTATGTGCACATGTACATATATTTATCTACCTTGCTTTCTGAAAATGAAAATATATATTTAAATTTTTCCTTCTATAACTTGTTTTTATTTTAAAAGTAATGGCATGATTATCTTTATTGGTTCATGTAATTCTATCATATTCTTTTTAACAGCTTTATTGAGATATAATTCATGTAGCATAAAATTCACCCATTTAAAGTGTGTGATTCAATGTTTTTTGTATATGAAAAGTTGTGTAATCCTCACAATTGGTCTTAGAACATTTTCATCACCACTCTCCAAGAAAACCCTGCATTCATGTGCAGTCACTTCCCATTTCCCCCCAACTTTCCAGCCCTAGGCAACCAGTGCCTTATTCTTTATAACAGCAGCTTAGTTTTCTGTAGCTGGATTTAACATAAATCAATCACTTCTCTACTGATAACTATGTAGGTCATGTGCAGTTTTTCATCATTACAAATAATGCTGTGATGAACACTCTTATTACCTCCTCCTTTACCCTTTATTACATGGCTTAACTTTTCTACTTGCATATATTCATCTTTAGAATCAGGGAAAGGAATCTATTGACACTAGGAAATGCAGGTTGTGGCCTACAGAGAGGCACTTAGTGGCAATGACTCAGCTGGGGGCTGGATCCAGCTTGGGCTCCACCTGCCAAGGGAGGTGTGTGCTCTGGAACAGGCTGCATAAGCCTGTTCCAAGGGGAAGTGGTGCTATTTGGTAAGAGTCTACCCAGGGGATTTCAGTGTTGTAGAAGGTCTCTTAGGATACTGCTTCTTCGAATTTACCAAAAGGCAGGGTCCTAGGGGAAAGTAGTGGAAGGTGGGGTTGGTTGATGATATAGTTTGGCTGTAACCCCACCCAACCCAAATCTCATCTTGAATTGTAGTGCCCATAATTCCCATGTGTTGTGGTAGGAACCCAGTGGGAGATAATTGAATCATGGGGTGGTTTCGCCCATACTGTTCTCATGATTGTGAATAAGTCTCATGAGATCTGATGGTTTTATAAGGGGTTTCCCCTTTCACTTGGCTCTCATTCTCTCTTGCCTGCTGCCATGTAAGATGTGGCTTTCACCTTCCACCATGATTGTGAGGCCTCCTCAGCCACATGGAACTGTGAGTCCATTAAACCTCTTTTTCTTTATAAATCACCCAGTCTGGGGTAAGTCTTTATCAGCAGCTTGAAAATGGACTAATACAGCTGGTTGAGGGAGGGTTTACAACTCTTGCAGGTTCTTACAGGCCAGAGCAAGGAGTTTGGATTTTATTCTGAGAGTGACAGGAAGCCATCAAAATCTTTTAAGTAGGGAAATAGTGTAACCTGATTTTTATCATAAAGAGATCACTCTGGTTGCTGTGTGAAGAATTTACTGTAAGCAAGCAAAAGTGAAAGATGGTGATAGATTAGAAAACTATTGTGGTGGCCCTGGTAAGAGATGGATTCAGTGTCAGAGAACTCAGAATTTAGGAAGAGAGATGAAGTATATGTGTTAGGATGATGCAAGGTAAAAAGTGATGTATGTCATGAAACAATTACATAAAAGAGACACATGAAATACTATTGAAATTCATAAGTGGAAGGAATTATTTGTACTACATCCTGGAGCTCAGGAGTAGCCTTGTGATTAAGGATTGTAGTTGGGCCTTGACGAATGGGTAGAAAATATCTTTTGGAAGTAGTGGGGGACTGGGGAAGGTTGGTGGGTAGATAGAGGTATTCAAGAGGAGATAACGTCTTAGAATCTGTAATATTTACCACTCATACCTAAGGTGCCAGGCATTAAACAGGATTGTTTGACATGAGAAAGTTCCAACCTCAGACTAAGGACCTAGGTACTGAGAAAGTGGACTGCTCTTCTGGGGAATGGCCCAAGCTTTGGCTTCCATGATCACAGTCTTCTACAAATGAGACATTCCCTTAAGCCATTAGAGTGGGCTGAATGGTGGCCCTCAAGGATATATTCATTTTATAATTCCCAGACCTGTGAATAACACCTTATATAGCAAAGGAGTGAATATTGCCTTATATGGCAAAAAATGTAATTAAGTTAAGGATCTTCGGAGGAGGTGATTTTCCTGAGTTATCTAGGTAGACCCTAAATACAATCAACATGTATCCTTATAAAGCTGCTGTAGGAAGATTTGAAATAGACACACAGACACAAAAGAGGAGAAGGCAAGCTGAAGATAGAGGCAGAAATTGGGCCGCAAGCCCAGGAATGCTCAGCCACTGAAGCTGGAAGAGGCGAGGAACAGATTCCCCCTTGTAGCCTCAGAGGGAACACAGCCCTGCTGACACCTTGATCCCAGCTCAGTCATACTGACTTAGGATTTCTGGCCACCAGAGCGGTAATATAGTACATTTAGGTTGTTTTTAAGCCATAAAGTTTGTAGCAATTTGTTACAATGGCCACAAGAACTGAATACAGTCACATATATGTGAATGCATTATTTGGAAAAGTTTGAGGTGCACTGGCCTAGGATGTTACCCAGCCTGAGGGAAATAGTTGTATATTTTACAATAGTTTTATGTTTACAAAGACCTTTTGGAAACTCAATACCTTAACTCAAGTGTGTAACCCTAGTGGGAGGATTACAGGACCACACTGGGTGAGGGGAAAGATATTTTAAATTAGGAGCAGGAGGCTAATGCGGTGCCATTACAGTCATAACCTTGAGAACACTGTTTTCAATGAGAGAACATGCTCTCTTGTGAGTGCCTCTTCCACCAGGGAGTTTTGATGGGTTTCAGGCCTGGGTTAATCGTGTGACCTTGAACAAATCATTGCAGGGCTCTCAATCCCAAATACTTATCTCCAAAATGGAGAAATGAATTCTTACTTCAATTGTAGGATTTGAATATTAAAGAGGACACATGCAAATGCACTATGTAAATTGTAACATGTTATGAATTTAGTAGCACTGTTATTATTTTCCATGCATGAGACCTTAAGTTTCCAAGCTGACGAGACAAATGACATCCTAGATTGGATGCCTGTTACTGCACCAGCTTTTGATGAAGATGAGACAAGGGCAAAGCTATTTATGAGGGCAAACCAGGTGCCAAATATTGTGTGAAATAAGTCACTTCATCCTTACAGCAACCCTTAGGGGATAGGCATTATAACCTCCATTTTACGGATGAATTGTTGTATATTGGAGAGTCTAGCACAGTCCTAGCACATAGTAGGTGCTCAATAAACGACAGCTGATACTAAACTGGGTCTCCATTGGGCCCTAAAGTTTCTGCTTCAATTCTACATTAGGCCTATTCCATTACATAAAGCAAATTTTCAAAGGGCCATGATTTGAATCAAATGATTCTCTTCTGTTGCTTTCTGTGGAGCTCATTTAAAACACTAAGTACCTGCTTTGACTACAGCTCATAACCAGGCACAAGCCTCTGCTGCTGGCTGCCCCGTCCATGAAGTGGATGAATAAACAGAACCAGGGATCTTTGTATCAGGGTAGCTTGATCATCCATGAAGGCTCTACGGAAGAAGAATGATGCCTATACCAGCCTCCAGACGCATTCCTCAAGCTTCCCTTTCTGTAAGCACAGGAGAGGAAGGGCCGCAGGGAGGTCCTTCCAACGCCTGCGCTTTGTAAGCTAATTATCATCTTAGGTAGCTGGCAGTCCTCAGGCTTTCCTTCCGGGCCTCTCTAGACAGTGCCATGAAGCTGCGTCAGTGATTTCAGTAATCCCTTTTATTATTCATCTTCAAAATATCTACTTAGTGGAAGTTAAACTCCAACCTCACATCATGTCAAATGTCCTGTATACAGGACAGGAGGTTGGATTTCCCGGTTTGAGGGTAAGAATGGCTTGTATTTGGGTGCTCAGTGATTCAGAAGAGGTTATTTGGCAGAATGAGAATCTTTTTATACAGGCACGACACTAAAGGGGCCTTTAGTAAAATGCACTATCAATTTATAAGGAAAAATACAACACCCTGATGCATTTCAAGAATTACACATTCACTGTGTCCCTAACAATGATCATAAGAAGAAGTTCAGATTCAAGGAATAGAGGGGTGTTAGATGCCTGTTTACATGGAAGAAGTAGGAGGAGGTAAAAGAGAAAGGAAGGGCATTAATAACAGCAAGGGTGCATAAATGTCAATAAGCAAAGGCATGTGATAGTAGAGGAGGAGCAGCAATGTCCAAGAATAATGATACCCCAAGGGATAAGGGGATGAGCAACCTGCAAGAGGTCCAATGCATAGCAGGACGTTGGTTCTGATCAGGTAAATGCAGGAAGGTTTTGTGGAGATGATGGCAGTTAAGTGCTGCCCTTGAAAGCTGGGAGGGTGTTTACAGCCAAAGCTACGGAGAGCACAGACTAAATAATGGGAATCTTATATGTGAAAGCAAGAACACACGTAGGAAAATACAAAGCCTCTCAAGGAGTTTTTCAATCTTATGATTCAGGGATTAATATACAGATCATTATGTACGGCTAATTATTCATTTAATTCAGGGCTAGGCAGGCAGACTAGAACTTGCCCATGGGAAAGGCTTTAAAAATTCTTATTCAGAGACACATGTGCATCAGGGATTCATTGAATAAAAAGGAAATTGTTTATGAGATTAAACCCAAATGTAAAGGTGGAGCCACCTGGCATAAACCCCACATGGGCATATACAAAGTGAGTTATAACTCGGGCACCAACCCTATCCACAGACTTCTCCAGCATACAGCAACACTGTAGTAATAAAAGCACAGACCTTAGTGTTTCAGAGGAGCTCAAGATGACATTGTCCAGCCCCTATGCTTCAAAGAAAGATCTGAGATTCCTGCTGTAGGGCGTGAAGTCCGGAAAGTGACTTGTCCAAGGACATATTGTTTGTAAGTGGTAGAGATGGAGATATACCCTGAGTTCTTAGATTTATGCAGAGGTCCAACTTTCCAATTCAGCAGTCACCTCCTCCTGCCTGTACAAAGCAAGGATTTGAGCTTAGCTCGCTATATCTGAGAAGAGATGACCCTGGAGGAGAAGTATGCTAACCTGGCCCAATTCACCAATAGTTGGGTGCCCCAGAAGCATCTCCAAGTGAGATCTTGACATTGTCTCAAAAAACTCTCTCCCACATACTCTTAACTGATCCCATCATTCTAGTGATTCCTGCAGTTACTCCCGAAAATCTTCAAAAAATGTTGGCTAAAATTCATATACCTCTGGAGGGATGCTACATAAGTAATTATTGGCCATTAGCTCCTTAGAATGGCCGAGTCCATCAGGTATTTCTGTAGTGGTAGCTAGTGAGTATAATGTCATAAATAGAGAAATGGATCTGAAACATTTTTAATAGCAGAGCCTATTTTCAAAAATATATTGTGAAACCCCAATCTAGTAACATTTATTTATTATAAAGTTTATCAATTAGATGAATAAGGTTGCTTCAAAGAATTTTTAATTGAGGGTAGGGAAGGACAGTTGCAGCCTCAAGAAGGCATAATATTTAATATTTGTCTGTACAATCCCTGGATTGTTACTGTATACCCAGTTCTAGAAAACACAGATCAAAAAACAATGGTTAACATGGTCTCCTAACTGGTTGCACACACCAAAGAATGTCCATGTGGGATGGAGAAGACAGTACTAAAACTTCTATTTATTTAACAATACTTAGAAGTTTTAAAATCTTTTAAAACTTTATCTCATCTTTTAAATTTTAATTTTTGCAGATTTTCATATGTAGCTTATGTATATAACTTATAAATAAATAAATAAATAAATATGCAGGTATTGAAGGATTGTTCAAAAGTTTCTATTGAGAGAATACACGTAGCATGGCTAGAGATAATTTGAGGCCCTGTTCAGGACAGGGAGAGAGACCTGGGTGGAACCACAAAGGGTCAAATCCAAATCCATAAGCAGATCTGGGCTTGTTGGACCTGAAGCTTAGCCAACTTTGGGGTGCTTCTTTAAGAAAAGGCATGTGAAACTGTGAGTATAAATGTAGGTATGGAATAGAATATATAGTTAGCACTACAAAAGAGGAATCACAGCACATTACTGCAGGTTTATGGATCGGGGTTCCTTTCTTCTGAGATTTCTTAAGCAATTTAGCAGAAACTTAAGACAGAAATGATTCCTACTGGCAGCTTGGTTTCTCTTCTTCACCCTAGAACTCTTTTTTTTTTTTTTTTTTTTTGAGATGGAGTCTTGCTCTGTCACTAGGCAGAAGTGCAGTGGTGCAATTTTGGCTCACTGCAACCTCCGCCTCCCAGGTTCAAGTGATTCCCCTGCCTCAGCCTCCCAAGTAGCTGGGACTACAGGTGCATGCCACCATGCCCAGCTAATTTTCTGTATTTTAGTTGAGACGTGATTTCACCATGTTGGCCAGGATAGTCTCAATCTCCTGACCTCATGATCCACCCGCCTCCCAAAATGTTGGGATGACAGGTGTAAGCCACTGCGCCCCACCAAGAACTCTTAACAAATTCCAACACTCCCAGGAGCTCCAATGAATAAGACGCTCAAGGCACCTATGGCTACCAGCTATTTGGGGAGAAGAGATGGGCAGAGAAGGAAGGAAAAGGATTTGCAGAAGGGTAGAAAAAGGAGTTACAAACCCATCACCGAAGAACCTTTCTAGAACTGGCAGATGCTTGTCCTTATTTTGCATACATTGAATATTATCAGTGACTTTGAGTTAAAGGGGAAATTTTATGGGATGGTGCCATAAAGATGTTAAGCACAAGGGTTGGAGTTAGGCACCACCAGTTTCCATTCTAGGATGATCAGTGGTCCCAGAGTACTGGGACTGTCAGAGGTTTAGCACCGAAAGTCCCACACCACAGGACACTCAGGTCTCACAGTTGGTCTCCCATTCCCAACCAGCTCTTTTACTTAGTAACTGCAAAAACCATGGAAAAATTAGCTATCTGGCTAAACCCAAGTTTCCTCATCTATGAAATGGAGATAACAGGACTATATCACTCAGCGTTCTTTTGAAAACAGAATGAGATAATCGTCAGTGAAAGACCTAGAAGGCTGGGGAGAGGACAGGCAGGGTGCTGGCGGAAAGAGGGGCTGCTGTGGGATCTGGTGCTTTGTGGATCTTTGCTAGCTTCTGTCCAACCCTTCCTCCAATGTTCAGTGTCCCTGAATTTTCACAGCACCTTTTATTTATGGGAAGGGAACAACTCTCCAGAGAGCTTCTTGCTTTCAGGAAGGCCTGGGCACTGCATCATCCTACCAGGTCCATGAGTAAAAATACAGAGGAGACCTCGTGAACACCTCTGACCTTTCCAATATCCCACATTCCCCCTCTCTGCAGTTAAGTGCTTTTCATGCTTGTAGAAGGCCAAGAAAGTAGAGATGCTTTTTTTTTTCGTTTTTTTCTTTAGAAAGAAAAAGGAGAAAGCATCCAATCCAGAGATTAAGACATCTAAAACACAAGAGTAAAAAAGCAAATTATGCATTAGGGAGGCTGCCATGGTACAGAAGAAAGGGAATGACTTTCTTTTTTATTTACTCATTTGTGTATCAGAACTGCAGGATTGGGACTCTGCTCCTCCCAATATGAGCTGTGTGACCTTGAACAACTCACTTAAACTTTCTTGGGTTTTTGTTTCCTCTTTCATAATGTGAAAAAACAAAGAATACGATACCCATAAAGTTATTGGAGGGGGGTTAAATAAATGAAATAATATAAATAAAGCACTTAGCCCAGGGCCTGCCATTTTTCTTTTTATGAAAGTAAAATACAAATACAATTTTTGCACCTTCCTAATAGAGCCCTCAGTCATAAAAACAGGATCCAAACTTGTCTTTTTTCATGTAAGCAAACTTATAATAAAGCATATAGAACATGTTTCAAAATATGTGTTTAAAATTGAACTGAGGAGGAACAAAAACTCATGTCCTTCATGGTTTTTTTTGTTTGTTTGTTTTAGATAGATTCTCGCTCTTTTACCCAGGCTGGAGTGCAGTGACATGATCATAGCTCACTGCAGCCTGAAACTCCTGGGTTCAAGCAATCCTTAGCCACCCAAGTAATTAGGACTACAGGTATGCACTTCTATCTATGCCCAGCTAACTTCTATTTTATTTTTTTTTGTAGAGACAAAATCTCACTGTGTTACCCAGGCCGCTCAAGTACATTTAATTTCATTGATAAAAGGAATTTCTGAAAAGAAGACTGTGTAGACTATGGCTTGGAAAGAGCCAGAATTATCCTCAAAGGACATGTGTCCTGGGGCTTCTGGAGGCTGAGACAGGAGATGAGGTCTCATGCACTGGAGCAAAGAACCCTCTCAAAACTCCGTCTGTGTGTACTGTCTACAAAAGTGCTGTGCAAAATGACATGGGAATAAGAGGTAGAGAGTTATAAGTGTAATGATCTCATGTTTGGAGAACCATCTGTGGATCTCAAGCCACCCTTATCAGCACTTTAAAATCTGGGTTTAAAACATGTGGGACCAGCCAGGCGCGGTGGCTCACGCCTATAATCTCAGCACTTTGGGAGGCCGAGGCGGGTGGATCACGAGGTCAGGAGATTGAGACCATCCTGGCTAACACGGTGAAACCCTGTCTCTACTAAAAGTACAAAAAATTAGCCGGGCGTACAAAAAATTAGTACAGGCGGGCGCCTGTAGTCCCAGCTACTCGGGAGGCTGAGGCAGGAGAATGGCGTCAACCCGGGAGCAGGAGCTTGCAGTGAGCCGAGATCGCGCCACTGCACTCCAGCCTGGGCGACAGAGCAAGACTCCATCTCAAAAAAAAAAAAAAAAAAAAAAAAAAAAATGTGGGACCACTAGGTTAAGGAGAAACATTGCTAGGAGAGGTTTTGCAGGTTGTTACTGAATGCTTTCTCACTTTCCCTGTGCCAATTTGGAAACCAGGGAACACTGCAATATGCATGCTGACCTGGAGGCTATAAAATGCATCCTCCCAAAGATTGGCAGAAGATGTAAAAACACTGGAAACAGGACTCAGTGAAACTTGAGGAGTTTATAGTCATGTTGGCTGCATCCAAATGTAGCTTAGGCATTTAGGTGCCTAAATATTTTATCGAAGACAGTAGAGGTCAAACACTCCTTCTTTAAGTCCAAGTAATATATGGACTTATAATTTCCATGGATTCAGATGGAATCAGGAGGCAAGAAAATATTAGGCGGCCACCTTAGGAATGTGAAAATTGCCTCATGCAAGAGTTTCTACAGGTAGAGAACAAGTTACAACCTTCCCTTTCAGCAGCTATACACCAAAAGGTTAAAAATTGACCCCCAAAGTGGAAAAAAAATAGGCTTCAGCTCACTTCCTCTCTTTTCTCAGGTGGAGTATACAATAGGGACGAGATATGGATGACTAGAGAAAACAATGGGATGTAAAGAGGTGAGAGGAAGGGAGGTGGAGGAGAGGGGAGAGAGAAGAGAAGCTAGCAAGAAAAGTGGAATAAGAAGAATATGGCTGTCAGGTTTACGGTTGGGGATTTTCAAGTCTACAAATGAGCCACTGTTTTTAGCTTCCATTGGCATCCAAGGGAAACACGTAAACAATCTTAATTCTGAAATAACTATTGCACGGTGAGCCAGTGTCAAATACTTTAGATCCAGGTAGATGCAAAATGCTGACCTGGGTGGCAAATACCAGCAAAACCTGGGCATGATGAATCTGTCTACTATTTGCCATATGTATAGCCCTTACGACTTTCTTTCAAGTGTTGCCCATGCAACCATAGATGCCTTGCTCCCTTATGCATGGGGCAAGGATGAAAAACTTCCAATTAATTTTAACGATGAAATAACTCAAGCCCTTTGATTAACTAATGCTCTACATTTGTTGATGTCCATCAGCTACTTTCAAACATACCATGCCCCAACAATTTGGCTCAATTCAGATATTAATAGTAAAATAAAATATCCCTTTACCTAAAGTAAACACCATCATGCGGATAAATGAAGAGTAAAATAAGATGAGGATTTGGTTCATTGTATTTATGAGTCTCATGCACAAAGCATACTCTATTTGGGAGCCTTTCAGCTCTGCCAGAACTTTAACAATGGCTCTTCCATAGAATAATTTATGATCAGAGTTCTTGCTTTAACTGATTCCTCCTTAATGCTCGGTTGTAATAGAAAATAAAAATAAAATCAATAATATCCTATGCGCTTTCCTCTTGAGATTTCTATTTAAGTCCCCAAATAAATTTTCATGTCACAAAAGCATTCAGATATTTTTCCATCTCTGCCAACAGATTGGACTAGACAATATACCCCAGCACTACTTTAAAGATCAACCACATAAAATAAATAAAAATGCACTTGGTATAAACAGTGACAAAAAGTATAAACATTCAAATGTTCCATTTGCCTTATGGAGAAATATTTGAAATAGGAGCCAACATTCAATTTTGGGGGTAAAGATTTTTTAAACATTCTGTTATTATTGACCAAGGCAATCTTGAAATACTTTAGCAATGGATAATACCTTGGATGTTGGATAAAATGCTAACTCCTTAGGCTGACATGAAAAGTGATCGCTATCTACCTTACCTCATGCCTCTGTCACAAACAGTCCTACAACACCTGCATATCATCTACTCCAGCTACTCTAGTTTAGGTATTATTCCCATTGCCCCAGCCTATCTGGACACTCTTGCCCTGCTCATTTGCTGGGGTTCATCTCCATGTAATAGGTCCTTCTGTTTCCTTCTCTGCCTTCAAAAGCTGGCTCCTTCAGAGCCACTGCCAATTTCACATCCACCAACTTTCCTGAATAACATAAAGTTAGCTCTCCTTCCTTCCAAACTAGTATATTTCTTGTCAGTATAATTCATTTGGAAAAAGAAAAAAGAATAAAACCTTTACTTTCTTGCCCTATCTCTCTAAACAGTGTTCTAAGTATAGTTATGTCTTGTTTCACCAATCCTGCTTTAAGCGTTTCAGGGATAGGATTCATGTCCCTCACTGAATTTGGCATCTTCACAAAGCAACAGAACAAGTTGAAGAGATGTTCATGTAAGATCTGGATAATATTATGTCTTGGACTTTACCCTCTAGCCTTATCAAGAAATACTCATAAATGTCAATCCATGAGACCATAATTCACCAAGACAAGAAACATGATTGATTAGATAGAAATTATGAAGAAATAGGCCTTGAAACTCCTTCTAATAAGCAAGGAGATACAGACTTCCATTATTTTCTAACAGTTTTTCTTTAGTTCAATAAAATCTTCCTGGGAGGACATAAAATCCATTGTCCTTTCTAAACCCACAGCTTATTATAAGCCACCTATTAGAACAATACAGATAAGTTGGGTGTCTCATATTACACTAAGCATTTTAAACCAAAGATATTGCCACTACTAGTTTGCATTTGTAAAAGCAGAACAATAATAGTAATAGGAGTTTTGCTGTTGACATTTCTTTAAAGGATCCAAGACTTACTTATCATCTGCAACTCTAACTAATACAGATTACTTTTGTTGACTAGAGTCTTTGTTTGTTTTCTAAGTTTGTAGGTTTGCTTCAGTAGATTGACAAAACAGAAGATTTAAAAATAAACCACACATAGACTGAACAGTAAGAGGCTTTATGAATATATCCAGGTGAAAGCCTTATTTGTCTCATCAGTCACTCCCTTTTCCAAAGGCAGCATTCCTGTCCATTGCTCTGACTCCATGGATCTACCGTAGTTTCTGTACTCTGTGATGGCACTTGATGCTCATCACTTTCCAAGTTGGGAGATGTGGCCTTGGCCACAAAGGTCTCAATATTTTATCAGGTCTTGGTTCTGCACCTGATTCAGCTTTTGTTAATGCTGCACTTTACCAAGCTTTTTCATACATCATTAAACAGCAACTATCGTGCTTGTGCCCCCTTTCTGATCGACTACAATGTTAAGATCACATTGAACACCACACATGCTTTTCCCAACTTGAGCAACGTCGTAGTCATGAACAGTCAACAGTATTTCCAAATTAAGCCCCCCACGGAGCTCTTCTTACTACTGAAGCAAGTACATGTCCTTGGTCTTTCAGAGAGGTACAATATTAATGCCAGATAATGAATTTGCCAACCAACCTGAATTTGGGGGTCTCTCTTTCTCCTAGTGTTGTCAGAGTCTAAATTGTAAGAACTTCACAAAAGACCAATATTAAAGTGACAGCATTGTAAACCATGGATCTAGAACCATTTCAATTAACATTTATTGAGAACATCATCTAGGAGAGAAATAGGGAAGTAGCAAGTACACGGATCCTGTCTTCAAGGAATTTGAAGGCAACATAGGAGAAAAGAAAAATGTATGAGAAATCATTATAACAGCACCATCTTTTGACAGATGCTTGTAGCTGTGTTCTGGAAACCCCTCCAGGTTCCTACCTCTATCTTAGCACTTACCTACTATGTTGAAATCATTTGAGAACATAGCTGCTAGTGGACAGGGGTTGCTTCATTCATCTTTGAATCCATCCTGCCTGATACAGTATCTAAAACACTTTAGTAACTGAAAATATATGTTGAACTAACCCAATCATGGTGGTAGGTGAGATCAAAGAGGGGAAAGATTGGGGGGTCTGATGTGGAAAGATGAGAAGCATAAAGATACCACCCAGGAAACCTTGCTAAATACAAAGAAATGGATATTTTCTTTTTTGTTTCTCTTCTATAAAACACATCATCTAACTTGAAGGCAGAGAATGCATTTTAAGAAGACAAGAATTCTCATCTAGGCAACTATAATGCTGGAGGCTGAAGAGAACCAGTTGCAAAATTATGCACTTTGCATCCTGGCTTTCCCTTTGAAATGATACTCTTGTAAACCTGAACTCGCTGCTCACAGAAGCATTTCACTACTTTTGTGTAAGACATTACCCTCCTCTCCCTCCACCCCGCTCCACCCTCCCTAGGCTTCTGGAAACCTGGAGTCAGTATCTGCAGACACATATGAAATGGCAACTCAAGGATTTATCTTGCTCTTGCATGAGAACACACAACTTTGCCAGAATTATTTAGATAGGTGAGGTTGTGGTCTGAAATACCCAGATAATAACTTCAAAAGTCTGTATTTATCACTATGTGTATTGATTGGGCTGGCATGAGAGAGACTGAAGATGGAAACTTTAGAAACCTTGGAAGATTTCACGTGATCTGGGGAAAGGGAGATTTTCTTTCCCCTCCCCCCACAAAAACAAACCATGAGTCTAGAAAACAAGTTGTGAGCTGCCCCAGCAGCATGAATTTTGTGCCTGAAGTAGACATTGCTCAATAATTTCCTGGAAATGCCCCTTAAAAAGCATTTTGCAAAAGCTGTGGGTCTACAGGCAGGCAAAATTTCTCTGAAGTGTCAGGTTTTATTTTCTTGTGAATTTTGCATTTTACACTACATTATATCCATGTGCATTTCAATATAAGTCCTTTCCCTACCTCCTCTGATTTTTGATCACACAGTGATATCCTATAGTTGGCCCACTTTGAGCAACAGGACTCTAAAATATAAATTCTAAAATATAGATCAGAAATTTCTCTTTTCCCAAAGTGTTAGGTTGCTGAAGACCTACGGCTTCTTTCCTGAGGCTGTATCACCTATAACCGTGCCCAACAAATGTGGACATCTATAAATGTCACATTTCCGCTTCTCAATTAAATGGCTGTCACTTAATCATGAATATGGTCAATATTTATTGAGCATTTGCTATATGCAAGGTACTGAGCTAGGTCTCTGTAGGTGAAGGAATAAATCAGAGTGTGGGAAACAGTGATGGCTCATCTTTCTCAGAGAGCTTGGGACAGAGAATACTCTGAATTAAAGCATGGATGTGCCACCCAACCCCCTCAGCAGGAGACCTTTGAAGCCACTCGGCCTTGGAGGTGGAACCTACTCGCTTCCACCCCCAGGTGCACTCAGAAAGATGTAAAAATATAGACCTAATTTTCTGAGAATGGGGCAGAACTCATAGTTTTGTTTGTTTGTTTTATGTAACACCTTCATTTAAGCACAATTCTATTAATTTTCCCAGGTGGTTAATTTTTTTGTCTGCTGGTTGGTGGTGGCATATTTTCTTCCCTGACACTTCTGGGAATATCTGAGACACAATTCTCTTACCACAGATTTATAATAGGAAGTTTGATTAACAGAAAAACGGCAAGGGTAGCCAGCAGAGTTCCAGGGAGGACAGGGAAAGAAACGCTGTCTGTCTTTTTCACTGTTGTTACCCCAGTGCTTTTTGTGGCTCTATAAATATTTATCTATAGTAAATAATCAGTTCCAGAAAATTGTTGACCTGTCTCAGTCTGTAAAATTATTTATTTAACTCCTGTACTTGAAAAGCCTGGGAGTGTGCTGCCTCGTGCTTCCATTCATGCTGCAGTTTCCTTTCAATAAGAAATCTACCAAAGGTGGCCTCTCAAGTCCTTACTATGATGGGCGATCCAACTGTCACCAGCAGGTACCTGGGTGCTTGCACCTTTTGTGGGCACTATGGGACATCCTGTTATCATGGAGGTGGGGATTCTTTTCATCCAGATAGTCCAGCCGATGATTCCTCTACAGAAAACAATTTTCAAGCCCATTGGAAAGACAGAAAAAACACACTAGATTTTTTTCAAAAGCTCATCATTTTCTCCTTTCTATTTGTCTCTCAGTAGAGGCACTTGGCACATCCCGTGAGTCTTCCAAGAACCTCAGTGTTTAGGCTTCCTCTTTTCCTTTTAGCATATTTCTGTATTATGTTGTTCTTACACTCCTACGTGATCATTAACAATGTTATCACATTCCAGTGAATTTAATAAACATACATGGAGTGTGTGCAGCAAGACGGCCCTGTGCTAGGAAGACTGGAAGACACAGTGATGAGTAAGGCTACTATGGAAGCTGCTCTCAGGAAACCACCTGCGGAGCCAGTCATGCACATTCCCAGCCTTAGCCTAACAAACCAAAAGAGCAACGTTCATGGAAGGCTTGGGGTCACCAACGAGCAAAGGGTATGTCCATCTGGAAGGGTTGCAGACTGCTTCACAAGTTGAAGATAACATTTCCATTGAACAGTGGATCTGAATTTGACCAGGAAAGGAGGATGGTGAGGAATAGCATTCCCAATGGTGGGCAGAGACACTGAGGCAAGAGAACACAGAATATCTTTTGGAAATGACAAGTTATTCCTTGTAAAAGGGGAAATACCTGGAACCTTTCATCACAGATAAGACTGGGAGGGTAAGTTAGAGTCGATGGAGCACCTGTGAGGCCAAACAAGGAAAGAAAGAATTAGAGCTCTAAAAGAGTCCTGAGCAGGACCTCTGGGATGTTGGGAAATTTCCTTCCCCATATGCAGCATGGCATGCATTCTGTAAGAAAACTTCACCTGACTTGTCTGCTACCGTATATCCAACTGACTCAGGAGGCTAAATATTTCTCTTCTCCTTTTAATCATTTAGCTAACCATGGCTGCCAATTTATGAAGAGATTCTTTAAAACATGAAGAGCTCAATGTAGCAGTAAGATTGGCCAGGGAACAGTACAGGATTGCCACATTCCTATGAATTCAGTCTGCTTCCCATATGCACAGAGCTGAAAAATAAAAGCAAGACTCTACTCTCTGTCTAGGAGGGGTGTGCTATGGTTAGGCTTTGTGTCCCTACCCAAATCTCAACTTGAATTGTAATCCCCAGGTGTTGAGGGAGAGACCTAGTTGGAGGTGACTGGACCATGGGAGCAGTTTCCCCATGCTGTTCTCATGATACTGAGGGAATTCTTATGAGATCTGATGGTTTTATAAATGGCAGTTTCCCCTGGGCTTACACGCTCTGTCTCACCTGCCAGCATGTAAGGTGTAACTGCTTCCCCTTCTGCCATGATTCTAAGTTCCCTGAGGCCTCCCCAGCCATGTGGAACTGTGAATCAATTAAACACCCTTTCTTTATAAATTACCCAGTCTCTGGCAGTTCTTTATAGCAGTGCAAGAACGAACTAATACAGGTTGGCTTCAAAACACATTTTTAGTATTATATTCTTCCTTCATGTCATAGAATATTAAGGATTATTTTTTAAAACTCATTTATCTCTCCAGATTTTAATTTCTGTCTTCTTCTTGTCTTTCCCCATTTCCACCACCAAAAATAATCACCTATCACACGTAGCACAATATGGACCATCTAGAACCTGCAGAGAATAGTGAAGGAAAGAAGCAGAACCTGAAGACGGAAGAAGAAAGTGGAATAGATGCTGAAAGCTATAAGGAAATATCAATATTTGGTGGATGGCAGAAAGTGTCCCCTGTAACTAGATGTAGATTTTACTTCAAAAGAATCCCACTGAAGCAACCCTTCTGGGGTTAGAAACCGTTGTGATGCTTTTGAGCCTCTAAACCTTCAAATTTAACTTGGTCTTGACAATCATAAGGTCTGGGCTGCTGCACATGGTGTGATTTTATTCCCCTGGTTGTCCTAGAAGTGGAAAAAGAATCACTTTCAAATGAGAATTTTTATTGTTTTCATCACGGGAGCTTCAGTCGGGCTATTAAAAAAGGCTTTCTTTTATGAAATTTCTCTTAGAAAACAATGGATTATAAGATAAGAGGAAATGACCTCAGGCAAGTGAAAAAGTACTGGTAAAGCTGTGAGAAAACTTTCCAGAACTTTCTCTGTATTTGTGTGTTCTGTCAAATTGCAGCCACATTCAGCCTTCCCTTTCTCCACCCCTAGGCAGTAAAACTGCGAGATGGCTAATTTCTAGTCTGTTCCCCCTTCACTTAGGTAACTGCACAGAAAGCATGATCTGACCCAGTCTTCTGTAAACAACTCCCTACCCCTAGCCAAGAAGGCTTAACCTTTGAGAGGAAATGGATATGTTGTTTTCTGGCATGTGAAGAACGTAAAGCAGTATACCTGCCCCAACTGCTATCCAAACCATGAGTGAATTTGCCGTGCTCTTTGGGAGTAAACTGGAGAGTTTGGCAAAAGAAAGCAAAGAGATAGAGGGAGAGACCTTGAAGCATTTTCTGAACTTTGTCTTCATTTGGCAAACAAATCTTTAACTTTGGAATCTGTCCTGGACCAGCTTCGTTGTGTGGAATGGAGAGAAGAACCTATTGTTGCACTGAGGAGACAGAATGTGTCCACAGATGCTAGTAACACAAATCACTCTGCATAGAAACATAAATACAAAGTCAGCTCCAGTACCCATCTTGGTGACCTTTAACCCACCATCCCAGGCCCTGATGGAGGAAAAGGGCTCCAAAAGAGAAGATTCCTTTCTCATGAAAAAAGGGAAGTGAGTAACACCCGATGTTTCCCATGCTCATTGCCTCTTTTACAAAAAGCTGGAATTCCTCTGGCATTAGAGGTAATCTGTAGTCATTGCATCACAACTTCAGGGGAATTTCTAGTTCTCTAGAGCTCACTTTCCCAGCCCAGCTCATAGGAGACCCATTCCATGGAAGGCATCTAACTTATATGTCAGGGACCTCAGGGCAGTCTCTAATCCTGGGCAGCCCTGAACTGGACATCCAACGTATTGGTGCTTCCATCACTCTATCAATATAACTGTTTGAGCTGCCTCACCCCATTGGGATTTCTGGGGGTGAGATCTGATGATAGATATAAAAGTGATCTGAAATAAAAGTCCACTTGCTTTTTACCGGAAAGGGCTCATATCTGAGGTCTGCTGAGAAAGGTCTAACAGCAGTAACAGCAGTGCAAGGAACTTCGGCTTTATTCCAGAGCAGGCTAACTAGAGGTGGGAAATTCCATATATCTAAGATCCAAACAACTAGAAAGCACAAATAATTGGTTGGCATGGGGTGAGGGGAGGAACTTCTTTCCTCCATGTCTACCATGAGAAACATAAATATAGTCATCCCTCACTATGCAGGATCCCCTTGCAGAGACCAAAATCTGCAAATACTCAAGTCCCTTATATAAAACAATGTAGTAATTGCATACACACATACCTCCCATATCATTTAAATCATGTCTAGATTACTTACGATGCCTAATACTAAGTAAATGCTATTAACACACAAAAATTTGTTATACTGTATTGTTAGGGATTACAGAGCAAAAAAAAAGTCTGCACAAATTCAATGCAGACACTTTTATTTCCCCCGAGTATTTTCTAGCCACAGCTGGTGGAATCCATGGATGCAAAACCCATGGATATGAAGGACGGATTATATATAAGATGTGATAAGGGACCATAGAAGAGAGTGATATGGTTTTGCTGTGTCCCAACCCAAATCACAGCTTGAATTGTATCTCCCAGAATTCCCACATGTTGTGGGAGGGACCCAGGGGGAGGTAATTGAATCATGAGGTCCAGTCTTTTCTGTGCTATTCTTATGATAATGAATAAATCTTATGAGATCTGATGGGTTTATCAGGGATTTCCACTTTTGCTTCTTCCTCATTTTCTCTTGCCACTGCCATGTAAGAAGTGCCTTTCACCCCCTGCCATAATTCTGAGGCCTCCCCAGCCATGGGGAACTGTAAGTCCAATTAAACCTCTTTTTCTTCCCAGTCTCAGGTATGTCTTTATCAGCAGCATGAAAACAGACCAGTACAGAGGGCAACTTCCTATATCATGTGGTAGGGGAGAAGAGGGAAGGAATTGCTTCAAAATTAACCTAATATTCTTTCCCTTTTACATCTATTTTACAATTTGATGATAATTAAGGCCTTTAATGATGAAAAAAATTACCATATAAATCTTAAGTAAGTTTTGTGCCATCAAACAATATACTACTTTCAGGAGAGTTTCATCATCTGGTATAACACCAAACCTCAAGTGGCATGTATTTCGCCACTTTTAGAAGTGACCAACATTTCTAAACTAACCCATACACTCCTCAGTTATTTCCAAGACATGGAAATTGATGTTTTCACACACCTGTAGGAAAGTACAGCAAATAGCCTTTTGGGGATATTTCTAGATCTTACTACACATTTGGAAGAAATTTGAAAAAAACTAGTCCAATAACCAGTTATAGTTAGTATCCAAGCTATTTGGTGATGAAAGTTAGGATTTTTTTTAAATGTCTAAATGTGCATGATACAGTTTGGTTCCATGTCCTCACCCAAATCTTACCTTGAATGATAACCCCCATGTGTCAAGGGCAGGACCAAGTGGAGGTAACTGGATCATGGGGGGCGGTTTTCTTCATGCATTTCTCATGATAGTAAGTGAGTCTCACGAGATCTGATCGTTTCATAAGCATTTGGCATTTCCCCTGCTTGCACTCACTCCATCCTGCCACCCTGTGAAGACAGCGCCTGCTTCTTTTTTTTTGGTTTTATCTTTTTATTATACTTTAAGTTCTAGGGTACATGTGCACTACGTGCAGGTTTGTTACATATGTATACATGTGCCATGTTGGTGTGCTGCACCCATTAACTCGTCATTTAACATTAGGTATATCTCCTAATGCTATCCCTCCCCCCTCCCTTCACCCCACAACAGGCCCCAGTGTGTGATGTTCCCCTTCCTGTGTCCATGTGTTCTCATTGTTCAATTCCCACCTATGAGTGAGAACATGCAGTGTTTGGTTTTTTGTCCTTGTGATAGTTTGCTGAGAATGATGGTTTCCAGCTTCATCCATGTCCCGACAAAGGACACGAACTCAGCATTTTTTATGGCTGCATAGTATTCCATGGTGTATATGTGCCACATTTTCTTCATCCAGTCTATCATTGTTGGACATTTGGGTTGGTTCCAAGTCTTTGCTATTGTGAATAGTGCTGCAATAAACATACGTGTGTATGTGCCTTTATAGCAGCATGATTTATAATCCTTTGGGTATATACCCAGTAATGGGATGGCAGGGTCAAATGGTATTTCTAGTTCTAGATCCCTGAGGAATCGCCACACTGTCTTCCACAATGGTTGAACTAGTTTACAGTCCCACCAACAGTGTAAAAGTGTTCCTATTTCTCCACATCCTCTCCAGCGCCTGTTGTTTCCTGACTTTTGAATGATTGCCATCCTAACTGGTGTGAGATGGTATTTCATTGTGGTTTTGATTTGCATTTCTCTGATGGCCAGTGATGATGAGCATTTCTTCATGTGTCTTTTGGCTGCATAAATATCTTCTTTTGAGAAGCGTCTGTTCATATCCTTTGCCCACTTTTTGATGGGGTTGTTTTTTTTCTTGTAAATTTGTTTGAGTTCATTGTGGATTCTGAATATTAGCCCTTTGTCAGGTGAGTAGATTGCGAAAATTTCCTCCCATTCTGTAGGTTGCCTGTTCACTCTGATGGTAGTTTCTTTGGCTGTGCAGAAGCTCTTTAGTTTAATTAGATCCCATTTCTCAATTTTGGCTTCTGTTGCCATTGCTTTTGGTGTTTTAGACATGAAGTCCTTGCCCATGCCTATGTCCTGAATGGTATTGCCTAGGTTTTCTTCTAGGGTTTTTATGGTTTTAGGTCTAACATTTAAGTCTTTAATCCATCTTGAATTAATTTTTGTATAAGGTGTAAGGAAGGGATCCAGTTTCAGCTTTCTACATATGGCTAGCCAGTTTTCCTAGCACCATTTATTAAATAGGGAATCCTTTCCCCATTGCTTGTTTTTGTCAGGTTTGTCAAAGATCAGATAGTTGTAGATATGTGGCATTATTTCTGAGGGCTCTGTTCTGTTCCATTGGTCTATATCTCTGTTTTGGTACCAGTACCATGCTGTTTTGGTTACTGTAGCCTTGTAGTATAGTTTGAAGTCAGGTAGCGTGATGCCTCCAGCTTTGTTCTTTTGGCTTAGGATTGACTTGGTGATGCGGGCTCTTTTTTGGTTCCATATGAACTTTAAAGTAGTTTTTTCCAATTCTGTGAAGAAAGTCATTGGTAGCTTGATGGGGATGGCGTTGAATCTGTAAATCACCTTGGGGAGTATGGCCATTTTCACGATATTGATTCTTCCTACCCATGAGCATGGAATGTTCTTCCATTTGTTTGTATCCTCTTTTATTTCCTTGAGCAGTGGTTTGTAGTTCTCCTTGAAGAGGTCCTTCACATCCCTTGTAAGTTGGATTCCTAGGTATTTTATTCTCTTGGAAGCAATTGTGAATGGGAGTTCACTCATGATTTGGCTCTCTGTTTGTCTGTTGTTGGTGTATAAGAAAGCTTGTGATTTTTGTACATTGATTTTGTATCCTGAGACTTTGCTGAAGTTGCCTATCAGCTTAAGGAGATTTTGGGCTGAGACGATGGGGTTTTCAAAATGAAGGCAGAAATAAAGATGTTCTTTGAAACCAATGAGAACAAAGACACAACATACCACAACCTCTGGGACACATTCAAAGCAGTGTGTAGCAGGAAATTTATAGCACTAAATGCCCACAAGAGAAAGCAGGAAAGATCTAAAATTGACACCCTAACATCACAATTAAAAGAACTAGAGAAGTGAGAGCAAACACATTCAAAAGCTAGCAAAAGGCAGGAAATAACTAAGATCAGAGCAGAACTGAAGGAGATAGAGACACAAAAAACCCTTCAAAAAATCAGTGAATCCAGGAGCTGGTTTTTTTGAAAAGATCAACAAAATTGATAGACTGCTAACAAGACTAATAAAGAAGAAAAGAGAGAAGAATCAAATAGATGCAATAAAAAATGATAAAGGGGATATCACCACCGATCCCACAGAAATACAAACTACCATCAGAGAATACTATAAACACCTCTACACAAATAAACTAGAAAGTCTAGAAGAAATGGATAAATTCCTCAACACATACACCTTCCCAAGACTAAACCAAGAAGAAGTTGAATATCTGAATAGACCAATAACAGGCCCTGAAATTGAGGCAATATTTAATAGCTTACCAACCAAAAAAAGTCCAGGACCAGATGGATTCACAGCCGAATTCTACCAGAGGTACAAGGAGGAACTGGTACCATTCCTTCTGAAACTATTCCAATCAATAGAAAAAGAGGGAATCCTCCCTAACTCATTTTATGAGACCACCATCATCCTGATACCAAAGCCTGGCAGAGACACAACAAAAAAAAGAGAATTTTAGACTCATATCCCTGATGAACATCGATGCAAAAATCCTCAATAAAATACTGGCAAACTGAATCCAGCAGCATATCAAAAAGCTTATCCACCATGATCAAGTGGGCTTCATCCCTGGGATGCAAGGCTGGTTCAATATACGCAAATCAATAAACATAATCCAGCATATAAACAGAACCAATGACAAAAACCACATGATTATCTCAATAGATGCAGAAAAGGCCTTTGACAAAATTCAACAACGTTTCATGCTAAAAACTCTCAATAAATTAGGTATTGATGGGACGTATCTCAAAATAATAAGAGCTATCTATGACAAACCCACAGCCAATATCATACTGAATGGGCAAAAACTGGAAGCATTCCCTTTGAAAACTGGCACAAGACAGGGATGCCCTCTCTCACCACTCCTATTCAATATAGTGTTGGAAGTTCTGGCCAGGGCAATCAGGCAGGAGAAGGAAATAAAGGGTATTCAATTAGGAAAAGAGGAAGTCAAATTGTTCCTGTTTGCAGATGACATGATTGTGTATCTAGAAAGCACCTGCTTCTTCTTTGTCTTCCACCATGATTGTAAGTTTCCTGAGGCCTCCCCAGCAATGCTGAGCTGTGAATCAATTAAACCTCTTTCCTTCATAAATCACCCAATCTTAGGTATTTCTTCATAGCAGTGTGAAAATGGACTAATAAAGTGCACAGATTTTTTTTTAACTTTTGTATCCCAATATGACTTCAATTGATTGGTCTGTGAATTTCTACTTGTCTTACCGCCGTCCTTTAGAATCATTATTTTAGCAATCTAACCTCTCCTTGCCATTCCAATTTTCTTGGCATACAGACCACAGTAAGAGAATAATCTAATCCTCCCTATTCAATTGCTGGTTTTGTAGAAGGACCAAATTATATGATCAGAGCAATGAGCACAGATGAGAAACAGCTGTGAATGGTATAGTCCCAGCCTCTTTGTAGACATTTCACGAAATATCATATCTGCGAATGAATTCCTTAGGGCCTCTATTATCCATAGCTTTTTGCATCCAAGGGGAGTATAGCACAGGGTTTCAAGCATGGTCAGGCAGTGGTGAGCATGCATTTGAAATTTTTGGTCACCAAATTGCCATGAGGAGTCGGCATGTTGGTGAAGTGTGCTCTGACTCCCATGTCTCCATGTGTGTGTTGTGGGCCTGTGTGGAGGTTAACTGCTCAGTTTAACTACATGTTTAGCCAGATGAATAGAAGAGGGGAAAAGTGTCTTCTTTCTTTGAACTTCTTACTTCCCTGGTGAACCTTCATGACTACCCCATCTCAGTGAGCCAGCACCCCATTCTCTGCCAGTCAGAGTCACACACTCACTACCTGAAGCCGCCTTGTTCATTGCTTGCTTGGTGCCTGCTTCCTGCCATGGAAATGGAAACTTCCTGGCTGGACTTGGTTTTGTTTACCACTGTATCCCCATTACCTGAACTAGGTGCTCAAATACAGAATTTTAGTAGAGAATGCTGCCTTTCACGCAAGTGAGAGAAAAACAAATGAAGGCTTACATGTATTTGCCTGAATGTACATAAAATATCTCTGAGAGCATGATGCACATCTGATAACATTGATTGCTTTGAGTGCCAGGAAAGAGGGAGATTTTTCACTATTTACCCTTTTGAACCTCTTGAGTTTTTACTGTACAAGTCAGTCATGTGCTGTACAGGGATGTTCTGGTCAATAATGGATGGCATATATGGTGGTGGTCCCATAAGATTATAATGGAGCTGAAAAATTCTCATCACCTAGGTACGTACGTCTTGACGATTCTGACTCTGTGTAGGTCTAGGCTAATGTGTGTGTCTCTGTCTGCTTTTTAACAAAAAAAGTTTAGAAAGTAAAAAATAAAAACTTTTTAAATAGGAAAAAGTTTATGGAATAAGGATAGAAAAAATATTTTAATACAGCTGTACAATGTGTTTGTGTTTTAAGCTGTGTTGTTACAAAAGGGTCAAAAAGTTTTCTTTTAATTTTGAAGTTTATAAAGTAAAAAAGGTGGTACAGTAAGCTAAGGTTGATCTATTAGTGAAGAAAGAAATTTTCTAAAATAAATTTAGTGTTGCCTACGTGTAGTGTTTATAAACTCTATAGTACTCTACAGTCACATTCTAGGCCTTCACATTCACGCACCCGTCACCCACTGACTCACCCAACTTGCAGTCCTGCAAACTCCACTTACTGTAAGTGCCTCACACAGGTGTACCATTTTAAAAAATATTTCATACCTTATTTGTACTATACCTTTTCTTTTAGATATGTCTAGATATAAAAATACTTACCATTGCATTACAATTGCCTAAAATATTCTGTCCAGTAACATGCTGTACACATTTGTAGTCTAGAGCAATAGGTTATACCATACAGCCTAGGCACGTAGTAGGCTAGAACATCTAGGTTTGTATCAGTGCATGCTATGATGTTCACAGAATGACGAAATTGCCTAATGACACATTTCTCAGAAGGTATCCTCATTGTCAAGTGACACATGACTGTATTTTGAATATGTGATTGTATTAATGATTCAAAACCAGATGATTAAAGTTTTAAAAAATGGAGTGCTCTATTCTTGAGAGCAGAGCTTAGATGCCTCTGAAGAGTATAATTATTTTTCCATTATTGTCAGTCCTATGAGCCTTTATGCTCTTTGGTTGTCTAGGGGAGTCCAAATCATCCTACACTTTTACATATTTCACCTCATCATCTTCAAATATTAATCAAATATAACAATATTAAAAGACTCTTACCCCTAATTCAGATTATTCTATGCCATGAGAGAAAAAAATTGAATGAACCAATTACACAGGAAGGAGGGAATTGCATAATTAAGAACATTCATGATGGTTTTACTGAACAGCATTAAAACAGTCCATTTTCCAATCATTCATTGCTTTTATTGGACACCATCCTGACTTAATAGAATGGTTCTTCTTAACGCTGTTAATTTCTGGAAGAGCTCCAAGGCAAATGAAATCTCAATACTCATGTTCTGGGAATACAAGTTGTGAAACAGTGGAGGTAGGGGGTATGGGGGAGGTCTCGTTGAAGATCAGTTTCACCCTGCAATCTGACAGGGCTTTTCATTCCTCATCATAACCTCCACACTTTATCTCCATGCTTTCCCCAGCCTCTAGAATGATCAGTCACACTAAACAAGATTCAGGCAGACAACTCTGAGAGGACAAGGAGAGAAGCTCAAACCGTACTATAGACAAACTATTTCATGCTTTTCATTGTCTGCTTGCCCCACACAAGGGAGTTGTACATGAGTGATTTTAGCTCATGTAATTATCTCAAATAATGATAATAACATTAAGAAGAAGAATATTAATAACAATACCATTGCTCTTATGGATTGATCCAATATCTTACCTCGAAAGAGGCCCAGGCTTTTTTATGGATATGATTAGGGTCACCCTTGCTGTGGACTAGCATAGGAGGCTGAGTGCAGCTCTTGATGACACTGCTTCTTAAATGCCTGAAGATTGAAATGACCCCAAATCCTCTATCTCCTGCCTACCATCCAATATTCTTCTCTCTAAAGCACATTGGGGCAGTTAGGTATGCTCCTGGCTAAAGGAAGATACAGCAAAACAGTCAACAAGTTTATGAAAAATTCATTGCTAAAATTGAGAACTAAAGGAATCACACTTTTATCACAACACAGTCAATTTAACCACAATATATCTCTGGGATTATAACTCTGAAGTACTCCAAACATTTCTTGATATGTACAAAATATTGATGCAGACTTTGCTGATTAAAAAATGTGTGTTCTTTTAGGTAAGGTAGAAGTTTCTTTTTTATTCTCTAGGGGAAAAAAGCTTGCCTCCCTAATTAGAAGGGTAAAAATAACTCCAAAAGCAACATGTACCATAAGTAAATAAACTTCTTTCAAACATTTTCAAAGTATTTATTTACTTATAAGCAACAAGTAAGTTTGCTTAGAAGACATTCATAAACCAGAAAATATCTCCCTCTATTCACTTGAAAAAGGCAGCACGGCATTAATTTTTAAGGATCTTATAATTAAAACTTTCCTAAATTCTTACAAATGAATGAAGTTTTTACAAAGTCTAACGTACCTATTACATTGAAATGTGTACACATCTGAACAGTTTTTAGGTGAGTACATTTTCTACCTTCATTTCAAAATTTTCTTCTTAGGCTGACCACACTGAAATACGAATAATGAAAACACAAAATTTCATGGTTTCTCTGGATATGGATCAAAAGATTACACTAAAATAAAAAATAAATTACACTTATTAGATGTTTGGCTTACTTAACCCAAGCATGTGGTGTGCAAACATTGTTGAGGAGTATCATTCAAGATATTTAGCAATCAACAAAATTTAGATAACAAACAATGAGAACAGATGCCTGCCAGCTTATAGTCAGTACTGCTGTATTGGTGCCTGCTTGTGAAATATCAATTCTGATGGTCTGAAAGCAGGCCCCTGCAAAGACAGCCTAGTTTCTGTCCTTGGCAGGGGTCCCCCTGCAGTGGTAGAGCTCCCTGGGACTCCCTAGACAGCAATACGATCACTGCTTCTCTTGATGTACCAAAGGTTAACAAATCACAGACAAGAAAATTGACAAGACTGATGGGCATATAAATATTTGTTTATTACAATGTGCACTGTAGCCATCCCATTTAAGTATACAGGTTAATTAAATCATAGATGCATGTTCTAAGAATGAGATTGATTTTCAAAGTGCTCTGTGTCTGTGTCCACAGACTCAAGCCAGTTCAAAAAACCATCAGTTTAATTTTTATCAAGCAATCAACTAACAATAAGTTATTTTCATATTTCTTTGAATTAATCTTCTAACTCTGGCTATAAATTTAAAGCATTCGGAATATATATTTTTTAAAAAACTAGCTTGGCTGGGCACAGCAGCTCACACCTGTAATTCCAACACTTTGGAAAGCCAAAGCAGGAGGATCACTTGAGCCCAAGAGCTCAAGACCAGCCTGGGAAACATAGTAAGACCCTATCTTTACAAAAAAATAAAATAAAATACAAAAAATTAGTGGTGTGCACCTGTAGTCCCAGCTATTGAGAGGCTGAGGTGGGATGATCACTTCAGTGCAGTCAGCCAAGATCACGCCACTGCCCTCCTGCCTAGGCAACAGAGCCAGATCCTGTCTCTAAAAAACAAAAGGCAAAACAAAAAAAAAATACCCACCTCCCAGTACTACGAAAATCATTTTAATAATTGGTTAAATTCAAACAATTTATAATAGGAGCCCAGATAATTAAACCCAAACTCCCATTCTTTTCAGAAATCCCCTCTCCCAGATTTTTGAGTAAATCTGTTTGATAACATCTAGCTGTGAGGAGTTCATTATATGTCATGAGTACCTTTCTGATTAACAGTTTATTTTACTCATTCTAGATGTATGCCACTTTTATCTTGGGAGCTTTTGTTTGTTGGTTGGGTGTGTTGTTACATTTTGCTCATATTGTTTGTAGCTTGTAAACTGATTCCCACAGGTGGGAAACTGCAATAAGTAATAAGGACAGTACACACTCCGTACTGCATCTGCAGATTCAACCAACCACTGAAAGAAAATGTAGTTAGGCCTACAATGACTGCATGTGTACTGAACATGTACGGACTTTTTGTTCTTGTCATTATTCTCTAAACAACACAGTATAACTACCATTTATATATATAGCATTTAAATTGCATTAGATATTATACCTAATCTAGAGATGATTTAAAGTGTATAGGAGCATGTGCATAGCTTATATGCAAATACTACACCATTTCATATAAGGGATTTGAGCATCCATGGATTTTGGTAAGGAATTGAGGGAGATAGTACTTTCTAGCATGCTTCCAGTGGGAGGAATAAAAATAAAAGTTTCTTCAGAATACGCTCTTCCACATTCTTGGAAGTCTGAAGTATATGGCAAAGTAATGAAAATGAAGAGAAGAAGGTCAAAAATTCAACAAATAAGTTATCAATGGGTATTTATTAAACAACTATCGGTGTTCTCAAGATATATTAGCTATTCAGGGGAAAACTACTTGGCCTTTAGCATTAGTGATGGGCCTATAATGGTTAGATGGAATTATTTGGGTACCTGGGGCTCTGAACTGTCTCTTCAAGGATCGCTAAGGTTTGGAGAGGTGTCAAGAGAGGAAAACAATTCTACTCTGGAGCCGAGTGACCCGAAGGTGTAAGAAAATTGAAAATAGAACCTATGGAAGACAGAAAGGAGACCAACTTACCCAGAATGGAGAATGGGCTGAAGAGTGGAGGGATGAGCGGTGCTGCCCAGGATTATCAAAAGCTTTGGGTAGGCCAGTTGTGGGGGACTCTCATGCCTGTAATCCCAGCACTTTGGGAGGCCGAGGTGGGCGAATCATCTGAGGTCGGGGATTCAAGACCAGCCTGACCCTGTCTCTACTAAAATTACAAAATTAGCCGAGTGTGGTGGCACATGCCTGTAATCCCAGCTACTCAGGAGGCTAAGGCAGGAGAATCGCTTGAACCCAAGAGGCGGAGGTTGCGGTGAGCCAAAATCGTACCACTACACTCCAGCCTGGACAACAAGAGCCAAACTTTCTCTTAAAAAAAAAAAAAAAAACTACAACAAAAAACAACAACAACAAAAAAAAACAACTTTGGGTATGGAGATAGCCTAGGCCATTGAGTCTTCCAGGAGATAGAGGGAAAACTTGAGCCCTTTGTGAATAAGCATGCTGACATCATTTGTTTTAGAGATGGGCTCAATAAAGTAAGACATGACTCACCCTTCTTGGTAAACTCACAAAATTAAATACAGAGCAAAATTGTGTTTCCATGCCCATTCTATTCCTTAAAAAGTCAAAAAGAATGATTCTAAAAGTGGTCACAGCCAAATAATGCAAGGACTCTGGGGATTTATCTGAATCAGATCAGCCTTTCCCTCAAAGGTACAAAGCAGACCTATTATACATATGTTTGTGTCCCCAAAGTAACATTTTTCAAGTGGCATTTCTAGTTTCAATTTCAATTTCAATGTAAAATAGAGTGTAGTTAAAGGGTTCATAGAATACAAATATCCAACTGTGAAAAAGTACATTAATTGAAACACTGAAAAACCTGGTGATTCACTTGCTAGTTTTTGGCCATGTAACATGATTTATACATTAATCTGGTAGCATGAACTAACATTTCAGGCCTTCTTACTATTGCATTAAGTTTCCAGCCAGGTTCTGATTAGTCAAGATAATCCGCTTTTAGTGAGTAACCTAACCTGTTTTGAATCTGTACGTGGTGTGTTACCTGTGTTTTATAGTAATGGGACTATTTCAACAGAAGAATGGAATGCCCAAGACACATTTATCAGATATGACAATTCTTCTATTGTTGTCACTCTTTGTCAAATGCCACAACCCACGGGCATTTAGCAAACCATAAAGATTTATCATCCGATTCCCTTATTCACTGTCACTTGGATATTTTGATTTTCGGTTTGACGCCAAGACATCTTCGTTCATTATGTATCATGGATGAAGCATTCAAGCTATGCCTCCTACACGTGAGTTTTGTAAGTTTTAGGCCTTCTTTCCACCATAAAATATGAACTGTCATGGACAGTGTTCGGTCTATTTATCTCTGAATTACTGCTCCTCACATTAGAGTTTCCACCAGTTGAGTAGAGGGGGAGAGATGGCTGCTTGTTTGCCCTCAGGAAACAAATATCTGAAGCTGAAAGGCTCTTAACAGTAAGAGCTGAAGCCTAGCAAGAAAACAGTGCAGTGATGGTAACTAAGTGAACTAAAGTGCAGAGCCATGGAGCAGGTGACAAGCCTAAGCACTGTTTTTGCTGCTCAGCTCACCCATGGCCCTCTGCTGTGGACTCACAGCTCCAAATAAACACAGGGTCAGGAGAAGATGAGAATGAGATCTGATTTACTGATTCCAACCAGCCCAAGACCCATTTAGACAAAAATTGCCCTGTTATAGCTTCACAATCTAAGAAGACATTTTTACGTGCAAAAATGTTGGGTGAAATATAATCAAGGATGCACGGAGGGACTCTGAACATATTCTGCCCCCACTGGGAGTTTTAATCTACACGTCTCCCTCGTTATTGTTTAAGCTGGATTTTCAACCATTCAACTAACTCATCCAGTACTGTTAATGTACTGGCTAGGAGAATACTTTGTCTTTGGTGTTAATACCTCACCCTAAATTGAAGTAAACCTGGCTATAGAGAGGGTGCAATTTATGTTGCCTGCCACGTTCCCTGGTTCGGTAAGATTTTCAGTTAAAGTCATCCTCCTTCACTTCCGTTTTGCCCCAGGGAAGGGAGACACATACGCATTCAGCCCTGACAGGTAAGTGCTTGCCACTTATAAAATCCAATAAATAAATTCTAAATAAATATATCTGCAAATCGAAACCATTTTGAGCTACTTAACTGAGTGCAAATCTAGTCCTTTGTACACATATTTGTACAAAGTGTTGCCTGTAATTTTAAAGATGCTTGCCTCCGGGAGGTTTCGTTTTTCCATTGAAGTCCCCCTGATTTACTGTACGCAATATGTTACAGCTTCCTTATTTGCTCCTTTGGGACGGTTACTGACAGTAAATCTCTATTAAAATATTCTTCCATATGGTTGCATGAAAATTTTATTGCAGTGAGCCTGGGGCTGAAGGTCACAGCTGAGTAGCTGCAGTTAAGTATTGCAGTCTATGGACTAGGAGGTACATCTGTTCTGGGAGCTGGAGTAAAATTAGAATTTTACTGTCAATAGCATTTCTCCAAAACTAGTTAACATTTGTTTACTGTAGCTGGCTGGGCCTTTTCTTCCGCAGTACCTAAAATGCATGTCACCAGGCCCCACACCAATCTCTTTCGGGGTGGAAGTTTTAATACAGAATCTGCTGAACCTGAAGGTCACCTAAGAAGTCCCTAATGGATATTTCATTTATGATACATGAAAATTTAATTTTATCTCTTCTAATTTGAATCTATTGCTCCCTCACATTGGTTTTAGCTATAACTCATTGTTTGTTCTAAAAGCTTCTAGGATAGCAGATCATACAAACTTAATAAATACTACCAAAGTATGACTTTTAAATCTGCATTTCTGGGGCTTATGAGACAGTACCCAAGCAACAAGTTTTCATTACTTTATATGTTTGATTGGAGAGGGTGAGATAGATTGGACACCATTTAGCTGGGATTATGATGTCATTACTTCAAGTGTTTGTAGATAATACTCATCCCTGAAAAGACTGGGAAAACCAAGGGACTTTTGAAAACATAATTCCACTCAATCAATGTGGCTACATAAGCATGCTTTATGGCTATACACACCACATTTAGCAACTGGGAGCTGGGGTCAGCCAAGTGCCAATTGTTTAATGTCAACATTTTAAAAAAGGAAACATTCAACTATGGTTTTAAGCCTATCTTTCTCAGCAGGGTGACATCCAGCCTAGACTCCAAATCCACCCCAACACCTCCCACGTCAAAGCACTGTGAGTAAGTTACAAGGAAAAACCAGCCCAAGCAGTTCCCAGGGCTTTGGCTGTGTCTCCACAAAGAATGATGCTCAGCAGCGTTCCATCCCAGCCTTCATCCAAACAGTAATCTGATCTGTAGATTTGTAACCCAGGGTCCCCAGGTTTTTGGGTATCACTGTGAAAAAGTACCCATTTGTAACTGTTGCATCTTGAGCTCTTATTTCAAAAAGTTCGAGGTAGAAGCTCAGTCCTGGAAAAACAAAAACTGGTTGGATCCAGAGGTGCCTGACTTGGAGATGAACTTTGGGGAGCTTTCCTCATTACCACCCTAAAAACCTCACCCAGGGAGGAACTTATTTGCCATTTTGTACATATGTGATGCATGTGGAAGCATGATCAGTGACTGCACCTGTGCTGCCTTTACTCCACCTCTACATATAGTAACTCAGCTAACTAGCTGAATAAAAGCCCTGTGTTCACCTTTGGTCAAGAAGGCAGTGCTGTGGGAGCTATCCTCAGTGCCCTCTTTGTTGCAAGTAATAAAATCGCATTGTTAAATCCTCTTTGGTTGTGATTGGACTGTCACTCACCAAGAGATCAAACCCACCCATTGTATGAGTAACAGATCCAGAAATTTGAGTGACTCTGTAGCAGGTTTTTTCTTTTGATACTGATTAATTCCAAACCTTATTTCTGAGACTCCATTGATTATCTCGTATTATTTCTATTACCAAAACACCAGAGTTTGTTCTAGATCCTGATGCTCACTACACAGAAAGCCAATCACTGAGACACTGAGTATTGGCAAGGAAGAAGGCTTTAATTGGGTGCTACAGCTGAGGAGATGGGAGCCCAGTCTCACATCCATCTTCCTGACTGACTAAAACCAGGGGTTTATAGAGCAGGGAATAAATGTAACAATGTGTAAGAAGACAAGAACTAGGGAGGGACAAGGAAGCAATACTGATGAATGAGGGGTACCCATGGTGATCTGGTGAGTGTCAGTTCTTTGATACTTTTTTTGAGAGGCCTAAAGGTCCTTTCCTGAGGAAGGAACTCAGATTAAATAAATACAAGTTTCAAGCTTTAAGACCAGAAGGATCAATTTATGTTAGACAAAAAGAACTATCTATGAGAGTATTGGGTTGGTTTCATTTCCAGAAGTTTAGGGAAATTTTCAAAGCAAATATTAAAAAAAAGTTTTTGAGATAGGGTGTCACTCTGTTGCCCAGGCTGGAGTGCAGTGGTGTGATCATAGCTCACTGCAATCTCAAACTCCTGGGCGCAAGCCATCCTCCTGCATCAGCCTCCCGAGTAGCTGGGACTACAGGTGCACATCACCATGACCAGCCAATGTTTTATTTTTTGTACTGATGAGGTCTCCCTATATTGCCCAGGCTGATCTCAAACTCCTGGGCTCAAGTGATCCTCCCACTTTGGCTTCTACAAAGTGCTGAGATTATAGGCATGAGCAACCACACCTGGCCTAATTTGTGTATTTTTAAGCATGTGTCACCATAGTAATGTAGGTAGTAGAGGGAGATCCAGAGAAAAGTGAAAAAAAAAAAGGGGGCAGAAAAGGCATTAGATAGAGCAAAGAAGTTACATTCACTGAGTGCCAACCAGGGCCAAGCCCTGATGCTTTGCAAAGTACTAGCTCTCATAATTCTCACACAATCTCTATGAGTTAAACACAATTATTATTCCCATTTTACAGATGGCAAAACTAAAGGGCAGAGAGATTAAGTAACATGTTCAGTCACACTGCTGGGAAGCAGAGCTGGATTCAAAACAATATAGCCCCAGTGCCTGTGTCATTAATCACTGTACTCCACTGCTTCTTGGATGAGGAGGGTGGTGGGAAAGACATTGAGGGTCTGAAATGATTCCTGATTAGGTTTCAGATAAATGCCCAGATCGTGCTATTTGGCTCCAAGATGAAGTCTGAATACATCTACTGTCTCTGATATTGATGTTGACAAGGATCATGCTCTTGACACCCAGTGGTGAGAACAGATGTGGAACAAGGTAAACGTCAACAACTCTAACAGCACCTTCAAGAAATATATAGTGAGGTGAAAGAGTTCAGTTTGATGGATCTGATGAACTAGGCACAATCTCTTCCCTGCAAAAAATTGCTCCTTTCAAAAAGAAACATATTTCAGATGCAGGTTACCATGGACTAAATTCTTAACCTCACCTCCATTACTTTCATTCTGCATGCACCCTCAGCAACACACACACACACACACACACAATGTTTGGGCAAAAGAGAAACTAAATGCTGAGAAGGCCAATGAGAAGGCTGTAGCAGAAAGAGGTAAATATGGGAGGGAAGTCTAAGCCAAAATTCCTCATGAAGAGCTAAGGATTGAACTTTAAGGAAGATCCAATATAGGGGCACATCCAGAGGACCTGTGGCAGAACTAGAACCTGGGCTTGGTACCAGGGGCTCTAAGTGGAAAAGAGGTGCGATAAAAACAACAGAAAAGGGTGTATGAGATTGCCCAGAGCAGCCTTGAGGCATCAGTGCCTCAAGTGTGTACCACATTCAGCAGGCTCAAAGGATCAGAGATTGATTTGCTTTTCAACAGATATTGTTTTAAACTGTATTTCGGCATAACTTTAGACTCACTTGGAAGTTGCATAAAGAGAATGGAGAGTTCCCATATATCCTTTCCTCACCTTCTCCTGATGATAAGTACTAGGATCAAAACCAGGAAAGTGACGTTGATACAATACTTTTAACTAAACTACAGACCTTATTTGCATTTCATCTGAACAGGTATTTTTGTAGCACTCTTCTTATGCCTGACACACCCTGTGCTAGGGCTTGGGGCACAGTTTCTGGCCTTACGGTGTTTGCCGTTCATTGACAAAAGTTTGTGGGCCAACGACATACTGTTGGAAATTGGAAATTGGAAATTGTAGTAGGTATTGGAAATTTTGTTATCTCATTGAGTTGCCATGACACGGGAAAAGCACTAATCACGTATCTCTGAGCACACCTTCATTTTTCTTAAGCACACGGCCACTGAACCTCTCTTCTTTGTGTCTTCAAATTACAGATCATGTACAATAGTGAAGGATTCCCAAGGATGTTTTTAGTGGAGGAGAGGTGGGGAAAGCCATGGGGACTTGAAGAGTTTTCCATCTTGGCCTCAGAGAACACAATAGGAATCTTTGAACATTGTGTGTTTTGGAAATACTGTTTAGAGATCACCAGGATTTTGACAACTTAAATGGAATCCCTCAAAAACTTTGAGGTTATAGCTATTCCTTTGTTGGTAATTAAACTTTTTGTTTTTGATAGTAAGTAGCAATCAGCTACTAGAAACAGCACCACTTCTGTATTGTTAGGTTCTATACTAAGATGAGAAAGCTAGAATCTTTATTGCTGTGTATATAAGGTCAGGAATTTGACAATAATGTAACTGGATTCATGGTACGGGAAGTAATTTACTTTTTTTGTTTGTTTTTAGAATTGGTTTTACTGTGTCATTATCTAATACTCTTGAATTTAGGTGTATGTTTTTGTTTTCCTTTTGCATATTAGAAGTCATTTCATATTTTTTTAATATAACATAAGTGCTCTAAAAGAAATGTGTAAAATGATTATAGCTATGTCCTGGAGAGTGCAAGTTAGTCTCTCTGTGTGTGTCCACTTTAAGTCCTATTATTTAGAAGCAGATGCAGTAATACTAAGTAAATACATATTTAGTAACCCTACATGCCCCTCTCCACACATGGGCACCTATTATAGAGATACAAAAGGAACAGTAGGCAAAGTCCCTTTCACTCAGCTTATGCTGCAAAGCTCCTTGTATTTGCTTATTTGAGAAAGGGGAAAGGATCATTTTAAAGTTAAATTGCCTAGTGAACCCATCTATCATTTGCAAAAAAGTAATGAGCTGGAGCCAGAAGCCTAAGTCTCTGCTTTCTTCCCCTTTCTCATGGCCAAGATGGAAGACATAAAAAGCAATTTTTCTTGATATGTGATCAAACGATGGATTAAGACTTGCAAGGAGCCGGTGATCAATTGTCTGATAATATGTGACAGAACTTGTCAGATTGACGAAAATGTACCCCAACCCAAAGGGAGAGAAGGCTCTGAGCTGTGAAGGTGCTTTCTTAAGCAATTGCCTGAGATGCAGAGGCCCTGTGATATCAATTATCTTCTGTATCAACACCAAACAGGATTTTTTTTTTTTCTGCAGAAGCTGCCATCATGGTTTGATGTGTGTAAGTTAATTCTAATTAGATGCATTTCAGTAATCACTTAACTTTAATTGGTTTTGTATCTTATTTTTCAAAGGAAGAAGGCATAGACTTGTCCTAATACTTTACCAAAGTAATGTTCCGCAAGACATGAAATGAATTCCCCTCCATTCTTCCCCACATTCTGACAACATGCCAATAAAAATAGTATTAGGTGATTAAAGAATTTTTATTTAAGGCAGACATAATGATAAATGGTAATAAACTCAAACAGCCGGCGGGCTTCTTGGTGGATTAACCACCTGATGGCCTGCCTCAAGATCCAGCCTTGGCTTAGTTGGCAGGATCCACACTTAGCATTACAGCCTCTTCTGGGGAGAGGGAAGAGAGGGAGAGTGAATGATGCCAAGACATCCATATTGTTTCCACCTTTCTCAGCAGTTTCAAGCTGCCAAATGAACATCCACTCATCTCTGACTGGTTCCAACTTAAGAAAAGAAGGGGGAAGAATACATTTCAAAATCGCATGGACTTATTTTGGGAGCTCAGAGAAACTGTAAGCCAGGTTTAGATTTATTTATTTATTTATTTTTTACTTAGCCCCAAGGTTGGGGAGAAAAGCCTTATTTTTACACAAGGCCAAAGAAACAACTGAAACAGGTTTTAAATTTCTTCCTAATGCAAAGGAGGAGGAATCTGCCTACTCAGCATTTTCTTCCAGTTTTCCTGTAAAGGAGGACACTGTGCTGAAGCAATTATTTCTGTATAAACAAGCTGTCTGCCCATTTGGGAGACATTTTCATTTGGTGTTTGAGATGCAATCTCAGAGAAGATAAGGCTGAGTTTTTATATGTGTAGAGAGAAAAGTTGGGGGAAGGGAAGGTATATAGTAGATGGTCAGATTGGGGGGTTATAGCTTAAAACCCAACTCTATTGGTCAATGGAGTTATAATCTTAAATAGATAAACACATCTCATGGTATCTGAAAAATCTTTTATTCATCCATTCATCGAATGTCTGTAGACATACATTATCATACGGGTTTTTGGGTTTTGGTTTTTAGTGCTTACTGTGTGCTAGAACCATGGCTGTGGGGATTCAGGGATGACCAAGGCAGAGTCCCCGACCTACTCCATGGAGCTTGAAATGAAGGTCCCCTGACAATGATCTAGCCTAAGTGTTTGTCAAACTGAATTCCAGGAAGCTAACTTGTGGTCTTTAAATGGCTGGGATAGTGGAAGAAAGCTAAGCAGACATGCTCTAGCCCATCTCTAGCACCCATCCTCGGCTTTAACCCAGGGCTTGCACTTTGGTTATTTTATATATTAGGATTCCCTATGAGATTTGTTTAGGGGGTGAAAAAAAGGGTTATTCATCCAGCATTCAGTCCTTTTATTTTAAGTAAGGAAAATTAGATTCTTGAGCCTCAGAAGCACTCGTGACATCTTTGGTGACAGTTTGGAGCATCCTGCCGGTCTGCTATCAGGTCGTCATGACAGATTACCCAGAAGGTCAGTGGCTGCCTCCCCTCTACCATGTGCTGCCCAGGATGGCAGGAGCTTTTCCATCTGTAGAGAAACAAAGGCTTGTGGGTAGGTGCTGCTTAGCACAAGATTCCTCCAGACAGAAGGGGAAGCTGCATGCTTGCTGTGTTTGCTGTCTGGAGCTTCAGGGATGGCTTGCCAGTTTACTTCTGTTTCTCACCTGAGGTTTTTGGTATATAAGACGGTATCTTGTCTCTGATCATCAGAAATGTTTGGGAGGTCTTGTGTGGACTCTGATAGCATTTGTTGACATCATGAAGGGAGTAGACTGTTATTACCATGAAAGGCTATTAGTTTTTCTCAATTTATCCAAATGTTTCTTGGAGCAGAATATGAAACTTACGGGATTCCAATAATGATCAGGGCCAATATGAGTCACCAAAATTATAGCAAAAGCTGATTCAGTACACTGAGGAAGAGAGGCCAAGGTCTAAGAACAGGAGATAAGGTAAAAAAAAAAAAAAAATCAGAGTGTTGTTTGATGATACGCTGACATCCTGGGTCACAGAGCACAGAAGAGTTTTGAGACACAAGCAAGGCAAAATCCCTTCAGGGATGCTAAGGGCAGTTTCCTTTCCCTTTGTGGTGGAGGGTGGGCATGAAGTTGTTGATGATTGGGAACTTTACAGTTGGATAGTGGGAAGTCTTGATTTATCTGGTTTGAGAACAGAAATCACCATGAGCCTTGGGCAGTCTCTATAGCCAAATGTGAGCCTCCACATCAGCCAGGGCAGCTGGGCCCTTTCATCACCTCCCCGCAACCACTGACCCCACGCTACCCCCCACTTCCCTGCTCCCCTGCACCCTTGCAGGAAGTTCTAGCCCCCTCATGCATGTATCACATCTGGGGTACTAGAACCTGGGGGAAAGAGACATGTATGTGAACAGCTTTTTAAATAGAAAATAATGGCAAAGGATGAGAACCTGAGAAGCTGATCAGATGGAGAGAAGTAAGCATTTGTCAGCATTTTAATACAAATGGCCATGGAAAAGATAGGGAACTTGGTATTGAGCGTTTGCCATCTTCCTGAGAGAGGTTAAATGGATTTGATTTACACTTCTCAGACAGCCTAATTGCAACTTTGCAGTAGGCAAGATCAAGTAAAATTCTGAGTAACAGAAAAGAGGATCTGATTTGCAATTCAGTCACTCTCTGGTGAGCTAATATGGGAAAATCACACAAGGTCAGAGGTGAGCTCCTTTCCTGGCCTCAGGGAGAATATAACTGAAGTGGAAAAGAGAGGGAATAGGTAATTGTCTTTAATCAGGAAGAGGCATGTTTCAGTGTTTATAAACAAGGATGAAGAACGCCACATCCAGACACTGATATTCCGTGCCAGGAGTGAAGAGCTGGGAGGTTCACAGATGTATGTGCTTTGAAACAAAGTTCTTTCCACTTCTGCAACAGGAAGTGGCCTAGTTGGAGATTTCCAGAGAAAGCTCATCAGGTGCCCGGTAATTTCAATGTAAGACACATACTTAGGGATCCTAGCCAGTTGATTCAATGTCGTTTCACAAACAAACTATACAGACCTTGAGTGATAAGTTAACACATTCAAAATGGGTGGCAGAACAATGACAAGAACCCCTACCTCATGATGTTCCCTCTTGTGGTTCCTTTTTCTTCATGGAATTGCCTCAGTTGAATTCAGGAAGTATTTTACTGACTCTCTTACATATGCTAACTCTGATTTGGGCAGATATAATATCTGCTCCTAGGAAGCTGTATACCTCATTGGGGAGAAAGGACACATACTGCTATTAGAACTAGATTGCCTTGCACAGTGATTCATGAGCCAAGATTAGTGTCAACAATTAATTCCATAATAGTACAGTCACTAATATTTGATCTTCACAATAGCTACATAAGTCAATGAGCCTGACTTGATAAAAACTGAAGCCTAGGTTAAGTGGCTTGCTTATGATCCAATAGTAGTATGGTACAGAAATGGAATTTAAAGTTGGGACTTCTGATTTAAAACTGGAGTCTTTTCCCACTATGTATTTTGCTAACTTTCAAAGTTGTAGAACTCCTTTTTTTTTTTTAATAAGAGGCATAATGAGAAGCACCAAACATAATCATCTCTGGCTTTAGCTATTGCCATAAAATTAATAATGTAAAATAATTATTTTTAAGCATTTGAATTCAACAAAACCACCATATGAGGAATGAAATATCTGAAAAAAATTGCTGGTTTCACTGACTTGTGCATTCTTTGACAAGTGTCAAAATATCACAGAGATGGAGCCATGATTTTGCTGAATTCCTGTGAAATAAGAATAATCTGAGAGCTGATTGGAAACCAGTATTAAACCACAACATCATTGCAGAATTCATGGAAAACAAGTCACAAATAGCAAATGTTCATTCACAGCAATTTCTTTTCTTTTCTTTTCTTTCTTTCTTTTTTGTTTCTTTTTTTGGTTACTAGGTATGTTTTGTAAAACAGCGAGGGATCACTGTATAAAAGAAAGAGAGGTGCTACAAAAATGGGCACCATTTACAAAAACAATAACGAAGGAAAGAAGCATATTAAACCACAGCTTTGCATCTTCAAAACTGTAATATTAAAAGCCATGCACAATTATCTACAACACAAACCTTGGGCTGAAACCTAACCCCACATGCTTAAAAATACAGGGATGATTAGAAATATATTCTTATTACAAATAATACCATGAGATTTTGGATTTTAAAAATTAGGACCAAATGTCTAAATATGCAGTACATATCATGACAAAAAGAGTAGTTGCATATACAAATAAAAACCTTAATCATTTAAAAATTTATTACTTTTTAATTTGTTTTCTAAAATTACCCAAGAGATTTTCTCAGTGAGAACAAAACATATGGTTGAATCATAGCATCTAACCACTAATTTATTATTGTTTTTAGTTGTGGGTTGTTGGATTATGTTTTGGCCTCCTGAAAAGCCAAAATCAGTTGAAAAGCACTGCAAAAATACTACACTGGGGCCTGAAACCGAGCATGAAAAATATTGGCTTGTAGAATGTGATTATGAATCACTAAAAATGATATTGAAAATCCACATGAAATATTCACTCTAGAAACAAATGGGAGATATGAAATGCATGAGCTGGAAGAGCATAAATAGTGCCACAATTATTTGAGCAGAGAGAAAGAGCAAGAGTAGAAAATAACTACAGCTTCTGGCTCATGGTACAGAATGAAATGAAGTCCTCATAGTTAGAGAATCCAAGAATCATATTTATGTGCTCTGGGGTTTACCAACTGGAACACTTGAGCTACACTGGATTTTCCCTCAGACTAGATTCCAGCTTCCAACTTGCATTTTCATAGAAATAATTACACAAACAGGATATATTACGCAATTCTTTTGACGTGGGCCATACTGTTGCCAACATTTTAAAGTGGTTCAGTTAAAATAGTTACGTCCTCGATAGACATCCCTGATTATCATGTCATTCTTCAGCCCATCTCTAGGATGGTTCTCCAGAATTTATTTGACATCTCCTTGGTAAACATGTTGTGAAGGAGTCTGCTAAAAACTTTATTTAATAGTCTAAAACTCTGAAGTTTAATGACTTGGTTTTTAAGCATTGTCAAAATGAACCCAAGTCCAAATGGTGGCATCAAATGTGTAGGTCAAAAGGTTTTAAACTTTTTAGGAGTATAAAAGCTAAACGCTACCTAACAAAATATGTGAAAGATCTGTATGGGGAAAACTATAAAACTCTGATGGAAGACATCAAAGAAGAACCAAATAATAGAAAGATATGCCACACTCCTGAATTGTCAAGATGTCAGTTCTTCCCAACTTTATCTGTAGATTCAATGCATTTGTAATAAAAATTTCAGCAAATAATTATTATTGATTCTAAAGTTTATAGGGAGAGGCAAAAGACCCAGACACACAACACTGAAGGAAAGGAACAAAGTTGGACTGACATTATTAGGTATAGTAATTGAGACAGTGTAGTTTTGATGAACAAACAGACAAATAGGTCAGTGGAACTGATGAATAACCCAGAAATACACATACATAAGTAGATTCAACTGATCTCTGACAAAGGAGCAAAGGCAAAACCATGGAGCAAAAATAGTCTTTTCAACAAATGGTGTTGGAACATGGAGACTGGACATCTACATGTAAAAAAAAAAAAAATGAACCTAGAAACATATTTTACACCATTCACAAAAATTAACTCAAACTGGATCACAGACCTAAATGTAAAATTCAAAACTATAAAACTCCTAGAAGGTAACACAGGAGGAAACCTGACTGACTTTGGGTATGGCAGTGACTTTTTAGCTACAACAACAACAAAAGTACAAAACCCATGAAAGAAATAATTGATAAGTTGGATTTAATTAAAATTTAAAACATTTGCTCATCAAATGACAATACAAAGAGGATGAGAAGATAAGCACAGACTTGGAGAAACTATTTGCAAAAGATACATTTCATAAATGACTGTTATCCAAAATTACAAAGAAGTCTTAAAACTCAGCAATAAAACAACCTGCTTAGCAAATGGGCCAAATACCTTAACAGACACCTCACCAAAGAAGATATACAAATGTCAAATAAGCATATGAAAAAATTCTCCCTATGATATATCACCAGGCAATTGCAAAATAAAAGTAAGATACCACTAGACACCTATTAGAACGGCCAAAATCTGGAACACTGACAACACCAAATGCTGGCAAGGATGTGGAGCAACAGGAACTTTCATTCATTGCTTATTAAAATGCAACGTGGTCCAGTCACTGGGGAAGACAGTGTGGCAATTTCTTTCAAAACTAAAGACACTCTTACCATACAATCCATAAAGTATACTCCTTGGTATCTACCCAATTAAATTGAAAACTTATATTTACATAAAAACCTGCAAACAGATGCTTATAGCAGGTTTATTCATAATTGTCAAAACACGGAAGCAACCAAAAGGTCTTTCAGTAAGCCAATGCATGAAAAAAACTGTATTATATCCAGACAATAGAATATTTATTATCATTATTCACTACTAGAAAAAAAAATAAGCTATCAAGCCATAAAAAGACAGGGAAGAAACTTGAATTCATATTACTAAGTGAAAGAAGCCAAGGAAAAGGTTACATACTATATTATTCAAACTATCTGACATTCTGAAAAAGGCAAAACTATGGAGACAGTACAAGGGTCAATGATTGCCAGAGATTAAGGAGGAAGGGATGAATAGGTAGAGCATAGAGGATTTTTAGGGCAGTGAAACCGGTACAAGACTGGCGGGACTTGTTTTCTGTCACTACCCTGCTAACAAAAACAGGATCTAGTCCAGACACGATAAAGCAAAGAAACTGGAGGAAATGAGCAGATACTGACAAAAGAGATCCCTAGCTACCTCATTGCTCATTAGCATAAGACACTCCCACCAGCATCATGGCAATGAGCTGAAACTTACTGCTCATTTTTGTGGCAACGACCTAGAAGTTACCGCCCCTTTCCTAGAAAGTTCTAAGTAACCTTTGCCCTCAATTTGCATTAACCTGCACCTTAATTTGCATATAATTGGAAATGGGTTTGAGTGAGTACAAATACAATTGCTGGTCAGCTCGGTGGCTCACGCCTGTAATCCGAGCACTTTGGGAGGCCAAGCCGGCTGGATCATGAGGTCAGGAGTTCGAGACCACCCTGGCTAACATGCTGAAACCCCGTCTCTACTAAAAATACAAAAAGTTAGCCAGGTGTGGTGGCAGGCACCTGTAGTCCCAGCTACTTGGGAGGCTGAGACAGGAGAATGGCATGAACCCAGGAGGCGGAGCTTGCAGTGAGCCGAGATCGCACCACTGCACTCCAGCCTGGGTGACAGAGCAAGACTCCATCTCAAACACAAACAAAGAAAAAAACACTACTACTGTCTATGGTCTTGCAATGATGGATACATGCCATTATACATTTGTCCAAAGCAGTAGAATGTACAACATCACAAGTGAAATCTAACATAAACTATGGAATTTGGGTGATAATGATGTGTCAATGTAGGTTTATTGATTGGAACATGTACCACTGTGGTGCAGGATGTCTATAATGGGGGAGGTTGTGTATGTATGGGAACAAGGGAGTATTAATCTGTTCTCATGCTGCTAATAAAGACATACCCAAGACTGGGTAACATGGTGAAACCCCATTTCTACTAAAAATACAAAAAAATTAGCCAGGCATAGTGGCAGGTGCCTGTAATCCCACCTACTCAGGAGGCTGAGGCAGAAGAATCGCTTGAATCTGGGAAGCAGAAGTTGCGGTGAACCAAGATCATGCCACTGCACTCCAGCCTGGGCAACAGAGCAAGACTCCATCTCAAAAAAAAAAAAAAAAAAAAAAAAGAAATAGAGGTTTAATGGACTCACAGTTCCACATGGCTGGGGAAGTCATAATCATGGCGGAAGGCAAAGGAGGAGCAAAGTCATGTCTTACATGGTGACAGGCAAGAGGGTATGTCCAGGAGAACTCCCCTTTATAAAACCATCAGATCTCATGAGACTTATTCACTATCACAAGAACAGCACAGGAAAGCCCTGCCACCATGTTTCAATTACCTCCCACTGGGTCCCTCCCACAACACATGGGGATTATTACAATTCAAGGTGATATCTGGGTGGGAACACAGAGCCAACTATATCAGAAGGTATGTGGAGACTCTCTTTACTTCCTGCTCAATGTTGCTGTGAACCTAAAACTGCTTTAAAAAATAAAGTTTATCAATTTTTTTAAAAAGCCAAGTGCTTGCATGGTTGGGAGATGGGAAGTGGGGAGTGGTATGGCCAAAAGAAAATAGGAGAAAACCCCATCCAACATGCTTTTTATACAATTAGCAAAGGTCACCAAAAAACTGTAAAATATTTACTTGGCAGCACAGGAATTTTGTCTTTTTGATTATAGGGAAACATATACTTTTAAAATGTATATAATGTAAATACAACTTAATGTTTTCAAAGTATGATTTACAAATCCCTGAAACACTTTCAGGGGTCCCATGAGGTCAAACTATTTTCATAATAATACTAAGACATTTGCCGTTTTTACTGTGTTGACATTTGCACTGATGCAAAAACAATGGTGAGTAAAAACCCTGGAGTCTGAACCAAGGCAATAGCACCAAACTCTGCTAGTATTCACTGTATTTCTCCTCACCATGCACTCACAGATAAAAGAATGCCAGCTTCACTTTACAAATGCTTTAATGAGTCTGTAAATATTACTGACTTTATTAAATCTTAACTCAAGTACGTGCAACAAAATGACATGTATGCACAAAGAACTTCTGTTGCACAAAGAAGTATGATGGTTGCCTTGAGGTGAAACACTTGTATGTTTTGTGTTGTGAGCTGAAGTAGCTGCTTTGTTCTTGAACCATTATTTGTGCTTGGAAGAATGACTGACAGACAAACTAAGATTATTCAGCCTTGGGTATCTAGCAGATATTTTCTCAAAAATGAATGAAGAGAGCCTGACACTGCAAGGAAAACAATTGATAGCATTTGTCGCCCATTGTAAAATTTGTGCTTTAAAGCAAATAATTAGAATTTTGGAAAATATGTATTCACCATTATGTGCTTGACAGTTCCCAATATTTAAAGACTTTTTTCTAATTACATCAGTGGTGATTTTCTCACATGTGATTTTTTGATATTCTAGAATGAAATATGTCAACATTGAAAGATTTGCATAATTCAGAGAATCACTATTTTCCAATGTAACATCATGGGTGAGTAAAAGATCCATTCAAAGTTCAAGAAGACCAATGGATTTTAATGTAACAGGGTATTAAAAATCCACTTATGTAGTTTTAGATGCCACATTGCAACTAACCTTTAAGAAACTAGCACTTGTCAAATTTGGGTATACGATCAAAGAACATACATAATTAATTTGTTTTAACCATTGAACTATTTCCCCATTTTCCAATTGCATAGGATTTGAAGCTAGATTTTCTTCATTATTCTTCAACCAAATGGCATAATTCTATAGGCTGAAGAGAAGGATAGAGCAGATATAAGAACCTAGCTGTTTTCTATTAACCTAGACATTAAAGACATTTGAAAAAATGCAAAACAATGTCACTCTTACTGAATTTTTTGTTTTTTGTTTTTTTAAATACTTATTTTCATAAATATAAGTTATTTATCAGGTAGTGGGTTTATTATTGTAATTTTCAAACAAATAAACATCAATATTTAAAAGATTGCTCAGTTTTAATTTTGAATACAGTAATTATCATTTGATGTAACTCCTATAAACAAATGTCTTTTGGAGTCTGAAATATTCTTTAAGAGTGTAAAGGGTTCCTGAGACTAAAAAGTCAAGAACTGATCATTTTAAGACGTAATAAAACAGATGTCACGTAAGTAACACAAGTTAAAGAATAAAATAAGACTAGTATCTTTGAAGACATTGAATGTCTTTCCCAGAGGATAGCTTCTTCCCTTCTCCCAGGAATGAGCATAGTATATTAATCTTATATTAACTATTATCTTGCTTTCTTTCATAGTTTTATCTCACATGCATATCTATCTACACAATATTTAATTTGCCTGTTTTTGAATTGCATGCGAATAGGGCCATACTGTATGCCGTAGTTTGAGTTTCCCTGAAAATAGTGCCTGAGAAAAAGATTTGGGTGCAGGTAGTGTATTTTGGAGGTGATCCCAGGAAGGAGAGGTGTAGGGGTGGGGTAGAGACTAGAGAAGGAAGAATGTAAAATAAAAATACATTGTTAAGCTCGTTGCCAATGTGGGCAACTCAGACACAGTCCTGTTGGGTACTCTCTATACAACTGTGTAAAATGCATTTCAGAATTGGCCCTCCAGACCAAAGGAAAGGAGACTGGGCATTTATTCACTGACATTATCTCCGTTTGGCAGAGAGTTGCTCTTAGGGGCTTAACTCCCCTGCAGGCTCAAGCTGAGTGGCTTCTCATGGCTCCAAGAAAGGCCTAAGGCAGAAAAGCAGAGGCCCCTCATTGTGACCTTGAGGTGGGACACAGGCCACTGCATGGAACTGTCCACCTGAACCCAGGTGAACTAAAGGTGTGGAGTAAGGGGCACCACAAGAGTCAACTATATTATATATTTTCTTTTATGACTTCCTTCTGTCCCACCAGAAGGTGTTTTTGAGCTATTTCTGGTTGATATGAATAGTTTTAGCTAATTTATTTCTGCTGATGCATAGTATTCCATTGCCTGACTGTTCCACAACTTAATTTCCATTTCATTGTTGATGGACATTTGGTTTATTTCTAGACATGGGACATTCATTTTGCTTCCAAAGGAAAACAAAAAGCCAAATATTTCCATGTCCTTATATTCCATCTAAAAAATGCATAATCAGCAGAAACAAAGTCTCCACTTCACTTCTGCATTTCAAAGTTTGCATAAATATGACTAGCCAAACTAAGTCACATTCTGACTGCAACGGATTCTGGAAAATGTAAGCTTTAGCTTTTTAGCCTCTGCAACATAAGGAAGCACTCTAAAAAAAAGCACCATACACAACACACCAGGCAACTAGGCAACAGCTATGAAAATTAAAAATACACATACTCTTAGATCCTGCAATTTTACTCTGGCAGTCTATTTCATAGAAATAAATGTACTAATATAAAAGAGCATATGTACAATGGTATTTATCACAAATCTGCAGTGGATTGAAAGTAAACATTCTATAATAAGAGAATGTCTAAATATATTGAAATATAGCCACATATCAGAATATTGTATATCAAAAGAATGAGCTAGAGCAATACCAAATGACTTGGAGTGATTCCGCAATGCATTATTGAGTGAGAAAAGCAAGACACAGAAAAGTATGTGTTACATAATCTTATTTTTAAAAAATAGAACAGTGACCAACGAAAGTTATATAGGTATAAAATATATAATATATAAATTTCTATAAATATAGAATCTATCTATATGATTATATAAATATATAATTATATATGAGATTATATAAATTATACATATGAGATTATATAAATATAGGAGCTGTATGTAAGGCCAGAAGAGCACCCACTAGGCTGTTAGCAGGGCTTATAGTTAATAAGATAGAATGGTGGTATTAAACTTACATGGGCTAGAGAAGGGTAGGGAAAAGAAATAGATAGATGGGAAGATGGATGGATGGATGGATGAATGGATGGATAGATAGATACATAGATGATAGATAGATAGATAGATAGATACATACATACATACATACATACATACATACATACATAGGTAGATAGATAGATAGATAGATACATAGATAGATGCAAGAATGGTCCCTGCCATGTGATTATTTTAGAAGGCTAGGATTTTAAGCAACATTTACTTTCTTTATATTTGTATGGGTACTATTAAACTGTTTGTATTGCATGTATATTGTTTATTAATCAATACAAAACCATAAATCCATTTTTAGTGTGAAAAAATTCCTTCTGTCTAATGGGGGAAAGTAGAGTTTACTGAGGAAAGTAGAGTGGTAAAGATGATTATTGTTGTATATCACCTACTTCTGTACTAATAGATTTGATACCATGTATTTATATCTATGACTTCAATAAATTATTAAAGAAATTTTAAAAACTTTATACACAGCAAACAAAGAAATATCCTTATTCAGGCTAAGGCTGATTCTTGCATCTGAGCTCCGGAGCACACCAAATTCTACCTCCTTACTCCATTTATTAAGCCGTCTTTACCACAGTATCAATCTTTCTTTACTGCTGGCTCCTCTGAAGGTTAAAAACATGCTCATCTATCTTCCACCTTAGAAAACCCTCCCTTAATGTTATTGACTCTTCTAGCTACTGTACCACCTCACAGCTCCACTTTGTAGCTGTACTTGAAATAGGTGCTTACATTCACGGCCTCACATCTCATATACCCTTCAACTCACTGCATTATAGCTTTTGCCCTAACACATGCTTCCATGAAACTCCTCTCACCAGGATAACTATGGCCATCTAATTGCCAGTTCCTGTCATTCTGATGTCTGAGGAACACTTGACCCTCTGAACAACCAACTCCTTAAAGCCCTTCCACCTGCTGGCTTAAGCAACATTCTTCTGTCCCTAGTCTCTTGCTGATTTCTCTGTGTGAATTTTCTCTGGGCCACCCGTTAGCCCTTCATTTGCCTTTTTCCAGAATGATGGCGTCGCTCGGGGTCCCACTTCCTTTCATTCACATTCCATTCACTTTCCCTGGAGATGACATTCATGCTCATGGCTCTGGCAGGGATGAGTCAAATCTGTATTTATATCATGAATATCTTTCCAAAGTTCCTCATCCTTATTTCAAACAGCCTCCTAGAAATCTCCTAGATGTCTCACTTGTTCACCAAACTATACATATAGAGAACAGAATGTATTGCCTTCCCCTCAAAATTTGCCCATACTGATCATCAGTCTTTGTTCTCCATCTTGTCAAATGTTGTCACCATCCACCACCTTGTAAGAGACAACTTGAACAATAGAGACTGTATATAACCTTGATTCTTACCATATCTAATAACAAGGTTCTTTTGATTCTAATTCCTAAATATCTCTCAAACCCTTCCATTATCTCCTGGCCTCTATGCTTGCCTTTGTTCAGCCTATCACTACTTATTTGAACTCTTGCAATCTCTTATCTCTAACGGTGCCACCTTCAAACCATCTTTCAGGTTGCTAGCAGTGTGAACTTGCTAAAATGCAAACTGGAATAGATCACCCCTATGATTAAAATTCTTGAATAACCTTGCATGGCCCACATGACCTAGTGTAAACTACTTAGAATGACATGCAGGACTTGCCCCACCTTCCTCTCTAAAATAATCTCTTAGCATTTATCCACATGTGAGCAACCTGCTCTTCCACACACTCAATTATATCAATTTCTCAAGTCCAGCTACAAAAACCATACTATTTTGGAGGGAAGGCATCTTTTACCTTGCACTTACTTCTCTGAAACAATGTAGCATATGCATAATTCCATGTTTCCAACTGCTTCTCCACTAGATTGTGAGTGCCTCAAGGGGAGGTGTATTCTATTCCCACACATAGCAGTGCTGGGTATTTGCTACATATTGGTAGCTACATATTGAAAGGTATTGCTACATATTGAATGATCTCAAATTTGCATGTACTAACACTGAATATCAATAGGAGGAAGTTACATCAATAGAAGAAAGTGATTTTTTTTTGGTTTCAAAACAAGAAATGAAACCACGGGAATTAAAACCTTACTCTTGTCTAAAATCCATGTTTGGTGCTCTTCTCACTATACTCCATGTCCTTCCATGTTAGTTATATAAACTTAAGCAAGGTACTCCCATCTTAGACCTCATTTTTTCTCATCAATGGGAAAAGTTATTTCTAATAAATAATTTAGCTCTGATATTTGGATTAGCATAGTGGTGAGTTCAAATCTTCAATCTATCAATGGGGCAAGTTTTTAAAATTCTCTGTCTTAGTTTCCTTATCTGTAAAATGGGGATAACAATAGTAACTTAATTCATAGGGTTCATATGAAGATTAAATTGGAAATAATATGAAGGGCTCAGAAGAGTTCCTGGCTAAGATAAGCATTTAATTATAGTTAGCCATTATTATATTCTCTATAAGTAGGAAGCCAACACACTTGACCCCTTCTATAACAGAAGTGGATGGCCAAAGTTCAGCTAACTGGTTTTTTTAAAAGGAATAGCTTAGGAAATGATTTTTAGATGGCCAATAAAGATCATTGTTCTTAGCTTGTGATTAGCTTTCTGAATGACCCATGTGTCAGTATAAGGAGGATCTCCATATCCAAAAATCATGTATTAATAATAATTGTCACAAATGACAAATACATAGCTTTGGTAGGTTTTGTCCTATTTTGAACAATTTTAAGCTCTAAATACATTGCTGATTTTTATCTCATTGTAAGCCAGTTTTGAAAGCTAAGGAGATGCATAATATTTTTTATATTACTTTGCTGAAGATGTCTACCAAATTTATTCACTTTTTATTTCAATAGCTTTAGGAGTACAAGTGGTTTTTGGTTATATGGATGAACTGTATCGTGGTGAAGTCTGGACATTTGGTATAGTCAACACCCAAATAGTGTATTTTATACCCAATAGATAATTTTTTATCCCTCATCTCCTACCACTTTTCCCCTTTCTGAGTCTTCAGTGTCCACTATACCACTATGTATGCCTTTGTGTACCCATAGTTTAGCTCCCACTTATAAGTGAGAACATGAGATACTTGATTTTCTATTCCTGAGTTACTTCACGTAGAAGAATAGCCTCCAATTCCATCCAAGTTGCTGCAAAAGACACTCTTTTGTTCTTTTCTATGGCTGAGTAGTATTTCAGTAGTATTTCATACACACACACACCACGGAATATTCTCTATCTATCTATACCACATTCTCTTTATCCACTCATTGGTTGACGGGTGCTTAGGTTGATTCCATATTATATGGTTTGGTTCTGCATCCCCATCAAATCTCATGTCAAATTGTAATCCCCAGTATTGGAGGTGGGGCCTGGTAGGAGGTGTTGGAGGTGGGGCCTGATAAGAGGTGATGGTCCTCCTACCATGGGGGTGGTCCTTTATGAATGGTTTAGCACCATCCCCTGTTCCGTTCTCGTGACAGTGAGTGAGCGAGTTATCATGAGATCTGGTTGCTTGAAAGTGTATAGCACCTCTGCACCCTCTCTCTTCCTCCTGCTCTGGCTGTGTGAGGTGCTCATTCTCCCTTTCCCTTCTGCCATGATTGTAAGTTTCCTTAGTCCTCCCCAGAAGTAGAGCAGATGCTGCCATGCTTCCTGTACAGCCTGCAGAACTGTGAGCCAATCTTTCCTTTATAAATTATCCAGTCTCAGGTATACAGCAATGCAAGAACTGACTAATACACCATGTCTTTGCAATTGCGAATTGTGCTACAATAAACACATGAGTGCAGATGTCTTTTTGATATAACGGCTTATTTTCCTTTGGGTAGATACCTAGCAGTGGGATTGCTGAATCAAATGGTAGATCTACTTTTAGTTCTTTGAGAAATCTCCATACTGTTTTCCACAGAGATTTTACTAATTTATATTTTCACCGATAGTTTATAAGTGTTCCCTTTTCATTACACCTATGCCAACATCTGTTGTTTTTCAACTGTTTAATAATGGCCTTTCTGAATGAGGTAAGTTGGTATCTCATTGTGGTTTTAACTTGCATTTCCCTGATGATTAGGGAGGTTGAACTTTTTAAAATATGTTTGTTGGCCATTTGTATATCTTCTTTTGAAAAATATTTGTTCATGTCATTTTCCTACTTTAATGGGATTATTTGTTTTTTTAATTATTATTTGCTGATTTGAGTTCCTTATGGATTCTGGATATTAGTCCTTTTTCAAATATATAGTTTGTAAATACTTTCTCCCATACTGTAGGCTGTCTGTTTGCTCTGTTGATTATTTCTTTCATTGTGAAGTAGTTTTTTGGTTTAGTTAAGTCCCATTTATTTATTTTTGTTTTTGTTGCATTTGATTTTGTAGTTTTGGTCATAAATTCATTGCCTAGACCAATGTTCAGAGGAATTTTTCCTAGGTTTTCTTCCAGAATTTTTAAAGTTTTAGGTCTTACATTTAAGTCTTTAATCCGTTTTGAGTTTATTTTTATATATGGTGAAAGATAGAGATTCTGTTTCATTCTTCTGCATGGGGCCACACAATTTTCCCAGCATCGTTTATGGAATAGAATGTCCTTTCCCAGGTGTATGTTTTTGTCTGTTTTGTCAAAGATCAGTTGATTGTAGGTATTTGGCTTTATTTCTGGGGTCTCTATTCTGTCCCATTGGTCTATGTACCCACTGGTACTTTTATACCAGTGCCATGCTGTTTTGTTTACTGTAGTCTTGTAATATAATTTGAAGTCAGGTAATGTGATGCCTCCAGATTTACTCCTTTTGCTTAGGATTGTTTTGGCTGTTCAGGCTCTTCTTTGGTTCCATATGAACTTTAGAGATTGTTTTATCTGTGAAAAAAGACATTGTTATTTTGAAGAGAATTGCATTAAATCTCTACACTGCTTTGGGCAGTCTGATCATTTCTACACTATTGATTCTTCCATTTCATGAGTGTGAAATGTTTTTCCATTTGTTTGTGTCATCTATGATTTATTTTCTCCATGCTTTTAACTTTTTCTTGTAGAGATCTTTCACCTTCTTGGTTAAGTAGATTCTTAGGTATTTTTTTTCAGCTATTGTAAAATGAATTAAGTTCTTGATTTGCTTATCAGCTTGATTGTTATTGGTGTATAGCAGTGCTGTTGATTTGCATACATTGATTTTGTAACCTGAGACTTTACTGAATTCATCTACCAGATCTAGGAATTTTGTTGGAGGAGTGTTTAGAGTTTTCTAGGTATCAGATTATATCATCACCAGAGATAGTTTGATTACCTCTTTGCAAATTTAGATGCCCCTAATTTCTTCCTCTTTCCCTATTGTTCTGGCTAGCACTTTCAGTGCCATGTTGAATAGAATTGTTGAAAATGAGCATCCTTTTTTTGTTCCTGTTCTGAGAAGAAATGCTTTCAACTTTTCCCCATTTAGTATGATGCTGGTTGTGGGTTTCTCATATGTGGCTTTCATTAGTTTGATGTATATTCCTTCTGTGCCTTGTTTGCTGAGAAGTTTTATCATGAAGGGATGCTAGGTTTTATCAAATGCTTTTTCTGCTTCTACTGAAATAATAATTTTTGTTTTTAATTCTGTTTATATGGTGAATCACATTTATTGACTTGTATATGTTGTACCATCCCTGAATTCCTAGGATGAAACCCACTTGATCGTGGTGAAGTATCTTTTTGATGTACTATTGGATTCAGTTTGCTAGTAATTATTGAGGATTTTTGCATTTATGTTCATTAGTGATATTGATCTGTAGTTTTTGTTATTGTTATGTCCTTTCTGGGCTTTGGTATGAGGATGATACTTGTTTCATAGAATGAGTTAGGGAGGATTCTCTCCTTCTCAATCTTTTTGAATACTTTCAGTAGGATTGGTATCAGTTATTTGAACATCAAGTAGAATTCAGCTGTGAATCTCTCCAGTCTTGAGCTTTCTGGGGGTGTGGAGGGGGAGATTTTTTTATTATGGATTCAATCTCACTACTTGTCATTGGTCTGTCCAGGATTGCTTTTCTTCCTGATTCAAGCTTGGGGGATTGTATGTTTCCAGGAATTTATTCATCTCTTCAAGATTTTCTAGTTTGTGTGCATAGAGGTATTCATAGTAGTCTTGGATGATCTTTTGTATTTTTGTGTTATCAGTGATAATGTCTTCTTTTTATTTCTGACTGAGTTTACTTGAATCCTCTCTCTCTTTTTTGGTTAATTTAGCTATTGGCCTATCAATTCTGTTTATCTTTTCAAATAATCAAATTTTGTTTCATTGAGTCTTTGTATTGTGATTTTTTGGTTTCAGTTTCATTTAGTTTTGCTCTGAGCTTTGTTATTTCTTTTCTTCTGCTAGCTTTGGGTTTGGTTTGTTCTTGTATTTTTAGTTCTGTGAGGTGTGATGTTGGGTTGTCAATTCGTGATTGTTTGGCCTTTTTGATGTAAGCATTTAGCACTATAAACTCCCCACATAGCACTCCTGCTGTGTTCCAGATATTTTGATAACTTGTGTCACTGGTTATTATTTATTTTGAAAAATTTTTTAGTTTCCATTTTGATTTCATCATTGATCCAAAGATCGTTCAGGAGCAGGTTGTTTACTTTCCATGTATTTGTAGAGTTTTGAGAGTTCCTTTTAGAATTGATTTCTAGCTTTATTGCATTGTGGTCTGAGAAGATATTTGATATAATTTCAATTTTTAAAAATTTATTACACTTGTTTTGTGGCCTATCATACAGTCTATCTCAGAAAATGTTCCATGTAATAAGAATAAGAATGTATATTCTGCAGTTTAAGGATAGAAATTTCTGTAAATGTCTGTTAGGGCCATTTGTTCTAGAGTCAAGTTTAAGTCCAGTGCTTCTTTGTAGAATTTCTTCCTCAATAATCTGTCTAGTGCTGTCAGTGGAGTATTGAAGTCCCACACTATTACTGTATTGCTGTCTACCTCTCTTTTTCGGCCTAGTATTATCTGTTCTATAAATCTGGGAGCTCCAGTGTTAGATGCAAATATATTTAGGATTGTTATATCTTTTTGTTTAATTCATCTATTTATCATTATAATTTTTAAATCTTTGTTTACTGTTGTTGATTTAAAGTCTGTTTTATATGATATAAGAATAGCTACTTATGCTTGCTTTTGGTTTCCATTTGTGTGGAATATTTTTCTCTACCCCTTTGTTTTCAGTCTATAAAAATATTTAAGAGTTAAGTGAGTCTCTTAAAGGCAGCAGATATTTGGATTGTGGATTTTGTTTTTTTGGTTCTGAGATAAGGTCTCACTTTGTTGTTCAAGCTGGAGTGCAGTAGCACAATCATAGCTCATTATAATCTCAAACTCCTGGGTTCCAGTGATCCTCCAATTCCAGCCTCCTGTGTAGCTGGGACTACAGACCCACACTACCATGCCCAGCTAGTATTTGCTTTATTTTTTGTATAAACAGGCCTTGTAATGTTGCCTAGGTTTGTCTTGGCAATAAGACCTGGCCCCAAGCAATTCTCCCACATCGGCTTCCCAAATTGTTGGGATTGCAGCCACAGTGCCTAGCCTGGATTGTGTTTTTCAATCCATTCTACCAATCTATATTTTTTCAGTTAGGCATTTAGGCTACTTACATTCAAAGTTAATACTGATATGTAAGATACTGTTCCAGTCATTATGTTGATTGTTACCTAGTTGCTTTGTATTCTCCATTGTGTTACTGTTTTTAAACCCTTTGAGTTTTACAGTTTTCAGTGTTTTCATACTGGTGAGTGTCAACCTTTCATTTCAATATTTAGAACTCCTTTTAGCATTTTTTTCTAGTGCCAGTCTAGTGGTGACAAATTCCTCCAGTGTTTGGTGATCTGGGAAAGACTATTCTTCCTTCATGTAAGAAATGCAGCCTTCAGGATACAACATTTTTGGCTGACAGTTATTCTGCTTAAGGAAACTAAAGATAAAACCACAGTCCCTTCTGGTTTATAAAGTTTTGGCCGAGAAGTCTGCTGTTAGTCAGACAGGTTTTCCTTTATAAGTTATTTGATTTTTTTCTCACTTTTCTTAGAATTCTTACCCTTCCATTGACTTTAGGTAGCCTAATGACTGTATGCCTTGGTGATGTTCTTTTTGCAATTACTATTCCAGGAATTCTTTGAGTCTTTTGTATCTGGATGTCTAAATCTCTGGCAAGACCAGGGAAGTTTTCCTCAATTATTCCTTCAAATATATCTTCCAAGTTCTTGTGTTTTTTTCTTTTTCTCTTTCAGGAATACTTTTGATTCTTAGGATTGGATGTTTCATATTATCCTATATTTCTTGGAGACTGTGTTCATTTCTTTTATTTTTTTTTTTAATTTTTGTTGGTTTGGGGGTTAATTCAAAACGCTCCTCTTGGAGCTCTAGAATTCTTTCTTCTCCTTGGTCTAGTTTAGTGGTAAAAGTTTCCACTGCATTTTATAATTATCTGAATGAGTCTTTCATTTCCAGAAGTTCTGTCTGGTCTTTTTAAGAATATACTTTCTTTAGAAAAATTTTTATTCATGTCCTTAATTTTTTTTATTTATTTATGTTGGTTTTCAACTTTCTATTGGATCTCATTAAGCAGCTTTGTAATCAATATTTTGAATTATTTATCTGGTATTTCAAAGTTTTCATTTTAGTTTGGATTATTGCTGGAGAGTTAGTGTGATACTTTGGGGGTGTTGTAAAACTCTGTTTTTTCCTATTGCTAGAATTATCTTTCTGGTCCCTTCATATCTGAATAGACTATTTCTTCATATTGTTTTCAAATTTATTTCTGATGGGACTTGAGTTTTTTTCCCCCTTGAGGTTTTGACTATAATATATGTATAGTTTATGACCACCTAGCTTTGGCTCTGAGTGCTTTCAGTGGCAAAGACTATATGAGTTCCTTGGTAACAGAGAATCTTTGTATGATGGCTTTCTCAGATGCCACTTGCAGTAGCAATGTGCTAGGTGTCTGAGCAGGTTCACTGTCTTACATGGGGCCAGGATGACAGAGGTCTCATGAAGCTCATCTCATTCCCCAGTGGTGAAGCTTCTCTCATTCCCCAGTGGTGCACACTTTTTCTTCCCCAGTAATTTTTTCACTGGGTTGAACAGTTCAGCTTTCAAGCCAATAAGAGACACTCACAGATAAGAACTACCTGTGGCTGAAGCAGGTGTGTATACGCAATACCCCAATTGGGGACAAAAGTCCCATCCATGTCGATGGTGTCCGGGGGAGCTTCTGGTGAAATGCACTGAGGTTTTTACAGTGAAAAGAAAGGGAGCCACCTCAGCTCCATTACCAGGCCAACAGAAAAGCTATCTATCTCCTCACGAAGCCCCTGACCCAGTGTTCCAGATATTCAGATCAGACAGTCACCTCTGTCCATCTATAGGAACACTGAAATTCCATGTGGAGAGACAGAGGGACTCCACCTCTCACACAAGCCTGACCCTGGAGGGTGCACCTCCCATGGGGACACAGTCACCCCAAAATGCTCCAGTAAGATTGTCTATAGTACCTGCATGGAACTCCCATGGGAGAAACCCCAGATGTTTGCAGCAGTGGGTGGGAGGAAGGAGAAGTCTCCTTCCCCAAGTCCTTTTTGGAGCACTGGGGCTGTTTGACATCTGGGAAGGAACCTCAAGTCTTCCCCCACTGAGCCCAGAACTGCCTTTGCTGAAAAAGGCACAAGCAGGAATTTCTGAGACATAAAAAAGCTTGCACTCTGGTTCCCTTTGTTCCATGCGGTGCTCTCTTGGCATGTCACACTCCCCCTTACCCTAAGTGTGGCAATTCCTGAGAGCCAGACTACTTACTGTGAAGCCCACTGCTCCTCTGGGTCCAGCCACCCTGTGGGGCTGTCACAGTCCAGGCTGTGCTGGGGAATGGTTGCAAAGGATATGGTGATGTGAAGAGACAAGGTTTGAAGGTCTCCGAGCAAAGCGAAGTCCCACAATGAGTGCACACCCAGTATTGTGCCCGCTACTACAGCCCAGGTCCAGGGGGAAAAGGAAGGATCCCAGCATGAGCTGGTAGCCCAGTGTAATGCTCTGAAGAAGTCCCCAAATTGCAGCCCACTCCAGTACTTGGGCTTATGAGGGCAAAGAATCTCTTCTTGAATTATGATAACCAGCAGTCTGCCACAAGAGTTAAAGAGGCTGAAAATACTCCCTACCCTTTTATGGAATACTAGCTTTCTCAGGGTTTGATCTCTGTCAGCTTCTTGTGTCTTTCTTTTGTGTGTGTTGTAGATTCTTCCAGTGAAATCTCTGGTAGGTTCCAGAACTTTCCCTTTAACATTCCATTTGGACTATGATTATTCACCTGTAATTTTGGCTCTTCCTTCTGAGGAGAACTGGTCACTGACATCTCTGGGCAGCCGTTTGGAGTAGCTCTCTGATGCCTCGGGCTATGGACTGGTCTGTGGGATGTGCAGTAGCTAGGGCTCTGCTCTTAGCTCCAGAGGGGGCAATGTTGGGTGGAGCTGAACCAGGATGACCTGTCCTCTGGTCTCCCAGCAGTGGGTGGAAGCACCAGCCAAGATGGGAATAGCAGGGTATTGGTGTAGACATCGTAAGATTTCCTTGGCTTTACAAAGCTTTAGTGTGATGGCTTTCTCAATTAACAGCTGTAGTAGTAATATACTGGGAACATGAATAGGCTCAAGGCCTCCTGAGTGGCTGGAATAGTGGGGGCAATGGTGTTAGCAGAGGTCATACAAAAGTTTTCTTCCTCCCATGTGCTGTGTTATTGTGCCAGCAGATGTTGTAGTGGGCTGTGCTGGTTGACCTCTGGCCAGGAAGTGGCACTTGCAGGAGAGAGACAGCTGTGATGGTGGCTGTGGGACTTGCACTTGGTCTATTTTACCTATGGGGGATATTCAGATGTCCTAGGCAATGGACTGGGCTATGAAACTCCCAAAAGTCCCTGTTTAGGTTCTGCTACCAAGGCAGATGGAGTTGCAAAGCTAGGTGGGGACTGGGTCAGACAAGTCTATGATCTGGTTCCCCAAGTGCAGACACAAGTGGCAATCCCTATGGGAGTCAGACAGCAGTTCCCTGGTTGCTGGGGTAATGTTCCAGGGAGAAGCAGAACTGCCTCTGCTGCACAAAAGACACCACACATAGAAAGAGGAGCGGCAGTTGGCAGTGAGATGCACCCAGCTCCCACGTCCTTGACAGAGCAGATTTTAAATCCATGGACTTCTGCTGGCAGAAAGCTGCCACAGCCAGCTGGGCCTTCAGCTGTCTGTGCTCAGAATGCAAAACTACCCCAAGCTTCAAGACTCCTGCTGGAGACAGAAACCAGGCCACATCCTTCTGGGTTCAGCCTAAGAAGCAGGGGCATGCAGCTCTCAGCCAGGGCAAGAGCATGCTTCCTGCTCACCTCTTGGTTCTGGCCTAGATAGCTCATCCCCACTCCTGATTAGATCACAAATATCACTTGGGATCTTCTCCCAATCTGTGACCAGCATCTGAATTAGCTGGGAGATTTCCATAGTGTCCTCTATGAGTTAGGATCATAGAGCGTCCTCTATGAGTAGGATCAGAGCCAATGGGGACAGGATCCTTCTGTCCCCATTGGGTCTGGGAGTGTATGCAAAGCACATCCTAATGCTACTTCTTCTTATATACTCCCCACCACCCACCAAATCAGCTCCAGTTCTGGGCAGGGTGAGGTGCTCTCCCATGGCCTGGACTGCCCAGCTCCCCAGTGGGAATGTGTACCACAGAGACAGCCCCTCCATCTTCCACCCTCTGGAGACTCAGAGTTTTCTACCTGACTCATGGTGCAAGTTCCCATCTGCTGCTGTTTTAAAAGTATCTGAACTTTCACTTTTTCTGTTGAGTTGCCATGTTCCTTCTTGGATAAAAGTTCACACTATGAGTCTCTACATACGATTTTCCTCTTTCTGAGCAAATGAGGCATGCTAACAAAGCACACCATCTTGGAAAAATATCTGCCATCTTGGAAAAAAAAATCTACCAACTTTAACATGAACTTTCCCCCAAAGCCCAAAATGTACTTGTATCAGTTTGTTTTTATGCTGCTAATAAAGACATACCCAAGACTGGGTAATTTATAAAGGAAAGAGGTTTAATGGACTCACAGTTCCACATAGCTTGGGAGGCCTCACAATCATGGCGGAAGGCAAAAGAGAAGCAAAGTCATGTCTTACCTGGTGGCTGGCAAGAGAGCAGGTGCATGGGAGCTCCCCTTTATAAAACTATCATATCTCATGAGACTTATTGACTATCATGAGAACAACATGGGAAAGATGCACCCTCATGATTCAATTACCTCCCACCAGGTCCCTCCCATGACATGTGGGAATTACAGGAGCTATAATTCAAGACGAGATTTGGGTGGAGAAACAGCCAAACCATGTCATTCCACCTTTGCCCCTCCAAAATCTCATGTCCTCACATTTCAAAATCAATCATGCCTTCCCAGCAGTCCCCTAAAGTGTTAACTCATTTCAGCATTAACTCAAAAGTCCACAATCCAAAGTCTCATCTGAGACAAGGCAAGTCCCTTCAGCCTATGATCCTGTAAAATCAAAAGCAAGTTAGTTACTTCCCAGATACAATGAGGGTACAGGTATTGGGTAAATATACCCATTCCAAATGGAAGAAATTGGCCAAAACAAAGGGGCTAGAGGCCCCATGCAAGTCTGAAATCCAATAGGGCAGTCATTAAACCTTAAAGTTCCAAAATGATCTCCTTTGACTCCATGTTTCACATCCAGGCAATGCTGATACATGAGCTGGGTTCCCACAGCCTTGGGCATCTCCCCTCCCTGTGGCTTTGCAGGGTACAGCTCCCCTTTTGCCTGCTTTCACAGGCTGGCATTTAGTGTCTGTGGCTTTTCCAGGCACATGATGCAAGCTGTTGGTGGATCTACCATTCTGGAGTCTGGAGGATGGTAGCTCTCTTTTCACAGCTCCACTAGGCAGTGCTCCATAGTGGACTCTGTGTGGGGGCTCCAACCCCACATTTCCCTTCCACTCTGCCCTAGCAGAGGTTCTCCATGAGGGCCCCAACCCTGTAGCAAACTTGTGCTTAGACATCCAGGCATTTCCATACATCTTCTGAAATCTAGGTGGAGGTTCCCAAACATTAATTCTTGACTTCTGTGTACACACAGGCCCAACACCATATGGAAGCTGCCAAGGCTTTGGACTTGCACCCTCTAAAATAATGGCCTGAACTGTACATTGGCCTCATTTAGCCACAGGTGGAGCTGAAACAGCTGGAATGCAGGGCACCATGTTTGTAGGCTGCATAGGGCAGAGGGGCCCTGGGCCCAGCCCACAAAACCATTTTTCCCTCCTAGGCCTCCAGATCTGTGATGGAATGGGTTGTCATGAAGGTCTCTGACATGCCCTGGAGACATGTTTCTCAAGGTCTTGGTGATTAGCATTTGGCTCCTCATTACTTATGCAAATTTCTGCAGCCAGCTTGAATTTCTCCCCAGAAAATGGGTTTTTCTTTTCTACTGCATCATCAGGCTGCAAATTTCCCAAACTTTTATGCTCGGTGACGTCTTTGCCACTTAGAAATTTCTTCTACCAGATACTCCAAATCATCTCTCTCAAGTTCAAAGTTCCACAGATCTCTAGGGCAGGGACAAAATGCTGCCAGTCTCTTTGCTAAAGCATAACAAGAGTCACCTTTGCTCCAGTTCCCAACAAGTTCCTCATTTCCATCTGAGACCAGCTTAGCCTGGACTTTATTGTCCATATCACTATCAGCATTTTGGTCAAAACCATTCAACAAGTCTCTAGGAAGTCCCAAACTTTTCCGCATCTTCCTGTCTTCTGTGCCCTCCAAACTGTTCCAACCTCTGCCTGTTACCTAGTTCCAAGGTCACTTCCACATTTTTGATATCTTTACAGCAGCACCCCACACCCAGTACCAATTTACTGTATTAGTTTGTTTTCACACTGCTAATAAAGACACACCCGACACTGGGTAATTTATAAAGGAGAGAGGTTTAATGGACTCGCAGTTCCACATGGCTGGGGAGGCCTCATAATGATGGTGGAAAGTAAAGGAGAAGCAAAGTCACATCTTACATTTCAGCTGGCAAGAGAGCATGTGCAGGGGCTCTCCCCTTTGTAAAACCATCAGATCGTGGGAAACTTATTCACTATCATGAGAACAGCATGGGAAAAACCCACCCCCATGATTCAGTTACCTCCCACCAGGTCCCTTCCATGACACTTGGTAATTATGGAAGCTACAATTCAGGATGAGATTTGGATGGGGACACAGCCAAACCATATTAGTATGTTTTCATACAAAATTTAAAAAAATTCTAAAGTATACGGATGCTGAGTTTCATAACTTCTAAACTCATATTCTTACTTTTTTTCCTTCTTCCTCTCTCTGGTTACTACAAAAGAAGATGGTCAAATGCTCGTCTTTGGAAATGTGATGAAAATACACAGAAACTAGTATCATTTCCACATTCCATCAAAAGAACAAGGGGGACTAATGGCATTTAACACAATTGTGCCAGTTATATGGCAGTGCATCTAGAAATGTCCCATCTTTAGATATGACAATCTGTGTTTCTAGTGCCCTTAACAACACTAAATCAAGAATATTTTTGCCAGTGTTGTACCTCCAGTGTGTTTTCAGAAGAACAGCTAATCTGTATGTGTTTCATTCATTTATAAATCACTGAATGTTGATTTAACATAGTTGATGGATCCCTAAGAAAAGCTTCATTAGAAAATGAAGCTTTCTGGTTGGTAGGTGAGGTGGCTGGTTAAAGGAATCAGACAACAATTTAGATGTCTGCCATCAACAGAACATTAAATTTCGAATCAGAGTTAGAAAAGTCCAGCTTCTTGTGGCTCAAAGTGGTATTCAATTTTGAGGTTTGAGGTTTGCTTTGCTCCTGCTGACAAAGAAGAGAAAATCAGAAAAAATAAACACAAAAGAGCATCAACAGTGTCTACCTTGGTTCTCTACTAGGGAAAGTGGACATGGCTTGTCTTAGGAGTCAAAGGGAAGTCTGTTTCATTGTCCCTGGATGTTGGATTATACTGGGCAGGAAGGGTGTAGCAGAAGCTACAGGAAGGTAGAGGGAGATCTGGTGAACAGCTGCCTAGTTAGGATGTTGCTTTTTGGACCCCCAGCGGGTACTTTGGGCTTAGATAAGCAGAAGAGGTGTCAGGTAGCAATCAAGTCAGTGTGTGCCTCCTGCATTGTCTAAGTGCCTGAGGCAGCTCAGGAAGCTAAGAGGTGCTGCCAGAAATGGTACCTTTTTCCTTGTCAACACAATAACAAACATGAATGCAGCTGAGTAACTGGTTGCAAACGGGAGATCCTGCTCTGCTGGAATCTGAGATGGGGCACAAAACAACCCCCTACTCTGCCTTTTCCTCACCACAGGAGGGCCATAACTGTCTGTTTGTTGAATGCCAGCAAACTAGCACCTCTCAGGTAGAGCAAACTACAGTTATCTGTGCTTTTAAACACCAAAGAAAAACACTAAAGACGCCAGCAAGCACAAAGCAGAAGAGCCCCTGAATGCCCCTAGGCTGCCTGTGATTGTCATTTTGAAGGATTGTTATTACTATGTTTTGACGCCAGTGGACATATTGAACTTCTTTCCTTAGTGCCATTGATGTCAGCAGGATCAAAGGTGTGTGTGCGTGTCTGTATGCCTGCACAGGCATCACAGGAGGTGAGACAGATGAAACAGGAAGAGGGGAGAAAAAATGGGCAACTGAAGAAGGAATGAAAGATGAGGGTGGATGGGAACCCTGATTGGAGGTTATGTGGCTCATGGAAGATGAATCATTCTATAATACAGTTCAAAGAGGGCAACAGCACATATATCTCCTGCAAAGGCATTCTGCCCCACTGAGCCACATTCTCTGAGCTTATTGAAGTGACTACAAATCCCATTCATTGTGGGCAAGACTGATCCCAGGTATGGAAAATGTAGGCATTGGGTGCAAGGGTGGCTGTGCCTTCAAGCTAGTTTTGAGAGTAGTAATTACAGCAGATGAATCTTTACTCACTATGGTACAGATTTGTCCCTGGATGTTGAGTTAAACTTGGCAGGAAGGAAGTAGAAGGAGATTTAGTATTTCTTTGTTATCTATTTTGTGCCACGTACGGTGATAAGTTCTGAGGATGTAAAGATAAGTAAGAGATTATAGGCCAGTTCTAAGGAAATGTAGCACTATCCCCTTCAGAATACAATAGAATGTGTTTTATATTTTATTTTATTTTATTTTATTTTATTTTATTTATTTTTGAGATGGAGTCTCGTTCTGTTGCCAAGGCTGGAGTGCAGTGGCGTGATCTTGGCTCACTGCAACCTCCGCCTGCTGGGTTCAAGACATTCTCCTGCCTCAGCCCCCTGAGTAGCTGGGATTACAGGTGCCCACCACCACTCCTGGCTAGCTTTTTTGTATTTTTAGTAGAGATGGTGTTTTGCCATGTTGGCCAGACTGGTCTCAAACTCCTGACCTCAGGTGATCCACCCGCCTTGGCCTCCCAAAGTGCTGGGATTACAGGCATGAGCCACCGTGCCCGGCCAGACGTGTTCTATAAAAGGTGGGAGAACAGATGGCTAAGAGAAGGAACATAAATGAACAATACTCAACCTGAGGAAAGGGATACTTTCTGGGGGAGACAGCATAAAAAATCTTTCCAAAGGAAACTTGAAGAAGATAGGAAAGCACACTTAACCAGGTTGACAAAGACAGGGGAGTTTTAAGAAGAAGGAATATGCTTTTTCTTCCAGCTAACACATATATACAGTCTGTACCAAAGCTCACCTGAGCACTTTACAAGTATTAACCTATTTAACTTTACAAGAACAATATTACAGAAGGAATAACATCCATGTTCTTATTTTGTACATAAGGAAAGTGGGGCAGGAACAGAGTAAGTAATTTGGTCAGGGTCAAACTGCTAATAAGGGAGAGAACCAGAATTTTAACCCACATAGACTGCATTTAGGGTCCATGCTCTTAACTAAGAATACATACTGCCTTTTTTTGCTAGAAAAAAGGGTATAAAGTTGCAGAGTTTTCAAGTATCTTTGGTTCAGTCCAACCAGTGCATTTATGGTGAGTAAGGATTGTACCAACTACAGATGTTACAAAGATGAATAGGCATAGCTCCTGCTCCCAAAGTGCTTAAATGTAATAGAAAGAGACCCTTAAACAGCTAATTTCAATATAATGTGGGATCATGTTTAGATATAATAGCTGATTTTCTCTTCATTCTCTGTAATTTCCTTTTTACTCCATGGCCCTCTTCCTCCTTAAATTAGTTATTAGGATTGTTAAAGCAGAAAAGCAGAAGAGACGCTTTTTGAAGACCAAATCCAGAGTCAGCAGGACCTAGGGCCTAGAAGGTATGACATAAACAATAGGTTTGGAATAATTCAGGATGATGCCAAGTCCAGCTCAGTCCTCCTCCTCCTCCTGCCCCCACAACCACCCCTCTCAATGATACAGGAGGAGAAGAAGGAGATTAAGAGAAAAAGGAAAAGAATTGGAGGCTGGTTTAAGTTCCTGTGACAGACACTTTGGAAAGATCCAATGGCAAAGGAACTGCACCTTATTTCCTGGACAATTGGCATTTAGGAGAGAATTCTGAGCAGGAGAAATGAATTTGGCATCATCATCATGTAGCTGGTATTTTAAAGCATGAGGTTGAATGAAATCACCAAGGAAAAGACCGGGGAGGTGGTAGACTTCTTGTAAACTTTGCACCCAGGTTAGGATGGATTCAGTAGAGAAGGATGTAAAGGTATCTATGCAGAGTGGCTGCCATATTCTTGCAGATTTTGTCTGCACCCACTGTGTTCCAGTGAGAAGCCAAATGCTTCCCATATTCCCCATTACAAGCTCCATGAGGGCAGGGATACTAACTGTTTTGTTCATTATTCTATTCTCAGAGCCTAGAGCTGAAAATATAGTAGACGCCCATAATTTGTTAGGGTGAGCAAATGAATATGCTTCTCAAGGAGAAGGCATATTCTCAAGGAGAAGCAACAAGGAGAAGGTTGCAGTTTATTAATTCACTTAATAAAGATAATAGTTAGTGATTTCTGTTAGTAGGCACTGTTGTAATTGCTTAGATTATATCCATGAGCAAGTAGAAAAAGATTCCTGCCCTCGTGGAGCTTATAAAAAGGGAGACAGACAATAAAAACTGAACCAGGATTATGAGTTTACTGTATAATACGTTTCCCCGCAGGATCAGGCTGAAATCAGGAGGACTTTGTCTGAAACTGTACCCTTGCCTGATGTCTTCTCCTTACTCTCCTGCTCTCCAATGCCCCTCAGTTTCTCCTGGAGTACTTCCTTAATAAATTGCTTCCACACAAATCCTCATCTCAGCATCTGTTTGTGGGGAACTTCACCTAAGACAAAAGTTATGCTAGATAAGCTTAGTTGCAGAAAAAAATTAAAATGCACAGTTCTTGCATCCCTGAGTTTGTAGCTTGAGCCTGGTACCTGCTGTGAATATAATGCAGTATATGCTGCAATCAAAATGTGTACAAAGAAATGGCACATGGTATAGTGGGGGAATCAGAAAGAGCTTCCTGGAGGATGACTTAACTGGGTGAAGAGTGGTGAAAAGTCATGCCAAGAAGAAGGAATAGTAAAGCCCAAAGTGCAGCGACAAGAAGGTGTCACGTGTGGGGCCTGCACCTGGCTCAGTAGGTCTGCTGCAGAGAAAGCAGTACACGGCAGCAGAAAAGCATACTTCCCTTAAGGTGAATATAGGGAAGGGGTTGCGGGATAGTGAGCAGCAGAAAATTATGTAAAGTGGGCAAAGGATCCTATTGCGAGAGTCTTCCAGGTTAGGAATTTGAATTTCTCCTAAAGGTATTCAGGGCCATAGAAGAGTTTTGTTTGGTTTTGTTTTTAATTCAGTTGTGTAGTCACATGGCATAAAATTTGAAAGTACTAAAGGTTTACAGTTTAAAAGAGAGTCTTTATCTATTCTTTCACTTAGCCGTGGGAACCACTAATACAAATTTCTTGAGTCTCCTTTGGAAAATATGCTTTATAATATATATATGCTTTATATATTATATATTATATTATATGTATTATATGCTTTATATATTTAATATATAATTAATACATATTGCTTATATATATAAAGCACCGTAATTATTTATTTATTATTTATTTATTAAATATGCACTTTGGGAGGCCAAGGCAGGCAGATCACAAGGTCAAGTGATTGAGACCATGCTGGCCAAAATGGTGAAACCCTGTCTCTACTAAAAATACAAAAATTAGCTGGGCGTGGTGGCACACACCTGTAGTCCCAACTCCTTGGGAGGCTGAGGCAGGAGAATCGCTTGAACCAGGGAGGCGGAGGTTGTGGTGAGCCGAGATCGCGTCACTGCACTCCAGCCTGGGCACGGAGCCAGACTCCGTCTCAAAAAAAAAAAAAAAAAAAAAGCAATATGTGTATATAACTCTCTGCTTTGTTCACTTGACACTCTAGTATGATGACCTTTGCATATCATTGTAAAGTTTTAGTAGAGGAGTGATATGGTCAGTTTAGCATCTCATAAACACTATTACAGCTGTAGCATGCAGAACAGAGGGAGAGGGGAACAAGGCAAGACATGAGCAGTGTTTGACATAACATAGGAGCAATATAACTGAGAGAAAATGAAGATTTTAAAATTAGCCATTTTAATCAAATAACAACCATCCATTACTGATGTAGTGCATCTCTTCTAAATAACTCAGAGCATCTTCATCCACAATCCCTCTAGTCTCAAACTACATTGTGACCACCTGAGAAAAGACACTTGAGCTTACAGTTTGCACATGGGAGAAACAAGGTACCTAAAGAGGTAACTTTAGGCTACTTTGATTCTGGGTCTAATATTCTCTCCCCTGGTTATTTTAACTCTACACTTTTGATGGTCCAAACCATCCGCACAGTAAATAAGCAAGCTTCACAGTGGATTAGGAGAGCCAGTTACTGTACCAGCAAAATAATGATCTAAGAACTCCTAGAAAGTGGAGAAGAAATTTTTTGTTCTGATGCTTACCAAGCCTTTAGAGACCCTCAGGTAACACAAAGTATTATTAAGTTAGAAACAATTCAAGTAAGTATTTTCTGAAGCAAAAGAGAAACTAGACACAGGGCAGACTCTCCCGCTGAAGGTTTCCTGAACAATTACCTTGATTCTGCTTAATGTCATCTAAACCCAGTGCTCAGGGCACATGCAATAATCATGATAGATTCCCTTGTTCGGAGGTAGACATGGAAAGCCTTAGTAGGCAGACTTCTCAGATGGTCTCCACTGATACCCATCTCCTGGCATTTGTGCCCTGGTGGAATTTCTTTCCCCTGAGGGTAGGCTAGACCTAGTGACTTGCTTCTAATAAACACAATAAGGCAAAAGTGATAGGCTGTCACTTCTGTGATTAGGTTACAAAAGATTGTGGCTTCCATCTTGCTAGCAAATTCTCCTTATTGTCTTTATATTAGCCTGTTCAGGCTGCTGTAACAGAATACCATAGACTGGGTGGTTTACAAACAACAGAAATTTAGCTCTCACAACTCTGGAGGCTGGAAATCCAAGATCAAGGTTCTCTCAGATTCAGTGTCTGGTGAGGGCTAGACATATTCAGGTTCATAGACAGCCATCTTCTTGCTGTGTCCTAACATGGCAGAAGAAAGAAACACCTCACTGGGGTCCTTTTAATAAGGGCATTAATCCCATTCATGAGGGCTCCTCCCTCCCTCATTACCTAATCACCTGCCAAAGGCCTTACCTCCTAATACTATCACATTGGGGATTGGGTTTTCAACACATGCATTTGGGGAAAACAAACATTCATTCTATAGCAGTCTTCAGAGTTTGCCCATTTGGATGAAGGAAGCTGCCATGTTAGAGCGGTCACACAGCAAATAATGGAGGGTGGCCTGCAGTCAATAGCTGGCAAGGAACTGAAGCCCTCAGTACAATGCCCGTAGAGGAACTGAGTCCTACCATCAACCATGAGAGTGGCTTTGGGTACACATCCTTTCCCAATCCTGGCTTCAGATGAGAATGCAACCCCTAGACTAAAGCCTTGATTGCAAGCTTGTAAAAAACTATAATGCAAAAGACCCAGCTAAGCTGTGCCTGGATTCCTGAACCACAGAAACTATGAGATCATAAATGTGTATCATTTTAAGCTGCTAAATTTTGGCATAATCTGTTTCACAGTAATAGCTAATTAATACAAAAGCAAGGTCAGGGTGAACACAAAAATTAAATAATTATGACTTACATACATAGAACTATGCTATGCTGTTACACATAGCATGCACCCTTCTTATGAACTCAACAGTATAACTTAACTAGAGTGCTTACTTGACTGAGACTTAGATATTGGTCACTCTGCAATTCACAGTCCTCTCTTCACCACTACGGCTTCTTTTGATGATCCATTGCATGTTTTTCAGGACTTACCTCTTGATTCAAGATCTTTTCAGGAGGATACTGGGGAAACTGTATTACCCCGGTGGCATGAATAGGAAAGAAAAGATGCTAGACTGCATGCTTAAAGCACATGACACAGAGGCAGAGCTGTCAGCAACTCCAGCATCACGGGATTTAACATTAGGGCTTAAATAAGAACCTTAAGCAGCCCTACAAAAGCCCTAAATAGCAGCAGGAATATTGAAGTTGGGGAATATGTGTAGTTAATCCTGACAGATAATGTCTTAAAGGGATCCTAATTTACTTGGGAGATGCGATGAGAGACTATGAGGCTCAGAAATCTTCTCTTTATTTTATTCTAGATGTTTTCAACCTGTTTTCACTTGAAGTTGATAAGTCTATATCTAATGAGCATTGACCTCTGGAATTTGAGAAGATGACAGAGAATGAAAAATTAAAGTTTCTTCTCTTTCTGATGCTCTATTGGTGAAGAGAGGGTACATATGAAAAAGATCTACAAATACTGTCCTAATTTCACAGAAGGTGGTAAACATATAGTGCTCACTATTTATATGCAACCAGTTAGACTCTCCATTCATAAACTCAGTTGTAAAAGAAATCTTCATTTAAAACATTTTTACATAAAACTAAATGCATCTGTGGCCTCTTTTTTGCCTGGCTATTAGAAAATTTAGTAACAGCTATTATTGCAGCCTTCTTTTTCAAGGATTGCTGCAGAATTTCACCCAAAAGATGAGCAAAAGACCTCTTACCCTGACCGCAGCATAGCTGTTGCTGATTCCTTACTGCCCAGGCCTGTGGTGGCAGTAAGGACTAAGGGGTGTGGGTTTAAGGCAGATATAGAAATCTCAGGGAACCTCAACTAGTAAGCAGAAGACAGAAGTCAAGACCTTCTTTGGCTATCACTTACAGTGTTCCTTGAAAAAACTTCCTCACCATTTTAAAGGCCCTGTTTCTCTTTCTGTAAAATTGAGGGTAAATACATTTGTATTCCAACTGCCTCACGAATAGTCAATTAGGTGGTTTTCTCTCACTTCCATACTTAGCAAATCAAAAAAGTATGAAAAGTATACTTTTCAGAACAAGTTCTAATGTCTTCCTCCTGGGAGGGAGGCTGGTCAGGAGTTTCTGTGCACCGGTGTTCCACGAGGCAACTAGGCCACGGCCATTGGAGATTCATCCAAGCTCACACCCAGGAGGTCCCCGGTTAACATGAAGAGCTCATGATACTTAATCCAGTGTTCTTTCTACTGCACTGTGCTGCCAGAACAGTGGTCACCAATTGCGCCACTCCCAAATCAATGTTAAACCGTGCATAAAACAACAGCACTGATTATGGGCTATGCTGTTATTTCAGGGGGACCATATCTAGTTGGAGAAGGGCTATATATGTCGGGTAAGGAATTGAGACTAACGAGACAGCAGAGAGCAGAGGTAGGCTTTTGTGTTTGGTTGATAGCGATGGATTCTACTGTACCTTTGTTTTTAATATTGGATCTTTCTCTGCAAATGCATGGATACAGCACAGAAACATCTATTACCTGTTTCTGAAACATCATCAAAAGCCCCATGGGCAGCAGAGTATAATGCAATGTGCCAACATGACAAGTGTGAAGTGTGTCAAGTCAGGGAACACCATAAATCCCCTATTCAATTCTCAAAGAATGTGATATACAAATGTCCATTCATCTTGCTCTCTCACACTTTCACCATTTTCCAAGGAGGCATCTGATAGGCTAGTGAGGATTCCCTCTGTGCTGAGCTCCTGAGGGCAAGACTCATTAACCATTTGGCTGTCTCTAAAATTATTACATCCAAGCACTCAGGGAAAATAGGAACCTGAGGTAGCATACCACAACTTGCTACTATCATTTGTCAAAAACTGGCACCAGGTAGAAATGACACAGGATAACAAGTCCAGAAGCATCTAGAACAAACAAGAAGGATTCATCATTGAAGACAGGCAGAAAACACCCCCCAACCATCCATCCTCATATCAATTATGCTAGTACAGACTCACATTCCCAAGGCCTAAACAAGTACGGTTCATATTCCCAAGGCCTAAAAAAAACAGTTGGACCTTAAAAAATTAGATTAAATTTTAAATAGAAACCAGACCTAAGAAAAAAATAAGTGCATTGTATTCTGCCTCTTTGTTTGTTCCTCATTAAGTACAGGTTTTCAAGAAAAAAATAAGTTAATGAGGGGAAACCTCAGTATTTGACTACAGAAAAATATATGCACCCTTCTCCCTGCATTGACAACATCAGGAGAGGTGTCAGGGATGTTCAAGACAGGGGAAGGGGTCAGCCCATCAAGAATTGGAAAGATGATCAAGAGGAAGAAGTGCTGTAAGCCTAGAGAATGGAAAAAAAATTGAAAAAAACAGCTAAAGTTTATAAGTACTCCCCAGGTGCCAGGACTTACTAAATTTTTAAAATGTATTATCTCAGTCTAATTTCACCAAAACTCTATATGGATAGTACTATTATTATTCCATTCATAGATGAAGGAAACCGAGGCACAGGAAAGTTAAGTGACTTGAAGGTTAAATATCTGAATTCAAGCAGCCTGCCCTAGAGGCCACAGTGTGAACAATAAAGCCAGTGGTTCTCTGTCTTATTCTTCCATCAGAAGCTCTGGAGGGCTTGTTAAAATCCAGCCCTAGAGTTTTTAATTCAATAAGTAAGACGGGAGTTTGCCTTTCTAACAGGTTCTCATATGATGCCGATGTTGCGGGTCCAGGGACCACACTTTAAGAAACATTGCATTTAGCTATATTGTCCTTTTAAAAGGGAAGCAGTCTAGTCAAAGGGAGTAACATTAGCAAATGCATAGATTAAAAACAAAACAAGTCAGGTAATAATAAAGAAGTGTATCTAACTTTAGCAATCATGTTGGTGACTCCAGTTTAAAAAAAAAAAAAAACCTATGTCGTAACAAAGACTTGGAAATCCTGACGTGAATATTGCAGTATATAGACAGCCATGCCATCCTTTTTATACATAAAGGATGTATAAAACTTTGGGAACCTACAAAGGAGGTAAGAACAAACAAACTCTTACAGGTAAGGCAAGGCAGATGGCTGCATCTTTAAAATCTATTGGCATACATTAATCATGAGTACGCTTAAGTCAAAAGGAAAGATGAAAAGAACACTTTGATGCTGGTGTGGCATAAAATCACACATTATATCTATATCCCAGACAGCTTTCTAAAGAAAAACAAACAAACAACAAAAAGCACCCTCCCAAAACACTAAGCAATATGGATCACTTTCTCCAACTCCATGTCAAAATTCGATCATTTTGTTTAAGTTTAGGAGTCTAGTGGAATCCATTGTCTTTGGAATGTGTTACAAGAGTCAACTGAGACCTTCAAAGAAAACTTTCACTTTTGGATTACAAGAGACACATTTCAACAGAGATGTTTCTCTCAAAAATAACAAAAAAATTATGCTAGTAAAATATTTTTTTAAATGCAAAGTGCTTTCTGTAGTAACCGAAAGTCCCCCAATCCTGGATACTACTTTTATTTCACTGATAATTTTGACATAGAAAAGCATGTACGGAATAAAATCATCCACCTAAGCCTTCTTTGGACATCTTTTACATCAAAGCCAAGAGGACACAAGGTGCCTTGGGCATTGTGACTCTCACGATGAGGCTTACAGCCTATTGAAAGACTTTACGTTTTAATTTATGTGTGTGAATACATTGCTACAATTCTCTCCCAAAATGTCTTAGTTTTAGCCAATCATGAATGTGCAAGAAACCCAGAAGATGGTATAAAACATTTATTTACCTTTCCCATTGAACCCCCTATTAGATCCTGTAAAGCCTACTCAGTGTGGTGGACTCTTTTCTCTTAGTTGAGAAGGGATGAAAGATGTAAATGAAGGGAGAAGAAAAATTTTATACAAAGTCAAATACAGTAAGTACTATGCATACTGCTCAGACAATCATAAGTACATAGGAACTTAGAGGACAGAGATATTACTGGAAATCTCATTAAGCTTTCTTGAGATGCTCTGGATTTCAGATTTGAAAGAAGGATAAGAGAGAACAATAGAGAGGGAACGTTCCAGGAAGGAGGGTGCTTCTGAACAAATGCTGAGCGATAAGACTTTCATTCTAGGATATGCCATTATGAAGAAGGTAGTAAGTGCATTAACATGATTGAGACAGCAAAGACCCAAGTAGGGCAAACACCTGGGACAAAGATAGAAAAGCATTCTTAGGCTTATCAGGGAGGGATGGGGGTGTCACACCAAGAGTAACTGTTAGAGGCAACGGGAAGCCACTGAAGAATTTGAAAGGAGTGACATGAAAAAAGTAATGATTTAAACAGACAAAATGGCAGCATTTCATAGCATATGTCCAAGAGTAAACCATCGGCTAGGAAACCACTACAACAGTCCAGACATGAAGCAACAAAGACCCAAACTAAAGTCAGGCCACTGGTAATGTAAAGGAAGGGATGACTGTTAGGTTCAGAAATAAGGAGAAATCCTTGTCCTGGCTATGACTGTGGTTGAGGAAGGAATAGCCAAGTAGTGATGTCAAGCTTCTCAGTCTCAGTGTCTGGCCAGAAACAGTAACTGAGGCCTACACGGGTTAAAGAACTTGACCAGGCTCATGTTTCATCAATGACAAGGTTGCATTTAGATATATGGGATCTCAGTTTAGTCTTCCTTCCAGTACTTCATGCCACCTCATGCATATTCGTACAAAGCTTTTGAGTCTTGACATTTCATCACACCACAATAACTCTAAAATCATGCAGCACATGTAGCAAATAACTCTAAAATCATGTGGCACAAAAAAAGCAATTTTTTCTATCTCCCAAGTTTTCATTGAAATGAGCACATTTTATTTATTTATTTATTTATTTATTTTATTTTTATTTTTTTTGAGACAGAGTCTCACTCTTTTGCCCAGGCTGGAGTGCAGTGGCACAATCTTGGCTCACTGCAAGCTCCGCCTCCTGGGTTCACACCATTCTCCTGCCTCAGCCTCCCGAGTAGCTGTGACTACAGGCGCCCGCCACCACGCCTGGCTAATTTTTTGTATTTTTAGTAGAGATGGGGTTTCACCATGTTAGCCAGGATGGTCTCGATCTGACCTCGTGATCTGCCTGCCTCAGCCTCCCAAAGTGCTGGAATTACCGGTGTGAGCCACCGTGCCTGGCCAAGCACATTTTATAAGAAATTTTTCCAAATTCTAGTATGATTATTTATAATGTCATAATTATAGATTTTTTTTCTAAGTAGAAATTCTGTATGGTAACCCATTCCCTAGAGAGAGTAACCTCTCCCAACTCCTCATCCTTCATTGATTCAAAGGTTCTTGAGAGCAGGGTTCCTCAACCTTCACACTATTGACATTTTGGCCTGGATGACTGTTTGTTCTATGTAGGGGGCAGGTATTTCAGAATGTTTACCAGCATCTCTGGCTCCACTCACTAGATGCCGGTAGCAATCATCCACTCCTAGTTGTTACAACCCCAATGTCTCCAGACATTGTCAAATGTCCCTTGGGGGACAAAATCACTTCCATTTGAGAATCTCTGCCTTAAAGGTATTTTACAAAACTTACATCAATGAAACTATCATTTCAATTCAACAACTCTCCTAAGTTCTGTCTTTGGATGGTGGTTCTCTTATATGTGTGGGTGGGGGCGTTGGAGGAGAGTTGGGAAGATAAGACTCAATCACCAGTTGCCAAGTTTCACTTTAAACTTCCCCTTCGTGGGGTATCACTGCATCTGGAGCCAAATCGAAGGGGACTTGCTTAACTGGAGCCCAAAAGTCTTCTGTGGTCTTTAAGAAACACATGGCAACAAAGTGCTTTCCATGAACTCACTTTTCACTTAGAATCAACTAAATTCTTTTTTAGCTATTTAGAAGAGATCTTGTACCTCAGAACAAAAAAAATTACAACCATCTTCAGCAAATGTTAATATCTGAGTTATAAGCCCTCCAAAGGAGGGGACAAAGCTGGGTTCCCTCTCCAGAATGACCCTGGACTATGAGCCAAGACCAAGGCTATGGCCCTTTAATCTGAGAAGGACATGCCTCTTACCGTACTCTGATCATCTGCCTCAAATGGGCAGGCCTGCAAGGCAACAAAGTAACTGATGAGACCATCAACTATACTTTCTACAGCTTTATCTTTCAGATTCATCAGGAATTGAGTAAGAAAAAGGGACCTGTTATGTTTAATCATAAACTGACAAGACATTTGTATTTATGTGGCAAGAAGTTACATCTGCCAACCAGGCTCCTGTCTTAAGTAAAAGCTTCATGTCAGCTCTTCTGTTTACTCAATCGTCAGCTGCTTTCTGGTCTCACTTGCTTTACTATATATTTATATTGAAAGAATACATTCTCAGCAGCTTTTAGGCTCTTAAATGCATTTCAAGAGAAGACCAAGTCCAATCACTGTTACTTAATTAACACAATTGTGAAGACTTCAATCTAGCTACACAATAGCTTTCCTGACCTTGCAGAAGGAGGCAGGACTTCATTATTGAGTATATTGTTTCCTATAAACATATAAAACCCCTACAATAACAATCCCATCAGCCGAAATGAAGTTATCTGAGAACAGAATTAAACTCTAAATGACCTTTTGCTCTACTCCGTAGCCCCCTATTAATAATTTCTAATCTAATCAGTGTGGATAAATGCACTAAGGCTGGTCATGCCAGGCACTGGGCCAGCCCGGCCAATTGCCGTCCATCTGATTCATTCCAGTCCAGAGCTTGTCTGGAAAAGACGCATCCCTCGCTGAGAGGCCACTGCCTGATTTCTTCTTTTGTTATCTTTTAGCAGCAAAGTCATGTCCTTGTAACTGATAGACACGTTTCTTTGTAAATAACCCTGGAGTGACTGATAGAGCTTTTGCCAGACAAAGGCGCAAATAGCAAGGCATTACTCATGCCAAGCCGGAGAACACTGTGTCACGGCTGACAAATTTATGGGAGATATGAGCTCACCTCTTGCACAAATATATACTTTCCTGGCAAATTCATCACATGCTTTAATGGCCCCATACTGCATTTGTCAGCTGTCTGTCCCTGTGCCTTGTTGCCTTTGGTTTCCTGTCAAGGATTGTTTGTTGAAATCATCTTACAGCCCCATTCTTCAGCAGTGAGACCCAAGAAAGATCAATGATGACACCTGTATTGATAATATTTTACATTCAACTATTTGGCTGATAAATCATTTTAACAATGCTGATATGTTTATTGAGTGTCTGCCGGCATCACAATGATATGGAAAGCGATGCCAACTTAAATCTTTGCTTTGTTGGTCTGGTTTTTATTTCTTTCTTTTCATTTTCCCATAATTAAATGTGCCATAGTACAGGTTTTACTTCCCCATGTCAATCGCGAGCAAGTGAAAACAGGAGAAGGGGTGACCTTGCGCTTCCACTCATTGGTTTGTTTTGTAAAAAGGTAAGAATGGAAGCCTGGTAGTTATTGTTGGCCAAAAAGGTAGTTATTAGAAGGGAGAACAAGGGTTTTTAGGGTTCTGGTAATGTTCTGTTTTGTGACCTGGGTATTGGGTTCAAAGATATGGTCATTTGTGAAAATTCTTTAAGCTCTATGTTATAATATGTGCATTTTTTTCTGCACATACATTATAGTTTAATAAAAAGTTAAACAAAGATCAGCAAATGAATTACACATACACATGCACACACACATTATAAATACACAGTCTCAGAGTCAGTGTTTTCTACCTTGAGACTTTATATTACCTACAATCCCTTAAGCTTCTCCCTGGAAATATCACCTGTCCAACATGGAAATTACATCCAATAAGCATTTATAAGTGATCCTCTTAGCATCATCTCCACAGAATTTCAAAGAAAATCTTAGGGTTCTCAAATTCCTTAGCCTTTACCTCCTCTTTAGGACACTTTTAACATGGACTCCTGGGTCTCTATGAAAAAATGGAAAGAGACTGAGGCATCAATAAAAAGAAATAAAATTCTCCCTTGGTTTCTTACTCAAATTAACTTTGACTCAAGTCACACGCTCAGTCTATGTCTATGGAAACATTCAGATACATGTAAACATTCAGATGAAAAGTGAAAAATCCAACCAGCTGAATTGACTTACCTGTTGTTGGGAACACCTGTATGTATTGGCCTTATAGGAAGCCCTCAACAGACATTCACTTTCTTGTCTTTGGGCAGAACTGTATCATATGGCACCTCCAGTTGCAAGGACATCTGGAAGACAGAATATTTAGCTTTTTCAGACTCTGTATTAGAGACAGGTAATGAGATCCCCTTTGGGAATGAGCGATGAACTGGCCAAATTACAGTTCTAACTAGATAAGCGAAAGCCACAGCAGGCCAGGTGAAATGGAGGTACGGGAAAGTCCAGGGAAGAGTTGTTTAAATCAGTGGTTTCAACCTGGGATGTTCATTGTAATCACCTGGGTATCACCCTCAGCAATCCTAATTTAATTGGCCTTGGGTGTGGTCCAGCATCAGGATCTTTAAAAGCTCCTGTAAGTGATTCTAAGGCACAGCCAAGGTTGAGAGCTACTGGCTTAAAGAGATAAATATCAAGACTTGTATCCTCAAAGAAAATAGCAAAGGTATTAGGTATCTCACCAGCTATTATGTTTTGTGGATTTAAAGTCAAAGATTAAACAAAGGTTTTTAAGAGCTTATATCTGGAAAAGGAGTAAAAGTCTAGAAAAAAATTATTCCCTGATTTTGCAAACACTTGAGTGACAAACAGGCATTAGAACATGAGCAAGTTATTTTTAAAATAATATGTTGATTAATTAAGGTTCACTCAATCTAATAGTTGGAAATATTCATAGAAAAAGTGGGCAGTCTTATCTGTGTAATTAACTGGAAATACATCTCAGCTCCACCCCTTCCAACAGTGGGGGTCTAGTGTAAAATATTGACCTCTCGTAGAGTCTCAGTTTTCCCACTTATAAAATGCGAGAAATGATTGAACCTACCTCAAAAGCCTTTCTGTAAGGAATGATTGAGATAACCTGGATGAAAGGGTTAAATGTCTGGCATGTAGTAACAGCTCAATATCATCGTTCTTGGTCTCCCATTCAGCAAGCTCATTTACAAGCATTCATGTCACCTACAAAGAATTAGCAAGAATTGGGTCTGAAAAACACCAAGGTGACAATTTAATTACTGTTATATGAGGCTTGATGAACTATTATTCAACTATCCAGGGCAAAGTATTGTAAAAGAGATATAAAATGCTGCTGGAGGGACTTATGTTAGATATGATTTAAAAAAATAGTTAACTATGAAGGCAATAAAACATGATAAAACGTTAGTTGAAAAAGCAATGGTTTCTCCTCAGAAAGTCTGCTTTAATAGGAGATATTTTCATATTTCTAGAATAGTCTAAGCCATAGTGTGGTAAATAAATTAACTTTCAACATCCTTTTTGGTCTTTATGACTCAATAATTGTGACTCAACGATATAAACTTAGGAAGATGAAATTCAGATTTCAGTTGAGAAGCAATGCTGTTTCACCTCCCTGAGAGAATTGCCTTGTTTGTGAAATACTACAGAAAAACCTGTATTTTCTCCAGAAAATGAAAGGTCTTGGCCTGAGTAAATCAAGGCAGAAAACTCACCCCCGTGAAAGCTGCAGCTCTGAGAGTGTGTGGGCAGGGTGAGTGTCACAGGTTCAGGTTGTCTGGACTGCCCTTGGGACCCCAGCTCCTCCTTTCCATCATGTTGCGGTCCAGAGTTCAGTTCATACCATCCCAGATGATTTGGGGGTTTGCTTCCTCACTTCAGGCACTCTTTAAATAAGAGGCCTTGTCAGTGGCTCTTCCATCTGGCAGAAAGTGGGTGCTCAATAAATATTTGTTGAATGAGCCTGATCATTCTGATGAAAAGAGACCCCTTTGTTCTTTTGGGCCATTGGGTTTACCATTTACTAAACGGCCTGTGGCTTCCTGGTCTGACAAATTTATAGCACCTGTTTATGTCTTTCTCACCCACAGGCTTCAACAGAATACCTGTGGCTGCACTTACAAAAGGCAGCCAGAAGGACCCGTCCATTCTGGAAAGTACCTTTAGTCTGAAAGGTACAAATCAGAACTTTCACCACATTCCATCTGGCACTCACTGGTGGTGCCAACACCTCAAAAACCCTGCCGGGGCCATTTGTCACCATGTGGACACAGACAGACCACCAGTGAAAGTGGAATTTTTGAATGAGCTTGAATGACCTGCCTATATGTGTAGACAGCCATGGTCACTTTTTCTCCGTAGGATTAGATGTGCTGATTCTAATGTGGTTCACATTAGGCTATTTTCTTTTAAAAGTGAAATTTCTTTTGGAAGCCTGGACATTTCTAAGACGACTTCACATCTATTCACTCATCTTGCCTTCCAAAACAGCTGCTCACAATCTGAATATTAGACTACAAATAGCAAAAACAAACCTCTGTTGTTATTATTACTATATTATTAGGGTTTTTTTAGAATCCCAAGGAATTCTTTATATAATGTAGAGTAAGCTATTAGAAGGAAATCATTATTTTCAATGTGGTTCATCCCATGGAGGTATGGATGGAGAATCCCTGCTCTTTCCTGGAAATGGATGCTGGTTCTTTAGAACAGTGAGTCTTCTTCAAACTGCATAAAATAATCATTATGACATAATCAGCAGCAGTGTGTTACACTCTTGTCATTTTTCCCTAGTGCATTTCCAGGTCTCTATCAGCAGAATTGGAATTACTTCATCATTTTCAGCATTTCTTTTTCCTTTCCAGCATTTATTGCAGAAAAAATATGAGGCTTGCTGGTAGTATTCCCAGGTGACAAATGTGCACCCAACACCCTACAGAAAAGAAGAACCATAAAATAATTAATTATTCCATTGTAACTCCTGCCTGGAAAACATCTGGTATGTAACATCACATTATGCTTCATGTGGAGTGTTGTGAATCATCTTCCTTATGCACAGATCTTGTCTCCTCACTTAGATAACAAGCTCCCTGAGGGAGGGGAGACCACCATTTATTGAGAGCAAACCTTAGCCCATTACGTATTTTATTCTCTGTATTACCAACATCCCAGTGAGGTCTTTACAGATGAAGGAAGTGTGGGAGGTTTGAGTCATTCTTCCAAATGCACACAGCAACTGGGTAACATTTGGCCCCACCCTCAGCTTGGGCTCGTCAGTGGAAGTTTGCTCAGCAACAGAGACCAGCATCAATAATCGTGCTCAAGAGATTAGTATTATGAGCCCGGTATTACCGGCATGTTTGTGACATGAGTACTCCTGAGACTTCTGGAGTCAACTTTAAGAACAGCCTCGACTTTAAATATCAATGTTGGCTCAAGACCTGATTCAACATATTTTGAAAAACTCAGTGTTCTCCCCTCCGATCCCAGCATTAATTGACTAATTTAAACTAAAAATATATTGGGTGCCTTTTGTGTGCCAGGCATTATACTATTTGTTTAGGAGAGAGTGCGAAACAAGACAGAGAAAGTCTCTACCCACATGGAGTTTTCATTCCAGTGGAGCAGTGTGTTATCTATTATGGCATAACAAAGCACCCCCAAACTTAGTGACTTAAAATGAGAAACATTTACTGCCCTACAGTTTCTGTGGGTCAGGAATCTGGGTGTGGCTCAGCTGGGGGCCTTTGACTCAGGGTCATAATGCTACAAGGTGTGAGCTGGAGCTGTGGTCATCTCCAAGCCAGCTGGGAGGAGACCTTTTTCCAAAGTCACTCACACAGCCTCAGGTGTTTACAGGCCTCAGGTCCTTGCTGGCTGTTGGCCAGAGGCCTCAGTTCCTTGCCACAAGGGCCTCCCCATAGGTTACTCACAACATAACAGTTTGCAGCCCCCAGAACAAGGACCCCAGAGACAGAGTGAGAGAGGGCAAGAGAAGGCAAGATGCAAGTCACACTCTTTTTGTAACCTAATCCCATCACATTTCCTGAATTCTGCTCATTAGAAAGAAGTCACTAGATTCAGCCCACATTCAAGATGAGAAATACCAGAAGGCAGAGAACACTGAGGCTGTTTTAGAGGCTGTCAACCCCAGGGAGACAGACAGCAAATAAGTAAGCAAATAAATAAAAATGGAAGGTGATAATAAGTGCAATGAAAAGAAATGAAGCAGAGTAAAGAATCAAGAGTAGCAGTTGAGGGGTGAGTATTTTAATTAGGATGGTCAAGGGAGGTCTCGTTGCAAAGGTGACATGTAAGTTAGGATCTGAATGATATCTGGGATCCAGCTATGCCAGCATCTGGGCAAAGAGCTTATCAGGCAGAGGAGCCACAAAGTGTAGAAACTTGAGATGGGGAGGAGGTTGGTGTCTAGGAGAAATGGCAAGGAGCCCAGTGTGGGTAGATCAGTGGGAGGGAAGGAGAAAGTTGGAAGAGAGGAGGTCGGAGGGGCAAACATGAGCTAGGCTGCACAGGGCTTGGTCGACCATGGCAGAGAATTTAGAATTTATTCTGAAAGGAATGAGAAGCCATCGTGATCAGATTTACATTTTTAAAGCTCACCTCAGTTGCTGCTGTAGAGAAAGGGTGGTAGAAGGGCAGGAGAGGGAAGAGCAAGATCAGCTGAGAGATGACCACAGAGGCCCTTGTGAGATGGGAGGTGACTCACATGAGAGTAGAGGCGTCTGAGGGGCTCATTTGTCTCTAATAGTCTGCCTTCTACCCAGTGTCTCATCTTCTGTAACCATCTCACCACATAGGTTGACCCCAGTGTGGGCTGTCACCTCATCCCCTTTTAATTCCTCTGCCAAATGATCACCAACACAAGGAAGTGTACATAATGAACTCTACTCAAGTTCATGGTACCCCAAGGGGCTCCTGTTCTCAGAGCAACGCAGCAAACAATTTAAAATGTAATATCAAACACTGCCATTATAAAACAACTTGGCCCATGCCCCCGCTATCCCTGATGCCCACCATGTTACTAAGCCAACCTCTCTCCTTTGATCTTGTAGCTCCACACTTCCAATTTTTCTGGGTCCCTCATCCCCTCTTGCTCTCAGGCTGCTCACACACAAAAAAGTTTCCGCATCTTTTCACGTAAGAACAATTCGATGTCCCCTTTATTTTGCCTCCTGCCTCTAGATCTTGACTTGAGGTTTCACTTTTCACAATCAAAATACCCTATCAATGTGTTTTGCCAAACAATATCAACAGCAAATACATTTTCCTAAGCAGGATGCTTGGATGTTTTCACACCACTCTGACACATGGATGGAAGGTTAGAAGACAACAAAGGAATGGGCTGGGAAGGACTCCAAAAGCAGAATCAGAGATTATATCATTCCTTGGAAATGGAGAAAAGGATCAAAAAAGCTGAATAAAAGGTAGTCCCAGCAACAATGTCTCCTTGTGAACAGACTTTTGAGTATTTGGCTTTGTTATCCCCCAGAGAATACAAATGTCTCTATGGACACCAAGGTCATAATAACTCCACTTCTCCCATCCCCCTCACACCCTTTGGCAGCCTCATATATTCTCATTATAGTAAACTCAATTCACCAGAAAATTTCAAGAAAATTAAGTGCTTCCCTCTTCGACTGTTTACGTTCATTTTGACTTACTATATGAAGAGTCTAGGTACCCATAGAGTGTTCAGATTCTGCCAATGATGTCATACTTCAGAAGTATGGAAATGACTGAGGAAGAATTAATTTCTGATTCATGTAGCAATAAATTGAGGCTTATTGACTTGAACAGTACTTTTGCCAAGAAATTTTTGCTGCCAGAGTTTATTTACAGAATGTCATGATTTTCCAAAACATTATTGCTTCCTTTTTCAGACCATGCCTTCTGACTAGAGCAGGTAATTTGGGGAGGATTTACACATAATTATAGCCCGAATCCCTTAATTTATAAAATTGCATAGTACTTGGCTCATTAATGGCTGTTGAAAATGCTGGTCTAGTAAAATCATAAGGAGAGCTTTTACCTGGTGAATTTAGTTGTTGAAACAAAGTTGGACCCATTCCCAAACATAATCTGGAAACAGTCAGTCTATTGGGAAGGCACTGCCCTGAATGGATGGGCAATCTGGTGTTATGGACTGACCATCCTTACCCACTGGACTTGGCATCATCACCAACCTCTTTACTCAACTCCTTTTGGGCAATTAAGAGTTCCATGAGGATACTGACAAGATTCCAAAAAGCAATAAAATTACATAATGTAGTCCTGGTGTAGATAGAGGATTCCTGGTAATGACTCTGGGGCTTTTCTCATGAGCACATAATAAAGTTGTGAGCTGGACATAAAATACTCAAGACACAAGGAAGAGCTTCCCCACAGTTGCAGGTGTCTGTAGCTATCTATCTACTTTGTCTTGTTCTCCCACCCACCTCAGGCCCTGAATTGAGACCTGGTGAAAGAGGTAGTCTGAATTGTATAGAAGAACGCAGAAGTAAAACGGCTAACTTACCTGATTTCTATTCCTAAAGTTTGAGGGAAGGCAGAGTCAGATTTCAGGGGATAAAAGAGACTGTTGTGGCCCAGACTGGACTTTAGTTTCCTTTGTGATAATTGTGCTTTCGTGTGTGTGTGTGTGTGTTGGGGAATGGGGGGTATATGTATGCTTGTATGCATGAAAAGTTTACAAATGTTTCCAATGACAATATGGTCCCCAAACTAGGTTGATCATCAGAGTCACTTGAGGAGCTTTTAGAAAATACAGGCACCTGAACCAAACCATCCTGTGTCACAGGAATCTGTGCTTGTGAAACAAGCGTCCATTTAGGTGACTCTGATTGTTAGCTAGACTTAGAACCACCATTCAAAGACCCATTCCTCACCTCACCCTCACCATTTCTGTGCCAGCTCTCTTCCACTGATTTAGTTTCTCAAAATTTTCATTATCTTGTTTCCTTTATGTTTTAAACTGCATTTAGTCCATGCAAACTGTTTCTTTCTTTGGTTTACAAAGGTTCATCTTGCCATGTGGAGATATTTTTCCAATCCCGAAACATTTGCAATAATGGGGGATTCAATTCTATATTGTATCTCCAAATCTCTTAATGTCCTAAAATGGCCTCACCAGTCAGTAGACTCATCAATCTATGCATAACCAGATCTATGGATGTTTTTTAGGTCCTGGGGAAACCTCAACTGCAGACTGGTCAAGTGCTGCCCAATGATCTAATGACATGTTCACAAATTTGTATCCATACCAATTCTAGGCAAACATGGAGGAACAGAGTTTGGAGCAATACCCTGACTTACATTCAGTACTGTTAATGGCTCCAGCATCTTGAAACAAACCAATTTTGGATTTTCAGGTAAAGTTTGGCAAATAATTTTTCCTTACTTAAAGAAGAGAAAGGGCTTAAAATGGATTACATACAACTTTAAAGTACATGTTCTTACAAAACAATAGCTTCTTGAGCTAATTCTAGATAAATTAGTTATAAATGAATCAGAAACATATGGTTGCAACTTTTCTCTAAATAAAAGGAGACTAAAAATTCAGGAAAGGATCTAGAGACAAACATGAAGTAGATTTTCCAAAGGCCTAGACAATTGTTTAAAACACTTTCCAACAACTCAAATTTGTCAGGTTTAATCAATCCTTTTTTTTTTAGTCTAGTTGTCTGAATTTAAAGATATCTAAAAAGAATTGGTGTTAAATGAAAGATTTTAACACATTTCAAACGGAATTAGTTTTCAAACTACAATGTAATTGTGGCAAACTCACTAAGGATAGGAGGTAAAGTAGATGGGAACACACTCAAAAGACCAGAGCTGGGCATCCGCAACTTTTAAGTAATTTTTAATAAAAAGAGAGAGAAAATACTTGAAATTGAATGATAGTTGAACAAATCAATTATTGCTAAAGGATTTTTCCTTAAGTCCTGATGGTTTTACAATGCAGAAAAGAATGCATTGGGCTTTTGACAACTTCTTCTATTCCCAGTGAAAAAGAAAGCCAACCCAGAAAATCACTTAGGAAGATCCAGACAACAGATGGTACGCCAAAAGTGAACAATGATCTCAGTAACTGAGGCCTCAGAGACAAGATGATCCATTCCACAGCTGGATATTGTAAAACTTGGGTACCAGTGGTGCGCAGATCTGACCATTAAAACTATGTACTTCTTGAGTCACAAACCAGTGTGTGTGACTGGTTAAAACCCAGTCACAACCTGGAAAAAGTTGTGGAAAGCACCTGGGGACTGAGGAGAAGCAAACTTCCTTAGGTTTACACAGTATGGCTGGCACCTTAAGCAAGTTAAAATCGGTCTCAATTCCCTGCAGAATAAGGGCAACACCAATTATGCTACCTACTTCATGCAAGAACCTAAAATGAAAAATAAAATTGCTTTTAAAATGTGCTCCAGCCAAATAAGCTGGTATTTTATGAAAAGGAATGATCGCATTTTTGAGCTTGTATGTTAACCCATCGTGCCAGATCAACAATAGCTACACATTCTTTGATCTTCTTCCCATTGAAAATAGGTGTTTATGGCCTCTCCTCTTCAAAGTGGGCAGGTTCTGTGACTGCTTGACTCATAGAATATGGTGGAAGTGATGCTGATAATTTCTAGGGTCAGGGCTTTAAGGACAGCTTTCACTTTCTGTCACTTGAAAAACTCTTGGAACCCAGCCTCCATGTAGTCAGGAAGCTCAAGCAGCCCCATTGTAAGTCCTGTGTCAGGAGAAACTGAGGCCTCCAGCCAATAGCCTTGATTGAGCTCCCATGTTATAACTAGCACTCACTTACTAAGCATGTAAGTGGACCATCTTGGAAAAGAATCCTCCAGCCTCCAATTGAGAATGTCTCAGCTAATGCCACTAAGCCTTGCCCAAATTGCAGATATATGAGCAAAATAAATGGTTGTTATTATTTTAAGACATTAAATTTTCATGTGATTGGTTACGCAAAAGTAGATAACCAGAACACTCACTATCTTGTATAATAATGACAATATATTATGTAATAATATTGTATATGTAACAACTTTATGTAGTTATTATAATAATTATTATTAACAGGAATAATAATTTGCAGTTATTTAACATTAGGTTCCAGGCACTACATTATGGGCTTCACTTGCATACTTCTACTACTTTCTAATTATATGTTTGTTTGTTTATCTATTCATTGTGGTCTTAGTAGACTGCTAGCACCATGAGGGAAAGGAATGTGTTTTATTCACCACAGTACACTAAGTGCCAAGCACAATGACTAACATATAAATAGACATTATATGACTAGCATATAAATAACATAAAAACTATTCTATCAGATAATTTTTTCTATACTAAAACTTTATCAGATTGCTTTTTCATAACAAAGGAATCAATACAAACCTTGAAAAGGTCAGGACAAAAAAAGAAGCTAGAGACTGAGAGAAAGAGTAAGAGCTCAACAACTCAGCTGAACACAGTGGCATTTATAAGAAGTCTTTGGAAAGTAGTTATTCAGGCTATGCCTAAACTATGTGGTTGAATCATTTGGTTAATCATTAATCATTTGCTACTTATTGTTTAGTGACTAACCAAAATGGTCTAACCTCTTATGCACATGGACATAATGAAAAAGAGAAGGAAACATCAGGGAAAGTTGGATGGCTTTCACCTAATGTGGAAAATAAAAACAAAAACAAAGGCTCTGTGGCAGTGTTGCCAGGGGCTTATTCCTCTGGGCACCAAATCCTGCTGCACTTGCCATAGATCATACCAGTCAAGTGATACTGTTTGGCCTTCACCCTCATCCAGGTGCTGAAGTGACAGCCTAGAGAAGGATATGATTTGTACTAGACATAAGGGTGAGATGGAATTTGTCAGATGGGAGCCTGGCATTTATTACCACAATTGAATGGTCAATCAATTATCAATTGTTAATACTGAAATCATCAATTTCAGATAATTAAGAACAACTGGAGGAAGCAGAATCCTCTCAAAGGTATGGCCACCAACTACAGTGATTTAAATATCCTGGAAGGGACCTCAGCTTCATATTTGTGACATTGAGCAGAATACAGACAAATTGTCAGGCAGTTGGGTGGGATGAAAAAGATGGGACGACAGCCAACACTATCAAAAGGACCTGAGTTCATGAATATCTGGGCTAGCTCAGTGAAGCTAAGGAGGAAGTGGATATGAAAGTCAATATTTTAAACTATGCAAGATGAATAATAAACTGGGGATAAACAATAGAGCAAACAGAACTGAACCTTCAAATGGCAAACTTTCAGGCTGTCCTGGAAGAGGTCACATTACATGGAACTTCATGTGCTTTTAGGCTTTGGGAAGTCAGTGGCCTAGGATGACAAAGGAAGAGAAACACAAAGGCCATTTGCAGAGGAAAGTGTATTTCATCCTGAAGCTGCCATCCTCAGATCGATTCACTGACTAACCTGGTCAAAGAACTCATGGCTACATGTCCATCTGGCAGATGTAATAGTGGGCAGGGCCAGTGACATGCAGGGACCCCACCCAATCCACACCCTTCCAAAGGACTCTACAGGGCCAGCACTCAGAGCCCTGCTGCTCTGAATGTTTTGCCAAAAGAAACATTCAGATGCCAACACTGACAGTGAACATGAGTGAGCAAAGCAAAACACGCAAGGGCAGCCTGTAGCAAGACTAAAGAAAAACCACCATTCTGTCCACCAGGCAGGTCAAGGCCATAAATGCTCTACTGGAGACTGGGTTACACCAGAAAGAATACAGAAACTAGTTAAGGTTGGAGGTATATTTTCCTAGGTGACCTCCAGATAAAGGTTAAGGAGGAAGCTAACGAGAGGAGGCTGTATGTAAAATGTACGTCAATTTCCATTGTTTTGAATAAACCCACATCGTACAGCTGGTAGATGATAAATCTCTGGTTTACATTGGTCTATTATTTAATTAGGCCAACCCTTCATGACTGATGGTATTTTGTCATTTTAACGATTCTTTATTTTTCTCACATCTAATTGGGAAATCACTGTTTATCATGGTTATGGTTTCTTTATTGTACCATCTTCTAGCCGCTGTCCAAGATGACGTGAACTCCAGGCTATTGACTTTCCTCTACCTTCAATGGAAATTGTCATGGAGAATTAAGTTTTTGACAAATCTACAGCCTATGTGCAGGGCTTCTTCCTGGGTGTAACAATAAGGAATTTGGAAACTGTCTCTAGTTTTGGCCTGGAGTCACACTGCAGCTTGAGACCCTGTCATTTCCATCAAGCTTGAAAATATACATCTTAATAAACTGCAATACTTCTTAAACCTTGATGGTATCTGTGAACATGATGAAAAGGGTTTTCACCATCAGATTTGAAACGTTTGGCTTTTTTGTTTTTAAATCATAGACTTCTGTTGTCTAAAACAAGTTCAGGCAGTAGGAAGGAACGAAGAGAGTTCAGATTTATTCACATGGTATTTTCCCAGAAGAGTCTCTTTTTTTAAGAAGCAATTTTTAGGCCATCTACATTAGGCCCATGCAAATGAAAAGATCAGAGTTTAATTAATCTTGTCCTGAGTAAGAGAAGTGACAAATAGCAATTAAGTGTTTTGTGTTCCTCAAGGAATTTTCCTGCTTACTTTCTCTTTGTTTCTCAAGGGAGGGAGTTACTCTCCCTTTTGGAAAATGCTCGGTGGAGAGGGCTAAAGCTAGTGACTCATATCCTGATTATCTTTCTTGAGCATGGCATGGGAGAAATAATGGAAATTTCTGGAGCCACACAGACCTAGGTTCCATCATTTGTCAGCTATGAGATGTTGGCTAATGTACGTAATTTCCTTCTTTATAAAACAGAGCTAAGAGGGCCAACCTTTCTCACAATAAAGTCAAGGCAGCCACTTTCTTCTCCATGGGTTGAGTTGGCGTGAAAAGAAGACTCCTGGCAGAATGCAACTTGAACCTGAAGAGCTTTATTCAAGAACAATTGAAACTGGAAATTATGTTTCTAACATCACACTGCCTTGTACTTCATGCGCTTTATTCTACAGAGTACTTTAAGGCTACACCTACACCTCAGAATGTTTGAATTTATTCAAGAAACAAAACTAGGTTAAATAATAATATAAAATGATGACAATGATAATAATAATAATAATTGATGTTATTGCTATGGAGCTGAGTAGAAAGAAAGTACTTTTTTGGTTAAAAGATCTCAAGTTGGCCAGGCGCAATGGCTTACACCTGTAATTCCAGCACTTTGGGAGGCCAAGGCGGGTGGATCACGAGGTCAGGAGATCAAGACCATCCTGGCTAACATGGTGAAACCCCATCTCTACTAAAAATACACAAAATTAACCAGGCGTGGTGGCACGTGCCTATAATCCCAGCTACTCAGGAGGCTGAGGCAGGAGAATGGCTTGAACCCGGGAGGCAGAGGTTGCAGCGGGCCAAGATTGCCCCACTGTACTCTAGTCTGGGTGACAGAGCGAGACTCCATCTCAAAAAAAAAAAAAAAACAAAACAAAACTCAAGTCACTGGCTGGTTGCCTTTTTCACTGTTCAGTTGATCTTTGAGGCACCATTAGACTTAACAGTCAATGTCTTTATCAAGGAAAACAATCAGCAAGTATATTAATTAGGGCATTGCTTACACTTTTACTGCAAGTCTGATTTTAAGTTGGATGCCTGTCTTCATTAAAGTCATTAATACTCTAAGTGAATTTGTGCCTGAAATTTCATATGTATTTAGGAATTACACATTTTTTGCTTTTTACCGTGGGACCTTTAAGCTATGAGCAATCTCCCTGTTGCAGACATCTAAAATTACAAACAGAGCTGTTTAGGTATATTAACAAGTGCCTCACCTTCAAAGTTGAAAATGGAAATTAAACAGAAGTGTACAGGATAGGATCATTGACAAAACCCTATGAGTATTAGCTTCTCTTTATTGGTACATGTAAATGTCTTCTGCAGCTGGCCACTGATGAGCACAGCCAGCATCTTAAGTCATGATTGGCATTGGCATTCGCTCTTCATTCTTCCCCAGAATAACAGAACTCATAGAATCCATCCCTCCCAGGTGTCACTGTAGAGTAAGTACCATTATATCACCTTTATAAAACAGTGTGTATCTTGAATCTAAGATCTCCTGCAGGGTCTCCTTCAAAACAATTGATCTTAAGGGTCCTGGATGTGGTGTGGTGGTGATGACCACAGTTCTGTTCTGATGTCCACTACTCTGTGATCTTTGGCTTTGTGGACCACTGACAGACCCAGGCTACTGTTTATGAAGCTGCTGACCCTCCCTTGGATCTCTGACCTCTAGGAAGCAGAAAGATCCTTGTGATTAGCTATTTTTGCAGGAGTTCCTCACAGCAGAATTGTCCAGATGTTTTAGGAAGGGGAAAGGGACAGGGGTGTGAGGAGGTTGGTGAGGTGCAGCTTCACCCTATGCTAGGATCATGCTCCCTCTTCCAGAGTTTATGCTAGTCTCTTTGGTTCTTTCAGCACCTAGCCTTTCCTCTGGCAGAGCAAGTGCTCCATTGTTTTATCTGCTAGCCCCAAAGACCCCCTCAGCAGCTGCTGGAGCATCGAACACATCTGTGACCCAATTCAAATTATTTCTAAAAGGAATAACTGGCCCTACACAATTCAAGGGACATAAATCTCAGTGTTTCATAACATTTCCTAAAAGCTCAGAAACTCCCAAAACATCTAGAGGCCAGCAGGGCCTCGTTCCAGCAGAATTAGAGTTCAGCCTAGCAGTGTCACATTGATCCACTTCAACATCTCAAGTCTCAGTTAGCTTTTGTTGGCAATAATATATTCCAGAAAATGAAATCAGCCCACATACCTAATAGGTACACCTTGAGGCCTGCATCTCAGTCAGCCTGGGCCACTGTAACAAAGTACTATAGGCTGGGTGGCTTATAAATGAGAGAAATTTCTCTCTGACAGTTCTAGAGGCTAGAAGTCCAAGATCAGGGTTCCAGGATGGTCCGAGTCTCATGAAGGCCCTCTTCTGGGATGCAGAGTGCCAGCTTTTCATTATATCTTCACACAGTGGAGAGTGTGAAAAAGCTCTCTGGGGACCCTGTTCTAAGAGCACTGATCCCATTTACAAGGGCTTCACTCTCATAACTTAATTACCTCCCAAGGCCCAACCTTCTAATACCATCACATTGAGGATTAGGATTTTGACATACAAATCCTGGTGGAGGACACAAGCATTTGGTCCATAAGAGTTGGTCATAGTCTGGTCACATCTCACCTACCTGTCCTGATTACCAACTCTTTTCTTCAGCAGCTCAACAACTGTTCATCCTTTCTCTAGCCCACACTGTCCTCTCAGTTCTCTGTCCACATAAGCTGACAGCAAAATCACAGTAGGTCATTGTTTTCCAACCTCACATCCTTTCCTGTTGGCTTGAGTTTTCCAGCTAAATTGTATGTTCATTATGCTTTCTTATATCCACACAGTAACATGATATACTCTGTCACAGAGGCACAATAAATCAAATTAAATTTAAAACTATTGCCTGGTTAGTTCATTTGTGGTTATGTCTAACAGCTGTAGTAGGCACTACAGGCTATAAAAAAGTGGAATATGGGGCCGGGTGCAGTGGCTCACGCCTGTAATTCCAGCACTTTGGGAGGCCGAGGCGGGTGGATCACAAGGTCAGGAGTTCAAGACCAGCCTGGCCAAGATGGTGAAACCCCGCCTCTACTAAAAATACAAAAATTAGTCGGGTGTGGTGGTGGGCACCTGTAATCCCAGCTACTTGGGAAGCTGAGGCAGAGAATTGCTTGAACCTGGGAGGCGTAGGTTGCAGCGAGCCGAGATTATGCCACTGTACTCCAGCCTGGGCAACAGAGTGAGCTCCATCTCAAAAACAAAAAAACAAAAAACAAACAAACAAAAAAAAACCAAAAACAAACAAACAAACAAAAGTGGACTATGATATGGTCCCTGTCCTCAAACATCTCCCAATCTCATTGAGAAGGCAAAAAATACAACAAAAATAATACAACTATAAGCAAATGCTAAGCTTGGTGCACCTAGGTGTTTCTTTGGTATCCAGGAAGGGGATAGTATAAGGTAAACTGAAGTTAACTAGAAAGATTTTATGGCTATGATAAAATCAGTGATTGGCCTCAAACAATTACACAAGTTGAGGAGACTGTTTAAAAAATGTGGGGTGTTTGTATTTTGTATAAACCTGTACATTAATCTTCAGAGAAGCTTTATTCACCCTAACCAAAAACAGGAAATAGCTCAGAAGTCCTTTCCTGAGTGAATGGTTAAACAAACTGTGGTTACATTCACACCATGGAATACTATGCAGGAATAAAAAGGAATGGACTATTGATGTGTGTAGCAACCTGATGACTCTGCAGGGAATTATACTGAGTGAAGAAAAGCCAATCCGAAAAGGTTACATAATGCATGATTCTATTTATATCACATTTTAAAAATTTAGAAACGAAGACTAGATTAAAGTGGTTGCCACAGATTTGGAGAAGGGGCAGGAGAGAGATGGAGATGGTTATCAAAGGGCAACCCAAGGTTCCTTGTGGAGATGGAACTGTTCAGTCTCTTGACCGTGATGATAGATACTCAAATCCACACGTCATTAAATTATATAGAACTAAACACACACACACACACACACAAAACAAGTAAAAATAGGGAAATCTGGCTAAAGCCTGTGGATTATATCAATCCTGGTTGTGATACTGTACTATGGTTTTACAAAATGTTCCATTGGGGAAACTGGGTAAAGGATACAAAGCATCTCTCTGGATTATTTATTACAACAGCATGTGAATCTACAATTATCTAAATAAAAAATTTCAATTAAAAAAACCCAGCAGAATGTCATTTCAGATGATAAGGTATAGCATAAGCCAGGCAGTGAAACTTAGATCACATCCAATATTAAGTTTCAGAAGACTTGGTTTCATGAAAATTTCTTAACCTGCTAAGCTTCTTTGCCTCAATTTATAAGTCAAAAATTTATAAATAGAAGGTACCGTAAAGTGGTGAGGAAAAATTAAGCATGACATTTAAACATTCAAAGAAGATGATTTCATGTCATCCAGTTACACCGCTTCCAACTTGGGGAGACCACCCCCATTTCATTGAAAGGGTCAGAGGATGGAAGAAATAAGATGATGTTTTGCAAGAAAGTATTTAAAATTAAAATATCCCTCCCAATTGCCCCAAAAGCCTAGGGGTTCTTAAACAATGATATACATAAGATTCATTTCAATGTGTGAAAATACAGCTTCCTGGGCCCACACCTAGAGATTGACATTTGGTGGAGTTGCATAGGATTCTGGAATTCTACATCTAATAAGCAACCCAGGTGATTCTAATCTACCTGGAATAAGAAATCAGAGTCAAAGAGCATACTTACCAAAAATGCAAAATTTTTTAAGACCCACTACTTTTGTCACACAATAGTTTAACTTTATTCTGATGATTCAGTGGAATTTATAGAAAGACGTTTGGGTACTTAAAGGTCTGGGTCATGTTCTTGTGTGGTTGGGAGTGGAGAGAGAAGAGGAAGCTGTCAAAGTATAAAACCTTCCCAGCCCTCCCCTTCTAATCACAACTCATCAAAGAGCATTTTGCACAGGGAGATCAAAGTCCCTTGCCGAAGAGAGGTTGAAAGACTTTGCTGTTGTAATTCTGGGGCAGAGGTGCTTGGATATAAATGAGCCCTAACTGTGGGTTTGGGGGACCCTGCAATGTAGAAATGTAAACACAGATGTCAGGCCTTTCATCCCCACTATATAAACATACCAGCTGCCAGGGGAAGGAGAAACCCTTCAGAATTAGCTGCATTTTTTTGCCATCTAGAGTATAAAAATTGGCTTGACACTTGAATTTCCATCAGCAACTTGAAGCATTGTTGACCAGAGTAGGGCTAACAATGGAACATCATCCACAGGCTGAGTGGCTCTTCTCTCTAGGAGACGTTCAGTTCTTGCCATTCTCTGACATATGGGTGGCTGTTCCAGAAAAAGAGAATGAGAAGAGGTGGTGGCACCCTTTCACAAAATCCCTAGACTCACAGAGAGGGGTCTTAAAAAATGGGTGGCCATTTTGTTTCCAGGGTTCTATAAACCAAGAGTCTGACTGAGATTTATAATCCTTATTGACCCAGAGTTAGGGAAAATGGAAGAAGCAAACCCTTAAGAGTTTTTGTGAGAAAAACTGAATTGCTTCCAGGAAAAGAGGATATGATTATTCCAACACATGAATATTTGAAGGGCCACAGCTGGTTTAGCCACAACAAAACCACAACAGACCTCCTCTCACACTATTAAATATTTTTTTTAAAAAAGGAAATGATGGAAAGAACCATTTCTGAAAAAAACTAAATGTGCAAAAAAGTATAATGGGAAGTGCATTTTACAATAAAACACTTCAATCCATGGAGAAATGTGTCTTCAATTACATCTCAAGCTAGCATGCCCGCTTGCATATGCATGTAAGTCTCGTGTTTTCCACAGAGCCTCAGTTCCGAAAGACCTGAAGTGTTGTAGCAAAAGCATATGAAGAGTGTCTTTTCATTGGAACAGAGATGGCCTTTCTTCTGAAAACATGACAGTCAAATATCTTCTGGCAATGGATATGCTCGTTGTTACATTATTAGCAATACACATCAACCCAAGATGATAAAAATGAATCTGAAATTACCAAGCAACCTATATATGTGAACTTATTGGACAGAGGCCATTGTGGTTTAGGACACATTACTTCAAATAAAATGTATTCCTTTAAAAATCATTCATCAGAGTATTGTAAAAGGATTATCACAGTGGGCTTTTAAAATAGCTTTGTTTAGAAGGGATCAGCTAAGCCAGCTGTATGTAATAGAAGATCCAATCAATTCAGGATAAATGCATCATAGGTATTAACTAGAAATATTTTGCTGCTGATATTTAGCTTATAAGATACTATTTTCTACAGTCAGGTTATGGACTACAATTAAACTCAAATCTATGTGGACAGTATCTTCTACTTACAAGTAGATTCATTCAAGAAGGCTGTTCTTAAATCCATTTGCTTCTAAGTTCAAAAGATCACACACAATAATGCATTTGTACACCCTTTTGCTTTTACAAGAGCATTCTAGATGTTGATTGCATTGTTTCTGTCCCTTCTTGTTTGTTTCAAAATCTCATGTATGTATGTGTGTGTATGTATTTGTGTGTGATATGTATTGCTATGTATGTGTTTATGTATCCAAAATAGTACCTCAAACAGCACACACACCAGAATATCTCAATATTTCAGACTTCAAATGGCTATGCAAGACAGCCAGTGCCACCTGTGGATGCAGGCAGAGTTGACTTTCCTTTATTAGCAATCTGAAAGTTTCTTAGGTTGAGTAAATAATGTAGCTTATGTAATTCTTAATTTATACTTTAACATGGCCAAGATATGCATAATAATTTGGTTCCAGTGTAACTCTGCAGGCCGGTCTCTCATCTATTCTATGCTGCATTCAAACTCTTCTGTTTGTTTTATTTTTTAGTTCCTCTAGAGTACTGTTTTCTTCTCTTCAATTAATAATTTTTTTATTGATGACCTATTATGTGCTAGGCAAGGTTCTAAGTTCAGAGGATACAGTAGTGAATCAAACAGACAAAATTCCCTGCCTTCTTAGAGCTTATGTTCTAGTTGGGGAAAGACAAAATAAATAAATATGTAAAATATATATTATGTCAAATAGTCATAAGTACTATGCAACACATGCATGGAAGATGGAGGAGTTGGAAGGGAGGAATTGCCACTTAAAATGTGATGGACAGGCATTCAGAGTGCCTGCTTGCCTGGTTCAGCAGCCTGAGCCACTACACCCCTCCTGTGCAGAGATCTTGGTGCAGGGGGACCTCTCTGTTCCCCAGCCTAGCAGTTTTCCAAGCATCTGGAGCACCCACTCTCCTGGATTAGGAGTTTAGGCCACCCTGCATTCCCACGCAGAGAACTTCGGGCAAAGGAGGTTTTCCAGCTCCACGCCTAGGCACACCTCTTGGGTACGTGGTGGCTGCCCATTAGATTCTCCCTCAGTGCTGGTGCCTGTGCCTGCCATTGGATGACCTGTAGGCAGACCTGCCCAGTCTGATGCTTCCCTTTGTGACTCTTGTAGGCCCCCAGGGCTGAGTAGGGAGCTAAGACCACTTTCATTCCAATCAGCTCATTGCCTGAGGCAACAGAGAACTTCAGCCATTAAACAAAGATCAAATATATACCTCCTCGAGTTGCCCACAGCCGGTTCCTACCTATAAGCGCCATCTACTGCCTTGTAGGTCAAACTGCACAGCCCTACATAAAATCGAAGCCGAAAGACCCTACATAGTATTCTCCGCATTCACACCCCCTAAGGAGGGGGATAAAGGGAAAGGAAAAGAAAAATAATATTATGGGGAAAAAAGAAAAATAAATAATCCTACTCCTGTGAAAATAATTACAACAATTAGAAGTGCCAGTATCTCCAGAAGAGAAGGAATCAGCACAAGAATTATGGCCCCATGGAAAATAGGAAGGTAGTGACAACACCAAGGGATTGCTCTACAGCAACGGCCTCTAGCCAAAGTGGAAACTCAGAAATGACAGATAAAAAATTCAGGCTGGGCGCAGTGGCTCATGCCTGTAATCCCAACACTTTGGGAGGCTGAGGTGGGCGGATCACCTGAAGTCAGGAGTTCGAGACCAGCCTGGCTAACATGGAAAAACTCCATCTCTACTAAAAATACAAAAATTAACCGGACATGGTGGCACGTGCCTGTAATCCCAGCTACTTTGGAGGCTGAGGCAGGAGAATCACTTGAACCCAGAAGGCGGGGGTTGTAGTGAGCCAAGATAATGCCACTGCACTCCAACCTGGGTGACAGAGCGCGACTGTCTAAAAAAAAAAAAAAAAAGAAAAAGAAAATTCAAGACAAGGTTGAAAATCAACACAAAGAAACTTCTAAAGCAATCCAAGAAATGAAGGAAAAGATAAACATCTTAAAAAGAAATCAGCCAGAACTTCCAGAATTTAAAAACTTGCTTAAGGAATTTCAAAATAGAATTAAAAATTTTGTCAATAGACTGGACCAAGGAGCACAAAGAATTATGGATCTTGAAGACAAGTCTAGTTTTCCTAGTCAGATAAAAATAAAGAATAAATAATTTTTAAAAATGAACAAATTCTTCAAGAAATAGGAGATTATGTAAAGCGACCAAACTTATGAACTATTGGCATTCCTGAGAGAGAAAGAGAAAAAGTAAACAACCTGGAAAACATATTTGAGGGAATAATTCAAGAAAAATTCCCTAAAATTGCTAGATGGGTAGACATCCAGATACAAGAAATCCAGAGAATGCATGTGAAATACTATAGAAAATAAACATCACCAAGGCATATAGTCACCACACTATATGCAGTGTCCAAGGTCAATGCTAAAGAAATATCTTAAAGGCAGCTAGAGGAAAAAAGTCAGATCACATACAGAGGGTATCCCATCAGGCTAAAAGTGAATTTCTCAGCAGAAACCTCATAAGCCAGGAGAGATTGGGGACCTATTTTCAGCATTCTTAAAGAAAAGAAATTCTAATGAAGAATTTCACATGCTGTCAAACTAAGTAAGCTTCATAAGTAAAGGCGAAATAAAATCTCTTCCAGATAAGCAAGCACTAAGAAATTTGTTACAACTAGACCAGCCTTACAAGAAATTCTTAAGTGAGTTCTAAATATGGAAACAAAAGAATAATACCTGCTACCACAAAAACACACTTAAGTCCATAGCCCGCAGGCCCTATAAAGCAACCACACAATAGAAACTAGAAAGCAACCAGCTAACAACTTCACAATGGGATCAAAATCTCACATAACAAATTAACCTTGCATGTAAATGGTCTAAATGTCCCACTTAAAAGGTAAAGAGTGATAAGCTGGATTTAAAAACAAGACCTAGTCAGGTGCAGTGGCTCATGCTTGTAATTCCAACACTTTGTAATTCTGAGGTGAGTGGATCACTTCAGCTCAGGAGTTTGAGACCAACCTGGGCAACATGGAAAAACCCTGTCTCTATGAAAAATACAAAAAATTAGCCAGGCATGATGGTGCACACCCAGCTACTTGGGAGCTGAGGTGGGACGATCGCTTGAGCCTGGAAGGTCAGGGCTGCAGTGAGCCAAGATTGCACCACTGCACTCCAGCCTGGGTGACAAAGTGAGATCTTGTTAAAAAAAAAAAAAAAAAAAAAGTTTAAAAAAAAAAGACCAATCTGTCTGCTATCTTCAAAAGACTCATCTCACACATTATGATGCCCATAGGCTCAAAGTAAAGGGTTGGAGAAAGATCTACCGTGCAAACAGAAAACAAAAACAAGTAGGAGCTACTATTCTTATATCAGATAAAACAGACTTTAAACTAACACTAGTAAAAAAAGGACAACAAAGGGCACTGCATAATAATGAAGTGTTCAATTCAACAAGATGACTTAACTATCCTAAATATATATGCACCCAATATTGGAGCACCCAGAACCATAAAACAAATACTTCTAAATCTACTAAAAGACTTAGGCAGCCACACCATAATAGCAGGGGACTTTAATACCCCACTGACAACGTTTGACAGATCGTCAAGGCAGAAAACTAACAAAGAAATTCTGAACTTGACCAATTGGATCTAATACACATCTACATAATACTCCACATATCAACCACAGAATATACATTTCTTCAAGATTGACCATATGTTTGGCCATAAAGCAGGTCTCAACAAATTTTTTAAAATATCAAAATTATACTAACCATACTCTCACACTGTAGTGGAATAAAAACATAAATCAATACCAAGAACTTCTCTTAAAGCTACACAGTTAAATGAAAATTGAAAAATTTGTTCCTGAATGACTTTTGGGTTAAACAATGAAATTAAGGCAAAAATCAAAAAAATCTTTGAAATAAATGAAAACAGAGACAAAACATACCAAAATCTCTGGGATGCAGCAAAAGCAATGTTAAGAGGAAACTTTATGGCATTAAATGCCTACCTCAAAAAGCTAAAAAGATCTGAAATTAACAATCTAACAACATAACTAGAGGAAGTACAAAGACAAAAAAAAAGCTAGCAGAATAAAACAGACAACTAAAATCTAAGTAGTACTGAATAAAATTGAGACCCAAAAATTCATGCAAAAAATCAACAAAACCAAAAGCTTGGTCTTTGAAAGGATAAACCAGATGGATTCAGTGCTAGCTAGATTCACAAAACAAACAGTAGAAGATAAACACACACACACACACACACACACACACACAGACACAAAATCAGAAATAAGAAAGGTGGCATTACAATGACCCCAGAGAAATACAAAAGATCTTCAGAGACTATTATGAACATCTGTATGCACACAAACTAGAAAACCTAGAGAAAATGGATAAATTCCTATAAATATACAAACCCCCAAGACTGAATCAGGAAGAAATTGAAACACTGAACAGATCAATGTTAAGTTCCGAAATTGAATCAGTAATAATAATTTTAGAAAACCTATCAACCAAAAAAAGCCCCAGACCAGATGCATTCACAGCCAAATTCTATAAGATGCACAAAGAGGAACTAGTACCAGTGATACTAAAACTATTGCAAAAAATTGAGGAAGGGCTCCTCCCTAACTCATTCTACAAAACCTAGCATCACTCTGATACCAAAACCTAGCAAAGACACAAGAAGAAAACTAGAAGCCAATATCCCTGATGAACATAAATGCAAAAATCCTCAATAAAAAACTAGCAAACTAAATACAAGAGTACACAAAAATTTAATTTACCATGATCAAGTAGGCTTTATTCCTGGAATGCAAGGTTGGCTCAACTTATGCAAATCAGTAAATATGGTTCACCACATACACAGAATTAAAAACAAAGACCATATGATCCTCTCAATTGATGCAGAAAAAGCTTTTGATAAAATACAACATCACTTCATGGTAAAAACTCTCAAGAAACTAGGCATCAAAGTAACATACCACAGAATAATAAGAGCCATCTATGACAAACCCACAGCCAACACCATACTGAACAGGCCAAAGCTGGAAGCATTCTCCTTGAGAACTAGAACAAGACAAGGATATCCACTCTCATCACTCCCATTCAACATAGTACTGGATAGTGCTAGCCAGAGAAATCAGGCAAAAGAAAGAAATAAAAGGCATCCAAATAGGAAAAGAAGGAATCAAACTATCTATCTCTTCACTGACAATATGATTCTATACCTAGAAAACCCTAAAGACTCCACTAAAAGGCTCCTGGATATCTGTGGAAAAAAACATTCTAGTCACAGAGAACAGCCAGTACAAAACCCCTGCAAAATAGTGTACTTGACCTGCTTAACATGGAGGTCAAGATGGTTGGAGAGTGGCAATGAAGGGAGAAGGTAATGGGAGATGTGGTCAGGAGGCAGTGAGTTGTACAGATCGTGTGAGGCTCTATCAAAAAATTTAGCTTTAATTTAGAATGTTTGGAAAGCCACATAAGTGGGAGGGTAAGAAAAGGTGGGGAGTTGGAAAACTGGCCGTGATAAGGGGCAAGATGATCTTGAGAGTAATGGTAGACATCAGAGGTGGTCAGATGCTGCACATATTTTGAGAATACAGCCAAAAGGTATATTGACAGATTGAGTGTGGGGAGTGTTAAAAGGAAGTCAAGGGTAAGTCTAACAGGTTTTTTTTTCTTTTGCCTGAGCAATTGGAAAGATAAAATCGCTTTTGATAAGGGGCAAGCTGTAGGAGCAGCAGACTTTGGTAAGAGGAAGGTGCAGATATCAGGAGTTTGGATTTGAACAGGCTAAGACTGAAATATTTATTAGACATCCAAATGGAGATGGAAAAAAGGCAGTTGGACACATGCATTTGTCATTCTGGGGAGAGGTATAAATTGGAGACATAAAACTTGGAAGTCATCAACATATATAGGAGATTTAAAGATATGAAAGTGAAACACCAAGGAGAGAGTATTGATAGAAAAGAGAAGAGGATAGAAGAGTGAGCCTTGGTTCCTCCTACTGATGACTCTGGACATTAGAACATCCTTTATCAAATGTGTATTTTGCAAATATTTTCTCACAAGCTGTGGCTTAGTTTTTCATTCTGACAGTGTTTATCAAAGAGCACAAATTTTTGATTTTAATAAAGCCAGACTTACCAGTTCTTTCTTTCATGGGTTATGTCTTTGGTTTTGCATCTAAAATGCCAAGCCCAAGTTTATCTACATTTTCTCCTATGTTATCCTCTGAAATTTTTATAGTTTTGTACTTTACATTTGGGATTGTGATCCATTTTGAGTTAATTTTTGTGAAGGGTGTAGGGTCTATGTCTAGATTCACTTTTTCTGCATGTGGACATCCAGTTGTTCTAGCACCATTTGTTGAAAGGACTCTTTGCTCCATTGTATTGCCTCTGCTTCTTTGTTCAGGTCAGTTGACTATATTTATATGGGTCTATTTCTGGTCTCTCTATTATGTTTCATTGATCCATTTGTCTATTCTTTTGCCAATTCCACACTATCTTAGTTGTAGCTTTGTAGGATTTCTTAGTCAGGTTGCACCAGTCCTAACTTTGTTTTCCCCTTTCAATATCATATTGGCTATTTTGGGTCTTTTGCCTGTCCATATAAACCTCAGAATCAGTTGGTTAATATCCATGAATAGCTTTAAGATTGCACTGAATCTCTAAATCAAATTAGGAAGAACTGAATTTTGACAGTATTGTCTTCCTATTCATGAATGTGGAATCTTTGTCTATATATCCCTTTGATTACTTTCATCTGAGGTTTATCATTTTCCTCATCTTTTACATGTTTTGCTAGATTTATATCTAGGCATTTTATTTTTAGGGGTACTAATGCAAATGATATTGCATTTTTAATTTAAACTTCTGCCTGTTCACTGCTGTCTCCTGAACCTTACTATAATTACTGGTTGCAGAAGTCTTTGGTTGATTCTTTAAGATTTTCTGCATACATGGTCATGTGATTGGTGACCAAAGAGATTTCTTTTTTTTTTTTTTCAATCTCTTACCTTTTGTTTCCTTTTCTTGCCTTATTACATTAGCTGGGATTTCCAGTATGTTGCTGAAAAGGAGTGATGAGAGGACATCCTTGCCTTGTACCTGATCTCTCAGGCTGTAGGAAAACTTCAAGTATCTTACCATTAAGTATGATGTTAGCTGTAGGATTTTTGTAAATATTTTGTATCAAGTTAAGGAAGATTCCTTCTATTCCAAGTCTACTTAAAGGTTTTATCATGAATGAATATTAGATATTATCTGCATCTATTGATATGAACATGTTATTTTTCTTCTTTAGTCTGTTGATGTGATATATTACAGTAATTAATTTTCATTGTTGAACCAGCATTGAGGACTTGGTTGTGGTGTATAATTCTTTTTACACCTTGTAGAATTTGAATTGCTATTATTTTGTTGAGGAGTTTTGCATCTTATTTTAGTGAAAGATGCTGGTCTTAAATGGTTGGTAGAATTCACCAGGGAACCCATCTGGGCCTGGTAATTTCTGCTAATGAGGTTAATTATTAATTCAATTTCTCTAATAGATATAGGCTTTTCAAATTGTTTCTTTCTTCCTGCGAGAGTTTTGACAGTTTCTTGTGTCTTTCAAGAAATTGGTCCATTTAATCGAGATTATCAAATTTGTGGGCATAGAGTTTTCATAATATTTATTATTCTTTTAATGTCTTTGGGATCTGCAGTAATAGTCCTTTCATTTTTAATATTAGCAATTTGTGTTTTCTATATTTTCTTAGATAACTTAGGTAGAGACTTACTGATTTTATTAATTTTGTCAAAGAACCAGCTTTTAGTTTTATTGATTATCTCTTTATCTGTTTTCAATTTCACTGATTTCTGCTCCAATTTTTATTATTTCTTTTCTTCTGCTTACTTTGGATTTACTTTGCTCTTTTTGCTTAGTTGCCGAAGATGAAAGCTTAAGTGATTAATTTTAGAGTTTCCCTCTTTTCTAACATATGCATTTAATACTGTAAGTTTCCCCTCTAACCACTGGTTTCAGAATATTCCACAAATTTTGATAAGTTGTTTTTATCTTAATTTAGTTCAGAGTATTTTAAAATTTCTCTTGAGCTTTCTTCTTTGACTCATATATTTTTTAGAAATGTGTTGCTCAGGAATTTCTTTCCAAGATGGCCAAATAGAAACAGCTCTAATCGGCAGCTCCCAGCGTGATCAACACAGAAGATGGGTGATTTCTGCATTTCCAACTGAGGTACCTAGTTCATCTTATTGGGACTGGTTGGACAATGGGTGCAGCCCATGAAGGGTGAGCTGAAACAGGGTGGGGCATCGCCTCACCTGGAAAGCACAAGGGGTCGGGGGATTTCCCTTTCCTAGCCAAGGGAAGCCATGGCAGACTGTACCTGGAAAATCAGGAAATTCCAGCCCAAATACTGTGCTTTTCCAACGGTCTTAGTAAATGGAACACCAGGAGATTACATCCCCTACCTGGCTCAGCGGGTCCCACACCCACGGAGCATTGCTCACTGCTAGCACATCAGTCTGAGATCAACCTGTGAGGCAGCAGCCTGGCAGGGGGAGGGGCATCCACCATAGCTGAGAATTGAGTAGGTAAACAAAGCAGCTAGGAAGCTCAAACTGAGCGGAGCCCACCGCAGCTCAGCAAGGCCTATTGCCTCTGTAGATTCCACCTCTGGGGGCAGGGCATAGCTGAAAAAAAGGCAGCAGAAACTTCTGCAGACTTACACATCCATGTCTGACAGCTCTGAAGAGAGCAGTGGTTCTCCCAGCATGGTGTTTGAGCTCTGAGAGTGGACAGACTGCCTCCTCAAGTGGGTCCCTGAACCCCATGTAGCCTAATTGGGAGACACCTCCCAGTAGGGGCTGACTGACACCTCATATAGGCCGGTGCCCCTCTGGGATCAAACTTCCAGAGGAAGGATCAGGCAGCAATATTTGCTGTTCTGCAGCCTCTGCTGGTGATACCCAGGCAAACAGGGTCTGCAGTGCACCTCCAACAAACCCCAACAGACCTGCAGCTGAGGGACCTGACTGTTTGAAGGAAAACAAACAGAAGGGAATAGCATCAACATCAACAAAAGGACATCCACACCAAAACCCCATCTGTAGGTCACCAACATCAAAGACCAAAGGTAGATAAAACCACAAAGATGGGGAGAAACCAGAGCAGAAAAGCTGAAAATTCTAAAAACCAGAGCACCTCTTCTCTTCCAAAGGATCGCAGCTCCTCACCAGCAACGGAACAAAGCTGGACGAAGAATGACTTTGACGAGCTGACAGAAGTAGGCTTCAGAAGGTTGGTAATAACAAACTTCTCCGAGCTAAAGAAAGATGTTCGAACCCATCACAAAGAAGCTAAAAACCTTGAAAAAAGATTAGAGGAATGGCTAACTTGAATAAACAGTGTAGAGAAGACCTTAAATGACCTGATGGAGCTGAAAACCATGGCATGAGAACTACATGACACATGCACAAGTTTCAATAGCTGATATGGTCAAGTGGAAGAAAGGGTATCAGTGATTGAAATCAAATTAATGAAATAAAGCAAGAAGAGAAGTTTAGAGGAAAAAGAGTAAAAAGAAATAAACAAAGCCTCCAAGATATATGGGAATATCTGAAAGACCAAATCTATGTTTGATTGGTGTACCTGAAAGTGACAAGGAGAATGGAACCAAGTTGGAAAACACTCTTCAGGGTATTATCCAAGAGAACTTCCCCAACCTAGCAAGGCAGGCCAACATTCAAATTCAGGAAATACAAAGAACACCACAAAGATACTCCTTGAGAAGAGCAATCCCAGGACACATAAATGTCAGATTCACCAAGGTTGAAATGAAGGAAAAAATGTTAAGGGCAGCCAGAGAGAAAGGTCGGGTTACCCATAAAGGGAAGCCCATCAGACTAACAGCAGATCTCTTAGCAGAAACTCTACAAGCCAGAAGTGAGTGGGGGCCAATATTCAACATTCTTAAAGAAAAGAATTTTCAACCCAGAATTTCATATCCAGCCAAACTATGCTTCATAAGTGAAGGAGAAATAAAATCCTTTACAGACAAGCAAATGCTGAGAGATTTTGTCACCACCAGGCCAGCCTTACAAGAGATCCTGAAGGAAGCACTAAACATGGAAAGGAACAACTGTTATCAGCCACTGCAAAAACATGCCAAATTGTAAAGATCACCGATGCTAGGAAGAAACTGCATCAATTAACGGGCAAAATAACCAGCTAATATCATAATGACAAGATCAAATTCACACATAACAATATTAACCTGAAATGTAAATGGGCTAAATACCCCAATTAAAAGACATAGACTGGAAAATTGGATAAAGAGTCAAGACCCATCAGTGTGCTGTATTCAGGAGACCCATCTCATGTGCAGAGACATACATAGGCTCAAAATAAAGGATGGAGGAAGATCTACCAAGCAAATGGAAAGCAAAAAAAAGCAGAGGTTGCAATCCCAGTCTCTGATAAAACAGACAATAAACCAATAAAGATCAAAAGAGATAAAGGAGGCCACTACATAATGGTAAAGGGATCAATTCAACAAGAAAAGCTAACTATCCTAAATATATATGCACCCAATACAGAAACACCCAGATTCATAAAGCAAGTCCTTAGAGATCTACAAAGAGACTTAGACTCCCACACAATAATAATGGGAGACTTTAACACCCCCCTGTCAATATTAGACAGATCAACGAGACAGAAGGTTAACAAGGATATCCAGGACTTGAACTCAGCTCTGCACCAAGAACCTAATAGACATCTGCAAAACTCTCCACCACAAATCAACAGAATATACATTCTTCTCAGCACCACACCACACTTATTCCAAAATTGACCACATAGTTGGAAGTAAAGCACTCCTCAGCAAATGTAAAAGAACAGAAATCACAACAAACTGTCTCTCAGACCACAGTGCAATCAAATTAGAACTCAGGATTAAGAAACTCACTCAAAACCGCTCAACCACATGGAAACTTAACAACCTGATCTTGAATGATTGCTGGGTAAATAATTAAATGAAGGCAGAAATGAAGATGTTCTTTGAAACCAATAAGAACAAAGAAACAAGGTACCAGCATCTCTGGGACACATTTAAAGCAGTGTGTAGCGGGAAATTTATAGCACTAAATGCCCACAAGAGAAAGCAGGGAAGATCTAAAATTGATACCCTAACATCACAATTTAAAGAACTAGAGAAACAAGAGCAAACAAATTCAAAAGCTTGCAGAAGGCAAGAAACCACCAAGATCAGAGCAGAACTGAGACACAAAACACCCTTAAAAAAACCAATGAGTCCAGGAGCTGGTTTTTTTGAAAACATCAACAAAATTGATAGACCACTAGCAAGACTAATAATGAAGAAAAGAGAGGAGAATCAAACAGATGCAACAAAAAATGATAAAGGGGATATCACCACTGATCACACAGAAATACAAACTACCGTCAGAGAATACTATAAACACCTCTATGCAAATAAACTAGAACACTAGAAGAAATGCGTAAATTCCTGGGCCCATACACCCTCCGAAGACTAAACCAGGAAGAAATTGAATCTCTGAATAGACCAATAACAGGCTCTGAAATTGCGGCAATAATTAATAGACTACCAACCAAAAAAGTCCAGGCCTAGATGGATTCACAGCCGAATTCTACCAGGGGTACAAAGAGGAGCTGCTACCATTCCTTCTGAAACTATTCCAATTAATAGAAAAAGAGGTAATCCTCCCTAACTCATTTTATGAGGCCAGCATCATCCTGATTCAAAAGCCTGGTAGAGACACAACAAAAAAGAAAAATTTCAGGTCAATATCCCTGATGAACATCGATGCAAAAATCCTCAATAAAATACTAGCAAATCGAATCCAGCAGCACATCAAAAAGCTTATCCACCACGATCAACGCAGCTTCATCCCTGGCATGCGAGGCTGGTTCAACACATGCAAATCAATAAACATAATTCATCACATAAACTGAACCATTGACAAAAACCACATGATTATCTCAATAGATGCAGAAAAGGCCTTCAACAAAATTCAATAGCCCTTCATGCTAAAAACTCTCAATAAACTAGGAATTGATGGAATGTATCTCAAAATAATAAGAGATATTTATGACAAACCCACAGCTAATATCATACTGAATGGGCAAAAACTGGAAGCAATCCCCTTGAAAACTGGCACAAGACAGGGATGCCCTCTCTCACCACTCCTATTAAATATAGTGTTGGAAGTTCTGGCCAGGGCAATCAGACAAGAGAAAGAAATAAAGGGTATTCAATTAGGAAAATAGGAAGTCAAATTGTCCCTGTTGGTAGATGATATGATTGTATACTTAGAAAACCCCATCATCTCAGCCCCAAATCTCCTTAAGCTGATAAGCAACTTCAGCAAAGTCTCAGGATACAAAATCAATATGCAAAAATCACAAGCATTCCTACACACCAATAACAGACAAACAGAGAGCCAAATCATGAGTTAATTTCCATTCATAATTGCTACAAAGAGAATAAAATACCTGGGAATCCAACTTACAAGGGATGTGAAGGACCTCTTCAAGGAGAACTACAACTCAACGAAATAAAAGAGGACACAAACAAAAGGAAGAACATTCCATGCTCATGGGTAGGAAGAATCAATATCTTGAAAATGGCCATACTGCAAAAAGTAATTTATAGATTCAATGCCATACCCATCGAGCTACCAATTACTTTCTTCACAAAATTGGAAAAAACTACTTTAAGGTTCATATGGAACAAAAAAAGAGTCCACATTGCCAAGTCAATCCCAAGCAAAAAGAACAAAGCTGGAGGCATCATGCTACCTGACTTCAAACTATACTACAAGGCTACAATAACCAAAACAGCATGGTACTTGTACCAAAACAGAGATATAGACCAATGGAACAGAACAGAAGCCTTAGGAATAACACCACACATCTACAACCATCTGATCTTTGACAAACCTGACAAAAACAAGCAACGGGGAAAGGATTCCCTATTTAATAAATGGTGCTGGGAAAACTGGCTAGTCATATGTAGAAAGCTGAAACTGGATGCCTTCCTTACACCTTATACAAAAATTAATTCAAGATGGATTAAAGACTTAAATATTAGACCTAAAACCATAAAAACCCTAGAAGAAAACCTAGGCAATACCATCCAGGGCATAGGCATGGGCAAGGACTTCATGACTAAAACACCAAAAGCAATGGCAACAAAAGCCAAAATAGACAAACGGGATCTAATTAAACTGAAGAGCTTCTGCACAGCAAAAGAAACTAACATCAGAGTGAACAGGCAACCTATAGAATGGGAGAAAATTTTTGCAATCTACCGATCTGACAAAGGGCTAATATCCAGAATCTACAAAGAACTTAAACAAATTTACAAGAAAAAAACAAACAACTCCATCAAAAAGTGGGCAAAGGATATGAACAGACACTTCTCAAAAGAAGACATTTATGCAGCCAACAGACATGAGAAAAAATGGTCACCATCACTGGTCACCAGAGAAATGCAAATCAAAACCATAATGAGATACCATCTCACACCAGTTAGAATTATGACCATTAAAATGTCAGGGAACAACAGATGCTGGAGAGGATATGGAGAAATAGGAATGCTTTTACACTGTTGGTGGGAATGTAAACTAGTTCAAGCATTATGGAAGACAGTGTGGCGATTCCTCAAGGATCTAGAGCTAGAAATACCATTTGACCCAGTGATCCCATTACTGGGTATATACCCAAAGGATTATACATAATGCTACTATAAAGACACATGCACATGTATGTTTATTGAGGCATTATTCACAACAGCAAACACTTGGAACCAACCCAAATGTCCATCAATGATAGACTGGATTAAGAAAATGTGGCACATATACACCATGGAATACTATGCAGCCCTAAAAAAGGGTGAGTTCATGTCCTTTACAGGGACATGGATGCAGCTAGAAACCATCATTCTGAGCAAACTATCACAAGGACAGAAAACCAAACACTGCATGTTCTCACTCACAGGTGGGAACTGAACAATGAGAACACTTGGACACAGGGTGGGGAATATCACACACCAGGGCCTGTTGTAGGGTGGAGGCAGGGGGAGGAATAGCATTAGGAGAAATACCTAATGTAAATGATGAGGTACAGCAAAACAACATGGCACATATATACCTATGTAACAAACCTGCATGTTGTGCACATGTATCCTAGAACATACAGTATAATAATTAAAAAAAAATTTAAAAAAAGAAATGTATTGCTCAGTCTCTAGTATTTGGAAACTTTTCAACTATCTTTCTGTTATTAATTTCTAGCTTAATTTCATTTTGGTCTGAGATCAGGCACTGCATAATTTTTATTTTAAAAATTTATTAAGGAATGTTTTATGGCCCAGAACTTAGTCTATCTTGGTGAATGTGCCATGTGAGCTTGAGAAGAATATGTATTCTCCTGTTGTTAGACGACATAGTCTATAGATAGATATTCATTAGATCCTGTTGTTTGATGGTGCTATTGAGTTCAACTATGTCCTTACTGATTTTCTGCCTGCTGGATTTGTCCATTTATGATAGAGAGGTGTTGAAGTCTCTAACTCTGATACTGGATTATTTATTTCTTCTTCCTGTTACATCAGTTTTTGCTTCATGTATCGTGATGCTTTGCTCTTGGGCACATACACTCTAAGGATTGTTATGTCTTCTCGAAAAATCGACCCCTTTATCATTATGTAATGACCCCCTTTATCCCTGATAAGTTTTCTGGTCTAAAATCTATTCTGTATGGAATTAATATAGCTACTCTCACTTTCTTTTGATTAGGGTTAGCATGGTATATCTTTCTCTATCCATTTACTTCTAATCTAAATATGTTTTATATTTAAAGTGAGTTTCTTGTAAGCACCATGTAATTGGGTCTTGTTTCTTGATCCACTCTGACAATCTCTGTCTTATAATTGGTGTATTTAGACCATTGACATCAAAGTGATCATTGATGTAACTGAATTAATATTTGTTGTATTTTTTACTGTTTCCTATTGCCTTTGCTCTTGTTCCTATTTTTGTCTTTTACTTTTTTTCTGCCTTTTGTAGTTTTGATTATTTTATATGATTAAATTCCCTCTCCTTTATTACCATATCAGTTCTACTCCTTTTCTTACATTTTTTAGTAAGTGTTCTGAATTTTTATACTTTTAACTTCTTTTTCTTGTTTCTTTACTGGATAGAGCTTTACATACAATGTTGAATGAAAACAGATCTAGATATCCTTGATTTCTTTCCAGTTATAAGGAAAATATTTCCCTTTTAGTATTTCCCACGTTGATTATAACATTTGCTTTAAGTTTTCTGTAGATATTCTTTATCTGGTGGTTAAAGTTTCCTTCTATTCTTAGGTTGATGAGACTTTATTTTTTTAATCATAAAAGGACATGAAATTTTATTAAATGCTTTTTCTGCATCTATTGACTTATCCATATAATTTCTCTCATTTATTAATTTAGCAAGTTACATTAATTGATATTATAGGGTTAAACCACTTTGTATTCTTGAAATAAATTTAACTTATTTGTGATAATTTTGATTCTCATATATTGCTGGATTTTGTTTACTATTATTTTGTTTAGGATTGTTGCATCTATAATTACAGATGATTTCATTTTTTTGACTCATCACCATCAGTATTGGTGTCAAAATTATGCTAGCTTTATCTATATTTTGCAATAGACAATGAAAAATTACAATTAATGTTTTTCTGAATATTTGATAGCACTCACTTGTTAAAAACTATCTGAACCCTTGGCTGTTATGTGCATAGACCTTTTACATTCCAAAGTTTTAAATTATACTATCTAATTTTTTGATAATTATCTGAAATATTATGTTTTTTTATTGCTAATATTATGTTTGTGCTTTTTTCCCTTTGTTTTTTCCAGTTTTGTCAAATAAATTAATCCTTCACAAAATAAATGTTTATTGCTCATTTTTATTGTATGTTTGTACTTCATTAATTAATGCTCTTAAATTTATTACTTTCTTGCTTTCGTTTTCTTTGGGTTTTCTCTTAAGTTAAATAATTTACATAGTTAGTTTCAGATCTTCTTTTAAACTATAAGTATTAAAGGCTATAAATTTTCCTACAGTACTGCTTTAGCCATATCCCCACAAGTCTTGATGATGTAGAAATCTAGCTATAGTTTATTTCTAAATATTAGGTTAAACCTTAGGAAATTGTCATTTTTGTAGGTTAAAAATTGTTGAATGTCAGCAATTCTGTAGTTAAATTTAATATAGTCTAACTTTCACTATTATGTCTTTATCCACAATTCATATAGAAGCATGTTTGTTAATTTCCAAATAGATGTGTTTTTTTTCCAGTCAGCTTTCTTTTACCAATCTCTAAGAATTTTAATGTGATCAATAGGACAATTCATTTGAAGCCTTTATTAATTAGCTTATGACCCATTATATGTGTTCCATTTTAATAAATATTTGGCTTGTGTTTAAAAGGAATTTTTATTCTGCATTTGTTGATTGCATTGTTCTATAGAAGTCTAGCTGATAAAGCTGCTATATTGTTCAATTTTCTGTATCAGTAGTGATTATTGTCTGCTTGCTCTATCAGTTTCTTTTCTTTCCTTTTTTTTTTTTCCACAATCTCAGCTCACTACAACTACAACCTTACAACCTCTGCCTCCTGGCTCAAGTAATTCTCCCACCTCAGCCTCCCAAGTAGCTGGGACTACAGGTGCACACCAACATGCCCAGCTAACTTTTGTATTTTCAGTAGAGTCAGGATTTCACCTTGTTGCCCAGGCCAGTCTTGAACTCCTGTGCTCAAGCTATCCACCCACCTCGGCCTCCCACAGTGCTAGGATTACAGGTGTGAGCCACCATGCCTGGCCAATTTCCAAAAGATATATATTAATATATCCCACTATGTTGGTGCAGTTTTAAATTTCTCCCCATAATGTTGTTAGCTATTTTTACTTTATAGATTCTGATGTTGTCATAAGGGTGGAGTTGTTATATATTCTTAGTTAACTGAATCATTTATTATTATAGAATAATCCTCTTAATCACTACTAACATCTGTTGCTTCCAATTCTGTTTTTAAATATATAACATTTTCTTATATACAAAATAATATATATTTTTATTACTGTATGTTAATATACATTATCTTTTACATAGAATTTGCCTTGGCATAGCTTTTTCCATTTGATTTCAACCATTCTGTGACCTCATAGGTTTGCCGTATCTCTTGTAAATTGTACATATTAGTAGCTATACTTTAGATATTTATCTGGACTAACAATCTTTTTTAAATGGGACTTCAGTTTATTTACATTTATTGTAGCTACAGATATATTTAAATTCATTTTTAACATTTAATTATGAGTTATTTGTTCTACATTTAAAAAAATATATCTTTTTCTCTCTTCTCTTGCCTTCATTTGCCTATTTTTTCCTCATTACTTACCCCCTTCCTAATTTAGAGTAATTCACTTTATTTCGGTTCTAGAAATTTCAGAATGCTTGCTTATCTCATCAAAGTTTAAGTGTATTAAATATCTTTACTCTCCTTCTTCCAAAATACAAAAGACGAAACCATTCAACACCAATTCCCAGAACTTTACTTAATTCTACTGTTTAAATATATTGTGGTTTTATTATTTTTAACCATTTAAGACATTACTATTGTCATTTCATATAGTCAGTACTAAGTTTATCCACTTATATTTTTGTTCTTATCATTTCTTTTTAGACCTTCCATCTGAGATCACTTTCCCTTTGCTTGAAGTATATCCTTAATGAGGTTCCTTTGGTGATAAAAGTTTAGCATTTATTTGTCTAAATATGTTTTGTAGACATGCACATGTAAGATGATACTGTCTCTCTGAACGTCTCTTCAAGATATTAATTTATTGTCTTGCAGTTTAATTGTTATTCTTGAGAAGTCGGCTCTCAGCTGGAATATCATTCCTTTGAAGGTAAACTCATAGTTTTCTGCAACTGTTTTTAAGGTCTTCTTATTTGTTTTAGTGATTCAGTTTCTCTATGATGCTTCTTCGTGTGGATTTTTTTTTCCTCCTTGGCATTTGCTTGAATTTCTGAATAATGAATGGATCTCTCATTCATTCTAGAAACTTATCTGCCATTATCTTTAAAATATTGCCTCTAATGCATGTCTAGTAACTTGGTAATAAATTGACCTAAACATGCAATGGCTCAACACAATAGAACTTTATTATTTCCTCTTCTGTCATGAGTAGGTGCATAACTAGGCAGGGCTAACCTCCTCCATCTGGTCATTCAGTGAACAAACTGATGGATGCTCTGCCTTTTTAACACATGACTTTTCAAAGTCATCTCCATCCAAGCCAATCATAAGGAAAAAATAACATGAAGGAACACATATAAGAAGTATTTTATAAACTGAGCTTAGAAAAGGAACACATAATATTTTGTATCAATTGGCTATAATCCAGTCATATGGCCACCCTAATATCAAGTGAAGCTAGAAAATACAGTCTATGTGCCCAGGAAATAAAGAATTTGCATTTGGTTACATAGCTAGCAGTTTCTGATGTACCATTCTCTTTTTACTCTCTTTCTAGATCTATGCTGTATCATTTCACTCTATCTCCTGCTTTTCTTAATCTCTCTCTCATATTTTCCATGTGCTGTGTTCCTTTGTTCTGCATTATGTTTTTTTTTTTTGAGATATTCTTTATTTCATTAATTCTATCTGCAGCTGAGTCTACTCTGCTGCTAAACCCATCCATTTATATTTTAACTTCAATTGTCCTATTTCCAATTGCTAGAAATTTTGTCTGGTACTGTTTCAAATCTGTAAGTTTGCTTTTTATAGTTCCTGCATTCCAAACATATTTTCAGTCTTGTAGTATTTGTTTTAACTTGGTAATCATAGTTGTTTAAAATAATTCCAACATATGAACATTCTGGGGATTTGATTATGCTCTTGTATTTCTGATGGCTTTCACTCACAGTGCCTTGTTTCTTTGCATATTGTATATTGTTAGTTTCAGATTAATTTCCACAGAGAGTATCTGTGATTGCTACTGCTAGAATTCTGAGAGCACTACCAACCTGAAGCCACTTTAAAGTAACATCTCATCTTTGTTTTTGTTTCTGTTTTGGTTTTTTGGCTCTTTTGGATCGCCTAAATTGTGGGCATTCAGAATTCTAAGGCTTTTGGGGCTGGCTGGGGATTATTATTTCTCAAAGGAGCTTTTTTCCTCTTCCACTTAGAACTAAAATTCAAAACAACAGCTTTATGTGCAGTATCCTCTAGGAAAGAGACAAGAAGTGAGGTATGCTTATTTCTTGTTCACCTTTACACTGTGGGTATAGGCCTCTAGTATCCCAGCTTAATCCTTGTGGTTGACATATTTGACTCTTCAAGTTGCAAAAACCTACCCTGGGATGTTTTCGGTTCCCTGTACACTGTTGATACGGGACAGAGGAGCTCTAAAATATGGGCTTGGCCCAGGAAAAAGTTTAAGGGTGAGCTGGTGGTGCTGTACAGCAACTTTTATTGAAGCAGTTGTGTACAGCAGCAGCAGAGGTACTGCTCCTCGTGGAGCAGGGCTACCCCTTAGGCAGTGTGCCCAGAGTAGCAGCTCAAAGGCAGATGTGTAGTCATATTTATACCCACTTATAATTACATACAAATTAAGGGGCAGATTATGTAGAAATTTCTAGGAAAAGGGTGGTAACTTCTGGGTCTTTAGGTTATTGCCATGGAAAGGGGTGGTAACTTCAGGGTGTTGCCATGGCAATGGTAAACTGACAGGTCACACTGGTGGGCGTGTCTTATGGGTGGCGGCTTCTGTCCTGGACCTGTTTTAGCTAGTCCTCAATTTGGTTCAGTGTTAAAGCCCTGCCTCTGGAGTCCAGTCCCGCCTCCTACCTCACTGCAAAATGAAAGCTCAGGCTCACCCTATTTGCCAAACGATGTTAGGACAAAAGCTCGCTTCAGTGCCGCTTATATCCGAATTCCTATTTCCACCTAATTTGGGGCTTAACTTCTTGTCTGCTCCCTGACATATGTAAAAAAAATCCAGAATTTAAAAAAAAAAAACCCATCCAACATTTTTAGTCATTTTCAATTAGTGCGTCACTCAGATATTTATCCACCATTTTACTGGAAGAGGTGGTTACTGATTCCTGGTTCTGTAGTTTCAGTTTATATACAATTTCCCCTCAAAAGCTTCCCTGACCTTCCTTTCCAAGGTGCTCCCATAGCCTTCAGCACATACCCTTATCTTAGTATTTACCACATGGCATTGTAATTTCTAGTTCGTCCATCTTCCTGGGACACTGGAAACATTGAGAAAGCATGAGTCATGACTGTCTTGTTATTCATTATATTTCCAAGGATAATTAAAGTGGTTTCTGATACTTAGGAAGCATTGACTAAATATTTGAATTAATAAATGCACATATGAATTAACTTCTTTCTTCCACCTGCCTTATCTTCCTTTGAGTGGTTCCTGGACATTTTCTGGGATTTTCTTTTAAGACTGTCAGTTTTACAACAGCCTGGCCTTTAGGTAATATGGTGGTATAACAGGAAATACAATTTACTTGATAAATATTAAGTAAATGAATACATGTTTAATATGTACTTTTGAAATCAACAGCTTGCCCCGTGTAATATAATTATTGGTTAAACAATTTTCAGATGGTCTTTGAAATACTTTATGAATATTGAGACAATTGGTTAACTAACACTTAAATGAAATGATATGGTCAAATACTTTAGAGGAATGTAAAGAAAATTAAGATGTATCTTACTTGCCCTAAATCTCAACTTTTATTGTGCCATGGACACTTCAAAAACCATGTTTTTAAGCTGGGGTAGTAGATGTCCTTCCCCATGGCTAACAACCTATTCAGAAACATATCATCATCATCTTACCTGCTACTGATCAGACTTGTCATTGTCTATCTGTTTTATGACTTGTTGCTGTCCCCCTTCCTTGTTAGGGCTTCAGCTTCTAACCTGGCCCTCTGAGTACAAGAGGTTGTGAGGAAAGTTCCACCAAGCCATATTATTCATCCTCTGGTGAATGCTGTTTCTTCAGAGGATTAAAGACCAGAATGTCCTGATTAAACACTTAATTAGACATAATAAAAAATATTGCCAGTTTTAAATAATTGAGTCCCTCATTAGTGTAATATGCTAATGACAGAACCCTGAGAAAAGGAAATGGAACAAAATTTACCCTCTGAGAAAATGGGTTGAAATTAGATTTTTACACTAAGATTTTTCAGAGTAAATTACCAGCTCCCAATAGATAAGAGCTGTCTAACTAGTATTTCATTCACTGCTTGGACCTCTAATGGCTAAACATTTTGCAAATGAGGGCACTTGGGTTTGGCCTTTTTGGTTATTTGCTGTTAGAAACTGCTATAGACTATGAGATACAATGGAAAGAGCCTCCTGCACTGACAGCCAGGTGATCTGTGTGCAAATCACAGCTATCACTTCCCTATTGTGACTTGGTAAGCCCCCTTAATCTCTTTGAGTCTCCACTTATCTTTCTGTTAAGATGAAGCCTGCAACTGTTTGTATCCTAGACAAATTTTTATCTTCAATAACATAATTCTGCTTACTGAGAACTAGGCACTCAGTATATATTTACTGAATTAATAAAACAAGAGTTGGATTAGGTAGTAATTCAAGTAACTTTCAATTCCAAAACTACATGATTTCCTCTATTCATCTTTTTGCCATTTTTGGCAAAAATTGTTCTCCGCAAAATGACTCTTGAGTCCTGTGCACCAGTGATTGATAGGTAGATGGATGGATGGATGGATGGATGATGGATGGATGGATGGATGGATGGATAGATGGAGAGATAGATAGAGATATAAAATTCTGATTCAGCACCAAATGTAGTCTCTACATGTAGGAAATAACTTCTTAATTGTATCCATCATCTGGAATATTACATGAGAAAATTTAGCGGTACTGACTTAGATCATAGTCTTATTCTTTGCCATCATCCAACATGAGAGATGTAAGAAAATGAAGAACAAGATGGCAAGAAGAGTGGATTGTGTAGTTGTCTATGCATTGACATGGTTCATGAAATATTGTTTTATATATATAAATAAATAAAGCAGGTTGTGGAAAATATACTCCCATTTTTGTAAGAAATAGAAATAATTATAATCCTACATGCCTGATCTATGTGCCTGGTGGGGAGAGTATAAGTTTGTATGATCTTATAAAAAAGGCATAATTGACTACTTAAATTGTTAACACCTGTTTCCAGGGGTGCAATGGTGGGTAAGTGTTTGAGTGGCGAAAGTAGGAAGGAAGTTTGGAAGGAAGGAGATCGTTGGCTTCTTCTTTGTCCACTTATGTATTGTTTGGCTTGTTTTTAAATATAGTTTGCATCAAATTACCTTTGTAAACTAAAATGTGTGTAACACATGGTTGATACCCAAATTTAACTTGTTCTGCCAACTTTCCAAATATTTGAAAATTCAGGCAAAGTCTTTAAAGCAGCCTTCAATGTCTTTCATATTCTGACTGCTCATTAGCTCTGTGTCCTCATCTCCTTTGAATCTCTCCCTTGTTTGCACTTTTCCAACCACCCGGTCCTCCCTGACATTCCTTAAACATATGAAGCTTGCTTCCACTATGGACCCTTTGCACTGGCTGTTTCCTCCTCCTGACATATTCTTCCTCCAGATATATATGTGGCTCTTTCCTTCACGTCTTTTAGGTTTCTGTTCGAATGTCACCTTCTGGACCATTATATATTATCTCGCTCTTCCTTGGCACTCTTTAGCCTGTTTTACTATTTTTTTTCCATAACACTAATTACTATCTGATAAACTATATATTTATTTGTCTATTTGCTTACTATATGATCTACTTATAATGCAAGGTTTCCCAGTACCTAGAATGGTGGTGCCTGACATACAGATGACACAATTGACATAATTAATGAATACAAAGGCAAATAAGGCAAATGCAGCTCATCCTGTGGAGCAGTCTAGTGCCATTTGAGGTGTATATGCTGACCTATACAGTTGACTTAAGTTTTTTCAAGGAGGGAATAGAAACATATAGTGCTAAACCCAGATTTCCTTCTGCCCCTACCTCTCAAGCTTTAGTGACATCATGCTCCCAATATCTGGTACCATCATGCAGGTTACTCTGCAGATCTGAAATATCACTTTTACTCTTTTACTTGGTACTATTCAGAATTTTCTGGATCCACCACCAGACAGAATCAGACTCAGCAAAATCATGCCTTTAGGTCTTGCCTAATCACTGAACGTGTATATTTATTTGACATTTCCAACTAGGTCATCTCAATACTGTCTTAACACATCTGATCTGAGGTGTAGACCATTCAAAAGGCAAAGTGAGCAGTCTATTCTCACTCCTGGATTCTTCATTAAAATATTATATTCCCAGCATTTCTGTGTCAAAAGGTAAGAATGCTTCATTTATTATAAAACACAATTCATTTGGCTTAAACAATATGGAGATTTATTGGCTCTCAGAACTGAACAGTCTCAAGGAAAGGCAGCTTCCTGATTCACTGATCCAGCATCTCAGTCATATCTCCAGAGACCCAATTTCTTTTTATCTTTCTGCTCAGCAGTCCTCAATATGAGCTCCATCCTAACATCTGCTCTCCTTGTGGTAGTAGGATAAATGCCTGACATAGTCAGGGATGCAAGCATCTTTGTTCAGTAGGATACATTCCTTTTGCCCCAGTATTATGATAGCACTGAGATACACACTCATCACACTGGCATGGGGCATATGTCCTCTCCAGAAACAATGGCCGTAACTGGTGGAATGTGCTGATCAGGTAGGTTAAGCCAATCTGGGCCCACCCCTAGAGCTGGAAGTGGGATCAGGTTACTCTAAAGTCTATTGGTAGAATAGAGGAGGAGAGAAGAGAATTCACCAGTGAAAGTCAGGATACTCTGAGAACAACAAATGCCCACTACAGGTACCATGACAGAGAAAGATGTGAGTGCTGAAGAGGACTGCTCACTTTTCATGGGCTTCAGAAAGTGAAGGGGAGAGAAGCCATTGCCATAAATGTTTGTATTTCCAATGTCCTAAATGTCTCTCTAAAGCATATTTGTGGCTTGAAAAACACATGGAATCCAGAAGAATTAAGTCTAACTGCTGTGACTTGTTAATGCATAGCAGTCTCTTTCAGCCAATAACTCGCCTCTACAAAAAGGCCAAAAAGACTGTCCAAGACAAAGAGCAATGCCGGAAAAATTAAGGTTCTCTTCTCCTCCTGTACCTAGCTTGGAAACTGGAGGGCAAATCCATTAACACAATAAAAGTTATACTTCCTTTTGTTAGCAATTCTTGTCCCACTTTAGCATTAGTAACACCTTCTACCTAAAGGCCAACAATATCTATATCCCATTCTTTTGGGGATAGTCTACCCTGTCACTTGAGGAAGTGCTAATAAAGTTCCAAGAATCAAAGAAAATGCTCCATGCAAATTGATGGCATTTTTACAAACTTCTTCTTATTGTGAAATTTTAAGCAAAGAATAATACAATGAACTGCCATGTATCCATCATCCAGCTTCAACTATAACCATATCATGGCTAATTCCAGTTCCAGCCACTTCCTCCTACTATATTATTTTGAAGCAAATTATTTTGGAAATTCCAATTCCAGCCATTTCTTCCTCCTATATGTATCTCATATATCTCAAAAAGATAATGAATCTTAAAAACATTATTATCACAGCTTAAAAGTTAACAATATTTCATCAGCAATTATCAACTATCTAGTCAGTACTCACATTCAATTATCTCACAAATGTCATAATTTAAAAATTTGTTTCTTTGAATTAGGATGCAAATGGCATCCACATAATCAATTCATTCAATTCATTCGTAAGTATTTGAAGTCTCTTTTAACCTATGAATTTCATCTCATCTCTCTTTTTTCTTTCTTATAACATTTTTATTGAAGTAGCCAGGTAATATGCCCTGTAGATTTTTCCACAGTTTGGATGTTGCAATTGTATCTCCGTGTAATAGTTTAACACTTTCTTCTTTTCTCTCTTATAAATTGATAGCTGGATCTAGAAGCTTCATCAGATTTAGGTATGGACGTTATTTTGAAGCATCAGTCAAGGAAGCATATTCATATATCTTCCCCCACCTTAGATACATATATTTCAAAGTGTCTGGGAAATTCCAACCTGCAGGGAGGTTCCATTTCATTTATACAAATAAATAATCTAAACAAAGTGAGTTCACATGGCAGGGTGTTATTTTGAAATTCACATAAGCTAACATTTCCAAGTTGAAGAAAATGAAATGCACAAGCGTAGATCTATAAGCACAGACACTGTGCTCTCATTTGTAATAATGCAGACAGGTTCCTGGATACTTTCTTGATCAACATTCTTCATCCCACGCTCTTGAAAGTCCCACATGAACAGAGCTGGCTAAAAATGTAACTCTTCGTTCAAGGTCTCTATTTTCTTCATTCCCTATCTTCTAGGACACTCATTTTCTCATACTTGTCATACCTGACATAGCTCCCCTGCAGCAAACTCAACTACAAACAATCTTGGAAGACACATCCTTTGAACAAAATTTGATGTAAATCAATATAAATTACAAAGTGAAGATATTAGAAAAGATGGCCCTTCATTATAGGAGCTCTGTGCTGCTTTCTAGGCTGAATCCCAAGAAATTATACCAGCACCATGCTGTCAAATCTTAAGCAATGGTGTGCCAAAATCCAGAATAAAGCACAGACTACGAATGCTTGCTTAGAGATTATTTGATCTGTTCCTCTTGTTTTTCAAAAGGTCAGAGAAGTTAGTAGCTTGCAATTAATACATGGCCAAATCTAAAATCTAGTTTCCTGATTTCAATCCGTGTCTTTCTGTACTGTCTCTCTACTAAAAGGTTAACAATATCTCAACTCACCAGCCACAAATCTATATGACCTTAAACCTTCCCATCATCATCCATGAGCTGGACCCTAAGGAGAGATCTCTTTGGAATTAGGCAGAGAACAATCTTCCACACTCCTACTCTCATTAACTGGGACTACTGCGCACTCTTCCTCTCCGGAAGGGGGAAAGGCCATCTTTCTCTTCCACTAAGGCTCCGGCAGAAGTGACAATGTCATCCTCTCCCTCTTGCCTCTTATACAGTTTGCAGGTCAAGCAGTTCCCTCTGTACATCATTCATTTCCCTCCTTTTTTGCTCAAAGCCCTGCTCATATCTAGATTATTCTATCCATGAGTTCTCCTTGCTCACTTCTTAGTGCCACTAAAGCAATCTTTTACATGTGCTTATATGAAGGGCATGCTTCAGTTATTCATAATCTTCTAAGGACAACTACCATCTGTGCAGCCCAACTGCAAACTCTTGACCCTGCTTTTCAATGCTGTTCATTAGTTCAGTCTCCCATACTAATCTCACTCTCTGTGCTACTGGTTTAACCTTTTGATTATATTTTTACTTCCTTCTCATAGCATTTTTCTCCAACCCTCTTAACACACTTTCCTGAACCTACATATCACATGCAGAGAATATTTTACAAATTAGACCAAGTCTTCTTTTTTCTGAGAAAAATTCTGCACTTGAAATGCAAATTCCGACTTTCTTGATTGACCCAACCACCCCAGCCCCAGCCAGACACTCATGAAAGACCCTGTGATAAGTGCATATGGTATGGTCTCCACATACAAGCTTACCTGGCTAAATTAACACCTCTTACAGAAACATTTTCACTGTGAAAAAATTATTCAACTTTTTGTAAATTATAATCTATTGATTAATATTTGTTGAATATTTATTAAATACTAATACTACATGTAAGGCACTACTCCAAATAATATGGTATTTATACCAATGCACAAAACACAGTCTTTTCCTTGAAGACCATTATATTCTAGTTGAAAAAACAAAATATGCACATTTGTAAAGATGGCTAAAAGCCAAAAAAAAGATAATTGCAAATGAAAAATTATTAATAACCAGATAGTGACTACTATGGGGAATTCAGAAGAAGACAGATCATGGATGGAGGAAGAGAATTTAGTCCTTGGAGCTTGGAGTTACAGGTAAAATTTGTAAGGAATAGAGAGGGGATCAGAATTAGCTAGGGCATGAACATAGAATACAAGTTATTAGCAGATACGAACCACTTTTAATCTTTAGTGTGTGTCTTAGTCCATTTGGGCTGCTGTTATGAAAAACCTTAAACTGGGAGGCATATAAACAAGAGAAATTTGTTTTTCACATTCTGCAGGCTGGAAACTCCAAGTTCAAGGCATTGGCAGATTCGGTGTATGGTGAAGTCTCACTTTCTGGTTCATAGATGGTGCCTTCGTGCTGTGTTCTCACATGGCCAACAGAGAGAACAAGCTCTCTGGAATCTCTCTTATAAGGACACTAGTACCTATTCATGAGGGCTGTACTCTCATGACCTAATCACGTCCCAAAGCCCCACCTCCTACTACCATCACCTTGAGGGTTAGGATTTCAACATACAAATTATAAGGGAAAATAAACATTTACTTCACTGCAATAGGCTTCTACACAGAACCACAACTGCTGACTCTAAATATGGTAAAAATGATGTTAATGACAGTTCTAATGATGGTGGTGTGAGGAAGGTGGGGATATTGTTGGTGCTGACAAATTACAAAATTGTACAAAAAACACAAATTTGTACAAAAAAATTACAAAATTGTACAAAAAAATATACTTTATAAAAGAAGCCTTTTTTTTTTTTTTACTAGCCTGGCCTTGATTTCTATCCATTACTATAAAACATTCTCTATCATTCCAATACTAGTTTTGATAGCAATGCTGTGGTTGACTATATTTTTCTTGCTTTATATCAATGGCTTAATGAATTCATTTTTTCAGTGTAACAGAAGCAAAGCTTGTGTACTGATGTTAATTTGATCTGGCTAGAGTCTTGTCAATATATTTTTGTTGAAGGCTAATCCATGCAGCTCAGAGGCGAAGTACAAATAATTGATTGCTTTCTTTGGAGTTTGCTTTCCATTAGTTGCTGGTCCTCAAGTTTCACTCCCATAAGCTTGGCTTTCAGACTGATGATAACAAAAGTCTAACCTTACTGAAAAAGCAGGGTACGTATATATAACCAATATTAATATTATGTTGAGAATGCATTTATACATCTAAACTCACAGGAGCGCACCCACACACCCACGTACACACACACACACACACACACACCCCACTTACTTTATGTGAAAGACCCTGCCATTTTATTCTCAAGCTTAGGAAAATTGAAGACATAAAAGCAAGCATGTTCTCAGTTCCACTCAGTGGAGGTCTGAGCTAAAACAACGCCTGGAAAGCAAATGCAGTGACCTTTAAAAGAATCGAGAAGAAGCTATTTCCAGCACATTACTAAATGCTATATTTTAAAGGTTCTAACCTTATTTGCTACAAGTGTATAATATCAGGAAACCCTTGTGAGGGAAGGGTCTGCATTCATCACATGGCACAAATCACTTACAGAAGAGATGGGGAAAGTTATTACTTTGTAACTTGCAGACACCAAAGTTCAACCCAGCTCCTTTTGTGGTTTGCTGCATTAAATAAGGTTCAGGGATCATTTGAAGAATTACAGACTTCTTGACCTAACAAAAATATAAAGTTTTCTGCAAATAACAACAACTATATCATCATGCAGAGCCATTTATGACACTAACACACACACACTACACCTTTTCCAGTCCTTGCCAGCTGGCAAAACTGATCCTTGATGTGTCTATGATGTTAACTTTATTTATTCTTCCAGTTGATTAATAGTAGCAATTGATCTATAAGATGCAGCATCACATAAAGAATGGGTAGGGGGAAGAAAACTACTGATTGAAAAAAGAATCCTAAAATACAGTGTTTGAAGCTGAAGTTAGACTCCACTATGAAGCTCTGGAGAGCTATTAGCAAAAAAAAAAAAAAAAAAAAAAAAGGAATTATAATAATACTGATTATTTTAACATTTACTAGAGTCCTTAGATAGATAGATACATATATAGACAGATATATAAATAGATAGATTAATAGATCAACATATCTTGATAATACTTATAGCTTTCCATTTGTCTATTGCTTTGCAAACATTGGCATTTGGCTACACGTTTGTATTCTCAACCACATTATATTTTATAGATTGAAAGTAAAGATTTCTAGTAGATCAGCTTCAGTGAATCCTTTTCCCACTGCAGTTGCATAATCCACATCTATATTGAAATGAGTTGCCAATTATCTCATGGATATAGGATTTAAAAATCATTTAAGCAAATAAAACATCATGTGGGGGACTTATGTGGTCACCCCTTTGCCATCCAGCTCACCTTTATGCCAAGTGGGGTGGTCAAAACATTTGTAAACAACTCTGGTTATCTAAGAATTTACTGGCTTTTGTGATGATCTGACTATTTTTCTTTCTTTTTAATGGTGGACTGGAGAATCCCCTTCAACCTACTTAGCCTAAAATTGTTTGTTGCTGCTTACTGGTTTTCCATACTTAGAGTTAAAAGACTGAGGCCACAAGCAGAAAACAACTAGGTAAGGCCTATGACATCATGTGTTTTCAGAAGAGGAATAGTTCTCTTAATCAGGACTCTATCCTGGTGAGAAAATAATTGTGTGAGGGTTTTGAAATCTCTTATAAACCAAAGCCCTAGCTAAAAGAAACTTATAAGTACATTGAACAATAATCAAAGTCAGACAAGGAAAAGAAACCAAACAGTTAAATGTGCCATGAAAACTGAGAGATGAGTTCCATCTCACAAATAAGGACAGGAAAAGCTGAGAAACTCAAAAATAAGAAATTAAATCAAGAAGTCATTAAACCTAAAGATCTTACCAAGAGTTCCCTTGTGACTTGGGCCATCACAGCTCCAAAATGTCCTTGACTGAGTTACAGGAAAACTAAGGTCTGTCTGACTTTTAATAGCACTATGAGCATTCCAAAGTGTGTTTTAGGCTACTCTTGTTAAGATTCTCTAAAGTGAAACAAAATACACATTGATTTTCAGTATGGAGATAACAGTATTACTGTAAGACAAAAGTCAAAAAGTATTTCCCCAAAACAATTCCTGTAGTGTGAGATATAATAAAAACAAATCTAGGGAGGCTTAAGCCCGTGAAGTCTCTCACACTGGCCCATCCTAAATTATTTTGGGTTGCTCAGTCTGCGTACCATTTCTACTTTGTTCCGCTGTCATCTCTAGAGGAAGCTCCATGCATAAGATGGTTTTATTTAATCCCAACTCAATAAAGATAATCAAAAGTGTCAATATTAAGGAAGACACAAGATATGTGTTGGGCTTCCCCTTATATTCTCCTTTGGCAAAATAGGTCACTGGGTTTACCAAGGGAGACAAGAATGTAGTGTTTTCAGTTGAATTTCAGGTTCCTAAAGCTTCAGTGGAAGGATGTGTTCATTTATCAATCTATAAACATGCTCGATGTGAGCATGTAGGGATACCCAACGAATACATCATTTCTAGGTTTTGGATGGATCTCATGCCTCCATTCCCATCATCTCTCTGCTCTATTATCCTCTATAAGAATAATGGCTTTTACTGAGTGCTTCTAGCGTGTCAGGTACTATTGTTAACACTTGGTATAAAAACACTCATTTGATCTTCCAAGTAATCCTTGGCCTTAGGGCTATTACTGTTCCCATTCCCCCACTAAGAAAAGTAAAGTAGAGAGAGGCTGAAGGACTTTCCAAGGTCACATAGCCAGTGAGTCATAGAGCTGGGACTTGAATGCAGTTATTGATTCCAGGATATCGACTACCTCACATAGTTTTTAAGGATTCCTGACACATAGTACCAAATAAATGTTTGCTATTATTTATAATTATTTATTAATTATTATTTATTATACTACTATTACAGGTTGAGTATCTTAATCCAAAAATGTGAAACCTGAAATGCTCCAATTTCTGAAACTTCCTGAGCATTGATATGAAACTCAAAGGAAATGCTCATTGGAGCATTTCAGATTTTGGATTTTCAGATTAGAGATGCTGAACCAGTAAGTATATGTCATGAAAATATTCCAATATCTAAAAATATCCAAAATTTGAAATACTTCTGGTCCCAAGCATTTTGGATAAGCAATATTCAATATGTATTATCCTACTTTTTATCCACTAGGTTTTTACATACTATCTTAAAGATTCTGACATATATTCACCGTAGTCTTTTCTTGGCCTGTCTTTCCAAAATACTTTGGAATTTGACATGATGCAAATATACAATATTTAGTCTAGTTGACAAGTAACCGGCTATAATGGTTAATTTCATATGTCAACTTATGTGGGCCACAGGGCCCAGATATTTGGTCAAACAGAGATACTCTGGATATCTCTGTGAGGGTGTTCTTCTGATGAAATTAACATTTAAACCAGTGGACTTTCAGTAAAGCAGATTGCCACTCACAGATAATGTGAGTGGCCCTCCTCCAATCAGTTGAAGATCTGAATAGAACAAAGACTGACCTCCCTTGAGAAAGAAGGAATTCTGCCAGAAGTTGGCCTTTGGACCTGAGCTGCAACATCAGTTCCTCTCTGGGTTCCCAGCCTGCCAGCCCACCCTGCAGACTGTGGACTCACTAGCTTCACATGATTACATGAGACCAACCTTTACATCTCTCTATATATTTATATATGTCCTATTGGTTCTGTTTCTCTGCAGAACCTTGACCAACACACTCATGAACTGGAATGTCAAATACTGGCCTGGTTCACAGGCAATTTCACCAGCCTACACTAATTTCATCATTCCTCTCCATTCTTCCTGGAACTATGAGAGTTACATAATCCCCCAATTTTTCCCAAAGAGGCAACCCTCTGATGTTTCACTGGTTTGCCCTTACTCCTTTATAAGGATTCAGTTTGCCTGCAAAGAAGACCTTCAGGCCATACTACAAACAAACACAGAAACATCAGCAATGTGACCAGATTGCTCAAGGATACAGCTTGTTCAGGACTATTCTGATCCTCCTGAGAACACGCCCACCCAGCAGGTGAAGAGGGCAGTTCAGCCAGATCTGCTCTCCCCACAGCTGACTGCGGCCCTTCCTGCCACTGAAAACCGACACGTGATGGATTAAATATCATGCCAGAGATTTTATGCCTAATTATTTATATTCCCTAAGGCTAATCTTTAAGAAAACAGTAGAAAATAGCATCAATAGCTTGCAAAAGATAACTCTGACACCATCAAAAGCAAGTGTTGCATTTCACCCCGTTCTGCTTGTTAATCCCCCAGCAAGGACTTTCCTTTCATATATTAAAGACTTCTTATAGGATGGAATAATGTGCTATATTATTAACAGCTGGTGGGTGGTTTAATATAGTCACAGGTGAGTGGATTTCCTCCCTTCCACTTTCTCACTACTGTCACTTTAAAAAAAATCAAAACAAAACAAACAAAAAACTACACCCTCCAGAAAGGACAAGATATAAAACCAATATGTTTGCCTTTCAATTAAAGGCCTCAGGCTCTCAGCTTGAGTGCAACACTCCAACATCAATGAGAAGATTTTCCTAAGAACTGTGAAGTGTGAGACTGTGGTTGAGAGGCTCACATGACTGAGTAATAATTCGTGAGTGTTTCTTACAAGAAGCCTGTTAATGAGCTTTAATATCTCTGACAGCTTAGATGGCTCTGGGGTGAAGCTTGGTCTACAAATTGTCACCTTGGGCATGTATTTTTTCCTGAAATCTTAATCCACCAAGACATAGTTGAAGTTTAACAGTCAAAATGTTCACATGGATTCAAATGTACCTTTTTTTTTTTTCAAGTCCTGGTCGACAGAACTATGAAAATGGTACCATAGATATAGTCCAAACTTTTCTTTTGAATTTCCTCTTGGAAAAATAAAGAGATAAGTAACTCACTTTCAGGAAAAAGAAAATGTTTCTGTTTATTAAAATGCATTTGTGGAGCAAAGGCTACAAATTTACTGAGTGTGATGAACAGATGAGGGAAGTTTTGAGTGAGGAACGCAAATGAGTTCTACAATAAAAATATTATAGTCTTCGATATGATTTAATCTGACTTAATCACTCAGTGTTACATATTGCATAAAATTGAGAATTTTGAGCATTTATAGAGGCACTGCTGATATCTAAGATATTGTTTGGCAATCTCAAATTTTACATACAAATTTCTTTCACCCAAGACCTCGAATTATTCTGTTGACTGCCTCATCATATCAAGACAGAATAATACTGACCTTCATCCTCAGAAGAAAAATGAAGCCAAGTAGCTATGAAAAAAAAATAGATTCCTGGCGTGGTATATGCCCTGGTGTAAGTTCTACCTACATTGTGCCCTCTCTCATGACACACACAAAGGTATTGTTGAGAAAATTAATTGGCCACTCAACTAGTTGTTTGCATCACGTAATTCAAATTAGTTGTTTCTGTCAAGCAAACTCATTGTTTCTGATCTGTTTATGCATCTCCAGAATAATGTAAGCTCCAGGAGGGCATCCATAGTTTCCGGGCTAGTTCCTGGATCATGGTCCTCAGTAAATATTTGCTAAATAAATGCCCATTTATTAAAATATTAAAAAACAAATAGGAACTACACTTAAGTCACAGAGTGGCTATACCTGCTGTCATATTGTAACCAATAAAAAGATTTGAGTATCATCCATTGTCACAGTTCCCAGCTTTGATGATCTACATTGTATTGGTTGATTTATGAGAGCCAGAGTTATACTGTGCACACAGAATCCCAAGGGTACAATTCTTATAGATGACGATGACTAAGGGAATTATGGCCTCTGGAACTAGGCAGTGTGGCAACCCCAGTTGGTTTCACAGGTAATCATCAACAACCCCAAGGAATGATGTATGACCAGTCTTACTTCTAAGCTAAAGAGAATCAAGATGGGTTGTTCTTTGAGTGTGCTTTGAGAATTGAAGGTGCCTTGTGATATTACAAGTCTGAGGATCCCTTCTACAAGTTTCTCTCAGATGGGGATAAAAATCCTGCACAGGCTTCCTCACTGGGGTGCTGTGAATCTCTGGCCTCTATTTGCTTATCTGTGAGCCCAGAAGGGCTAAACCCAGAGACTGCTATGGACCTCTTGCAGTTCTGACATTGTATAAATCTGTAATAGAAAGAATCCTCAGAACTCAGACACATGTTATGATTATCACCCTTAGCATCAAAGACTCAACTCACATAGTGAATGGAATCTTTGTGTCTCTTATTCAACAATTTTTTTTTTCTTGAGACAGAGTCTCCCTCTGTGTCCCACTCTGGGGTACAGTGGTGTGATCTCGGCTCACTGCAACCTCCACCTCTCAGGTTCAAGCCATTCTCCTGCCTCAGCCTCCCTAGTAGCTGGGATTACAGGTGCCTGCCACTGTGCCCAGGTACTTTTTATATTTTTAGTAGAGTCGGCATTTCAACATGTTAGCCAGGCTGGCTCTTGAACTCCTGACTTCATGATCCACCCGCTTTGGCCTCCCAAAGTGCTGGGATTACAAACACTTTGAGGCCTGGCCTCAACAAATATTTAGAGAATATCTATATGCTGGGGAAAATAGTCACTGGGTAAAGGATATATCTAATCATCCCATCATCAATAATTGACTGAAGTGTCAGCATACATTAAGTACTTAGTTTGCACCAGCCACTTTTCATAGATTTTATATATTTTACTAATCCTCTCAATAACCCAATAAGGTAGGTACAGATAAGGAAACTGAGGCACAGAGAGGGTACACCTACCACCAGTAAGTGTAGGAGCTAGGATTCAAATATAGACAGTATGACTCCAAAGCCATTCCTCTTAACCACTATACTATAATAATTAAGAAGAAATTACAAAAGATAACAAAGAAAGTGGAGTTACTCATAGAGTCTTTATTTCCTACATGGAGTTAACTCATAAACTGAAGTCAAGTAATTATCCACATGATCTAAAAGAGGTTTGGTGGCAGGAATAAGGTTAAAAACAACAACAATGACAAAAACCCAAGCCTCCATGTTTTTATATATTAACTTGTGCTAATATGATTATGTTGAATTAAAAAGAACAGTTGAGGAATTTAACCTTGGGTGAGTGTGAGGTGCTTTTGATGTGGGGTCACTTTGAATAACCCAGATGAAGGCCCAAGTCCCACTTCCATGTGTTGAGTGGGAGAACACCACTGAAGATTCTAATGCTCTCAGGCCTTTTCTTCTTCACTCCAACAGTATTGACTTTGTGCACTACAGAGACCAGCACTACTGGCATGCTGCAGCATGTGATTACCACGTTGACTTCCAGAGCCACATCCAGCTGGGAACTCAGAAGGAACTAGGTGTGAATCCTGGCTCTCCTGGAAGAGTGGTTTTGCTAGGTTCCTCAGTCCCACTAACTTCAGGTTTCTTATCAAAGTAATGGGGAGAAAAACACCACCTACCTAATAGGATTGTTATGACAGAATGTAAATGACATGATACACTTAAAGACAACACAAGGCCTTGGCACATAGTAAACACTCAAAAAACTGTTTTCTGTTAGTCTTATGTAATGCCACTCCATAGTATTCGACAGTATTTTCCAATTAGGCTGTACACCAGAAAGCAGGGTTTCTAAGACTCACTTTTCTGTATTTACCTTTGTGCTTAGTATGTATTAGGCTCCATAAAGACATATTGACAGATTGAATGGCAAGTGGGGCAACAGCTGAGATCTAAGTTCTCTATGTACAAAGTCCCAAAACAAAAAAAGACAGCAAATGAGTGGATTACCATTTGGTTTTTTGATCATTCTATTGCTATTCATATGATCAGATTTCTTCTCTTTTATAAATCACAGGAATAACTTCAGGAAGCCTCAGACATCCTCATATAAGGTTAAATATTTAAAACAGAGCTGTGTGGGAGTGTTGAAAATATCCAGACAAACATATGCTGGAAACCTTTTGTAAAGCCCCACCACAGTACAGTGAGCCCAGGATGGCTGCAGCAGTCCCCAGCTGTGCACTCAGGGCATAAACACCCATTTGTCAGGGGCTGTCCATCTTGAGCACAGCTCACAGTCCCCTTCTCAAGAATGAGGTCACCACAGAGCCCACATGGGCAGACAGGCTGCAGAATAAGATATATCTGGGTGCAGATGTGGGAGGAATTGGGACTAACAACAGTAATGGAAACAGGAAATGAGTTACGTCAGCCCAACAGCACAGTTGTTGAAAAAGCAAAACTTAGCCATGTAGTATAATTTTCATGTTTCATAATGTTTATCACCTATCAGCCAACTATACCAATGGGTTGGACTGTCACTATGAAAAAAAAAGAATCCTTCAAAGGTGTCCAGCAGACCCCTTTCCTACCACAGATGGTCTTCTTAAGTTTCTTCCTGTGCTCTGAATCAATATATCACTAGATCTAAAGGGTCATCTCATTCAAATGCTTCAACTGCAAAATCTTACTTTTTTCTCTACTGTTTAATGCCACTATAATGAACTTCGCAGGGCCTTTGAAAGCTAGACAGGCCTCACTGATGTATAAAACAAGAGAGAAAAAAAATGGATTCCTTGGTAATAAAAGAGCAAGCCTCTTCCCTTATGGTACAAACATACATGTATGTTCATAGTATGCACATATTCACAAGCACACATATACATGCCTGAGCACAAACACACACTTATTGTTTCTACTCTTTAAACGTGAAGTTATTTGGGGAAAATTGTCACTGAGTCTCTGGGCTAGGAGAACAGCAAATCATTAATCTCTCAAGATGGTTAGCTTATGCTTGCTGCTGTGATGTTATTGACCTCACCCTCTCAAAGTACATCCAAGGCTGTCTGCTGACCTGAAAACTTTGTTTGAACACTCTGCCACACTATCCTTGACTTCACATAGACCTTTATGTCTTTTTGGCTGCTGATAAAAGTCATGCACAGTTAAGACATACAATCTGACGAAATTACCAGCACCTAGCTCTGCTTAATTCTTAAAAACTGTGTATAATATTATACTCTTCCTAAAAAGCCATTACTTTACTCTATAAAATGTGCCAGCTTGTTTAAAACTTGAGAAGCATCCTACACAAAACTCTTCTTAATTCTGCACTCTCTGAGATCATTCCATTTTCTGAAAGCTTTAAAGTCTATGTGCCATATCACCTATTAGCAAAACATCTTACACTCTTCTCTCATTGTTTCACATATATTAGACTTGTTTTCCTAAGTGAAATGGGCTCAGAAAGAGTTGAAACTTAGGGAAAATGCTTAGAAGGATAGCAATTTTTTCTTAATTTGTTATTTTAAAACAAGAGTGGGAAGGAAGACAAAGCCTACTGAGTTGATTAACTGTTAATTTTTAGAATTAAGTAGAATGTCCCAGATTTCACATTGTCTTTCAAACAGAAAGATATTCATTCTGGAAAGGACAGTACAAACAAGATTATGTAGGAGAAAGTAGTGCCTAAGTTGAGAAATGGAAATATAAGTCTAGGAAGCCAGGAAGAATGAATTTGATCCTGTAGCTCAGAAGAAATTATGCACTCAAGATAAAATTACCAAACTCTTTAGAAAACCACAACGCATAGAGGATATCTTAGCAACAAGAAGACTACACAGTTTGTCTGGCTACAAACTCAATACCGTCCATTATTTAATAATTCATTCATTAACAAATATGTGTCAGGAGCCTACTAGTGTCTGTAAGTACATAGTATATATCTGGAATTGTTTTAGGCACCTCTATGCAAAAAACAAGACAGATAAAATTCCTACTCTGATGGAGCTGACATTCTAGAGGTAGAGACAGAAATTAAACAAATGAACAAATAAACATATAGTGGCAGCTAGTGGTAAGTTCCAGGAGGAAAAATAAAGCAGAGTGAGGAAACAGAATGTGACTATGGAAAGATGAGGGATTGTGTTTTAGATAGAATTATCAAAGATGGACTTTTTAAGGAGGTGATATTTGAGCATAAATTAATTGAGGGAATAGCCAAGCAAGCAAGGACTGAGAGAACATTCCTGGCATAGGAGACAGTAGGTACAAGAGCCTCAAGTAAGGGAGAAGGTTAATGTGTTCAAGAAACAGAAGGAAAGATGATGGTTATATTAATTGGCTTCACTTGAGTCACATTTTTACTATCTATAAATATCCCATACATTGTGTTGTATACCATAGATATATACAATAATTTATTTAAAAAAAAAAAGACCCAGTAACATGGGAGAGGTAGGAAGGGGCCAGATCATGGAGGGGTTTGTGGGCCACAGTACAGAAGCCTGGATTTTGTCAGGGTGAATTGGAGGATCCTAAAATTTTTGAGTAAGGAAGTGTCATAATCTGATTTGCAATTTAAGAAAATTGCTCTGTCTTCTGTTGGAAAACATACTAAATAAGATTCCAGAGAGGAAATTCTGAGACAAGTGAAGAGGCAATTCCATCTGCCCAGGAGAGAGATGGCAGTGACTTGGACTGGGGTGATAGTTGTGGAGGTGGTGATACCATTTGAAAGATGAGTAGATGGGACATAACAATGGATTGCTTAATGAGAAGGAGTCAAGTATGGTATCCAAATGTCAGCCAAAGCAACTGGATGAATCATGGGGCCATTTACTAAGATGGAAAAGATTGGTGGAGTAGCAAAATTGAGAGCAGGGAAGAGAATCAAAAGTTGCATGGGAATGGAGCCTATTAACTATATAGTGCAATTGCTTAAAAAGCTAATAAGATTAACTATATTGATACAAATTTAATAATCCAGATCAAAAAAAAGCACAATACATCCTCTCCTGTACACTATTTGTACTACATCCTAACCCCTCCGTTCAGTACTACACCCTACATTTTAAGAAGGATATTAACAAAGAGAACAGTATTCAGAGGATGGAGTTTAGGAAGGAGGAGGAGCTCACATGACATGAAAAATGCTTGAAGAAATTGAGGACCAGAGAAAAGAAGAGATGTTGCTGAGAAAGATGGGTGCAAAATATGGTAGTTGTCTTCAAAGATTTAAAGAAATGTAACATATCCCATGTGACTACAAAAGGAACTTGGTAGAGACGAGTAGAAGACAGGAGGCCGACTTCAGAAAGAAGGAACTTCTATTAATTAGAAAGGTGTCCCAAAGAGACTGGCCAAGCACTCTTTAGGGGTGTGCATCAAATAACACATTGGATGAGATGATATCCAAGTCCCATCCATCATGGGGGTTCAGTAACTCCAGATGCTAACTCTTTCTAGGTAGAAAACATTTTGATAATTTTTTAAAGTCTCCAAAAGGGCAGATAGTTGAGGATCAAAATATACTTAGCAATTCAATCCTTTTTTACTAGGCATTCAGACCTAGCTAATAGAACCTTTTAAATAGCTGTCAGGTTTTTTTTTTTTTTAATTATTTTGTATTTTGTGTAGGCGTGGGGATGAGGAATCTATTCTCTGCAACAAAAGCCTAGATCAACTCTATCAATCATTAATAATAGACAAAGGATCATGTTAACGAAGGATAACACAGAACTCTAAGAAGTCACTTGGTGAATCTCTTCTGATCCTAAAGAGGACTGGATGGAGGAACCACCTGGTGGAGTGAGAAGAGAACAGACATTCATCTTCTTGCCAGCAACCTTGCCAGTGACCTTGAACAACTGCATTTTAAATGATTGTTTTAAGAATAAAATGAGACAGTCCAGGTAAAACACCAAGCAGAGTGTCTAGACCTTGATAAAATGGTGGCTATTATTTTATTGCTATAATTATTCAGAAATGTTAAATCATTTCTATATATTGAGCTGTCTGATCTTTGGTTTAAGAATCTCCAGGAAGATGGTGTAGGGCCTTTCCAGGGTCTTCCTTTCATAATGTTTAGAGCATGGTTCTGAGGCTCCCTGATGTATCATCTATAAAATGAGAGGGTAGGATGACCTTTAGATTCTTCCAGCTCTTATAGAAAATGTTACTGTGAGATTTACCACCACAGAGAATATTCCAAAAAATGTGCTAAAGCTCTAAAATAGAAATTAATAAGAAATTTTAGTAAAAGTGGTTGACTAGGAGATGACCATGTGGAAATCAATGACTCTTCTTTATACTAGTTAGAAAATATCATGAAAAAATATGACATTTATAAAAGCTAAATCCATAAAATACTTTACAATAATTTTAGCAGGATATGCAAGAGACCTATATAAAGAAAACTTCAAATTGCTCCTGAAAAATATAAACTAATTATTGGATAATTGGAGACATAATGTTCTTAGGTGGCAAAACTAAATGTAATCATATTAATTACTGACAAATAGACTTGTTTGTTTAAAGTATATTTAATAAAATTTCCAATAGCATTTTTTCTGTCCGTTAGCATGGAAGAAAAAGTTTCAAAAGTTTATATGAAAGAATATATATGGAAGAATAGTTAAATACATTTTGAAAGAAAATAGAAGTGAGAAAAGACTGGAACAATACCATAGGCTTTATATTTCACCACATGCGCAAACTAAGTTCTCAGTGTACTTAAGAGCTAAATGTAAAGTCTAAGCCTTAAAAACTAGGAAAAAAAGTGGGGAAAGCGGGGGAAGGAAGAAGAGGAGAATGACCATTTGTCATCTTTCTAGTGAGGGAAAGACTTACAAAAAGAAAGAAAGTGAAAAAGCCCATGAGAATATTGATTATTTAAGCACATAAAAATTTATATTACTTGTCAATTTAAAATAATATAAACTAAATTAAAATGCATATAAAATAGAATAATATTATCAAGAATATGACAGAGATTTAGTATTCAATATATTAAAAAATCACATACAGCTTGTCTTATTCCAGGTGTCTAAGAAGCAAACAATAAGACAGAATTAAAAGTACAAGAATTTTAGTAGGCATATTAGGGCTCCCATAACAAAATACCACAGCTAGGTGACTTAAATGACAGAAATTTATTGTCTCACAGATGTGGAGGCTAGCAGTTGGAAATCAAGGTGTTAGCCAAGTTGGTGCCTCCTGGGCATGAGGGAGAATCTGTTCCATGCCTTCCTCTGGCTTCTGGTGGTAATTCATTGGCTTGTATATGGTGTTCTTCCTGTGTCCTCACTTTGTCTTTTCTTTGTAAGCATCGGTCTCTTCACCTGGTGTTCTTGACTATATATGCGGACATCTATCATCCTTGGATTAAGGGACCATCCTACTGCAGTATGACCTCATTTCAACTAATTGCATCTGCAACAACCTGATTTTCAAATAAGGATACATTCTGAGGTACTGGGGTAGGATTTCAATATATGAATTTTGAGGGAACATAATTCAACTCATAACCTTAGGGGAAATGCCCACATAAAAGGAAGTAAGAAGGAAGACAAGCAGACTGTGAGAGCCACCGGAGCTGCTGGTAGAGGGTGCAGACTGTCTTACAGTCTAAGAGGTGTCAGAAAGTCAGAGAGAAATCCTTGAGACAAAGTCAGCTGACAAAAGTGTTCTATCTTCTAAGAATGGGTCTGCTTCAGTATCCCCACTACCCTCAGTCTTTGGTGAGGGGCAGTGCATTGGTGGCGTGGCTTGGGCATAAATAGGGCAGTGGATTTCAAAGTGCTGCAGTTGGAACCCTCAGTCAATGCCATTTCTGTAGTCAACAGTCTAGAAGCTGTTTCCTCTTGGCTGACACAATACCATAAAAGATAAATGGATAGACGGTGATTTACATTAAAGGAAATATTGAAAGTTCAGCTTTACCAGAGTGTAATTGCAAATGCACAATCACAAAAGTGCAGTATAAGGCAACATATGATTTTTTTGGTTTATAAAATTACCAAAGTAAGAATTCCTTAAAATGGAGATATTCAATGCTGAGGAGGATGAAATCAACAAGCTGTTATTAATGCAAATTGGTACAACCATACTGGAATGCAATTTGGCAAAAATGTGTCTTATAAAATAACTGTATGCTTTGACCTAATAATTGGTTACTTAGGAATATATCCTAGGAAATAGTCAGAAATGCATACAAAGATTTATACACAAAGATAATCATTACAGCATTTATAGTCATAAAAAAATAGATGCAACCAAAAAGAACAGTTTAGTCACAAGGTAATATAAAGGAAATATTAATTCATTTACTTAATAGGATAAGATAAAGCTATCAAAAATCATACTTTAGAAGAGATTATAATGTTACATGGAAACATGATAAATTAATAAAGATAATTATTTTATTTTTTTTCTTTATTCCTTTTTTTTTTTTTTTGAGACAGAGTCTCGCTCTGTCGCCCAGGCTGGAGTGCAGTGGCGTGATCTCAGCTCACTGAAAGCTCTGCCTCCTGGGTTCATGCCATTCTCCTGCCTCAGCCTCCCGAGTAGCTGGGACTACAGGCGCCCACCACCACGCCTGGCTAATTTTTTGTATTTTTAGTAGAGACGGGGTTTCACCATGTTAGCCAGGGTGGTCTCGATCTCCTGACCTCGTGATCCACCCCCCTCGGCCTCCCAAAGTGCTGGGATTACAGGCATGAGCCACGCTGCCCAGCCCTTTATTTCTTCTTAAAAAAATGGGATACATGTGCAACGTGCAGGTTTGTTACATAGGTATATGTCTCCCATGGTAGTTTGCTGCACCTATTGACCTGTTCTCTAAGTTCCCTCCCCTCAACCGTCACCCACAGCAGGCCCTGGTGTGTGTTGTTTCCCTCTCTGTGTCCATGTGTTCTCAATGTTCAACTCCCACTTATGAGTGAGAACATACAGTGTTTGGTTTTCTGTGCCTGTGTTAGTTGGCTGAGGATGATGGCTTCCAGCTTCATCCATGTCCCTGCAAAGGACATGATCTCATTCCTTTTTATGGCTGCATAGTATTCCATGGTGTATATGTACCACATTTTCTTTATCTAGTCTATCATTGATGGGCATATGGGTTGGTTCCATGTCTTTGCTATTGTAAATAGTGCTGCAACAAACATACGTGTGCATGTGTCTTTAGTGTAGAATGATTTATTTTCCTTTGGTTACATACCCAGTAATGGGATTGCTGAGTCAAATGGTATGTCTAGTTCTAAATCCTTGAGGTATTGCCATACTGTCTTCCAAAATGGTTGAACTAATTTACATTCCCACCAATAGTGTAAAAATGTTCCTATTTTTCCACAGCCTTACCAGCATCTATTGTTTCCTGACTTAATCACCATTCTGACTGGCGTGAGATGGTATCTCATTGTGGTTTTGATTTGCATTTCTCTGATGATCAGTGATGTTGAGCTTTTTTTCATATGTTTGTTGGCCATGTAAATGTCTTCTTTTGAGAAGTGTCTGTTCATATCCTTTTCCCACTTTTTGATAGGGTTGTTTTTTTTCTTGTAAATATGTTTACGCTCCTTGTAAATTCTGGATATTAGACCTTTGTCAGATGCATACATTGCAAAAAATTTCTCCCATTCTGTGGGTTGCCTGGTCACTCTGATGATACTTTCTTTTGCTGTGCAGAAGCTCTCTAATTAGACCCCATTTGTCAATTTTGGCTTTTGTTGCAATTGCTTTTGGTGTTTTTGTCATGAGATCTTTGCCCATGCTTATGTCCTGATGGGTATTGCCTATGTTTTCTTCTAGGGTTTTTATGGTTTGGGGTTTTACGTTTAAGTCTTTAATCCATCTGGAATTAATTTTTGTATAAAGTGTAAGGAAGGCGTCCAGTTTCAGTTTTCTGCATATGGCTAGCCAGTTTTCCCAGCACAATTTACTGAATAGGAGATCCTTTCCCCATTGCTTTTTTTTAAATCAGATTTGTCAAAGATCAGATGGTTGTAGATGTGTGGTGTTATTTCTAAGGTCTCTGTTCTGCTCCATTGGTCTTTATGTCTGTTTTGGTAACAGTACCTTGCTGTTTGGGTTACTGTAGCCTTGTAGCATAGTTTGAAGTCAGGTAGTGTGATGCCTCCAGCTTTGTTCCTTTTCCTTAGGCTTGTCTTGGATATATGGGGTCTTCTTTGATTCCATATGAAATTTAAGATTTTTTTCCTAATTCTGTGAAGAATGTCAATGGTAGTTTGATGGGAATAGCATGAAATCTATAAATTACTTTGGGCAGTATGGCCATTTTCACAATATCGATTCTTCCTATCCATGAGGATGGAATGTTGTTCCATTTGCCTGTGTCCTCTCTTATTTCCTTGAGCAGTGGTTTGTAGTTCTCCTTGAAGAGGTCTTTCACATCCCTTGTTAGCTGTATTCCTAGGTATTTTATTCTCTTTGTAGCAATTGTGAATGGGAGTTCATTCATGATTTGGCTCTCTGCTTGCCTATTGTTGGTGTGAAGGAATGTTTGTGATTTTTGCACACTGATTTTGTATCCTGAGACTTTGCTGAAGTTGCTTATCAGTTTAAGGAGTTTTGAGTCTGACATGATGGGGTTTTCTAAATATAAAATCATGTCATCTGCAAACAGAGACAATTTGACTTCCTCTCTTCTATTTGAATACACTTTCTTTCTCTTGCCTCATTGCCCTGGCCAGAACTTCCAATAGTATGTTGAAATAGCCTCATTTCTCTTTCAGAGTAAACTTACAACAACAAAGCCATACCCACCATGGAGAAATAGCTTGTCTGCTTGGCTTAGTGACCTTCCTTTCTAGTGCTCAGTTAGCCATTGCTACAGTTTTAATAACACAGCTTGTCAGAGTCCACAGTTCAAAGAAGATGTTGTAGTTTGCAAATTAGGCAAATGGACAGTGAAATTCTGTTTTTTCCTTCCTTTCTCCAAACCAAAAAGAAGATCATTAGAAACAGATACAAGATCTTTCTTGCAAAACATCTAGTCTAATTTTCAGCACAAATTGTTCAGAGAACTTTTCATGCATCTGACATGGAAGAACTTAATTGATATTCAATTTTGGAGAAGAGAGAATAGAAAGAGAAGAAAAAATTTACCATCCCATGAACAATAGCTTGTGAACAAGCTTTAAGGCTCTTGTACTGTTATGAGGGCTTGCCTCTGAAATTCCACTTTCAAATGCCTCCCAACTACATTACTCACACGATTTCTGACCACATCCCTCTAACTCACTCCAGTTTGTCAAGACGTCTCCACTTTTAAGTACTCCCCTATCCCTGGAGTGTCATTTCATTGTTTCTTGGCTTGAAAATAGTACCTTAGTTTGTCCCATCAACCTTTTCTCAGGGAGGCAGTCAGCACATTTTAGCAGACTTTACAGTATTAAAGGAAAAGAAAAAAAAGCCCTTCCTGATGTCTGTTCTGAATTTGTTTGTGTTCTATTCTGTGTATATCCCTCCTTTGTTCTGTCCTCTGCCTCAGACAGAAAGCAATCATCCTGCCTGAAATATATCTATAGCCAAGGCTCCATGTAAATTACGGAGAGAGATGACAAATTTCATGGCCTGGTTATGGTAAAAATGGCAAATTTCACAGTTTGTCATGGATTAATAGAAAGGGAAAACAAACACAAATGAAGTCATCCCAGTTGTTAGAAATAATTCCAGAGTGACTATTTGATGAATTTAAACAATGGGATGGAATGCAGGCCGCTCAACATGCAACCCATGACTTTAAATTTAATAAAGGGCCTTGTAGTTTTATTATACTCAAAACATCCTCAAGATGAAGGTTGAATCCAAACACGCTTTGCACTTCAGCCTGAGCCCATAAGGAGCAAGCCCCAAATTCCAAAAAACCTGAGTTTCCCCTCCTCACAGAAAATAATAAAGCATCCGTGAAATGTTTTCATGATGAACCATGGAGTGCAGATTTTTAGGGTCATTGGTGACATCATGATAGATGAGGAGATTTATCTACATGTTTGGAAATGTTACACAGCTCAGTCGAACCACCTGGAAAATATCTTTAAAAGATTAAGGAACTGAACTCATCTTCATAGTTCATTCTCTTTAGCGCTAGTTTCAACTTTATTCCCTCTCTTTGCTCATTCTCAGTTACTACTGCAACCTTGTGAAAAATGTCTTGACCAGGGCTTCATTCACCACGGGATTCTGAGTAAGGTCTCATGAAAGAATTGGATAATCCATCATCATCTCTTTAAACTTAGATTCTGTAGCCAGTGCTTTAGGCCTGGCATTCCTGTGGCTTTGGTAACCGTCCCCACATTGTCTAAAATCCTTCAAAAGAATCTCTCATTGTTGCAGAGCTTGAGTAGTGTTTTTGCACTGTACTTCATGTCTGCATCTATATTTTGCTTATCATCCATGTATTCCTTGAGTATTTGTATAGCATTCATGCCTGAATGAAACAAATTCTGAAATTATGGCAAAATTATATATAGACAGATAATTCATTGGAACTGGTATTTTCACACTGCCTGGTATTTAATTGTCAATCTAATCAAGTTGAACATAAAAATTTAGCCTGAATAATTCTTTTAATCACTTTAGATTCTTCTACATAAATGAAGACCCCTAACACGAATGTAGATATTAGAATACATGTAGGTAAATAGAGGTAGGAAGATAAAATAAATGGCGGCATAGATGCCTTGAAGCACTAAAGATTTAGGAACTGTCTAAAACTCTTGGGTGGAATAAGCACAGGGCATTCTGAGGGGTAGACTGGGCCATTCTAATTCCCTAACAAATAAGGCATAGTTCACTTTTCATCTTTGCATCTTAATAGACTATTATATTAGAAGCAATCACATTTGGTTTATTGTCAGCTTAAAAATCATGACTAACTTATCTGGAAATTGAAAATAAGTGGCAAAGTGTAGTCCAATAATGCTGACTCTTTTTTTAGGCTAGTGGGAGATTTTCCAGTATGTGGAAAGGAAGACAGCAAGTTGACAATTGCTTCACCTTCAATCCCTTCAGTGCTTACGTAACTGTCTGCCCCACACTCTCATCTTGTTTCTATGTCACCTTGTAATGTCCCTGTCTGCATGTCTTACTCACACAAGTAGACTGAAAGTTCCTTTAGGGAGGGGTCTTCATTCTCTTTTAATTCATCCTGGAAACACTGAGAACAATTCAGGGCCATAAGTTCTAGCTGGCTTGAGAGACACTCCTAAAGCCCACATCAAGGCCATCAGCTGCACAGCTTGCTAATTTAACTGTAGTCATTTGCAACAGGTCTTCCTAAATCATTGCTAAGGACTCAAGTCTCCAGAGCTCCATGGAACAACCCCAATTAATATTCCCAGCACTGCCATAGAAAACAGTTTCATATGCAAATATAGCCACTCAGCTTTCTGATCATAGAAGCTCTGCATTAAGGAAAGGCTGCTGGAACATCTGGTGTCCCATCAAGTTTCCAATATCACTGTCAGTAAACAGTGAGCTCAACTTAGAGTGCAAGGATAAAGGCCCTAGGCTCTGGCTGAGCCCCCGTTCCATATTGCTGATGGAATCCGAAGAGTACAGCCATTTGCTCTAAGTCTGTGACAAATGATATAAATTCTGGCAGATAAGGCAGAACTTAAATCTGAATGTGTTTTAAGGCCACAGAGTTTTGTAAGGTTAGTGGTACCTGGAAAAGGATGCAGCATAGATTCTAATTCCTTACACCATCTTCCATTGTCTCCTCATTGCTTGTCTTTCCCAAAACATTGTGTTAATCCTCATTCCCTGAAAAGAAGACTGCGATTTTCTTCCCGGGAGAGGGATCAAAGAAGTGGGAGGAATACCATGGAGCCAGTTTAGAGGAAGAACTATTTTTCCACAAATCAGAGGCTGAGAAAAACTAAGAGTTGAATGAAAAGCGAAAAACTAAGGAACGCAAAGCATTCCCTGAAGCAGTGGCTAAAACCAAGTGAACCAGAGCATGAAAGGAAAATAGATACCCAGAACCAGAAGCTGAAACCCTGATGCATCAAAAGCGACAGATCTAAAACCAATGGGCTATGATCTAAACAATGGCCACTTCCATTTGCTTGCTGTCATAAACCAGTTTAAAACAGATGCTTAAAGTCACATACTATAAAGAACAAAGAAAAAAATGTGCATTGTCTCTTCTTTATGTTTCTTTCATCTCATAGAAAAAATGACCATGGCTCTTAAACTCGCCCATTGGAAAAATGAGACCCAATTTGTGTATTCTTAAAGTGGGAGGCTGGCTTCCTTGACCTCTCTTCTTGACTCTGTCCAGTACACTGAACTGGCTCTGGGTCTTTTTTCACCTACAACAGTGGAACTCTCATTTTGGGTTTCATGGCTGCATGAGAGGCAGGGCTTGATCTTATTAGGCTGGGTACAGGTGGAAGTCGTAAAGATGTGGTTGATACCCTCAAATAGAGGTTATTAAAACTGGGAAAATAGCCAGAGGTCTCTTACACAGTTTCCTCCTCCTCTGCCTGATACCTATCAGGTGCATCTCATCTCACATTGCTCTACAGCTAATGGACCTTCCTAATGGACCTGAAACATCTCCAAGTATTCTGTTGCCAGAGCAATGGTAGCAATCAGAGAATGGTTTACTGGTTAGCAACCTAAGCTCTGAGGTTAAATTAAGTCTACTAATGCAGACCTTGGTTGCCCCTTACTAGCTATGGAGCTGTGATCAAACTACTTAATCTCTTTAAGGCTCAGATTTTCAATTTGGTAAATGGATATTCTAAAGGTGTATGTATTAGACAGGAAACAAAGTCTGGCTGCGATGATGATGATGATACCTCAGGTTCCTAATCCAACCACTGTTCATTTCTTACTGGTATAGTTCAGCCAGCTCTGCTCCAGGGCACTCAGAGATTCAGGCTGTAACTTGTAAACAGTTCTGATTTGCAGCCTTCTACTGAATCCTCTGCATCTGACCAGGAAAAGAGAAAGATAAGAGAGCAAAGAATCTTGTGGCAGATTTTAGAGGCCAGGATCTATTTATCCTCATTGACCAGAACCAGTCCCATGGCTCCCCTGTGGTTCGATGGGGCTAGGTGCCCAGGAAGAGGAGGGGAAGCCCAGAGATTGTTGAGCACCATAATGATTGGCCCTAGTCACTGTGAAGGCACTTCATCTGGCCTAGCCATTGCCCAGGGTTTGTGGAACTGGGCATGGAGGGTTTTGAATACGCAAAACCAGGATGTGAGCCAATGGACCAAGGGCCATAGTGGAGTTTAGTAGGAAACTTCTTTGTAGATGGAGAGCCAACAAGAAATTAATAAAGCCATTTTAGTGGGCATGGTCACCACCATCCTCTGCTTCTCTGGAAAACTTGAGTGCAGGAAACCCTCCTCAGTCCAATCCTAAGTAAAATGATGTGAAGCCTTGGATGTTTTTGTAAAGCCACTTTTTAAAAGGCTACAGAGATTACTATAAGTTGGGCCAGATGCAGTGGCTCACACCTGTAATTCCAGCACTTTGCAAGGCCAAGGTGGGTGGAGCACTTGAGGTCAGGAGTTCTAGACCAGCCTGGGCAATACAGTGAGAACCCCCCACTCCAACATCTCTTAAAAAAAAGGGTATTTAATTATCCAGGCATGGTGACATGCACCTGTCATCCTAGCTACTTGGGAGGCTGAGGTGGAAGAATAGCTTGAACTCCTGGGTTCTCCAGCCTAAGCAACAGAGTGAGACCCTGTCTTAACAACAACAACAAAAAGTTAGGATAGTAAGGAGAGACTTCAAAGCAAGTAAAGACTTTGATCTAAATTTTCAAGTAGGCAAAGAACTAGACAATTGATACAGTTTAAGAAGTTCATATGCTGTTACCTACATTTGCCCCATAGTTACTGAGGAAGACAATAGAAATTAAAGAGGAAGTATCATTAAAATTTTTGGTCTAAGGATGAAGATAATATTGATGAAAACAGAAAATATTACCTTCTATGTAAAACAATTTAAATATTTGAGAGGCAAATTTTTTTTTCAAATGATAGCCCTTTCAGCTGTGGATTCTGAACTTTACTGTACAGATTTCATGTTTGCAGGTAAAGGAAGAGTTGGCCTGTGGAAAATTGCCTAAGAGCATCCCTCATCTGCTTACAGAACTGTCTAAGGGTCTCATGATATAGGTGCCTTCTGTTTTAACTGAACAAAGAAAAGGGGAAGAAAGCAAATAGTGTGAGAAGGACTAAATCTAGGGGAAAATAAATACTCAGAAAGTAGTCAGTAGTTTTTCTATAATTTCTTCTTGGGTACAAGAAGAAAGTCAAGGGCTTTACCACCAAGTTTAGACAAAATCTGGTAGCTTGAGAACTTTTGACACCAAAGCATCAGTATTCTGTTACCTAAGGATACTATCTGTATCTTATTAAAAGGAAATGGAATAGAATTAGTTTATGCACCTACGGATCTTCATCATTCAAGTGACTCCTTCTCAATTATTGAAGGTTCTATAGATGAATGAAAATGTAATTCTCATAAGTAGCACCTGATAACAGGAGAAATATGGCAGGAGCTGATATGTACATGTTACCTACTTGTTATACTTATTATGTTTTACTTCAATTAACTTTCCTTTTATGTTAAAACATGATTATGTAATGGAATTTAATTAACTTTTATAGGTCTATTACAACAAATAATGTATCCTCTTTTTAATGCATTTCTGAGAGCAAAAGCATTTACCTTTCCTTGTGATATAAGTTAACCAAAACAGAAACAACTTATATTCTCTAAAACCATTTCTACCTTCTGAAAATTCTAATTCTTGTAATGTTTCTTCCTATGCTGCTTATTTATCTTTTGTTTTTCAGCCCCACAGCCTGACCTTCTCTATTCTGCTCTTTATTGCTGGGGCTGGAAGCCTGCAGACTACATTTCCCAAGGCCCCTTGCCAGCTAGGTTCTTGTTACTTTCTACCAATTGGAGAAACTGTTTGAAGACTTTTGTTCCATTCTTTAATGGAACAAAAGACAGAAGCATTGTTTTGTTTTGTTTTCTTTGCTTCTGATTTCCACAGCACTGTGGTTGCTAAGAGTTTCTGGTGGCAGCAGGGGAGCTTCAGCCTCTAGAGTCCCAGAATGGGCAGGCTCTCATGCAGAGCTCTGGTTATAGCTGAGGCAGCACCTTGTTGGCAGTTTTAGCAGCAGCAGGTTTAGGCTCCTGGGCTCCAGTCCAAGGGCACCAGAAGCTTCCTTTTTTTCCCCATTAATTCAAGTTCAAAACTTTGAGGTTATTTATCAGCGTTCTCCCTCTGTCACAGCTTGTCAGTGATCTTTTTCTTCCTGTTATGTCTTATACACATATTTTCTTTCTTTTCCATCCTAAGTTACCCTGCCTTGGTCATTCTCCAATAGTTCATGGGCCCTTGTAATATTTTCCCAGACACTGAAACTTGGGAGAGACCTGGGTTTAAATTTGAGTTCTTCCACTAACTTGCTGTGTGGCTCAAAGCAAGTTATTTAACTTCTTCAAGGCTCAGCATTTTTATCTACATTAATAGTAAAGAAAAAATGCTAACGGTTATTGAACATCTACAACATGCTTGGGGTTTTGCAAACACTCTACCTGCATTCTTTATTTTAATACTTACAACAGTCCCATGAAGTGTGTATTATTATTATTCTCATTTTTACGACTGAGAAAACTGAAGTTTAGAAGAGGTAAGTAAGTGGTTTACTTAAGGTCTCTCTGCCAGTAAATGAAGGAGATGAGAATTTAACTCAGGTTTCTCTGGCTTCAAATACCATTCTCTTAAGCTTATTTCAGTGAGGATCATAATATAGATAATGTAAGGTTATTGTGATGATTAAATGAAATATATAAAGCATTTATCACAGGTTCAACACATAATAAGCATTAGTGAATGGTAGATCTTATATCTGAAAAGTGCTATAATAGTCTTTATGTCTTATATAGTATTACATGTATGCATCAACGGCCCAACATATTCTCCTTTGGTCATGTTAACCCAAATAATTGGATGTTTTCCCCTACAGAAACATATAAGAGAGTTAATGGAAAAAAAGGATTTGTTTCATAGTCATTTTTGCTGGAACACATAGGTTCTGTAGACAAATTCACACTAGCATTAAATATACAGTTATATTTCCTTACGTGGTTTTTTAATGCTTAAATATATCCTTTTTTTTCTTGGTGTAAGCACAGTCATAGTTGACACTTAACGAAACTTAGATTTGAATCTTTAACGTGAGCATTTGACATTAATAGGGATAATCAAAACAAGTGGAAATGTCAGTGCCATGAAGCAGGTGAAGGTCCAGGGACAGCAGGGAGCAGCACAACTGAAGAGAAAAGGGGAACAATCTTAAAGACAGATTCCACCCAAGCTTAGGGACAGAACACCTATTCAGCTAATTCTGTGTTTCACAATAGAGTCAATATGTTTTTTCAGGTAGTTTATCTTTTTTCTTTGCTGGAATGCTGGATTCACTTGTTTTAATAAGAACATTTTATACCCAAAGGTCAATTAATAACTAGCAACCCAAATAAAGCTTCTTGGTATCTTCTGTCATCAATTCTTAAAACTTCTGGACCATCACCTCTACTCAAAGGATTCTGTTCATTTTTAAAGCAACTTGCCTCCCATTTCCTGTCATTGGTGGATAATTGGAATTAGCTCCTCAGGAGTCATCATGACGCAGTATAAAGAGGAGTGGAGACCAGGAGTCTGATGGTGACGCTGATGCTAAATACCTCTGGGAATTCTCCTGGCCTTTATCTCATTCATCCAGTGAGACCCACAGTTTCATCCTGTCCAGAAATTTTATGATTCTAATTAAGAATGATTTCTTCATTCTGATTTATTGCAATGAATTAAAGCACACTCAAAGCCTAAATGTGGCTGCATTCCCAAATGCTGCCTCTGGAAACCCTAATCTTAAAAATTTTGCAAAACATTTAGTTGACCAAATACTCTGAGCAACTACAATGCAGTGTGTCATTGCTTAACACTCTGGAGGATACAGAGTGCAGTACCAACCCTCATGGATTTTTTAGTTTAGTTGATGAGGCAAGACACAGACACCAAAAGAATATGCAAATATAAGGCAGAATAAGATCTGAATCGATACCAAAAGTGCTAAGCAAATAATATGGTAGAGAACAATTCCTCACAAAGAAAAGAGCATGGAACCATTTGCAGGTGAGTTCAAATGCAAGTTTAAGCAAAGTAGAGAGTGTGATAGAAGGCCAAGCAGATGAGCCAGAAAGGGAGTTTGGCCAGATTGTGAAAACCCTTGAATGTCTGTATAAGGAAACTTGACTTCATTCACCGTGCAATGGGGAACCACTGTTAAGTTTTGAATAAGGATCATTTCTAAAGTATCATAAAGGATTTCAAAGTTGTATTTGTCACAACAAAGATGTTTCATGCTTCTGAATGAACTGCTCAACTTTCAGAATTTGATTTTTATCTCATTTAAATTGAATGGATTGGACAGGTTCTCATAATCCCCAAAAGCTTTATTTCAAATATACAAGTCATTCTTGCAGATATTCCTTTAAGTGACTTTTGCTTCAATTAAGACACTTTCAGCTTAATGTGACTACAGATCAAAATTAGTAGCTAGTGGCAAAGTAAAAGCATTAAAGAATTCCAGTCTTTAGAGCTTAACCTTTCTTCTCATTTTTTTTAGCAGCTATCATTTAATAAGAAGCTACTGAGCCATCCCACACCTCTCTACATGTGTTGCTTATTCATCTTTGCAGTTTTACAATAAAGCTAAAAATACTTTCTTCATCCCAAAAAGACAATTAATTATATTTTAGGGGATGACTGTCCCAACCACTTGGGTGGCTGATAGATATTTGTTTTGCAGTATTGAAAAGAACCAAACAAAAAACTTCTAGCATTTGCATCCAACAAGGGTTGGAGAGAGAAGAACTCTCTATCTATTAGCATGAAACTTTGCTGTTTTCTCTACTGAATTAACTCCAATCATTTTCAAGAAAGAACATTTCAATACATTTTTCTGACAGGTAGGAAATTAACTACATACCAGAAGCTATTGAATTCAACTTTAACAGTATCAATAAACATTTCTGATTAAATTATGAAATTGATTTTATAATTTTGACCATTATGTTTTTACCTCAATATCATCATATGACAGTAAATGTAGTTACTGCTTCCTTATTGATCTCAGACATGGCACTCCAAAGTACTCATTTGACTATATTACAAAATCAAACTTGATTTCCTGTAGTATTGCAGTAACTTCAGGTCATAATCTAGTCTAAAGAATCAAAATAGATGAATTATTCCGTTATTAAAAGATATATTTTTCCTTGGAGGAAAAGGAACACTTCGGTCAAGACTTCCCTAATGGTTGTGTTATAGGATATTTCTCCATGTGGAATTACTTTGTGTGGGTCTCACATAAATATACCATCACCTCCCAGCTTATGTGTTATCAATCATGTTTCTGGTGAATAACATAAACACCACTTGAAGAGAAAGAAATGTTTATCCTTCATATATAGGAATTCAACAAAAATGCTGTGTTTCCATGACTTTAAAACCTATGTCTTGGTCTCAGCAGCCCAACTCACAAAAATACTACTAATATATTGAGCCATTGCATTTCCCAGAAGAGCAATGTGTCTCATGTGTCTTTAACTAGATAAATTTTAAAAGCAGACCAAAAGATGAGGCACTGAGTATCTGGCAGAGCTAATACAAAACTGTGAATTCTCATCCTAGAGATCCAGCCTCCCTCAGTAGGCTCATACAAAGGCATTTCATGCTTGTCAAAACTTTTTCACAAAAGAATTGAGTTTCAAGTCATACAATGCAGGCACATGAGGAAAATCTCCCAAATTGCCTAGTTTACTACCTCATTAGGTAGCTAAGAAGACCAAGGCCTAGTGTCATTAAGGGACTCATTGAAGGAGACATTGCTGGTTCATAACAGTACTAGAACTAGACCCCAAGTTTCTTGTCTCACAGCCCAACTCCACTTTTTCATGTCAGGTATATCCTGATTTATAATTTTTGAAATAGCCTATGAGGTGAGAGTTAAAACATTAACCCCAAGACAAATTACATCTACCCCAGAACCAAACATATTAGCCCACACTAGAGAAGCTCTAAGGCTGGGATTTTTCTTTTTTTAAATCAGATCCTTAGCTCCATGGAAATGGAAATGCTGTTTTAGGACTATTGGAAATCAAAAAGAAGTCTTTCATGCATTTCACAAAGGACCAAAGTATTTATTCACAGTGGCTCAAGATATCAAAAAAGATAAATATGCCTTTTCTGTGAGAATCTTTAAGTTTCTGCTATAGCTCTGAGTCTGGAGGGTCAGATAAGATCCACTCCCAGTAACTCGTCATTTAATGTTAGGTATATCTCCAAATGCTATCCTTCCCCCCTCCCTCCACCCCACAACAGGCCCCGGTGTGTGATGTTCCCCTTCCTGTGTCCATGTGTTCTCATTGTTCAATTCCCACCTATGAGTGAGAACATGCGGTGTTTGGTTTTTTGTCCTTGCGATAGTTTGCTGAGAATGATGGTTTCCAGCTTCATCCATGCCCCTACAAAGGACATGAACTCATCACTTTTTATGGCTGCATAGTATTCCATGGTGTATACGTGCCACATACATAGCACATATATACATATGTAACTAGCCTGTATGTTGTGCCCATGTACCCTAAAACTTAAAGTATAATAAAAATAAATAAATAAATACATACATACATACATACATACATACAAAAAAAAAGATCGACTCCCTCTTTACTTCTCTTCATTCTTGCATTGGCATTTGCTAAATATATCTTCTTGGAAAGGGTTCTGTTATATGGTCAACATTTAAAACCAATGGGAAGAAAAACATCAAATAGTTGACTTCTAACCAATAGGGCTGCAGAATCGTTTAATCAGAAGTAACCATAAATTTCATCTCCTCTAGCCTTCCCCAAAGCAGGAATATCCTGGGTACCATCCAAGAAGATGCCCCTGATCTTTCTCAGCTTTGGGGCCAGGGGACCTTCTCTTTTCTAGATAGGTCATTCGATTTATGAATACTAGTGAACAATCAAAGCTTTTCCTTATACAGTGCTAAAACTGATTTACTGATTGATTCAATGCCTCCAGAAAAAAAAGTTTATCAAAACTAGCACTTTAATAGAAGTAAATCTAGCCCTAGATATTAGTCTCCTATTTTATTGTAAGAATATCTTCCTGCTTTAGTTTGTGCAAGATAAGCAACTCTCTGAAAGGAAAGATACTTTATGAAGCTTGGAAGAGACAAAACAACAGGAATCTAATATTTTTGAATTTATGAGAGTGAATATTGGGTTTCTACAGAGCAAGAGACTCCGAAACGGCATGGTGGTGACAGGGCATAGTAATACCTGTTGCTCCAAGACAATCATAGACGCTACTCTCACTAGGATGATACCTATTGGTTGCTTTACCAAGGACCACTTATTGAATGCACAGTTTCTTGAGATAGAAAGGGTAATTCAAGTATGTATTTGTTAGGCCACTTGATGCGGTGTCTTATGTGTGTCTAATGTTCCATGAAATCTTCGGTGACAACATGAGCATAATCCCTCCTCTGCAAAATCCATGAGCCAGTGGGAGAAACAGCCAGGTAGATCTACAAATAAGAATGCAATTAGTAGATACATGCCAAGAGAAGGTTCAGTGATCAAAAGAAGAGAGAGAAGAGAGTCCAGTTTCCAATAAGAGTTTATCCTTCTTTGCTTCTCTTGTCTGGATTACAGCAACTGGCCTTCTAACAACCAATTCTATTCTATTCCACTCAAATGTATCTTCCACCTGGTTCTTAATGATCTTTCTAAAATCCTATCCTGATTATGCATTCCCTTACCCTCAGGTGAAAGTTCATGCTCCCTGGCATGATACACAAACCCACTGATAAGACAGTTCCTACTCTCCTCTAGCCACTTTCCTCAGTACCAGACCCACCTTACATCTTGTCCTCCAGCCATATTCACCTCCGTGTGGATGCCCAGATAATCAGGGTTTGCTCACCCCTTAGTCTTCATCTGCAGGGCGTTCTTCACTAAGGATTATAGTCTTGTTTTGTATTCTTCATGGAAAAAACTCTAAGTGAAGCTTCAGGTTTCATCCCAGGTATTATCTTTTCAGGAAGCCATTCTGACCCTCCTGGCCGGGGTCTGGCATTTCTCTTCTAGGTTCAAACGCGCCTGTGCTTACCTTGATAATAGATGGTAAGCTATTGAAATCCTATAGCTATTATGGTCCATACCATATAGATGATCAGTTTTGTGACTACCTTATCCAAAAACAAAAAAGAAAAACAAGGAGGAAGAGAAGAAGAGGGAGGAGGAGTAGAAGAGGGAGGGAGAAGGGAAGAAGGGAAGAAGGGAGGAAGGGAGGAAGGGAGGAAAGAAAGGAGGGAGAGAATGTGCCTATTTTGTGGATTATTACTACAGAGTAAATAAAATAACATTATTTAAACTTATAACTCCCATAGATCTCAACATAGCTTGTGTTGATAATTATTTACCTGATAAGTATTAATACATGAATGAATGAGTGAAAAGCTGTCAGTGGCTTTAGTGTCCCCAAGGAGTTTTTACAGTGCCCACAGGTTATATTCCGAGCCCTGCCTGCTCAGATGTCCTTTCAGTAACTTAGTGCTATGAAAACTGCTGTTTGGCTACAGGAGAAGGGCATTCAGCATGCGTTTCCTTGGGTCTAAAATAACTCTGCTGACAGAGGAAAGATTTGGCCTCTCAGATATCATAGGTAGCACAACTTACCCTTTGGTTGTTACTATATTAAAGTTGATTCAAGGATAGAAAACGGTGGAGAGATTTTCATGGAGCCAGTTTCTACATTAGGAACATTCACAGGCAAGCTGAAGATGTTTATCCATCCCTTTGTTCAGAAGAGAAGTTGCATTTTTATAAAAATAAATGTTGGTATTCTCCCTAGGTCTCAGAGCTTGATGAGAAAGCAACAGGTTCTTTATTTTCCTTCCTCCTTGTTTTTAGCTTTTGTTGTTTTAATGGTTTTAGGTAAACTGCTTATTTAAATTTCACAACAAAGTTTTCTCTAATAGTGAAGCTTCAGCTTTGAGATTCAAATAGCATGGTGGGTCATAGACCCTTTTCTGTTGTACCTGTGATGCTTCCATAGTGACGGAGAATAAGCAACACAAGTGTGGGGCACTGGAAATTCATTCCGGAAGGTAAGAAAACATTTCTTCACACAGAATTTCCTCAAGCATACTTACAAGATCTTAAATGAAAATATTAAGCATTTCCTATTATTACTTAGCTTATACTTGGTTGACACTGTATACATTTATCATAACTCTTGGAATACAAATTAGGACAGGAGTAATCTAAAACAAGATTTGGCACATCTCTGTAAAGAGTCAAGATAGTCAATATTTTAGGCTTCACAGGCCATACAATCTTTATTGCAGCTTCTATACTCAATTCTACCATTGTAGCAGGAAAGCAGCCACAGACAATATGTAGACAAATGAATGTGACTGTGTTTCCAGAAAACTTTATTTATAGACATAGAAATTTACATTTCATGTAATTTTCCTGTGTTATAAAATTTCTTCTTTTGATTTTTTTCTTAACCATTGAAAACCTTTCTTGGCTGGATTGGGTCTGTAGGCCGTAATTTACCCACCCCTTCTCTATAATATACCATATACCTCTGGGCTAAGAGGTAGAAGCCACGCAATATGCAAGTAAGATAAAGGATAAAGATCGGATTGCTTCTTCCCAGGACTATGGGGTACCTATGAGAAAGCTTAGAGACTCTCTAGGTAACACTATACTAATTCCCATGGAAATGATAAAAATGAATTCAAACTTTTTGCATATCTGTTGTATCTTGCACTTTTCATATGTTACCTTATTTAATCCTCACAGTGGCCATGTAAGGGCATTTAAAATTTTATCCTATTTTACAGAAGTGTAAACCGAGGCCCAGAAAAGTTGTGTAACTTGCCTAAGATCACACACCAGCCGGCATAGGATTTTCACTCAGTCTCCCTGACTAGAGAGTCTGTCCCCTTTTTACTCTACTTCCAATAGCATAATGTCCCTGGATCTGCCACTCTATTTGGAATTCATAATTTATACCAGCAGGTGGATGAATGGTGTGGGAATTACTGACACTAGCATTCAAAGCTTTCTATGGTATCCCTGATCTGGCTTCAATCTTGCTGCCTTTCTCTCCCACTATTCTCCTAGGCGAGCTCTGAATCCTTAAAACATCCTGCCCCTGTGCTTCTGCCTAGGTCACTTCCTCAGCCTGGCCTCCCAGGCTCAGTTCAAATGCCATCAGTACCATCAGCCTGCCTTGATTTCCCCTCATCTGAAGCTGAAAGTGATCCTGTTACTGAGTGACACCCAAAATACATTGTACCTCCCTGCTTTCATCAACATTATATTCACTGAAGTTTAGGTCTTATTCACCTACTGTTAGTTCTTTGAGGACAGAAAAAGTACCTTATAAATCTTTGAATCTTTATATATATTGCATAGGTTGAGTGCTTGATAAATTTGTCAAATGAATTAACAGTAGAGTATTTCAGGAAAAATGAAAAAAAAAAAGGTATCATCCTTAGCAAAATAAAAAATAGAATCTTTAAGATGGACAATGGAAGGATGCTCTCCAACATGATTAGACCATTCAGTTTTGTTTCTCACATCTGAAATTCAACTCTCCCTTGGCCATCTGGCTCAACTACATTCATCTAGGAAAAGAGAAGGAGCTTCTCCCTCTTTAACACTCTCTCCCAAGCATGGACATCCAACTTTTTTAAAAAAAATTCTTGTAGCCCAGCTCAGATTAGTTAAACAAGAGTTTATTAGAGGCTAGAGGATGACAAGAGGGCTATACACATGGGGAGGGACTAGAAAATGAGATTGGACAAGGTATATACAGTTTACAGCTCTGCAACTTAGCTTAGCAGCAGGGAAGTGGGCAGTGATTGAGGCCATCTTATGCCCTACTCCTCGCAGGGCATGTAGTGCCTTTAGAGTCTCTGAAATGGACACTCAAGAAACATGGCTCCAAAGAGATCATAGCTCACACTTACTCTGCTAAGATGTGCCACCAAGACTTTCAGGCGTTTTGTTAGAGAATCTTACTTTTATCAGAAGAATAAGTTCCAGGATGCCCAACTTCTTTAGGTCATATCTTGGTCCAATGCAAAAAGCTAAAACTTGGAGGGGAAAGGGGAGAAAAACAGAATCTGCTGTCCCAGTTGACAACAGTTTGAAAGCAGGACCAAGAAGTCCGGGTATGGACCAGACGACATTTAGATTTCTTTCCAGCTTTGGGTCTCTTCAGACCACACATCATGAGATATAGCAGTGGAAATTAGAACTAACTTTCAATATAAAACTATGAGCAACATTTCAATATGAATGTATTTTCTTTTTTTTTAAACAATAAGAAAATATACTAAATGGTGTTAAGTGGAAATATTAATGAGATGCTTAAACTTTAGTGAGTTACTTAGAATAGTTGAGAGAGGGAGAGAGAGAGATCAGTTGTGTGACCATGAGCAAGTCTGTTTCTTCTGGGTTTCCTCATCTGTTAAAATGGAAATAAAATGTTTCCCAGGACTGAGTAAGGATCAAATGAAACAACAGAGGTGAAAGAGCTTTGAAAAATAGAAGATACCCCCAACAAAAAAAAAGTAAGGGTTGATAATGAGCTAAATGCATTATAGACCCAGGAGACTAAGGCAGACTCAACCTCTTGGGCAAACAGCAGTCCAACAGGTGTCTTGAGTAAGGGTTGAGGTTGCATTCTGATTAACCCACGTGAAGTTTTTACATCATCTAACGCAATATGATACACCTAAGCAGAGCCCCTTGAAGGCCAAATTGGGTCTCTGGTTTCCTGTTGTTAGGACTGTGTGTTTTTCATTAATTTCAGTGACTTTTGCAATTTCTCATCTAAGGAATGCAGGGGAGGAAGGTCCATAAGGAAGACTGGAACAGAGGAAGGGAGAATTTTTAATACTAAAGCAAAAAGACATTAACTTTTGCAAAGGAGTAGATTACAAAACAAAAACAAACCCATTAGGTTAGTTAAATAAGCAGGTCATTGAGACTTGCCAAAGCACGTAATGAAATAGATAAGAACAAGTTTTGGGGAGTGGTTTTCTTGTTTGGTTTGTCCCCCAAAGGAAATATCTGGCAGGATTCTCTGCCTTGTAATTAATTTATCCTGTGGTTGATATCTTTGCTCAGTTTTATTGTATAAATAAAACAAGGAGCCAAATCTAATTTACATGGCAATATGTCATACAATTCCTATTAGAAGAGACAGGAGTAGTGGAGAATTATTCTTTGAATATTGTTTTTGTAAGGCCACTAGTACAGATTTTTAAAAAGAGATAGGGAGACTATTTGCAGAGAAAACACTAACCCAAGACCAAAGCAAGAAAAGAGCTCTGGTTTAGACTTGTTTGGTTTGAAAAGTAGCATTTGGTTCAGCATAACTAGCAAGATAACCAGGCAAATGATTCATCGGGCTTGTAACTTAGCAGGTGCATCACTGTGCATACCGCCAAAGAACCGTTCATGACTCGTTTCAAGCTGTGACTTTCTCTGTGTGGCAAGAACAAGAGGGGAATATCAGGTGCTCCAGTTTCCTGCTATGGGTGCATCTCACCTCATTCTGTTCAATTCTACTCAGAAAATATTTATCAAAATACTCATTCTGTGCTGCTAAGTTTTACTGGTTGCTGGTGGGAATGAAAATAGAGGTGAAAAAAGTGAGAATTTAAAAAAAGAGAAACTATCCCTGCACTCAAGGATTTTAATCTAATTAAGAAAAAAATCTGGTTTCCCTTCATGAAAAAAAAGATTCAATTATAAGGCAGTGTACAGTAGTACAAATCCAAAACCAAGGACACGGAATATGGCACTAAAGAGAAAGACAAAACTAAATATACACTCTGGACCAAAATTTGATGTAATAATTATATGTGTGTGTATAAAATATGCATACATACAGAATAAAAAAGTTACACATTCAAATGTTAATACTGGTTATCTCTGGATATGGGATTACAAGTAATTTTTTTTCTTATTTATGTAATTTTTTACTTTAACTCCTTGCATTGAACAAAATTCATATTTGAAACCAGGAAAAGAAATTTTAAAAATCCATGTATATATATAGACAGGCATCAAACACATGTGGCAAAGGTGAATGCTGTGGGAGGAATGAGGAAATGTCCTTTAGGATTATGACTGGGAAGGGCAGAGGACCTGGAAGATGAGTGTCCCCTCATAGAAATCCTGGGAGGGGAGACCCTCCACCTGAGAGACCTGTGTGAGAAGGAGTGGACAGTCACCTCTGAAGTCTACAGGTAAGATGAGAGGACACCATGGAGAATTCTGAATTTAGACAAAAACATCAGGACTGCATAAAGGCGAGTGGCTGGTGAGCCTGCCTCAGGAGCATAACTGGGATTGAAATGATTCATGATGCAACAGGAGCAAATGATATCATTTTGATCAGCCTGTTAGCATCCTGTCTATGCACCCCTTCTGAGGAAGACCCCGTGTCTTCAGGCATGAATCCTGGACCTTCTCTTAGGTTGCTTGCAATAAACAGTAGAGAAAGCTGAAAATTAGAATGAGCAGAGTCAGGGTCAAGTTTTTGGCATTTAGACTTTTAAAAGCAGGGGAATCAACAGCTGGAGAGAAGGATCTGATTCGAAAGAAGGTAAATGAGGATGAAGGAGTTAGGAACTACCTAGGCTGGATTTGGGAGAGGGATTTTTGATAGGAAGTTGAGAAAATAAAATGAATTATTTTCTTGAGACACCAGCTGCTATCCCTATGGAGGTCACTGTGCATAACAGAAGTAGGGGGAAAAAGGTAGTCTCTTGTACATTAAGAATGCTCTTCTACTGTGGCATCTTCTAAGACAGGGATAAGCTTTTCCCACAAAGGGCCAGATTGTAAATGTTTTCAGCTTTAAGCACACTACACAATGTTTGTCACAACTACTCAACTCTGCCGTTGTCACCCAAAAGCAGCCATAGGCTACATAAACAAATGTGGCCATGTTTCAATAAAACCTTATTTAAAAAAAAAAAAAAAAAAACTTAAAAAAATAATTTGGCCCATAGTTTGCCAACTCCTGTTCTATGATATTTGTAAGATTTATGCATCTTTCTCTTATTATTCCCTGACAGGATGCTCTTTCTTAGAATCTATACTATGCATAGAGAGTGCCATGTGGTATATTAGCTATATTCAGGTTACAGCAATCAACAGCCAGTTCTTTCACTGACCCCTTCAGAGGGATTGGGAGCTACAGAACAGGACCCTGACCATCAGAACATCCTAAGATTACTTGTTGTTTTTGTATGTGATTTCCTGTAGTGATCAGAAGGGAAAGCTTTACAATGAGAGAAGGTTTGTCTTCAGGGGCAAAAAGGAAGACAGGAGCTGGCACACTGTGGCTCCTCAGTCCAATTTACGTGAAGAAGAACCTCAGGAAGTAGAAAAGGTGGTGACAGATAGAAATGGCAAATGTAAGTGGCCTAAAGAAGAAGGCCTGCAGCAGGCTAGTGTGGCTTAGCATAAAAAGTCTATATGGTTACCTTTGAGAGCATCACTCACTCAATCAATACCTACAAAGCACCTCCTAAGTGCACAGAACTAAGGTAGGTACTGGAGAACAGCCAATAGGAAATGGATGCTGTCCTTCGGGAGCTAGCGTCTTACAGGCAGTGAGAAGAGACCACCATGGGAGAAGGAAAAAAACCATTGCAGCTGGTGAGAAGTGAGGCTCTATAGAGAAGAAAGTCAACAGTCAACATTGTGCTACTCCTAGGTCAGGAAAAACAGATCTAAATTGCCTGGCATTGCCCATTTTTGCATCAACACATATTTATTGAGCCACTGAACATACAAGAGAGAGGCAGGAAGGAAAAGCCAGTTTTTGCCCAAGGAGAAATTTATAATTTTGGAGCAAGACAGGCCTGATCTCCCAGTCAGCTCACATGAGATGAGTTTGGATGGGTTGTTCTCAGCCACTTACTTGCAGGAACTCAGGCATCTATGGTGGCAGATCATAATTTCCTCCAAGACAAAAGTGCCAACCAGCTAAGCAAATGCTTATTGAGCATGCTGCTAAGTATCTGGATATTTAGAAATGTCTAGTTGGCTAGCTGACTTTTTCATTTTTCAGCTTAATGTTGGCATTCCTTAGAAACAATCTGAGATTGATTTTTTCCTGCACAAGTCAAATTAAATGTGTTATTTGTCAAATAACTCTCTAAGAAAATGCTGTTCCATATTTCAATAAAGTGTGCTTCCCGTGAACCCTTGAGAGGTAGGCATTTTTTCCACCCTGTGCCATTTTTTTCCACCCTGGTCTATCCTGGTGCCAGGCTCATGGAAAGAACTTTCTATTTGCAATGAGTGATTCTGGCAGAGTACATGTGGTATTATTCTTGGTTTGTGTCTACTGCATTAGGATGCTTTCCTAAACAATGTGGCCATGTTTTTTGCTTCCCAAATGTACATTCTGCTGCTGCAGAACATTTCTAAGCCTCGGCCTTGCTGAAGCATTCTAGAACTCTTAAAACTATGGACTGAATCACAGGAGGCTTCTAATATGTATCAACCGAATACTTGTTTCATTTGGAGGTTGAAGAACTCTGTAAGATTGGAGAAGAGCACAACAAAGAATATCTCTGTATTGAACAGCTGGGTGCTGGGTGAGGCCCTATTCCTCCCTACACGAGGAAAAAAGTGCATGCAGGGTTTGGCTGAGCATTATAAAGCTGCCATAACATTTGTATCTTATTGCCTTCTTTTCCTATCTCCAGTCACCACAAACACTTATGGTTATTATGATAAGATATAGATAACAGGGCAATACAAGGTTATCAGCAAGGGAATGGTGGCAATTTGTAGAACAGACAAACTAGGTAGCTGCAATTTCCAGAGGGCTCAGTACTTCAGATATTAAGGTGTGTGGGCTTTAGCTTTGTCCTCCTGAGAGCATTGGCCTTCACATCCTATTTTTCCATTCCTCTGCTCTCTGCTTCCGAGTGCACACAAACCTCTCTGGGAGGAGAAATGACTTCTGGATTATCCAGGGAGTGGATGGTGGATATTAATAGAAGTCAAATTTACAACCATTGTTGTACTCTAAGACTCATGGGCTATTGAACAGGAACTATTTTTATGCTCACACCAAAGCTATTTATTATTCCAGTGCATCTCATGCTCCTGACCAGTACCTCTTTGTGGTTAAAAAAAAAAAGTGTAAAATTCTATTCTATTTTTATATTTTTGAGTCTTGAGTGAGTCTTTTCCTTTTTTCTTGGGTGTTGAGATCTAGTCACAGTAAACCACATTCACTCAGGCATTTCTCCCATCCTCCAGTCTCTTGTGCCCATTTGAGGAGCTCCCCTCATTCTTGGTTTAATTACTGCTCTTGATTTCCTTGGCTCTTCTGTCAATCCCTTATACTCAGCCTCCTCATCTCTTGGGTGATTTTTATCTTCCTTCTCAGTAATTTGTTGATTAACCTTCTTCATTTCTCCCTAGGAAGGGCTCAGTCTTTTTTCTCTAAAGCTGCTATCTCACTGGTAATGACACAGGAGTTTTTTGGTGCCACTTTGCCAGCCAGAAATCTCCACAGCCAGCAGTACCCTTCCCAGGCATCACTCAGCTCTGGGCTCACCACTGGACTCACTCTTCCCACTCAGCCTGGCAGGCTGCACTCAACTCACACTACCACCCCAGATTCCACGCCCGCTGGGGCTCTGAGCTCAGCCTGCAGCTGAACTGGGCATGATGTGACCTGCTTCCACCTTGGGTGCCGGCTTCTGGACAAGGGGAACATGGTGGCACCTGAAAACTCAGAGATACCAGCAACTGCAGAGCCCCAAGGGGTGTTATGGCTGTCCCCTAGGGAGTCCCAAGGTCTGAGCCACCAAAGACTGTTACATCTCTCTCTCCTTCCCACCACCCACAGCACAGCAAACAGCAGGGTGTGTTACAGCTCGTTCATGTTACAGCTCACATTCATTCCCACCGCCCACAGTGCGGCAAATAGGAGGGTGTGTTACAGCTCATTTGTTCCTGCCATCCACACACTCCAGTGAATGGGAGCATGTCACAGCTCATTCAGTCCCACTACCCCACTCTAGCCTGCAGCTCCTGGGCTGGGCTGGCCTGGCCCCACCGTGGCCACTTCCTTGTCACATAGGGCAGCTGCCCTGCGCTGGTGGAGAGCGGGAGGGTTCTTGTCCCACATCCAAGAAAAATGAGGTTACACAGACACTGGAGAGTTAGTGCAGTGGAGAAGGGTTTTATTGAGCAACAGAACAGCTCTCAATAGGAGAGGGGGCCCAAAGCAGGTAGCCCTCTGTGTGAGAAGGGGCCTGAAGGTGGGTAGTACCAATGTGTGGCTGAGTCTGGGGATTTTATGGGCTCAGAATGGGGAAGTGCATGCTGACTGGTCCATAGGCAGGCCTGGAAAAAGCATCATTTGATTGGCTAAAATACATCGAGGAAGTTCTCACTCCAGTTGTGGACTCTGGCAACTCATCTTTCAGGCTTTAAGCTATCTTTGGCTTGAAGGTCAGGTTTCACCAGGAACTAACCCCTGTGTGCCTAGGAATTTGTCTGCCTCCTGCCACAATCAATAAGATTGTCTCTGTTTCTCTTCAAGGCCAGCATTAGCTATCTAGTGACTCTTCTCCGGCCTTCAGATTGAGATCCTAGGGACATTTAGCTTTCTGCTTCGACTTTAAAGCTGGGTGTAACATGCATGCTGGCATCCATTAGGCAAATTGCTTCTGATTCTACCAGGCTTCTCTCTTACCCCTCTAGGAAGGCTAAACTAGACTTCTTGCAATATACTGTAAGATGCAACACCCCAGTCTGTCTCCACCTTAAGCATCCATTATTATCCTCTATGACATATAATTCTTATTTACATTTTTATTTATATAATTGTTATATAATATAAATATATAATTATATAAATATAAATATTAAATATATATTATATAATATAAATATTAATTATATGATATAAATATTAAATATATTATATAATATCACTATATAATATAAATATAAATATTTAAAATTCTTTATCTTTATTTACACAATCAATTTCTGATTTAATCATTAATTTTGTTTTAATCCATTTTTCTCACTTCACAGTTGAGGGAACAAAGTCCAGATGGTATAGTGACTTGACCACGGTCACAACAGCTAAGATTAATTAGTAAGAGACTAGAACTCTCACCTTCCTTCTTGCATGCTCTTCTCATTGTACTGTCACCTCCCTTAGTCTTGCCAGTTTCTCTTCTAATAAATCCTTATATATGAAACACTGACATACCAGTTTTACTTTTTATAGGGCCTTAACATAAAGCCTCCTAAATTGGTTGATAAAATTATTTGATCCAGTAATTACATAGCAGAATAAACATGACTTCTAGATTCTCTTCCTGACATCTTAGCAGTTCTCAGCCCTCTCCTCTGTGACCCGTCCACCTACTCTCTCAGGTAGTAAATGATAGTGCCCGCCCCAAAGTATGTCCTCAGGAGACGCTTTAGTCAAAAAGGGCCCCATGTCAAACATGTTTGCAAAATGCTCATAGTACATCTGATTCCTGCCCTGGGAATTGATAATGTGTGTCAAAGGCTCTGAGAGTGCTATAATCAAGAAATTTGTATGACTTTATTAAATTTAATATTTATGAAGTTGATTTTGCTATAGAACTCTTTTCCTAACAACACCTATTTTGCTATGGAACTCTTTCCCTAACCTATTAAAAGTTTGCAGAACACATTTTAAGAAAAAGCAGCTCCAAATTCTTTTTCTTCATTTCTGTGTAACTCTCCCATCCTTAGCATATCTACACTGCCCTACAAAAACATTTCCATCCTGTGACTACCTGTTTAAGTTCCTATCATGGTAAAGTATTAGTAAGGGCTTGCTATGTCTAGGAAAAACACTGAATGTGTATTCTAACATGAGTTGAATCCCAGTTTCTCCGGCTACACGACCTTGAAGAAATAGCTTTACTTTCTGTAAGCATCAATTTCTTCACCCATAACCTCAACATCCTAATTTCTGCCCTTCCGATATCATTATTGCTGTGAGAATCAGCTGAACTAGTAGATGAGAAAGGATATCGTTCATTCTAAAAGATGTTATAAATGTTAAAAATTATTATTCTATCATTATTAATGGCAATGGCAATGAGGCTAAACCTCCTTTCTTAAGCAACACATTTACATTAGTGTCAAACATTCCCAAAGGGAATAAAAACTGCTCATATTGGGTTTAATCTGTCAATTGAGCATTGAGAATTACAGCTGAAGAATCAAAACAGAAATGAGTACATTGCAAAAGAAAAGGAGAAGGGAGGTATAACCCTGGGGTGTTGGGGAGTGGGGGCAGGTAGCTGAGAGGAATCTAAACTCAATCTTTGAGGAGGGAGAGCTCTTGTGGAACTTCAATAAGTGATCTCCTATGACCCAGGGACAGGGGTAAATGGTGCAGTCAGGAGTTAAGTGCCTGGTGGAGCCATACACAAAACTGTTAATGAAATGGAAGGCTTGGACAGCAAGCAGCAGAGACCCCTCCCTAGTGACATGAAGCCAGGAGCCCTAAGAGAACAAGCAAGAAACAGTCTTTTGTGAGACACAGCAGAGATCTGTCCCTTTGGCCCAGAAGGAAGATCGCAGATAGGACTGGATGTCAGCAACTGGAGGTCAACAACTTAGAGCAGAGCCAGAGAAATACTAGTTTTTCACCAATGGGTTTATATGAGTATGTCCTACTTGTCTGACAGGCTGGTGGCCAGAAAAAAACATCTGTTACACATTTTAATAGGGGCCTTCTGAACACATGATGCTGTAACACAAAGGAGTGATGTAAATGGTGGGGAAATTTAGAGATCACAGCTGGCCAGAAACTAAACTTAACATGGGTCCTTTAAGGCTTTGTCCTTCTGACCATTCCAGGTTCCTAAATCTTCCTGCCAAGTTGGCTGGAAGCCAAAATATTTCTCAACTTTGCATTTATTTCAGGGTGTTAATCTCACAGGCAACCAACCCCTACTTAATAAACTCCAGCTCTCCATGCCCACTCCTTTAGGATGCCTGTGTGTGCTCTCCCGAAGGCTCAGCACACATGCGCCTACCGCTGTCGTTTCCTGCCTGGGGAGGGTGTTGACACAGGAGAGCCAGGGCATCATGCAGCTGTCATCAGCTCAATGCCACAGATGGCATCTCGATTATGCATCCCCTTCCCAAGGCACTTGCCCGTGAGTCTGTGAGCCCTCTACCTGGCTCTGGGTCTTCTTTCCAGCCCCAGAGGCCAGCAGGAGAGGAAGGGTAACGGGGCTCAAGATGGGCTCAAGATCCTTTCGCTCTGCTACCAAGCTGGGAAGGAGTGGGCTTCCCTTGCCTTTTCTTCAGTCCCACTTTTAATCACTAACCACAGAAGGTAATGAGAAAGTGCTTGAATTACAAAGATTCCCATTTATTACTCTGACTGCCCCTCCACAAAGCCCCTCTTTTCCCCTTTGGCAAGAACAGATCACTATTGACACTTTTAGAAGGCCCTGGGCCCCTCTCAATTATTGGCCTAATCTCTGCCTGCTGAATTCTGAAAGCAGAATTCTTTTCTAACTAGATTTTTTAGAAAGTGAAGAGGCTACCCTTGGCTTTATTCATTGGAATGACTTCGCAGGCTAATGTATTCTCCTGTCAGTATATTTTATGGATTCAGCAACATCTGCAGGATATGGAAAGAACAGAAACAAACCAGATGTTTCAAAAAGGTAGCTCCACTAAGCCTCCTTAACATAATTATTGCAATATCACATCCACATTTTATTGTACCTCTTCTATATTTATATGCTGTTAACTTTTCCTGTAGAAATCCGAACCAAGTTCCTTCTAAACAGATTTGCAATCTTTAAAAACAATTTTGACATATATCCTCCATTAAATCCAAATTTTCTTTATCAAATTTTAGAGGGGAAAATAAGATTAAGGAAATGTAGATATTTATCTCAGCCTTCAACATTTACACTCATTTAGTTAATTAGCACTTAATTACACTGTCAAAGGGGGAAATTTTACCACGGACAGACCAATCCCCACCCCTCAGGCCCTCGCTTCTAAGAGAAGCAGACCTTTGCTGGGAGCCAGCTCATTCCTCCACGAAACATTTGTAATGATTACTTGACAAGGAGTGCAGATACAAAATTGCGCAACAGAGAGCCATCACTCACCACAGCCCGCTGGAATTCTCATGCTGGAGCAACAGTGCCCCCCAAAGCAAGCGGCCAGAAGCACCCTGCAAGCAAACACTGGGCTGCCCAAACTTCTATTTTCTGCTTTATAAGCTGAGGAGCTATTTTAAGAGCTGCTGGCCAAAAGCAGGCTCTATTACAACCAGACCAGCATTCCAACCAAGCTGGGGAGCCTCGGCTGGAAACAGAATGTTTCCACCTATTTTAAATCAGACGCCAGGAATTCTCTAAGGAAGAGATGGGAGGTGGGGAAGGAGAGACATGGTAGAAAATTGGAAAATTTTAGAAGTTTGCCAAACTCAAGAGAACAAAGTATAACTGGATTAATGCACAAATCTTATTAACCAAAATGCAAATGAATAGAGTTCCTCCATCTTTTCACAAATGGCAATATTATTTGGTCTCAGCTTTCCTGCCAAACAGAAGAACTCATTAAAGCTGTTGGAAAATAATAGTACTCTAATTAGTTTAATTATGATACGATGAATCAACCCAATTTTTAAAAACAATATGCAATTAGCCTTTTTTAAGTCAAAGACTCTGTTTTCCAAAACAGGAAATGAAGCATAACACTCTTATTTCATCGTTAGGGCAAAATCCTAACCACTCTGATACAGTAGTATAATGAGCATGTAATGAAACCAACAGTCCCCACTTCTTCAGCAACTCTCTTTGTGCATTGACTAGACGGCCTTTTGGCTTCAAGAATGGCAACTGCATTAAGCTGGAGGCTGACCCAAATTTTCCCTTTCAAGTTCTAAGTCCTGTTTTCTATTTTCGTTTCTATCCTGGAATAGGGTCACCCTACAAAAGATGAAATATTACATTCTTAGAAGACAATGAACTGATGATGTCATATTGGCATGTTTGGGTTTTATACTGCTCTTGGGGGTAGTGCAAGGAAAAAAATAATGTGGTGTTGGAAATGGGGAATGCAAGCCAGGCAGCCTGAAATCCAAACTTTTAAAATCAAACCACATAATCAACACCACAATATCGATACTGGGGAGGTTGGAATAGTAAACAAATAGTATATATTTTTTAAAAAACCCTCTTTCCCCTGGGAAAAAAATCCACAATGAGACTCCCACCCACTACAATCTTACCAAAATAGCTAAAATTAAAAGGACTGATAATACCAAGTATTTGTAAGGATAAGAAGAAATTAGAAGTATCATACATTTTTAGTGAGAGTATAAATTGGTACAACACTTTGGAAAACTGCTTCATGGTATCTACTAAATAGCTAAATCCTAAGACCTAGCAATTCCACTCCTGGCCAACCTAAATGAGTGCACACATCCATCAAAAAGCATGTACAAGGACGTTCATAGCAGCTTTATTCATAATAGCCTGAAATTGAAAACAACCCAAAAGTCCATCACTAGTAGGATGAATAAATTGTGACATATTCATATGATGGAATAGTACATAACAATACTGCCCAAACACAGAAGAGTACATACAACAAGCTTTCACTTACATTTTGTTAAGAAATAGGCAAAACTAATCAGTGGTGATAGAAGGCATCATGAAAGTAGTGGAGGAATGACTGGGCAGGGCATGAGAGCCTTCTGGGGTGTACCGGAATTGTTATGTATCTTAATTTGGGTGGCAGCCACACGGGTACATACATAAGTAAAAATGTATGCAACTGGATAGTTAAGATGTATCCCATTTATGTATAGTATACCCCAATTTTATTAAAAAAAAAAACAAAACAAAACAAAACCGTAAAAGCAAAGGCAGAAGAAAAGGAATCTCCTGCTACAAACTAGAGTCCTCTGCTTCAAATTTGTAACATACAATGTCACTTCCCTACATGAAACCCTCCAGGACTTCCCCTTCCTCTGAGAATGGTCTGCAAACCTTTCACTTGGCCTGCATATCCTGGGCCCTATCTACCTTGGCAAACTTTTTACTCATCACCTGTGTTCCACTTCCTCTTGCTAACTGCCCTCCAGCCACCCTGATAGTTTTCTCATCTAATACATCAGGCTCATTTTGACCTAGGTACTTGCCACTTGCTCTTCACTCTGCATGCACTGCTTTTCTCCAGATCCCCCTATGATCACCCCCAACTCATCAGTCAGACCTCAGCTCAAGTGCCATCTTCAGAGAGGCCTCTGCTGCCCACCCTAGCTAAAGTAGCATGCTCATTTCACTACCATCTCTCTCTAGCCTATCACCCCATCTATCCTTTTCAATTTTATACATAGTGCTTCTCATTCTCTAAGATTATCTGGCATGTTTACTTGCTTATTTTCTGCATTCTCCTCTAAAATATATGCTTCTCAAGAAAGTGGACAAGGTCTGTCTTGTTCACTACTGTATCTCCAGTCCCTAGGGTAGAGCCTGTCATCTAGTAGCCACTCAATAAATATTTGCTTAATCATGACTCAATAAATGAATAAATTACCACCCCCAAAAGTTAATGGGCATGGGAAAATTCATAAGGAACATCATGGCACAGTCAAAAGAGCACTGGATTAGGAGTCAGAAGACCGAGATGCTTAGAGTAGATGATTAGCTGCTTTAACATTTTTGATATCACCTATCTAAATCTAGTTGGGAGATTGGACATGTGGACATGAGGAGATAATGAGCAAATGATGCAGCAAAAGGCCAAAGGAGAGACCTCAAAAGATGAAGCCCTATGGTTAGGTTGGCCTGGTCAGGTGACCTTGCAAAGGAGGTGGGGTTTTCACTGGGCCTGGAAGGCTTAGGGGAAGGAATGGGAAGAGATAGAAAGAAGCAGAAGATCATAAATTGCGAACTTGGGTCAGCGAATGTGCAGAGGTGAGAAAACCCAAGACCTGCTGAAGACCCAGGAGCAGATGCATGTCACTCAGAGCAGAGGACTGGTTCAGGAGACTGTCTCACCAGTGTCCAGAAAGTGACTGTCCTCATTCTTTGAGCACACACAGATCTTAGAAGGGCTTAACAATTACCAGTGAACAAACCTTCTGCCAAAGAGAAGCCACTTGTATTAAACAATGGATTTCATGTACTGTGACCTTCCTTGAAACTGTGGCCTAAAAGGAATATGAATCAAAAGTCAGAAATTTGCACTATGTCGGAAGCAGCCAAGATGGCCAAATAGGAACAGCTCTGGTCTACAGCTCCCAGTGTGAACGAAGCAGAAGACGGGTGATTTTTGCATTTCCATCTGAGGTACCGGGTTCATCTCACTGGGGAGTGCCAGACAGTGGGCACAGGACAGTGGGTGCAGTGCACTGTGCGCGAGCCGAAGCTGGGCAAGGCATTGCCTCACTTGGGAAGTGCAAGGGGTCAGGGAGTTCCCTTTCCTAGTCAAAGAAAAGGGTGACAGACAGCACCTGGAAAATCAGGTCACTCCTGCCCTAATACTGCGCTTTTCCGACGGGCTTAAAAAATGGCGCACCAGGAGATTATATCCTGCACCTGGCTGGGAGGGTCCTACACCCATGGAGTCCCGCTGATTGCTAGCACAGCAGTCTGAGATCAAACTGCAAGGCAGCAGTGAGGCTGGGGGAGGGGCACCCATCATTGCCCAGGCTTGCTTAGGTAAACAAAGCAGCCAGGAAGCTCGAACTGGGTGGAGCCCACCACAGCTCAAGGAGGCCTGCCTGCCTCTGTAGGCTCCACCTCTGGGGGCAGGGCACAGATAAACAAAAAGACAGCAGTAACCTCTGTAGACTTAAATGTCCCTGTCTGACAGCTTTGAAGAGAGCAGTGGTTCTCCCAGCACGCAGCTGGAGATCTGAGAACAGGCAGACTGCCTCCTCAAGTGGGTCCCTGACCCCGGACCCCGACCCCTGGGCAGCCTAGCTGGGAGTCACCCCCCAGTAGGGGCAGACTGACACCTCACATGGCCAGGTACTCCTCTGAGACAAAACTTCCAGAGGAACGATCAGACAGCAGCATTCGCGGTTCACGAAAATCCGCTGTTCTGCAGCCACCACTGCTGGTACCCAGGCAAACAGGGTCTGGAGTGGATCTCTAGCAAACTCCAACAGACCTGCAGCTGAGGGTCCTGTCTGTTAGAAGGAAAACTAACAAACAGAAAGGACATCCACACCAAAAACCCATCTGTACGTCACCATCATCAAAGACCAAAAGTAGATAAAACCACAAAGATGGGGAAAAAACAGAGCAGAAAAACTGGAAACTCTAAAAAGCAGAGTGCCTCTCCTCCTCCAAAGGAATGCAGTTCCTCACCAGCAACGGAACAAAGCTGGAGGGAGAATGACTCTGACGAGTTGAGAGAAGAAGGCTTCAGACAATCAAACTACTCCAAGCTACAGGAGGAAATTCAAACCAAAGGCAAAGAAGTTGAAAACTTTGAAAAAAATTTAGACAAATGTATAACTAGAATAACCAATAGAGAGAAGTGCTTAAAGAAGCTGATGGAGCTGAAAGCCAAGGCTTGAGAATGACGTGAAGAATGCAGAAGCCTCAGGAGCAGATGCGATCAACTGTAAGAAAGGGTATCAGTGATGGAAGATGGAATGAATGAAATGAAGCAAGAAGGGAAGTCTAGAGAAAAAAGAATAAAAAGAAACGAACAAACCCTCCAAGAAATATGGGACTATGTGAAAAGACCAAATCTACGTCTGATTGGTGTACCTGAAAGTGATGGGGAGAATGGAACCAAGTTGGAAAACACTCTGCAGGATATTATCCAGGAGAACTTCCCCAATCTAGCAAGGCAGGCCAACATTCAAATTCAGGAAATACAGAGAATGCCACAAAGATACTCCTCGAGAAGAGCACCTCCAAGACACATAATTGTCAGATTCACCAAAGTTGAAATGAAGGAAAAAATGTTAAGGGCAGCCAGAGAGAAAGGTCGGGTTACCCATAAAGGGAAGCCCATCAGACCAACAGCGGATCTCTTGGCAGAAACTCTACAAGCCAGAAGAGAGTGGGGGCCAATATTCAATATTCTTAAAGAAAAGAATTTTCAACCCAGAATTTCATATCCAGCCAAACTAAGCTTCATAGGTGAAGGAGAAATAAAATACTTTACAGACAAGCAAATGCTGAGAGATTTTGTCACCACCAGGCCTGCCCTAAAAGAGCTCCTGAAGGAAGCGCTAAACATGGAAAGGAACAACTGGAACCAGCCACTGCAAAATCATGCCAAAATGTAAAGACCATCGAGACTAGGAAGAAACTGCATCAACTAACCAGCTAACCAAAATAACTGCAAAATAACCAGCTAACATCATAATGACAGGATCAAATTCACACATAACAATATTAACTTTAAATGTAAATGGACTAAATGCTCCAATTAAAAGACACAGACTGGCAAATTGGATAAAGAGTCAAGACCCATCAGTGTGCTGTATTCAGGAAACCCATCTCACATGCAGACACACACATAGGCTCAAAATAAAAGGATGGAGGAAGATCTACCAAGCAAATGGAAAACAAAAAAAGGCAGGGGTTGCAATCCTAGTCTCTGATAAAACAGACTTTAAACCAACAAAGATCAAAAGAGACAAAGAAGGCCATTACATAATGGTAAAGGGAGGGAGGGAGAGATGAAAGAAATTTAAAACATGCATCCTTTATGAAGAAGTGAGAGATTTGTACACAAAATAAACACAAATGTGTGGTGATACATTCCTTTACTCATGTGTCCTAACACATTTTGTTATATAGAGCTAACGACGTTGCTGAAGTTTGAAAGGTAAAATGCTATCTTGTTACCTCCAACTGCTATCACCAAACCAGTCATAAAGTTTAAAAAAAAAAAAAAAAAAAAAAACCACATACAATTTTCAAACTATGAATGTTTTCAAATAAATGACTTTTTTCAGAGTAGGAATCATTTGATTGGATTGAGAATGTTGTCCAGGAACTGTGAAGTGTGTGTATATGTGTATATTTGTGTGCACAGCCAGAGCCTGACGAATAGTACACTACCCAGTGATTTACAGATAAGAAAGTATTTAGAACGTAGACAAGCTCAGACTACCAGGAGTGGGTTGCAAGCAGGGATACAAAGAAAGTTCACTGATGCCAACTGTCTTTCATCTGAACACAGCTTGGAGTTTGGTCTGGAAAAAAAAAAAAAGGGACTTTACTCAGTTGTTATTTTTTCAGAAATGATTCATTTATTCTTACTGCACAGCTGGAAACACATGGGAAGAGGTGAATGTTTCACCGTGGAAGGTTCAGTTGGAAGGAATTTGCTATTGAGCTCATAAATTGTGAATTTCAGACCTCCAGTTCTAAGGTTGGGACCTAAGATTGGCAATGTCCTCCTTTCCATTACAGAACCAAACCAACGGGATTCCAGTGGGTCATTCCCCTGTAGACTCTCCCTGACTCCATAAGACTGGCAAGGTTGAGGTTGCCTTCATAGGGCCAACCTTATGAGTCACCCAACTGGGTGAACCTCTGGTGCCTTTGGAGTCTGCTAAATATTTCAGAAAAGTCTCAATGGTTAGGACTATTGTTGCTTACAGCATCTGAATGTTCTGATGATGCTCAAGAAAGTTTCAGTTCTCACAGATCACAAATGACTGCCACAGTCAGAAGAACCTATAGTTAGTCTGCTTTTATTGAAAGAAGGTGAAGGAGGAAAAGGAGAAAAGTCAAAGGGTGAGGGGAAGATGAGAGACACAACTTTCATTTATATGAAGTGGCAGGAAAAGCTGCGAAGAAACAGAATTTTCAAATTCTGTTTTCACCATTTGTCTCAGGCTATGTCTATATACTTGGCAATAAAATCCTGCTATCTCTAACTTTTACTTAAAATGATCGCTATGGTGCATGTAATGTATGACATCAGTTCTTCAATCTTAATCAATAACTCCAGGATGATGACACATTGGGCTATCTGAAGGTTGCCATTTAAAGGTTTTGCACTATCATTCAATCACTCTCTCTGCTCTCTCTGTTCAGCTTCACCTGCAGCTACCTATTCAAACCCAGCTCTCTTCATGGTTTATTTGCTAATAAGCCATCCTGATTTAATTATTCTCTGAAAACACTATGTGAATCCCCACCTCCAGGTCTTTGCTCACATCACCTACCCTCCACACATGCTGTCTCTCCTTCCTGTCAAAGCACACCTGTGTGTCTGCAGTCCTTGGCTCATCCTCCTCCTGCTCCTCTGAACTCCTATAACGCTTTCAGTGTCATTGAATTCCCAGTGTATGTTTCTTTCATTGTCAGATATTACTGTCCTTGATGGCAAAGACTATGGTTTCAGGCTTTTTTATATTCTTGTCATCAGTGATAGGTGCCATCAGTAATGGGTGTTCGACCTCTTCACAGCAATACCGAATACAAAGAAAATTCTGGACTCAGACAGAGTTGGGTCAAGTCCCATCGCCACTGTTTACTAGATTCCTCCTGTCCCTGGCCCTCATATCCAATGTGTCGTGAAGCCCTGTCAGTTTTACTTCCAAAATATATATTCAATCTAGTTGCTTCCCTTTTCCATTGTGTTTATTCATATCACCAGCGTCTTTCACTTCAGCCATCAAGACAGCCTCCTATCTAGCCTTCATGCTTCCATTCTTGCTCCTTCCCCTCCATTCTCCATACTAAATACAATAATCTTTTTGTTAAGAGTAAGCCAGATCATCTTACTTCCATGCTAAAAACTCTTTAATGTTTTCCCACTGTGCTTGGGATGAAGCCCAGACCCCTGACCATGGCTTGAAGAATGTCTGACCTCTACCCTTCTCTGCAGCATCATCTCACACCTGTCTACCCCTCTGTCACTACACTCCAGCCACACTGGCCCTTGGATACTTCCTTAAAATGGCTTAGTTCTCACCCATCTTCAGGGCCTCTGCCTGGACAGTTATCTCAATCTGAAATCCTCTTTCTTGATTCTCAGCCTAGCTGGCTTCTTCTCATCCCTCAGGTTTCAGCTCAAATGTCCCACTGTCACAGAGAACCTTCTCATCACCCTATCTAACATATTCCTGTCCACCTTGTTTTTCTCTATTACAGCATCCTGTTTACTACTCTTATGGCACAACAGTCCATAATTATCTTGTTTGTTTACTTGTCTGTATCTGCTGAGTCAGTGAAAATGTACAACCCATGAAGGTAGGCATCATATCTGTTGTGTTCTCCATTGTCTCTGTCACCACTAGGATAGAGTCTAATGCATAGCATATGCTCAATAAACAGTATTAGCAACTTTTACTAAACAGAACATGTTAATTTATGAACAGAGTCACAGGCATATACTTCTATTTCTTCCCTCTCAGCCTTTGTGCTATTGTTCTTGTACATTTTACTACATATAAAGCCCACACTGCCTTATTATTATTTTTAACAGCCCACTATCTTTTAAAGAGATTTAGCTAATAAGAAAAAAAAAACCCTACATATTTATCTATGTGGTCACTGTTTTCAATTCTCTTCATTGTGTTGCATAGATCCCTATCTGGTATCACATTTTTTCTGCCTGAAGACTATTTTTTAAAGCATTTCTTGTAGTACAGGTCTACGGATAATAAATTATTTCAGCCTTTTTATGTCTAAAAAAATCTTTATTTTGTTTTCATTTTGAAAGATGTTTACACTGGGTATAGAATTCTAGGTTTTATTACTTTAGAATTTTAAAGATAGTGCTCCACTGTCTTCTTACTTACATTGTTTCTAATAGGTAATCTGCCATCAACCTTAATTTTTGTCTCTCTGTATACAACGTATTTTTTTTTCTATGGCTGCTTTTAAAATTTTTTCTACCACTGGTTTTGAATAATTTGATTGTGATGTACTTAGCATTTTCTTTATGTTTCTTGTGATTGGAGTTCTTAAGATTCTTGGATCCATGGACTTGTGGTTTTCATTAAATTTGGAAACTTTTTGGCTATTATTTCTTCAAATATTTTTATATGCCAATATAACCCCACTTTGAGGACTCCAGTAGCATGTAGATGAGGCTAATGGAGATTGTTTCATACTTTACTGATAAATCTCTTCTGTCTTTTGAGCCTTTTTTCTCTGTATATTTCCTTTTGGATAGCTTCTATAGCTGTCTTCAATTCACTAATCTTTACCTCTGCAATGTCTAATATGCTGTTAATCTCATCAAGCGTGCTTTTTATCTCAGACATTGTAGTTCTCACCTTTTAAAGTTTGATTTGGTTTGGTCTTTTTTACATCTAATTAGTACGTATCTCTATTAACAAGCATGCTCAACCTTTTCTCTAGCTTCTTGAACACACAGAATACAGTTACAGTAACTGTTTTTAGTGCCCACGTCATCAAATTTTAACAGCACTGTTAGTTCTGGCTGGATTCTAATTAATTGTTTTTACCTCATTTAGGTCATATATTCCTGTTTTGCTTGACTAGTTATTTATTATTGGATGCCAGGCACTGTGGATTTCACCTTGTTGGGTGCTGACTATTTTGTAGTTCCTATAAATATTCTTCGTTCTGGGATGCAGTTAAGCTACTTGGAAAGTTTGATTCATTGCTGGCTTGCTTGTAGGCTTTATTAGGTAGTCTTAGGTCTAGGGCTATTTATTCCCTACTACTGAAGCAAGTCTCTTGTAAAGATTCTATCCAGTGACCAGGAATCATGAAGGTTTTGAGTTTGGCTGATGAGAACAGGCACTATTCCTTGCCTTGTGTGAGTACCAGGCACTTTTCCCTCTAATACTTCCAGGTGGTTCTTTCTTCTTCCTGGGAAGTTTTTTCACACACATGTGCTAATCAATATATAGCCAAATACTCAAACGGGCCCTCTGCAGATTTCTAGAATTCTCTCTGTGTGCAGCATGTTCCTCCCTGGCACTCTGCCCTATGACTTCTAGCTGCCTTGGGGCCCCTAGATCCTCAGTTCCATCTCCTCCTCCTGTACCACAGCCTGGAAATTTTCTTAAGGTTATAAGCTGCAGCAATCACAGGGCTCAACTCACCTGAGTCCCTCAGGAATCACTGTCTTTCAATGTCTAATGTCCAGTGTCTTGAAAGTGGGCTTGTCTTTTTTGTTTTTAGATTTTTAATAATTTTGGAGGAAGAGCATGTCTGGTCCATTTTACTCCATTTTGGTTGGAAGCAGAAGTTGCATGATGCATATAAACATTACCTAATCCTCTTGCTCATCAAGCTACTATCTGGGAAACAGTTCTAGTGGATAATAAAACAGTAATAAGGAAAACATTTTTCAAAAAGTAGAGAAGGAAGAATGTACTATGAAGTCCCACACCCTAGTTATGCTGGAGTTGGCTAGCAGAGAAAGGAGAAGGAAATAATCACTACTAATTACTGTGTTATTTGGGGGTATATAGAATAGGCCATGCTAAATAAAATTCTTTTCTATTTTGGTAGAAACTAAGGTAGGGTTCAGTAAGGTGAAAACAAAGCCAACACCCCTCTCTTAAGCCTCTTCTTTCATTAAGTGATGTGACCTGCGCCACAAAGGAGGGTCATCAGCAAACACAATGGTCTGTGAGCACATCACAGGATGTGCTCATTATACCACAAAGATAGAGTAGGGACCAAGCAATCACAGGGCAACACGGAAAATTGTTTTATAAGCCGATTTTTACAAATTGATTTCAAAACTGGGGAGCAATTACCATTAAGCAAAATAATTTGCTGCCCCAAAGAGGCTAGGGCAAGGCAATAGGTCCAAAGATAACCTAAGCCATCATTAGAGAAATCCAGTTATTTAGTCAATTTTACTTATTTACAGGACTAAAGATTAATGAGTTCAGATACTCACTCAGACAGTAATTAGGTTTCAAAAACATACTATAACACAATCAATCATGGCTCTTGAACATAATGGCATTAGGGCAGAGCCCTCTTTCAGCTCCAGTTATTAGCAACTGATTGGTGAACACTGGGCTTAAGCTGAGAGGCTACCCCAGGGCCCTGCAATAAAATGAAAGAAAACCTTTGAATAAGAAGACAGCATATCTTTGATCCTTTGTCCTTTGCTTGGATATTCTGAGATATTAAGCTCAGAATGTAAGAATCTGTAACAGAACTTCAAGATTGGTGGCATTTCAAAATACAGTTGGTATTTCACTTTCAATAAAAATTTACTTGAAAATCCAGCTATCTATATTCCTTTGAATCTCATCTTTGATGGATATTATCACTTTCTTTTGAATTCATAAAAACTTACTTTCTCATTACTTTATAAATAAAGATAACTTAGGGATTTTATGAGTATACTGGGACTCCATGGCACCAAAGAGAAAGGCAGGAGAATAAAAAGCAAAAGAGCTTTTAGATGAGGAACAAATTTCCATTTTCTGCTTTTATTTAGCAAAGAATAGCTTCTCTTGTCATGGAACAAGGTAAAGGCATAAGTCCTAGATTCATAAAATCTAGGGTGGAGAAGAGATAGGAAAAGGAAAAAGCAGTAATCACTTGGAACATTTTTAGATATAAAGAAAAGTTGCAAGGATAATAGAGAATTTCCATATACCCTTTGCCCAGTTTCCCCTAATGTTAACATCTCACATTACCATGACACATTTGCCAAAACTGCAAAACTAACATTGGTACATGACTATTAACTAAACTCCAGATGTCATTTGGATTTTACCTGTTTTTCTACTAATATTATTTTTGTGCTCTGTATTTTTTGTTTTTTTGTTCCAGGATCCAGTCCAATATACCACTTTGCATTTGGTCATCTGCCTCCTTAAGTCTTTTCAGGTCTATGCAGCCTCTTAGTCGTTCTTTGTTTCCCATGACCTTGACAGTTTTGAAGAATACTGGAGAGGTAGGCTGTAGAATGTCCCTCAGTATGTCTAATGTTTTCTCATGACTAAAGTGGGGCTATGGATTTTTGGAAAGAATACCACGTAGGTAAAGTACCCTTCTCACTGCAATATGTCAGCAGCTATAAGGATATCAGCATGATTTATTACTGGTGATATTCACCTTAATCATTTGGTTAAGGTGATGACTGCCAGTTTTCTCCACTGTAAAGTTACTTTTCCCTTTCCATATTCTATTCTCTGGAAGCAAGTCACTATGTACAACTCCCATTTGAGAGGGAGAGAGAGAATAAAGCTCTGTCTCTTAGAGAGTGGGTATCCACTTATTTTACTTGGATTTCCTCTATAAGAAATATTTGACCTTCTCCCCTTTTATTTATTTATTCAATTGTTTCCCTTCCCTATTTTTAATAAATACTTTCTCCTAGCTTCTTCTCTCTATATATTGGATTTTATATCAAAGTATATAGCAAACACAATAGCTCATGCTGTATTGGAAAGACTCACCAGACCTCCTTCAAAGACACGTGCCTGTCCTCCATGAAGCCACTGTGCAATTTGTTGAATTTGTAGTTTTACCCTTCACATTTTTTTTCCTGACTTTTTTAATGGAAAGCTTATTTTTCTGTGGTTGTTTGTATAGATGCCAGGCATTTCCTTTAAGAGTGTTAGGACTTTCTCTGATACAGTTCACTTTTTTCATACATATTATACAGGCTATGGAATCAATCTAAGACTGTGTAAACTTAGGCTGTATCTCCATAAGTTTTTAAGACCCAGTTGAAAAATAAAAATATAATATTTGTTCCATTCAATCCAGCAGTTGTTTAATTTCCATAACAGCAAGCAAAGGGTTTGACTGACTTTTTCTAAACTAATCATGTTTCTCTCTGTTTCCATTTGGATCTACAAATTCTTTTACCATATGAGAATCCTTGGGAAATAAAAAAAAAAAGAATTGACGTATTTTCCCCTACATAGTCTCTTCCCTGCCCAGCCCTTCTCCAAGGAAAAGAAAAGACCCCCTTAAACCTTTAAATTCAGTCCTGAGATAGATACTGAGGTGCATAACTGCAGAAGAGCATAGGGATTTGCATTTGATGTTTGGTTTATCTGAAGCCCAATCAATTGGCTCCCTGAATGAGCCAGACCAAATTTCTTGTGTGCTATGCCAGGCTTCCTGTGAGTCTTGAGTCCAACCATTGGATTCTCACCAGCTTTTCCAGGAGAGAGCAACACAAGACCCATGGGACCTTCTGCATTCCAGCTCTAAGAAAGTTCTGTCAACAAGGCATTGATTTCAAGTATGGGTAAAGGCATCCCCCAGTGTGTCACCATGCACGAATATTGCCAATGCTAACATGTGCTATAAGCCAGACTTTCCTCATTCTGCCAACAATAAGAAGTGTGCAGCAGCTCAAGGAGGAGCAGGGGAGGCTGCCACCCCTGTAGAATACCCATCGAGTCCTTGGCACTGAACTAGACCTGCTGAGTAGGAAAAGGACACAGACCACTTCATTTTTATTCCTTCCCGCTATGGTTCTTCTTGTCAAGGCCTCATTGCCTCTTTCCTTCTCAATCTCCTTCATCTCTTAAGAATATTCTAGCCGGGCACAGTAGCTCACATCTGTAATCCCAGCACTTTGGGAGGCAGAGGTGGGTGATCGCCCACCCACCTGAGGTCAGGAGTTTGAGACCAGCCTGGCCAGCATGGTGAAACCCCATCTCTACTAAAAATACAGAAATTAGCTGGGCGTGGTGGCGGGCCCTTGTAATCTCAGCTACTCAGGAGGCTGAGGCAGGAGAACTGCTTGAACCCAGGAGGCAGAGGTTGCAGTAAGCCAAGATTGCGCCATTGCACCACCTGGATGACAAGAGCAAAACTCCATCTCAAAAAAAAAAAAAAGAATATTCTAGCTGGTGGATTATTTCCATTCTTCAGAAGTTCCAAGTGTCCAAACATATGCATTTTTTGTTATATACCATTTGTATGTGCTGTTTCAAATATTTTCCATTTTATTCCAGTCTAGCATATAAGCAGTTAAAAATATAAGGTTAAAAAAATTATATGTCTTATCAGTCCTTTCTGCTAGAATGTAAATGCTATGAAGACACTTAAGATTTGTTTACTGCTATGTTGGTTGTGTTTAACAGAGGACCAAGAGGATAATACAGGCTCAATAAATATTTGCTGCACAGAAAGGAAAAATGAAAGTCTCCTCCCAGTGCCTAGTACATCACCTCAACTCAGTCATCATACTGACTGCCGGATGTCAATCATGCCTATTCTCTAAGGGCTTAAGGTCTAGATTAGTGGTAAGGTAACCATGTCTAGCATACTTTAAGAAATAGTGACTGCAAATGTTATATTTATAGAGTCATTTAAAATCCCCTTCTCCCCCAAATACTTTTTTAATCTCATTCTCTGAGCAATTCTATGATATTGGTTTAGTGACTGATTTCTTAGGATCCCAATCTGGATGAAAATAACTGAACCTACCCTCGACAATTTTGATCCATTGGCACTGACAACACCAAGCATTTGTTGTGAAAGAGCTAGCTGAATGAGGAAAGTTAATTTTTGTACCTTTTGTAATCATCCTATAAATGTAAAATCATAACAAAAAAATCAGAAGTATTTCTCAAGTGCATTTTTAGTTTTCTGAAATTACAGTACATACATTTCATGTCTCGTACTCCAAACCTTGACCTTTTACTTGTCAGTAGGCAAGTTTGGGTTGGACATACTTTCTTCCAGACATGCTCATTTTTTGTTGGAGTCTTGATTGGGCCTTCACATCTCCAGATGAACCAAACATGATCATTTTGTGATCATTAAAAATTCTCCATATATTTAAATATACTTATATATTTATGCTTCTAACTTGACAAAATGACTTTAAAGTGTAATTGAAGTACAAAGATGTGTATTACATATCTTAAATTCTCTTTACCTTTCCCTCTCCCCTCTCAATATCTCCCTCTTTCTCTTACCTTCCAACTTTACCTCACTCCTAGATTTTATGAATCTAAGACTTGCACCTTTTTTCATTGCTCTAATTTCATGATAAATAAGTTAGCTAGCAAGGCCTCCCAAATCTCTAATTGAAATACACGTGAATCATTTTGGGGGAATCTCACAAGCTTGTCGGAACAGTCTGCCAAACCTGGGGAGATGAGCACCAGGGTATGAACTTTTTTTTTTTTTTTTTTGAGACGGAGTCTCACTCTTTCACCCAGGCTGGAGTGCAGTGGCACAATCTAGGCTCACTGCAACCTCTGCCTCCCAGGTTCATGCCTTTCTGCTGCCTCAGCCTCCCGAGTAGCTGGGACTACAGGCGCCCGCCACCACCCGGCTAATTTTTTGTATTTTTAGTAGAGATGGAGTTTCACCGTGTCAGCCAGGATGGTCTCAATCTCCTGACCTCGTGATCCACCCGCCTCGGCCTCCCAAAGTGCTGAGATTATGAGCATGAGCCACCGTGCCTGGCTGGGTATGAACATTTTAATGAACAGTGGTCAGGTCACCAGGATCATCCCCCTTCAGTACCAGAGTCAAGGGGATCAGCCAACACACGTGGCAAGGCCAGAGGTACAGGTCCCCAGAAGAGAGACAGAGCCTTGACTGCAGGTCTTCCATGTGTCTCCATTGTGTCTGCCTACTCCCCGATTCAAAATTCCTTCCTGCTTTCAAATCCAAGAAAAATAAACTCAGATTCCAGGGTCAGACATTTTTCTCTTTCTAAAAAGTATCAACACTCCCTCCCCTCACCACTCCCCACAAGGAAGTGGATGCAATGCCTGTTCACAAAGGCACATTGGGTGAGGATCTCTGTGTTTAGATTCCTCTCTACAGAGGCCAGAAAGCCTTTAGAGTCACAGAACTGACCCTCGGGCTGAAGCTTGAGGTCATCCTTCATGTTCAGAGTTCCTCACATGCCGTCCCCTGCTCTCTGCCAGACTGTTTGGTGACAAAGAGTCCAGAGGGAGGGAGAGTAAGAAGGGGAAGGGGCCAAGGCAGGGCTTCTCTTTCCAAGATGTAAAAGGCAAACTTCAGGCCACCAAGTCCAAATCGACAACCAGATAGAGCCTCTGTGCTGGTTTGAGCTATTGCTCAACGTTCTAGGCTTTAATATTTTAAGAAAAGTTTATTATGACAAGTCAATGACAGCACTTTTAGTAGGTTAATAAATCATGGGCATATTATATCACAGAGATGACAGCTATGTAAAGCATCACAGGAAACCTGATATTATTTCAACAAAATAGCAACTAGAGCGTCTTGGCACTTACTGTAATTTTAAGTCAAGGTTTAAAAATATATTATTATTAATATTACTGAATGAGAAATTTCCTTGGATTGGGTACTGAGAAATGAAACAGTTCATTGCACAGTTTAGTGTGAGAAGGAATGAAGCATTACGTGGGGAAGGGATTGCAAATGCAGCTTCCTATATTGATGCTCTGGTTATTTTTTATGATTTGCTAATAGCAGGTTAGGGGAGGGAAAGGAACCCAAACCAGATGAAAAATAGGATAAAAAGATGGCCAAGAGCTTTCTTTCATGGCCTCTTTCCAAGCATATGTGGAAAAAAAAGAGATGTTAATTTTTTAATAAGATTCAGAGCATGGTAGAGTAGGAATTGGGGGCCGACCCAATCTTGTTTTGTTTCTTTCATAAAGGAAACTTGGAAGCAGCTGTCAGAGCTGGGGGGTGACAGATGTTAGCAGTGAAGGGTGCAAAGGCAACAACTTACTCCTCCTTCCAAACTGTGAAAATTGTCCTGTGCCAACATTTTTCTGTTCTTTTGGTGGACAGGACAGTGGATTGGCAGGATTAAGAAAGAATAATAAACCCTGATATGTAAATAGTACTTTCCAGTTTACAAAATGCTTTTACATATTTTATCTCAAATCAGCTTTCTACAATAAGCAATCTAGGCTCTGCTGTAATTCTTTTCACATGAGAAGGTGAAGGCTTGGGGAGGTGAAGTGACTTGCCCCCAAACCCACAAAACTGCTTGTGATTGAGAAAGGCTAATAATCCAATCTCCTGGTGGTTGGGTCAGAGCTTTTTCCATTATGTGTGTTTATCTCAGTTTCATCTGGTTTGGGTTTCTTTCCCTGCTCCATCCTAATATGAGCAAATTATAAAACATAACCAGAACATCAATATAGGAAACTGCATTTGCAATCCCTTCCCCACATAATACTTCATTCCTTCTCACACTGAACTTTGCAATGAATTGTTTTAGTTTTTAGTACCCCATCCAAGACTGTTAATCCATGTCACTATTTCTTTTAACTTCTTGTAACTGCTTAGCACTGGAATCCAATAGTTTAGTGGGCATAGTCAGTGCCATCATCCCTGGAGGGAAAGGTGTCCCCTCACAATCTTCCTTCTTAATCCTGGCCTCAGGGCTGGCTTCGTTCCTCTGGTTTTGGATGAGAGAGAAGGGTATTTCACACCAAGGAAGGCTTGACGTTCAGAACAACATCTTGGCAAGGGCAGAGGCCAGCTAGGAAGGGTGAAAGAATCTGTTTTCAGCTCTCTCAGCTCCTGAAGGTCCTCTTTCTGTGTTTAGCATTGCCTTTTCTCTAGGTCTGTCTTCCACCTTCCAGGAAACCAGGGTGTTTCTCCACCACACAGCCACATCCAAAATCTGCCCTCAAGAATCCAGTACCAGTCACTTAAGCCTTGGTCTAAATTTAAATCTATGGTACTTCTCCTAGGGATATATTCATAGCAAGCCTATGTTTAATTGTGGAATAAAATATTTTCCTGCAAAATAATGATAATAATAATAATCATGAACTACTACAAACATGGAAGAGTTGTTCAGTGATTTTCTTGGGGAAGGAAATGGAAAATTTCCTCATATCCCTGACAATGTGCTACACATAGGCACCATTTAAAAGATGATCCAAGCATTGAAAGTAATGTCACAGCATTGTGTATCATCAAGGTATCCTTTAAAGGATAATAGATCATTCAGCATTGTATTACAACAGTGATCATTTTGAAGGTTTGTAATTGAGACACAGAAAAAAATGGAAGTGATGTCATCAAAAAATTTAAAAGCCCCTGGCTTCTAGAACACTCTGTAAGACTCTAAGACAGGTAAGAGCTATCAACCTAATGACCATAGGCTGCAAACCCCAGAAAACTTTAGAGCACAGCTTTCAAATAAGTGGCAACTGGAAATCTACCAGTCAAGGTTTTAAATTTTTTAACATAAATGTAAATCTACTTAACTAATAGCATTGACCCATTCCCTGCTCTTCCTTTTTATTGCTTTCCAAGGCCATGTTATTTCACTTGCACGGAATTAGACACCAAGGATTAAGTCATTTACTCTAGAGTGACCCAGGAGTGGAACTGAGGGTATAACCCAGGCCCACTGACTCCCTTCCACAAGCCATGGATGCTTTAACTACTACATAGGAAATCACCATTCAGAAAATCTCTTAAATAAAAGTCAACAGTAATAATGTCAAGACTTAATAAATGGGTGTGGACTATGTCCTTGGAAAAATTAGTTCTACCAAACTGTGGAGACATGGGCTAGGTCAAAGTGAGTACATGGTTAGACCTGTCTATCTTCTGAAAGAATTTGGAATGAGGAATGAATCATAGAGGTTATCTGGATAATTCATAAATCACAAAAGTCTATCTAGTGCCTGTTATTTCAAAGCAGTTCCATAACATCTCCGGAAGAAAATCAGGTTATCTATATGACCCCAGATGGCACCCACAGCTTCCTAAGCCCTGGCTTTTTACACGTGTGGCTGTGTCTGGGGCAATGCCAGGCATTACCTTCGTAAACTGTGTAGAAAGTAGCCCTACTCACAATCACTCAAATCCCTAGAAACAGAGTCAACTTAAATAAAATGGGCCTTTTAATTCTAATGTGAGCTGTTATTTATAAGTTAGAGTGAGAAAGAGGTTAAAGCTCTTATTTATACAGAAAAATTCCTCTATTCCATGAACCGAAGAAAACAAATGAAGTTGAGAACTCAAAACTGCCTTTCTTAAAAAAGAAGGAGAAGCAGGGGTCAGAGTAGGGGTGGAAGAGAAAACATGTGCCATTCTATAACGTTATTGAAAAGTTAAGTCTCTATGAGTAGAAGAAATATTCTAGAAGCAGAAAGTGGATTTCCATGAAAATACGCACTCCCTAGGAATTTTAACATCTTGGGGCTTACCCAAGCTGTGCTGGGGAAGTGAAAACTCGTGAGCAGCCAAACACTGGGAAATTTTTATTTGCAGCCATAAGTTATCCCATATGGTAGGAGGGTGATTTCTTACACGACAGATAGGAACTTGAATGAACTTGACTGTTTTCTACAAGGAGAAGGGAGGAAGGGATGGGTGGGCCTGATTTCTGTGTCATAACTGGGCCTAGGGTAGTAGCAGCAGCAAATCATCTCGTCAGAATAGTTTTAGTTGGCTAAAAAAAAAAATAAAATTATGGCAAGAGTGACAGTGAAATAAAGCAATAGGACGGGAGGGAGAAGAAAAAATAGAAAAGCAAGGTAAGTGATTACCAGCAAATAGGGAAGGTACGGTAATAAATACCAAAGGCACAGGAGAGGGAGGAGATGAGGGCAGAGGAAGTCGATGGTGGAAAGATTGGTCAGAGGCAAGGAAGGGCATCTCCACCAGGTATATTAGGTCAAGAAGGGCTTCTACTATTACAGAGAAATTCAAGATGGTGTAAAAAAAAAATAGTAAGACGGGCAAAGGTAGAGAACGAACACAAGATAAATTGCATCAGAGGTTGAAATAAATAAGACTTTTTAAGTAGATAAGAAACAAGAGGTCACAGGAAAATTTATTGCCAGAAGAGGAAAAAAAAAAAAAAACTAAATGAATTCCCTGCCTGAGTGTTCACAAAGGATGGGGATAAGGGAGGGGGTATAGAAGCCAGAAACAGGCATAAATTTTCAGAAGGAGGATGGAGAAATGATTAAGGAAATCAAGATCAATAGCAGAGCCAGCCATCAAGACATTGCAATGTTCCCAAGCCTCAGAAAACTCCAGGGGCAGAAATGGCATCTGCCCTGAGCCTGAAGGGACATGATGGAAGGGATCTCAGCAGCCTTCTCACGAAGCTGTTGCAAAACTAGAAAGGGAAAGGCAGGCGCGGTCCTGCAGAGGTGACATGATATCAATTGCGGATGATGCACGAGCCACTCTTGGGTTACCATGTGATGAGACCTAAATGCAGATGAGGGGTGACACTCAGCTCATTCTTCACGACTGGCATTTCCCTTTGACAAGCAGTTGTCAGTAAGGGCTATGTGTCAGTAATAAAATGACTGGTATTTGTACACTCTCAAAGGCCAGTTGTTCTCATCCTGTCCTTTAGCTGTGGCACCAACAAACTGGTGGCTAAGTGATCACTGTGTCTTCTGACCTTTGAGCTCTGGGAGGCCTTCTCTGCCATGCTTCCAGGGAAGAAAATTAACCAAGGCAAACAGGAGGAAAAAGAAGGGAGACTCTGTGGAATCCATCTCATGGATTGAGTTGGTGTACTTACCTCACTTACTCACGTCATATACATTCCCTTTGTGCCTCACTTTTACATTTCTTCCTTTCTTTTACTGTATTGTAAACACCTTTGCAAGCTGCCTTAAATGGTTTTTGAAAAAGCTGAGAGAGGAAGAAGGCTGGAAGAAAGAAGAGGAGAGACTCAAAGAGCAGGAAGAAAAGGAAGAGAGAGGAATTGTGAGTTAATTTCTCAGTGGAGACAGCAGGGCCTAGAAGAGCAAGAACATGGGTCTGAATAAAAAGAAAAACTCACTGGGAACAAGGAAAAAAATCTAAGAATCAGAAAATTATCTAAATCGGTGGGGTTGAAGGAAGGAGTAAACTTAATTGTGAGAAGTGAAGAAAAGATCTGAGGTATAGAGCGTAGAAGAAAGCAGCCGAGGAGAGGAAATGAGAAATGTGGTGGGAAGAAGCCCGTCATGGTTCAGAACGCAGGGTTGAAAGGGAAAGCTAGAGAGAAAGAAGCAAATCATTAGCAGATTTGCACTTGGCTTTGAAGAATATCCTGGGAGACAAGGAACCAAGCTGGTGAGATAGAGGAGAAGACAGGGCATGAAACCAAAACAGCAAGCCAGGAAGAAGAGGGAGCGCAGCATCCTTGAAGCCCAGAGTCCTTTAGGGACCTGGGGCCACAGCACTAAGCCTGTGAACACCAAAAGTGGCTCTTTAGGGAGGGACACATAGATACACACCACACACACAATACACACACAGCACATACACACATGCCACACACACACAGCACATACAACACACACTGCACACATCGCACATAGGAACACAGTACACACACCACACACCCACCTCATATTCACACACACACAGCACATACACACATTACACACACCACACAGACCACCTCACATACACACACACAATACACACACAGCACATACACACACACCACACACACACAGCACATACACACGATACACACTGCACATACACCACATATGAACACTACACACACCACACATCCACACCACATACACACACCACCTCACATACACATACCCACCACACACACACTACCTCACATACACACACAACCACAACACACACACAGCACATACACTACACACAGCACACACACACAGCACATACAAACACACCACCATACACTATACACCATACACTATACACACCACACACACGGCATACACACACTACACACACCACCTCGCATACACACACCCACACTACACACACCCACACCACACACAGCATACACACTACACACACCACCTCGCATACATACACACACACCCACACTACACACACAGCATACACACACCATACACATACCACCTCACATACATACACACACACAGCACACACACAGTGCATACACACACACCACCTCACATACATACATGCACATACAGCACATGCAGTATGTACACATACCACACATGTTACACACATAGCATATCACATACATACACAACACATACACACACACACCACACACACACTACACACACAACCTCACATACACACACACACCACACACACTACACGCACACATCACATACATACACACACCCCCACAGCACACATACAGCACATATACCCACACCACACACAGCACACACACTACACACACACCACTTCACATACATACATGCATACCCCCACAAAACACATATAAAGCACATGCACACACAATCACATACATATACACCCACACACAGCACACATACATGCTACACACACCACCTCACATACATATACACATACTCCCACACCACACACATACAGCACATACAAATACACACTCAGACACATGGCATATACACATACTGCCACAGCGCACACACACACACACACACACAGCACATACACACATCACACACATATATACATTTCTAGCAAAATAAACCAATTTCGGTTCTCCTTTAGGAAAAAAGAGAGATGGGCAATCTATGAAACTTGCTAGTGGAAGACACAAGCTACTCTAATATTCTAGTTATTTGACACCATTAAATTTAATAGCTCAAACTATAAATTCTACACAGGAATGATTATTATTCCATACACAGATAAGTGAGAATGGCTTTGAAAGATATTTTATTTACTAATCTGATTAGAAATTCTTAGCTTGGTCTAACTAGCTCATCAATAAGGAAAATAGCCCATAAATCCTTAAAAAAAAATCAATCATTTGACTTCACAAAATTTCAGGATTGAAAGAAAATGAGGGAAGGTGCGGTCACTTAGGCCATTTCCCCATCAGGATATGCCCATTCCATAAACCACGTCAGAATGAAATGCACATTTTTCATGTCCATTAAGTCAATTAATAGCAAAAGAGTTTTCTTCTCTTCTCTAGGTGGTCTTGTTCATTGCACACTTCTCAGCCAGAAATATATATCTATTTATTATATTTTCTAATATTCAATCTGAAGTAAAAATCAGGAGGTTTTCACTCCTATTTTGTAGTTAGGAAGATGGAGTCCATAAAGAAGGAATCAAATGAGACCAGTGTCAACTAAATTAAAACAAGAGAAAGGATTGCCCTGTAATTGAATATAAAAGGAATTGGTTTCCTCTAGTTTAAGAAAATAATGTGAGCCCTCAAAATAACCTTCCCTCTTCCTTGATCAATATGCCCCAGCCCACAGCAGTGCACTTACGCAGGGTATGGGCAATCCATGGTGACAGATGTTTTTGGACAGCCGAATTTTCAGATATTGATTCACTAGATAGCCTTTCAAATCTTCCAGTGAAGAGAAATCAGAACTGTTGAAAAATCAGAACCTCTGACAACCATATTTGCTCTGCTCAGCTAATGTCAGTTACCGAACGTGCTGCTCACTTGAGACTGGACATGGCTCTCCAGTTCAACCCAGTCCCCACCCAGGGGCACCAACCATTTTGGTAGCCTGCTTGGCCCCTGTAGATACTTGAGTTTTTGATGTCCACACTGAAGAAACCATAGGACCCCTGAGCACATTGCACAATCTCCCAAAATGAGAGTCAGTTTTTTATCTTCTCTAAGATGGCTGAGAGGGCACATGACAGGTCAAAATGACCCACCATGCACAGTGCTCAGAACATACTTACAAACAACAATAGCTATGGGACCAGATGGCAGGGCCTAATTGGCCCTTGCCTCACTTTAAATTATAGAACAAAGTCAACTTCTAATGTCCGACATTCCTTGACAAATCAGATTAGGGATTATATTATCCTTTTTAAAAAATTTAGCTACTCATGCTTTTCTCTTATTTTATTATTTTTCTCCATTACACTATCTGAAATCTGATATTTATAATCTTGCTAATAATTATATTATGAAACATTTACTTCCTGATATCTTCTTTGAAAAACTCAATATATATTTTATTGTGACTTTACTAAAGATTATGTGAATAAACTAATTTTTTATGATGTTGGCATTTTTCAACATCTGCCTTGAAAAATAACACTGGGTCTTTGGAACGCAATGACCTGAAATAAATTAGAATAATCTGATCATTTATTTTAAATATTATCAACTAGAAGGATGATAAAACCACACTGAAACTCCTGACTCACTTAATTATCAAGGCTCATTCTGTACCCAACGGGAAAATGACAGATGAAGCAGCTCAGCCCTGACCCATGGTAACCTCACTGCCAGCAAGGCAAGCGTTGGTTAGAAAAGGTCATACCCTGGAGTGTCAGGATTTGTAAGTCAAAAATAGCACAAGGCACTGAGAAGGAACTAGTCTTTTAACTTATAAAGGTGAGATACCAAATTCAGCGTAACCACATGCTTCCCATATAGTATAGTTCTTTTTAACTCTGAATTAAACATATATTTTTATGCCAGAACAGTTTTTTATTACAAGGCTGGTAGCCAGAGTGGTCATAACACCCATACAAACGTAATTCTTCCAACCCACTTTCACTACAAACAAACACATGTATCCCAAACTGCTTTGCAGGCTGGACCAGCTACGTGATTTGCAGGACCCAATGCAAAAGGCAAATGCAGAACCCCATGTTCTAAAATTATTAAGAATTTCAAGATGGTGACAGCAGAGCATTAAACCAAGTGAGGAGTCCTCCGGGCTTGGTGCCCTGTACAACTTCGCAGGTCACCCTAGTTACAAGAAAGCCCACCCTAGTCACAAAAAAGAACTTTTGAAAGTTCAAAAAAATTAATTTTTCCTTTCAAAGACATATAACCATTTAGTCTTTACTCCTGTATTCTCAGATCTGGCCTTAGGTAAGACAGCATTCATATTGGGGAGTACAGCATGGAGATACAAAAGAGAATCAAACTTTTTCCTAAGTATCTTTCCCGATCTTACCCACACCCTTCTTATTCTGAAGGGCCCTTTCACCTCCCTCCTGGAACCAGAAAAGAGATGCTGAAGCATTACTCTTTGGACATGCATCGTGGGCAACTGATTAAGTAAATACCTTTTTAACCTCAGGGCAGATTGTTCGAATACAAAACAATCAAGTCCTTTGCTTTGAGAAGGAGAAAGCTGAGTAAGAAGAGAAGGAAATCGAAAGTAAATGTCCTGTTAAAAAGTAGGTCTTCTGGAAGAGCTCTTTGCGCACCGAAGCAACTGAACCAGAGTTTAAAGTGTCAGCAGGGCAGGAAGAACACAGTAGGTGAGACCTTGAAGAATACACGCCTGGTAACACCTGGGACTGTGTAAGAAATTCTGAGAATGGAGCCTCAAGCGTTCAGTGGGCACCATTATGGGAGACGCAGGCTTTGACATAAACTCTTGCTGCATCCACTGTTGGCAGGGTCTTGGAAGGGTTGGTATCATTTCCGAGGTCGACTATAATTCTGTTTCTATAAAACATTCTAGTTATTCTTTTGGCTTGGCCTACTTGATCATTATTAGCTCTGAGAAATTGGTACAAGAGGATTTCAGGTACAGTCAGGTACAGTTTGGTTTGTTGGCAGTGACCTGAGACTCCAGATAGCTAGGCTTGAGGGTCAGCACCTTCCAAAAACAGCTTCTCAGCTTCATCAACCAAGAACATGCGAGCACACTCCTAGATCAGAAGTCGCTTGACTCCCCTTAACTCTCCTTAACTCCCCTGGGGTGAGGGAGTGGAGATGCATGGATCAGGCCTGAGCCACAGCACACTCCAGCCTTAACCAGAGCAGCCCTCTAATTTTCTGTTCATTGGTTGGTTCCACCAGTAAAGCACTGAAGTGAAAATCACATCTCTGGAGGACATCCCCATCATGTCTGGCTCATGACACCAGCTCTAACACTAGCTGCCAGGGCTCCAATCTCAGCTCCACCACTTCTTAGGGTATTACCTCAGGCAAGCTTTTAAAGCTCCTCCGTGCCTCAATTCCCTTGTCTGGAAAATGAAAACAATAGCTCTACCTACCTCCTAGGGTTTTTGTGAAGACTTATGTGTAAAACTTTGAGCTCAGTTGCTGATTTACAGTATGAGCTAAACAAATGTTAACAATAGCAATTTCGTTTGAACAAAGAATTTTATGGTAAAAGAAAGACTGAAAAGCACTGGACCCTAATCCTTTAAGATCTCTCTAGGCTAAAATGCTATGATCTTTCTACCATTTCGTCTTTTATTTTCTTCATCTCTTTACTTCCTCCCCACAAAACCTCCACCACCAGAGTTGAACAGAGGTCAAATAGGAATCTTTCCCTTGTCCATGGTGGTGGTTGGTGATGGTGTGTCTGCAAATTTGAAAGTGTTTCTGGAAATGCTGTCTGGAAGCTTTATATTGTAGGATTTTGCCTGGCCTTTTTTAATGGATGTAACTGGACCCTCTTTCCTCACCACCCAATGTGTGAGAGGAATCCTGATAGTCTATGTATGCTGTATGGGTGAGGCCTATGTCTCTAATTACCGCTGCAGACAATAATGTGGGAATGCCAACAGCAACTACTGTCACAAAGGAAAGATCTAGGACAAAGTAGAAGCGATAGCTAAGGCTTTGCAGAATACATATATGTCCACTTCATGGCACCAATGCACAAATGACCTCCCAGCCGGCAGTTACCTTCCTCAGCTTTTTCCACCTGCTTAGTGAGAAAACAGCTTTCGATGACAGGAGCCCAGGATAAATCTGTCAGCGTGACTTACACGACAAAATCTCCTGAGAAACGCTTGAGGAATCCAATAAATAAAAGCTCTATGTCCCAAACAGTAGCAAGGTTACCCAAGTTTATCACGTCTCCTCTTAACCCCTCTGGTATGGACCTCATTGACTGTAATTATCACCAACCTCAGAAGACATCTGGAGGTGGCACATCTTTTGCTCCTGTGAGGATGGCCCCATGCAGACCTGTTTCCCAGGTAGCAGTCCCAAGAGCAGCAGGTTTTGGACAATGGTCATGAATATCTTTTATCTGACAGGTAAGTGAGATGCTTTGATTCTTCCAGAAAGGGCTGGGCATTGAGAACAGATTTCAGGCATTCAACAGAAGTTGGGGAAGGGATTTTAAGATATTTAGAGACTTAGAAAACAAGAGGCCAGTGGAGTCTCTGGCCACATAATAATACCAGTTCTATAGCTGTCACCCAACCCTGCAAAAAGGCGTCAACTGGCAGACTTGACCAGATACTACACAGTGATTCTTTTTGTTTGTTTGTTTGTTTGAAATGGAGTCTCACTCTGTTGCCAGTCTGGAGTGCAGTGGCACAATCTCAGCTCACAGCAACCTCTGCCTCCTGGGTTCAAGTGATTCTCCTGCCTCAGCCTCCCGAGTATCTGGGACTACAGGCATGCCCCACCATACTCTGCTAATTTTTGTATTTTTAGTAGAGGTGGGGTTTCACCATGTTGGCCAGGATGGTCTCGATCACTTGACCTCATGATCCGCCCGCCTCGACCTCCCAAAGTGCTGGGATTACAGGCATAAGCCACTGTGCCTGGCCTAGAAAGCAATTCTAAAGGAGGTTTGAGGATGCCCAGAAAGGCTCGAACCCATCTCTTAGAATTGCACTCAATTTCTTCCCTCAGAGGGCATGGGCACCTACAGTGATATCCAAGCTGCAGAAAGAACAAAATTCAGCACCAAGACAAGAGCACCTCAAAAAGCTACACTGGGTAGACAAGCAAAGGAGAGGGTGAAAGAGTGTGTGGGTATTTAAGATTCCTTACTGCCTAGGGAATAAAGTCCCAATTCGTATACATGATGCCCAAGGCTCTACCCAATACAGCCAGATTTCTCTTTCTGAATGCCTCACCATTCCCACCCAGCTATAGCTCCAGGGTTATAGCTGCAGACTCCAAGGGGACCTCAGAGTTAATGCAAGGGGCTGCAGATTCTGATTCTTACACACCCAGGTGGTCTTACAGGTAATGTCTTATCTGTCATTTTTTAATGTGTACAAAATTGCTAGAGGGTTATTATAATATAGATTCATTTAAAAATATTACTGAATTTTTGTTTGCTTTGAATGAACAATTACTTTCCCATAGAAGTGTTAGAAGTTTCTTTTTGTTATTGTTTTATCTTCTTGTTTACATAAAAAGGATTCTTCTTCTTCAGAAGCAGGAACCTCCTAGGTGACACAGACCCATTCAGTAGGCAATGCCTTTGACATCTTTTTTTCTCCCAGTGCTGTCCATTAGAAATGTAATGCAAGCCACAAATGTAATTGTACATTTTCTAGAAGTCACATTTTAAAAATAATAAAAAAGGAAATTTTAATTTTAATAAATATGCTTTAATCCAATATATCCAAATAGTGTCATTTCAACACATTACCAATATTTATAAATTATTAATGAGACATGTTACATTTTTTTTCATACTAAGACTGCAAAATGTGGCATGTATTTTATGGTTACAGGACACCTTAAATTGGTCTAGCCCTATTTTAAGTGCTCAGTAACCACCCTTGACTAGTGGCTACCATACTGGACAGTAAAGTCATACTTTCAAGTCTTGGTTCTTGTTGCTCCTCCATCTTCCCTATCTTCCACACCCTATCTTCCAGACCTCTGTGCTTGTCTTTAACAGAGTCATCCTTAATGCCTCATGGATGGACTATTATTTCTAGAGATCTCAAAGCTCAGAGTGATCTCCCATTCCTCATTTCTTCTAGCATTACTGTCTATGACAAGCCACTTGTTCCAATAATACTACCCTACCTGGTCTCTTCAGTCAACTGCTTCATAGGTATGTGTCCTATCTCCCAAAGAAGTTTGTAGCCTCTTTGTGGGTAGGATACTTACCTTTTACCTTTTTTCTCCTCCACAGCACTAAGCAAAGAATACACAGTAAGCTCCATAAGTACTTGCTCAATTGAATCAATTTCATTTTCTTAGGCACTCTGCTCTAGGATGCTGGAGAAGTGAGACTTTTATTTGCCAGTGAAGACTCAATATAGCAACAAAAGAACAAAGAGATGTGATAGTCTTCCTCCAGGGGCCAGTTTTCTTCTGGATGAATGCATTTGGTCATCAAGAATGTCTCAAGACTTTCAATGGCCTTATTTTATACTACCTCAGGCCTCTCATCTGCATTCACAGACTTCAAATATGTATAACCAGTATAACATTTTTGAAATACTTTCCAACATGTTTCCTTGTACCTCATACCTCTTCTGCATTTCAGCTTCATTGAAACAGAGAGGACAGGTGCTACTTGTGAAAAAGGAGAATATAACAAGGAAAAATCCTCTCCTTCCCCTTGGAGGTCTGAAGAAGAAAGGACATAGAGACAGGGCAGTAGGCAGTCATGTGTGTGCTTAGAACTCCGTACTCCAAGGTGATAAGTTAAATCTGAAGAGAGGAAGGTGACCAACAGAGTTAGGAAGACACAGTGCCATGGTCAGGTTGAGAGAAGGACTTCTAAGTAGCCTTCAGTTCCCATGTGTCATAGACTCTGAATAGAGAGCCACAGGGCCTTCCTGGAGACAGGATAACCCCACAGCCTTCTCCAGAAACCCTTTAGAGGACTTACAGAGACTCAGAGGGATCTACAGAGTCAGTAAGGATCAAAAGGAGGCCAGACAATGGAGGGAAAGCTCTTGACCATGGCAGAGCTGTGAAACCTATCACAAATTTATCAGCTGCAGAATGTCTAGAGAAGGCGGCCAGCTAGAGCAGATTCCAGTGATGCCAGGCAGCACCCACTCAGGGAGAATCATGGGGAGACCTTTTCTTTCTGGATCTGTGAAGATCTTTCTCCCCATCTCAGACACCATCCGAAGAGAGGGCAGAGGTGTAGAGAAGAAAGAAATAATACTTCAAAGAGACAGGTTACTCAACTGGACTAAGTTTTGAACCAGACTGCATTAAAACTAGGGCAGTGGTGGTGGTTGTTTTCATTACACCAATCAGGTAGAATACAAAAGGATATCAGAACAAATTCAGAAAACATGGAAACTACTTTTTCTGCACACCTCAGTATAATGCAAGTAATTCTGTGATCCTAATATGTATGAAATCATTGAATAGATAAAGCTAAGAGGACAACAAAGTATGGAGTGGTATGATGAGTCTATGAGAAGGTAAATGATTTTCAGACAATTCAAATTCTCTAGCGAATTTGTTGTCACAAAATACACTGTAATTAAACTGCATTGGCCTTGGGCAAAATTCATCTTGGATATCTTATTTGAAATAGCATTCAATGAGCACTTGTGCTAGCCACTGCAGATACTTTATTAAATAGAATATGCTTGCAAGGCACTTATACCTTCATACCATCTTCTCTTCCAATGCCTAATGTTTACCTGGTGAAATCTACTTTCAAGATGGCCCTGGTGTCTTTCATGTATTCCGTCATGTAAATTAAGTTAATGTATTAACTCTCATAATCTGTGGTTTGTTGGCTTGTTGTTGTGATTGTTGTTTACATTTTTATGTCATTCCCAACTCTACAAAGTAAAGCTTTGATCTCTGCTAGAGTAACCTTCAGGCAATAGTAAACTGCTACAGAATTCTGTATTTTTTCACACCAGGAGGTCTTCTTCACTGAAATTCATTCAACAAATACTGACTAAGAGCTGACTCTATTTCAGATCCAGAACTAAATGATGGAAATCCATGGTTGCTTCTCTGACACCTCCACTTGGAAGTAAGAATCTCAAATATATATCCTATTAGTAATATATCCTAATAGGAAAACATGATTCCCACCCATGCCAACCTACTCATCTACACTTTTTTCTCTCTCAGTAAATAGCAGCACCGTGTACCCAACGTGCTGAAATTGGAAGCCCTCATATAATCCAACTCCTCCCTTTTGCCAACACTGCCCCTCAGAAAGATATGCACTTTGACACACATAGCATGTGTACATGCACATCTAAAGAATCATTCCTGTTGGTCCTGCCTCCACATCAGGTCTTGAGTCTGTGCTCTCCTCTTCATCCCTGTACCACTGCTGTGGTGAAAGCCCCACACATCTCTCAACTGGACCACTCAGATCAACTCTGGCTGGGTTCTGCTGCTTCTACTTTTGCACTCTACAATCTACTCTCCTCTCAGCAGTCAAATCAGCAGTCAGATTGCCTCACTTCCCTGCATAAACTCTTATTGGCTTCCTGGGACATGGGAATAGGACCTGAACCCCTTCCCCTATCCTCCAAGGCTCTGCATCTTCTATACTGCTCACCTCCTCATGTCATCTGCCCTTCTGACCTCCCCAGCCTCACCTACCATCTCTTTCTCCACCATCTGCATGCTCCAGGCTTAGGTGGTTCTAAGAAAGAACAACATTCTTTGACTTCAGATGCCTTGCACTTGCTGTTCTTTCTGCTTATAATTTGCTCTCCATGTCCCTTCACATGACAATGGTCCTTTCCCCCCGTGCACGTCTCAGTTTAAATGTCATCTCACAAATACCTTCCATGACCAGACTAGCTAAGGGTACTGACTTATTTTCCACAGCATTATGTTTATTTCCTTAACAGCAAAACCATAGATTATAAATAGTTGATTTTTTTTTGGTGGCATAACTTAGTGGTTAAGCATCTGGACTCTGTAGCCAGACTCTCTGAATTCAAATCCTGGCTGTGTTACCTCCAAGCTGTGTGACCTTGGAAAAGTTTCTAAACCTTTCTGTACCTCTTTCCTTATTTCTGAGAGGTAAAAAGTAATAATACCTGCCACCAAGAGTTATTAGATGATTAAGTGAGTCAATGCAAATGAAGCACTTCAAATAGTGATGATTTGTAAGGAGCATAATATGATTGTTTGTTAAAGAAATATAAAAATAAAATATGATCATGGCAGGAATCCTGTCTGTCCTATTCAGCACCATCTCTCCAGGGCTTAGTCTCATGCATAGTACAAAGTAGACACTCAATAAATACTCAATAAATAGATAAATGAATAAAATAATGACTAAATAACATGACTTCTGTCCTTGAAGTTTTTGTGGTGGAGCCCAAGAGGTTGCAAACTTCAACGTGCAAATGAATTACCCGGGGGGTCTTGTTAAAATGTATACTCTGATTCTGTAGGTCTGGAGTGAAGCCCGAAATTCTGCATTTCTAACAAGCTTCAGATGTTGTTGGTCCATAGTCCACATTTTGCATAGCAAGATTCCAGCTGATTTCTAGACGAAGGCAGATCTTCGTCTAGAAATGTGGTCCTGAAACCTGTCTACTGGAAACAGCATTTCTGTTTACCCCTTATAAGTAATTGCTTCCTAAGGCCATCCTAGACTCTTTGGAAGTATTGATGAGGCCTCAATGGACACTGCCCATGATTTTACTCAGGTGTGGTGTCACGTGAGTCAACGGCCATCCTTCCTTTACTCTCGACCACCTGGGAAGGTCTGGAAAAGGTCTCCTTATATTCTTCCCCTTTATCATCACTGGGCCATCTATATATTTCATCTGAAAAGAATCTTTCCTCTTTAGGGCTCTCTTTGGGGCCTTAAAAGGTGTAGTAAATGTGTTCCTTTTACACCACCATTTTCAGTAATTTATTCCAGACACTGGATCTTGTATTATTTAACTCTTAAATGCTTTCAGATTTCAAATATGCTTTGTATCAGCAAATACAAACTACGTATGTTGGCACTGGCATTTTAAGAACAAGAAGGTTAAAGTTTCAAAAGCAACATGCTGATTTTTTGGACATGACCAAGGTGTGATTAATTTTTCTGGGCGGAGGGATATGTGGCTGGAATTACTCAGAACCGCCCACCAGTTGCCTCTCAAGAGTGTTTGAAATTAAAAGATTGCCATTGCTATTGCCTTTACTGTAGAGTGTGCACCAGAAACAAAGTCCTGCTCCTTTCCAAACTCCCAACCAAAATAACCCCAGGGCACTCTTGAAAGTAAGCATAATCTTCATGCAATAAGACATTTCACGGCACCATGTCTGAAACCTGAATGTATATCTTCTTTAAACAATCACAGCCTGCAATGCCTAATTATCCTGCTTCCAAAAGCATTGGGTTAGGCACGCAACACATCTCGGTAATGGAAGTGGACTGTAGTCTCCTAGAGCCAGTTCATAAAAGCAATGGAGATGTTTTAATGTTGTCAATTCTCTCTCGGCAGTACAGTCAAGTAATGTAGCAGAACTGTCTGATGGCCAAGGTAATGATCAGAAGGGATATAACAGAGAGAGACATCTACTGGCTGGTATCGTAGAATTAGCTCATTTATTCAGTTGGAAGAGTTTGGCTTGAGGGCCTCATGGCACTTGTTTCACAAGCCAACGTGCCCTCCACAAGAACATCACAGTCCAGACTGCATAAGATCTTAGGGTAAATGTCAAATTCCTCCTTACCTGCTCCTTCCCAGAACCATGACTCCATTTGTCAGTCTGGTGAAACCTCCTTCTCTCCCCTACATGCACATGCAGCTTTCATTGCTGAGTATCAATTACTTTTGTATTTGAGGATGGTAACTGCAGCTAAAAAAAAAAAAAAAAAAAAAACAAAAATGAAGCTATTAGAATGTCCTGCCTTACAGATTCTTCAGAATTGACAACCAAGTGTCCAGCTCAGCTCAGCAAGACGATGTTTTCCATTCTAAAATTCTGTAGCACCACCAAGCACTTCTTAAAATGTGAAAACTCCATAAAGGGCCATAGCACCTATCACAGACTGATGTCCCATGGTCCTTGTTTTATCCCAAACTAATTTCCCTCTGAAACACTATGATTTGTCATTGTTATTGGTCAATGCCCCTGTTAATTATTCATAATTCCCTCTCAATGATAATGCCCACACAGATAACTTGCTTTTCCTTGCTTCTATTCTACCACCCTCGCCTAGAATTGAAGGGGACCAGCAAGAATACTTCTATTCAGTACTATTCACATCAAGCATACTGAAGCTTGATGTTTGTCCTGCCCCATATTATTAGGCGTAAAACTCTCAAGACTCAGAGGCGCACCTTAATAGTGTTACACAGGCAGAGTCATGACATCCATGCTTGTCTACAGTAGACAATCAGAACTCACTCCAAGAGGGAAGGGAAGTGATTTTTTTTTTTTCTCAACAAACAGATTTTAAGATGGAAATCACTGATCTTACAGAGAGAATGAGGACACAGCATAGTCAGAGAGTCTCAGATACAGCATCTAGCACAGCATTTGCAGAGCACACTAGATATTGGTTGATAAAGATCCCAGACTTGAAGCCTGTACTTTCTGTAGGAGAATGAGCAAATATTAAGACTTAATATTAATATTGCCTAGAAGCAAGTAGTAGACAATCTTGCCCAGAAGGTGTGGGGCACAGAGAAAGTTCTAGACAGTGATATATTCCATTAAGGAGCATTATAGCTCCTTAGCTTAATAGAGAGAGGGGGGTCCAAAACTGTATAATGTTCTTGTTACAAGGTGTGTACTCAGTCGTCACCAATTAACTTTTCCTTGCCTTCATAAAGACCCAATTAAGATTCCTCCAGTATTGTGATGTAAGATGTCACTGCCCGGGGCCCTGCCAGACTCTTAGACAGTGGTAAGCAGTCTCACTGGTGAACATCTATTCTATCCCCCAAATCCCTGGGAATGCCACCTGGCACACATGGGTTGTGACTCACAATTGGCCACAGATTTTTCTCCCTCCTCCCCAAGGCTTGCCCTGGCAACCTTGGCTTAAAGCACAGAATGCTCTTGGTAAATATGAAGGGCTTTAGAAATATTAGTGTCAATTGTCATTGTTGTTTTTGTTAAGACTACAATTTGGAGCTATAACCATAGGATTGACAACTTCCCCCCAATCCAATTATAACCACTATAAAGTGGAAATCTTAATTTCTTTCTCAAAGAGTAGTGATTTTCAAATGGGGGTGATTTTTGCCCCCAGGGGACATTTGGCTATGTCTGGAGACATTCTTTTGGTTGTCACAGTTGGGGGTGGGGGTGCTACTGGCATCTAGCAGGTGGAGGCCAGAAATGCTGCTAAACATCGTACAGTGCACAGGACAGCCCACAAGCCCCAAAGAATTATCCCACCCCAAATGTCAATAGTACAGAGGTTGAGAAATCCTGTCCTACAGGATCATGGGGAGGAGAGAAAAGATCTAGCCTTATTTTCTGCCTGAAACCCCATTATTAGCTTCTGGGTTAAAGTCGGCCCTGGTGTAGCAACTGTGCTTGGGATGGGAAGACTAGGTGCTTCTTTAGCCCACTTTGCAATTGTGTGACCTCTGACAAATCAAAATGACCAAATCCTAGTTTCACATATTCTGTTTCTGTGGTCAAATATATCCTAGGTTGGTATTCATAAACATGTTTACCATAATGCAAGTGACATTGTAATGTATCTTCCATGTTTGAGAGTGAAAGGGGTGTTATTAATAATTATAGTGGGACAATAGGAGTAAATCTTGACTGTCCTAGGCAAACTAGGATATGTGGCCATCCACCAAGAAGAGGACAGCAGAAAATCAAACGAAAACAGCATCCTCCTCTGTTTCTCTGGTATTCTGTCCACTCACCACTCATCTGCCTGCCTGGCTGCTATATCCACCCCCTTATATAGGAAGGACAAGGCTTATTATCTCTAACTGGAGGGTAAGCAAGCTGAGAAGCAGAATGGGAAGCCAAGCACCCCTCTGCCCCTGGTCTCCTGATTTATACCTCAGGGTCCTTTCATCTGAAGTCAGGTCTATCCTCCCCAACTGCAGCAGAAGAGAGATAGGCAGCAAGGAGCCAATACTTCATGGTGCCAGATTTGTGAGCCCATGCCTATTTCCTTAAGGGGTTTAACAAGCCTGTTATGTGCATTAAGTACTGGCTGCTTAAAAGAATCTGCGACACCATCTTAATACTAACCAGGAGAGAAGCTGGTTAGCATTAAGTGCCCAGAGGGTCGTGAGCCAGGACAGATGGCCATCTTTTCTTCATTAATGCTCAACTTCCTATAGCATCACTAGATAGCAAACCACATTCATCTTTATGGGAAGTTTAGGGAGAATAAAGGAAGAAAGACACTCATGGATAATGGAGAACATCCTCACAGAAAACAGTCAAGCGTGGTCACCTGATTTAGATCTGGTTTTCTAACCTCACTTTCTATTTGTTGCAGTCCCTGATCTCTTAGATCCTGAAATAGTGCAATGGATTAGAATTTTCCTCTGTAGTTCTTGATCAAAGTAAGGCCAACTAACCTGGTTCTTCTCTTGACAGGACCTCCTGGGACAGGGGTTTTAGTGCTGGACCATGCCAACTCCAGCGGCTGCATAAAATTGGCTCACTCCTCTGTCCTAACATAGGGTGCCAGAGAAGTACAGGATGCCCAATTAAATTAGAATTTCAGATAAACAACACATAAGAATTCAGTATAAGGATGTCCAACTATTACATGGAATATACTTATACTAAAAAGTTATTAGTTGCTTATCTTAAATTCTGAATTAATTGGGTATTCTGCATTTTTTATTTGCTAAATCTGGCAACTCTACCCTAATTTAAAGGTGCTTGCACTTCCTTCATAAAGCTACTGTCCTCTGCATCACTTGAAATGAACTATGATGTATATGGCCAAAGATTTACTTGAAATTAGAGAAAGCCATTGAGAAAGGGATGTGTGACAAATATGAACATTTTTAGGCACAAGGTCGGTGGTCATTGAGGTAAAATGGGGAATTTCTACTTTTCACTGGAACCAAATACTGTTTGGCTGGCCTGAGTCTCGGGATTTTACACACAAGAAAAAAAAAAACCGTGATTTTAATGAAGAGCCATGACTGAAGCAATTTGCTGACTTGCAGTCAAGGACCAATGGCACCTTCCAGGGCTGGCCAGAAGAGGTTGAAAAAATAAAGCATCTAAAAATAAATGCTTTAAACTGTTTTGGCTCTTGCTTTGGGAAAAATCTATGAATAAAGAAGTCATTTGGATGGGAGAGTTAATGTTGTGTGTGGCAAATGGCAAGTTTCAGGGAAGAAGCCTCTATTCACTTACAACTGAATGATGCAGTGGAATAGAATTTGGGAAGAGGTAACTGAAGATGCTTTTAAAATTCTGGGTTATAAAGTTTTCAGGGCAAACTTCAGTCTTTTGAAGGTTATCCTTATATATCTTTAGTAAATAACAAGTTCTCTCTCTTTTTTTTTTTTTTTTTTTTTTTTTTTTTTTTGAGACAGAGTCTCGCTCTGTCGCCCAGGCTGGAGGGCAGTGGCACAAACTTGGCTCACTGCAAGCTCCGCCTCCCGGGTTCACGCCATTCTCCTGCCTCAGCCTCCTGAGTAGCTGGGACTACAGATGCCCGCCACCACGCCTGGCTAATTTTTTGTATTTTTTAGTAGAGACGGGGTTTCACTGTGTTAGCCAGGATGGTCTCGATCTTCTGACCTCGTTATCCACCCACCTCAGCCTCCCAAAGTGCTGGGATTACAGGCGTGAGCCACTGTGCCCGGCCAGTAAATAACAAGTTCTCATTTTTAAGGGGAAATATATTTGGAAATGCCTATAAATTGTACTTTTAAAAATATAAATAATATTTCAAGTGTTTTAGTATCATAAAATAAAAATTAGAGGGGGGCCATTAAAAAAAAAAGGTATTTCAAAACACAGACAACATGGGATAGGCACCACATATCTAGCATGGAAGAAAAGGCTATAATCCAGAAAGGGAGAGGGGATGTTGGATCAATCATAAATGAGACAAAATTCCATCCTCTTATTTAAATTATCCACAACTAAATTGAACTAAGGATTCCCAAGCCAATTTTCTTGCATAACAAATGTGTGATCTGTGGTTTACTTACTTGCAAGGAAACAATTTGAGGAGTGTTCAGTGACTTCCTTGCACACCCAGCTCCTTCCCTGGCAGTCTTGGTCTCCCCAGACTTGGAGGGGCAAATATCCCCCAGCCAACTTGTCTACCCAGAGGTCTTCCCTCCAGTCCCCACCAAGCCAGGATGCCAGTGAGGCAGCAAACATGATGTGTGTGGGTCCAGAGATGTGCTTGCTGCTCGCCTATGTCAACTGGAAATCATCTCTGACCATACTCTTTGCTACCTGAAATTCTGGATTTGGAACTGATCGGCCACTTACTTAATCATATTTGAAATAAAAATATCTCCTTCTTTTCAAATATAATCTGAATTAAGATCAATGCTAAAGCATGAAATACATCATTTAAATCAAAACAACCCCCTTTCTCTCTCTCTGTCTCTCTCTCTCTCTCCCCACCATTCCTTTAGGCTCAGTTTCTCCAACAACAGTGAACAGCTGTCCTGAAGCAGCAGTTTGCTATCATTATTTTATAATTCAGCCCATTCCATCATTTTGCCAGGGAAGGTTTGTGAGTCTGTATGCATGAGAGATACTCACAACATGGCAAGGCCCTCATAATCACCTGTGATTAATGCTAAGAACCCCCAGTGGTACATCCTTTAATGATGCTCTTAGAATCATGATGTCTGATCTTGGTTCTATTACTGTCAAAAGTGCTTTAATCTGCCCTGGGTTAAGGGCTCATACATCTATGCTGGTGCCTATCCAGGGAAGCAATTGGTGATTTTTTTCACCCTCTGCCTCAAATATTCATTCTTTTTCCTATTTGCTTCATAACATAGAAATGAAAGCAGCAAAGAGTGTGTGTCCTCTGGAATCAATTGTAACTACTGCTATTACACAGGTCATTTGGCCCAAATTGAAGCATCCTGCCTGGTTTTTCTATGCCCTGACTTCAAGGCAACAGAACAGGAAAGAGTAGTTCACAAGAAATAAAGTGCGATAGAGGCACTTCCTGGGAGAGGTCACCAATACATCGTGGTGTATTTCAGGGCCAATTTCAGTCAATTGTTAACACTACCAGACACAGAAACCTCCAATGCCATTTGCTTATTTCAAAACTCCTTCCTGTTTAGTGTATCAGATGCTTTCCGCAGCAAGAGTTAGTGACTTACAGGTTAAGCAAGAGGCACTTTTTGCATACCTGCTTGTGTTTTTAAATAAAGTGCATCCAGTTCCAGGGATGGCAGCCAGAACACTTCCCATTGTTTCTTTTAATACAGTGAGACAGTGACACCAACAAGCCACATAACCGTGGGTGGATCAATTATAATTTTTAGGCTTCAAGTTCCCCACCTGTCACAGGAGGAAATTAAACCACCAGAACTATTAAACTTCAAGTTCTGATGCACTGGGGGCTCCTGTCCCCACAATAATTCATAAAGAACAAGGAGCATGTCTTAAGATGGATTTTTTCTTAAAGACAGAGGAAGTCACACTTTCATCAGGGCAAGTGACTTAATGTGAAACATTTCTTCAACTATTAACCCCAAGCTATTCATATCCCAATTAGGTCTTATAAACAACATATTATACAGAAATTACTCCAACAATAAAGAATGAAATCACTAAGCTAAAGATGATTACTTGGCTGATTAGACTTGGCTTCCATGCTCCACAGACAGAAATTTTGTTGATGTTACTTGTGTGTGTGTGGGGTGGGGGTGGTGTGGGGGGGGTTTCCCTAAGCTCCTCTAATAATTCAGATAGAAGGGAGAAAGTAGAACTAATCTGAAATGAATATCTCTAGGAGACAGCCAAATTCCAAGTTGTACTCTAAATATAAGGATTGGAGCACTGGTAACAAAAATGGGGATAACCCAAGCACAAGAATTTGAAGATAAGTACTGCAGGAATTTAGAAAATAGGCATGTTGGATAACATTAATGTAGTAAAAGCTCTTTCCTTTCTCTAGGCTGACAATGCCAAGCAGGGACCCGAGTATTCCGAGAAGAAAAAAAAAGCAAGAGTAGTTAAAATCCAAAACACTATTTTTGTTGTACCTCTGTTAAAGATCTTTTCTGTAATTTACTGCTGAATCTTAAATTGCATAGACCTAGATTCTAGTGCCATGATTTCAAAAAGTTGTCTCTATAGTCTGAAAATTAGCAGACATTTTTTGGAATAAATTGCCTTTCCAGAGAAAATACAAAATAACTTCTATGGTCATGTGTGAACATCAAGATTCAAAAATTACATTAACGGAATAAGATAAAGTCTCCGAAACTGCAATAAGAGTAAATGTCCCTAAAGTTGGAGAAGAATGTTATTATTTAGAGGAATGAATACCCTGAGCCAATGTTTTTCAGACTTCAGGATGCATTTGAGTTCCCAGGGCATCTTGTTAAAGTGCAGATTTTGATTCAGTAGGTCAGGGATAGGCCTGAGAATCTGCATTTCTAACAAGCTCCCATATACTGCTGCTCCTGCTTATACTCAGACCACACTTCCAGTAAAAAGGCTTCTAAATGACCAATTTTCAAAGAACTTGACTATAGCCATCTACACACAGATTATCCTAAGAACAATTTGACATTTGTTTGATGATTTGGAAAGCACTTCTATTTCCTGAGGATCTTCATTTTCATCAATAATTATTACAAGAAAATATTCCCATTATTGAAGCTTTCATGTTTGGATTCTGCATCATTAAAGGTTTATACTTTACAGACATGAGAAAAAGGCAAGGCACAAATGCAGAGAAGAGCATTAATTTCCTCCCTAGCCTCCCTCTCTCCTGCAAGTTTAACTTCACACATAAATTTAACATGAGGAATACAGCAGGCATCAGACTGAGTATAGCCATATAAAAACTGGACTGCTGTTCTGAGAGATGTGGCTGAAGACTTCTACTCATCAGCCCCGATGGGAAAAGAACTGTCCTTTCCTGTTGGTAAGGACAGCAGCCAAGTTTACCTTATATACTCAACTTTTAATGTCATTGCCAGGAAAATGACATTTGAAGAAAGAAAGGGACCTTGATCTGTGGGTGGCCTGAAGATTGAAGTCTTTAAATTCTTCTATTTAGAGACCATTTAATACCACATTCGTTATTCTGATTCCTCTAAAAGCAATTTTTAAAAACTTTTGTTACCTTCCCCTGTCTTTTATTATTATTATTATTATACTTTAAGTTCTGGGATACATATGTAGAACGTGCAGGTTTGTTACATAGGTATACACGTGCCATGGTGGTTTGCTGCACCCATCAACCTGTCATCTACATTAGGTATTTCTCCTAACCTCCCCTGTCTTCTAATCCACTTGGCAAATATTTTTAAGCACCTACCTCATCTCAAACATTGTTTCAGAATCTGGGGACACAGCAGGGTTCAAAACAGAAATCTATGGCTTTATATTCTAATGGAAGACACCAGGCATAAACCAAATAAACTCCTAATTTAGAACATAAGAAAGTGAAAAATTCTAAGGGGACTTGTTCAAACAGCATTGTTCATAGCAGCCAAAAGATGAAAGCTACCCAAATATCCACTGATGTATGAATGAATAAACCAAATGTGGGGTATACATACAATGGAATACTATTCAGCATTACAAAGGAAGAAAATTCTGACACATGCTACAACACGAACGAACCTCAAGGACCTTATGTTAAGTGCATAAGCCAGTCACAAAAGGACAAATATATTTTTACTCCATGTAGCTGAGATACATATGGTACATAAATTAATAGAGACAGAAAGTAGAATGGTGGTTCTCAGGAGCTAAAAGAGGGAAGAATGTCCCCATTCTTCCATTTTAATGGGTATAGTCTCAGTTTTGCAAGATGAAAGGAGTTCTAGAGATCCATTGCACAGCAATGTGAATAGACTTAACACTACTGAACTGTACACTTAGAAGTGAAGAGGGTAAATTTTATATTATGTGTGTTTTGTGTTATATGTCTTTCACCACATTTCTAAAACATGCTATGGAGAAAAGTTAAACAGAGAAGTAGGTTAGTTAGAAATGGGTCAGTCCGTTAAGGTGGGGGATGTTGCATTTTAAATGGAGTAGTTAAGAAAGGTCTCATTGATCAGATGACTCTGGTGCAAAGACTTAAAGGAGGGGAGAGACTGGGCCACATGACAGAAGAATCTTCTGGCAGAGGAGATGGTGAGTGGATGGACTCAGGTAACAGAAATGACAAAGAGTCCACAGCACTTACATATTTGTATTGTCTTCCTCAGTCTACCAGACAGCTAAGTTAGAGCTACTATCTGCTCATATCTGCAGGGCAGGGCCACTAATTGAGCTAACCTTTGGTCCTTTTGAGAGAATTGTCAGAAAAGACCTAATGGAAGCAAGCAAGGACTAATTTGAGAGCATCTAAGTTTTATGTTGCTCTGGCAGCTATTCATACCTTTCAAGATTTTGGAGAGCTGAAGCAAAGGACAAGCAAAGTGATATGCTTTCAGCCAGCCTAGTCAGACTTCAGTTAACTAATGGCCTAGAGACAGGCGCAGGACAATAGGACGGGGAGCAGGGGATCTGTACCCAGCTCAGGCTCTGAGGAGAGAAAAGGTTCTAAATTCAACCATTGTAGAAAGCAGTGTGGTGATCCCTCAAATACCTAAAAAAAGAACTACTGTTCAACCCTGCAATCTCATTACTGGGTATATACCCGAAGGAATATAAATCATTCTATCATAAAGACACATACACATACATGTTCATTGCAGCACTATTTAAAATAGCAAAGACATGGAGTCAACCTAAATGCCATCAATGGTAGACTGGATAAAGAAAATGTGGTACATATACACCATGGAATACAATACAGCCATAAAAAAGGAGATCATATCCTTTTCAGAAACATGGATGGAGCTGGAGGCCGTTATCCTTAGCAAACTAATGCAGGAACAGAAAATCAAATACTCATGTTCTCACTTGTAAGTGGGAGCTAAATGATGAGAACACATGGACATGTAAACGGGAACATCAGACACTGGAGCCTATCAGAGGGTGGAGGGTGGGAGGAGAGAGAGGATCAGGAAAAATAACTGCTTGGTACTAGGTTTAATACCTGGGTGATGAAATAATCTGTACAAAAAATCCCTATGAGATAAGTTTACCTACAGAACAAACCTGAACATGTATATCTGAACTTAAAATAAAAGTTAAAAAATAAATACATACATAAATCTTAAAAATGCAAGAGGGTTGTTAGCATAAAGGACTTCCAGGGTAGCTGGGAAATAGAAGGACTGCTGGGGGAAGGGCCATCCCATTCTGCCTGGATCACAGGCTGGCTCCAGCATGGTGCTGTCTCAAGGGTACCAGGTGACTGGGGGCCTCAGACTGGTGCTTCTACAAGATTTTAGCAAGGAAAGGGGTTTACACAAAAGGCCCCAGCAGATGCAGGAGTGAGACGCTTGGTTTCAGGCATCTGAAGGGGAGCAGAGAATAAGAAAACCATTGGTGAATATATCTGAGATCCCCTCCGGAAACTCTCTAGAAACAATAGAGGGAAAGGAAAAGTCCAGTAGAATGTGGGTGCTGCTTATACTGCGAACTCCTTTGTTAGTAAAGTCTGGGAAATTTGGTTTCTTGAAAAAATTCATTTCAAGTTTTGTGTGTGTGTGTGTGTGTGTGTCCAAAAGACTATAGGATTTAATTATCGAATCAAGCTCTCATCTTTAATTGTAGATCAGCTTAATTTTCGATCAATTCCCTGAGGTAGCTGTGAGTGTCGAATAAAATAACAGATGGAAAATACTTAGGGTACCTAAACATCCTAGCTCAGTCAGTAAATAATCGTGATTTTTATTCTATTCTTCTCATTGTCATTTTATTACAAGAGATCTTCCTTCCTCTTTCCACCCTGGAAAAAAAAAAAAACATATCTGTCAAGAGTCTGAGCAAAGGAAATCTCTAAAGTTAGGTGGGTGATTTATTTGTCATGGTCCCTAATGAGGAATTTCGTTTTAAACCCTTTTGAAACATCTGTTGCGTTTCAACTCAGTAAGTGCAAATAACAGAAAAATAGTAGCATCTGGGCTAGAAGTAAAAAATATCTGCTCCTATTTTTAAAAAAAGAGTAAGAGCTAGAGCGGGGGATGGGGGGGTGGTGGGGGAGGAGAGAGGAGTGGGGGAAGGGGAGGGGAAGAAAAAGAAAAAAGAGGGGAGGGGAGGTTGCTGCATTTCTCACACTAGCACTTGATCAGAAGTCCTGCTCTACCTGTCGCACAGGAAGCTGCGTGATTGATGTGCACTTGCAGCTGCGCAGCTGCTCCTTGGAGTACCCAGAGTCCCCGTGCCCCGCCGCTGGGTCAGCACTTTCCTCTGCGGGTGCTGAGAAGTGACTTTCTGCATGCGTTTCCCACCCCCTCCCTTGTGCCAGCCTTTGCTTCTAGGAAAGTAGGAAGAAATGGTCCATGAAGTTTCATTTGCCTTGAGTAAAACAGAAACGTCTTTGGAGAAATTGCAAGTCCAATGCTAGCAGGGTGCAGCCAAGAAGGAGGCCTGTGGCCAGCCCCACCTGCTGCCTGCAAGAAGGAGAGAAGGCCAATGGGGATAAGGGTCCTGAGGCCTCAGAAGACAGGGGAGCAGTTTGACCATCTGCAGAGAAAGAAAACCTTAAAGGAAAAGCTAAAGATCTCATAAGTCCCATAGGTTCCTCCACGCTTTTCAGTGAGCTTACTGGAGTTGTTTTGAATCTGCCCTGAAGGAAGTCAGCTCAAAGGCCGAAAGGAAAGCTGGCCCACTTATCACCTCCCTAAGCAAGCAACAACCCATGAACTGGATGTCAGGACAGGTAGCTGCTGTCACTGAGGGAACTGATCCCATTGCAGTGACGCCAGAGACAGATGTTGGGGCAGCCTGGGAGCTCACAGAACAGCGGTCCACTGTAGGGCAGTCATCTTTCGTGGCCAGCAGCAAACTGAACTCACCTCAGGGGTCCTTCTTCCAGGCTGCATGTGAGACCTGATGCATCCCCTCCCAAGAGGCACAGGGATGCTTACACACATACTTCTTGGGGCTCTTCCAGTCTCATTAGAACGCTTCTGGGCCCAATATTTTGCCCAGATGTTCACAGGCAGGCAGGAGAATTGTCTCATTTATAAAGAGTCTTGCTTTTCTGGCCAGAATTGGTAATAACCAACATCCTCACAGTTGGAACCATGGATGATTAAATGATGTTTAAGGACCTTAAACCTTATCTGATCTGACCCCTTTACCTGCAGATGGGCACCCTGAGGCCACAGAGGCTGTGACAGGCCCCCCACATGAATTCAGAGCAGCTGACCTGTGACCTGTGTCTTTTTCCTTCCTGCAGGACACATCCGATTTGTCCCTAGGCTGCTCACAGAGGAATGAAAGCCTTCCTTGACTTGAATCTATCTGTACACTTGAGGTAACTTCCACATCCAGTTCCCCCAGAAAGGAGTCTGAAGGGTATAGGAAACAAACATCTGTGATTGTCTTCAACTCATAACACCTGGCTTCACACCATAGGGGGATGGAGAAGAGAACACAGAGGAAGGGGAAGGGGCCATAGGGTGGGGTCTGGTAAAGAAGAACAAAGGAAGAAATGAGGATAGCATGGTCTAAAAGGGAAGGAAACAGGTAGGCGGGGGCGGGGTTGGGGTTCGGGGGAAGAGTAGGCAGAGCCCAGAAAACTTGTTCTAGGGAGAAGTTAGAAGACTGAGGCCGAGGGAGGGGAGTAAGAGCTAATGAGAAAAGGAAAGTCAAGGAGAGAACTTACCTGAATTTAAATTCTCAATTAGAATCAGTATGAAGGATCACAGAAGTCACACCAGAATCAAGCCTAGCAAGATTGTGTGTGTGTGTGTGTGTGTGTGTGTGTGTGTGTGTGTGTGTGTGTGAGAGAGAGAGAGAGAATGTATTGCCTTGAGCTCCAACCCCAGTTTTTTATCACATGACAAGAAGGATAAAGGTCCCTGGTTCCCAAGACCAATATCCTCCCTGACCTGGATGTGAACAGCCCTCCTCCCTGAGGCATTTTCACCTTGCTTAGCCTGCTCTGCAGAATCTGAGGAGGAGGGGAGACTTAAGTTACACAGCAGGGGCCAATAGGGCTGCACAAAGCTCATATTATTCTTACTTTAATCATGGGTTTTGCTTCACAAATCCTGCTTTGAAACCATACATGGCACTGAAGTTTTATGGCAGCACTTGGGGTGGTTTATGGCTTTGCCAGGGTTTGTTGAGGTTTTTTCCTAAAGATATCACTGAATTTTTCTGTTTTCCCTTCTCAAAATAATTATTGACAAATGTGTGTAGTGATGGCACCACCCCTTGGATTTTCTCCCAAACTAAATTAAATCAAGCCTTCTGCTTTCCCATTCACTTATTTCTTTATGAAAGAGAGAGAGAGAGAAAGAGAGAGGGAAGGGACGAGAAGGGGGAGGAAGGGAGAAAAGAGAGAAGGGGAGGCAAGAATACCTTTTTAAAAAGTCAGAAAACCAAATTCTCACAATATTTAATGCAGCTTTTTTTCTTGTGTAAGGATTGAAGGCTGAATTATGCCAAAGGTGTGACAATTAGAAAAAAATATGAGTCAGGGAAAATTTTCCTCAGGCTGATTTCGTGCCTTCAATACGTGCTTACATCCTAAGGCCTGCACTTAGAATGGGAATTTGAGATATTAGAAAATAAGATAAAGAAACCAAAAGACACATTTTTCTCTAAATCCTATAAATGGCATTTCTTTTCTTTGACTCACAAAGGTATCCATGTGATATTCAGCACAGACTTACTAAATACTACCTCATGGCTGCCACAGTGGTGGTTGTATGGGCATTAGGAGAGAAGGGTCTGCCTGAAAGACTTCACATAGCCCAAAACCATCACCACCCTGCTCTGTGTCACCCTCATCTGTCACCCTGACCAAGGCAAAAGCCTCCCCCAAATAGTTTCTCTGTTTCTTTCTCTTTTCCCTAGAGTCTATTCCCATGCAAAAGTCAGAGTGATCTTTTAAATTACCTTGATGAACATTGATGCAAAAATCCTCAATAAAATACTGGCAAACCGAATCCAGCAGCACATCAAAAAGCTTATCCACCATGATCAAGTGGGCTTCATCCCTGGGATGCAAGGCTGGTTCAATATACGCAAATCAATAAATGTAATCCAGCATATAAACAGAACCAAAGACAAAAACCACACGATTATCTCAATAGATGCAGAAAAGGCCTGTGACAAATTTCAACAACTCTTCATGCTAAAAACTCTCAATAAGTTAGGTATTGATGGGACATATTTCAAAATAATAAGAGCTATCTATGACAAACCCACAGCCAATATCATACTGAATGGGCAAAAACTGGAAGCATTCCCTTTGAAAACTGGCACAAGACAGGGATGCCCTCTCTCACCACTCCTATTCAACATAGTGTTGGAAGTTCTGGCCAGGGCAATCAGGCAGGAGAAGGAAATAAAGGGTATTCAGTTAGGAAAGGAGGAAGTCAAATTGTCCCTCTTTGCAGACGACATGATTGTATATCTAGAAAACCCCATGGTCTCAGCTCAAAATCTCCTTAAGCTGATAAGCAACTTCAGCAAAGTCTCAGGACACAAAATCAATGTACAAAAATCACAAGCATTCTTATACACCAATAACAGACAAACAGACAGCCAAATCATGAGTGAACTCCCATTCACAATTGCTTCAAAGACAATAAAATACCTAGGAATCCAACTTACAAGGGATGTGAAGGACCTCTTCAAGGAGAACTACAAACCACTGCTCAAGGAAATAAAAGAGGACACAAACAAATGGAAGAACATTCCATGCTCATGGGTAGGAAGAATCAATAATGTGAAAATGGCCATACTGCCCAAGGTAATTTATAGATTCAATGCCATCCCCATCAAGCTACCAATGACTTTCTTCACAGAATTGGAAAAAACTACTTTAAAGTTCATATGGAACCAAAAAAGAGCCTGCATCGCCAAGTCAATCCTAAGCCAAAAGAACAAAGCTGGAGGCATCACGCTACCTGACTTCAAACTATACTACAAGGCTACAGTAACCAAAACAGCATGGTACTGGTACCAAAACAGAGATATAGATGAATGGAACAGAACAGAGCCCTCAGAAACAATGCCACATATCTACAACTATCTGATCTTTGACAAACCTGACAAAAACAAGCAATGGGAAAAGGATTCCCTATTTAATAAATGGTGCTGGGAAAACTGGCTAGCCATATGTAGAAAGCTGAAACTGGATCCCTCCCTTACACCTTATACAAAAATCAATTCAAGTTGGATTAAAGACTTAAACGTTAGACCTAAAACCATAAAAACCCTAGAAGAAAACCTAGGCATTACCCTTCAGGACATAGGCATGGGCAAGGACTTCATGTCTAAAACACCAAAAGCAATGGCAACAAAAGCCAAAATTGACAAATGGGATCTCATTAAACTAAAGAGCTTCTGCACAGCAAAAGAAACTACCATCAGAGTGAACAGGCAACCTACAAAATGGGAGAAAATTTTCGCAACCTACTCATCTGACAAAGGGTTAATATCCAGAATCTACAATGAACTCAAACAAATTTGCAAGAAAAAAACAAACAACCCCATCAAAAAGTGGGTGAAGGACATGAACAGACACTTCTCAAAAGAAGGCATTTATGCAGCCAAAAAACACATGAAAAAATGCTCACCATCACTGGCCGTCAGAGAAATGCAAATCAAAACCACAATGAGATACCATCTCACACCAGTTAGAATGGCAATCATTAAAAAGTCAGGAAACAACAGGTGCTGGAGAGGATGTGGAGAAGTAGGAACACTTTTACACTCTTGGTGGGACTGTAAACTAATTCAACCATTGTGGAAGTCAGTGTGGCGATTCCTCAGGGATGTAGAACTAGAAATACCATTTGACTCAGCCATCCCATTACTGGGTATATACCCAAAGGACTATAAATCATGCTGCTATAAAGACACATGCACACGTATGTTTATTGTGGCATTATTCACAATAGCAAAGACTTGGAACCAACCCAAATGTCCAACAATGATAGACTGGATTAAGAAAATGTGGCACATATACACCATGGAATACTATGCAGCCATAAAAAATGATGAGTTCATGTCCTTTGTAGGGACATGGATGCAATTGGAAATCATCATTCTTAGTAAACTATTGCAAGAAGAAAAAACCAAACACCGCATATTCTCACTCATAGGTGGGAATTGAACAATGAGAACACATGGACACAGGAAGGGGAACATCACACTCTGGGGACTGTTGTGGGGTGGGGGCAGGGGGGAGGGATAGCATTGGGAGATATACCTAATGCTAGATGACGAGTTAGTGGGTGCAGCGCACCAGCATGGCACATGTATACATATGTAACTAACCTGCACATTGTGCACATGTACCCTAAAACTTAAAGTATAATAATAATTAATTAATTAATTAATTTTAAAAAAATTACGCATCGGATCCTGTCACTCTCTTCCTCAAAACCCTCCACTGCTGCAACTCACACTGAAAATAAACTCTCGCTCCTGGCCCATGAACTGGCTACTCTCCACCTACATTCCAACCTTACCTCCTCCCATGTTCTCTCCCTTTTCCCACTAAGTAAGGCCACAAAGGCCTTCTATTGTTTTTCTTTTCCTTCATCAGACCTATCTTGTTCTCACCTTAGAGCAGTGCCCTTCCAGTATTTTAGAGACTCTTCTTGTGACTAAAATGACTGGAAAAGTGATGGACCAGTCCAAGGTTTCTACCTATGGAGCAAGGATTAAATAGTCCAAGAAGCAGGTTTAAAGTTACAGTGGAAGAAAAAGCTGGAAGGTCATTTTCTGCTTGCTGCCTTTCAAGTTTATCTCATTTAAAGTGCTAATAATTGCACTTGTTTGTATTTCCCCTTTCCTAGAATGGAAACCTAGGGAAAAATAACCTCATCGGTCTTATATTCTCACCACCTAGAACAATGCCAAGTACTTAGTGGAGACTCCCATAAATAGCTGTTGAAAGAGTAAATTAAAGAAAAATCATAGGATACTCACACATTACAATTTTAAATACCAATAGACATCAGTTCTACAATTAAGAACAATTATGAGAGGTACAAACTCTAAATGGGAAGAAAGTTCCCTCTTGCTTAAAAGATGCAGTAACAAAAATGGTGGCATTATCAAACCATTATGAATCTACCAATAAAAGCCGAGCTTCCTGCAAATCTGGCTGTGGCCTTTTGCTCTCTGTAACTGACCACTCAAGGAACTCATTTCTCCAACAGAAAATACTTGACAAATGGTCTCATTTTCATTGATTTCACTTTCTGAGAGACATCTATTTGCAGCAGGGCAATGTGGCCAAGTGGAATGTTTTGTAGCAATATTTGCAGTGATTACTGTTGCTGTTTGACTGAAGACAAAGTCTTTGAGTCTCAAGATCTATATCTGCAAAATAAGGTGATAAGATCTATTGTCAACTTCCCTCTAGTTTCTCTGGGAATATGTTAGATGTAAATCAAACTCTCTGAACTTTTCCTGGAAGAAAAAAAAAAGTAGCAAAGATATAAAATAAGCCTAATAAGTGAGCCATCTTGTTGTCAAGTTCTTATCTATTTAATTAAGCTAAAAGGTGATATATTTTTACTTCAGCATGGTGGCCTTCTCTAAGAACGTAACTTGATTGTTATTCCCAGTCCACAGAAACCAGAGCTCCAAAAAGTCAATAAAACAGGAGAGAGAGAGGTGGAGAGAAAGAGAGAGAAAAAAAATCTCAGTTTAGACTATGGCCTCATAGAAATGTAGGGGTAGTTCCCAGCCAAGAGTCAGATTGAAAGTGTGGATTCAGTTTCTTGTTCCGGCTGAGTCAGCTCTTCATGGTGTATTCTTGCGGTTTTACGTCATTTAATACACATTTCAAAAATATCTAATCCATGCATATTAAAAAGAGCATGTAATGATAGACTGCAGTAAGGCCCAAACAACCCCTACTATTGGCATTACTTGGCCCACCAAATACTTGTAGCCCCTGTGATACCAGCACAATTGCCTAGCACTTGTTCTCCCTCCACAAGAAAGCTTAGGTGGATGTTTGTGACACTCTGTGCTTGTTGCCTAATTGCCACGCATTCTTCCCACCTTCCTTGTTCACAAAACTCCAAATGTTTTTGGGCAGCAATATGCCCAGCCCCAACTGAGATACTCACTTATCCAGCTTTCTTAGAAATTCAGTGTGGCTATGTGATTCCAGCTAAAGAGATGTAAGTAAGTGTTTACTGGGAGTATCTGGGGGCAAGTTTGCTTCTCCTGATGTGAAGGGGCAGGTTCTGATGGCACAGTCCCTCCCTTTCTGTCATGTGCTGTGGAGGAGACAGTCTGTAGATGGAGGGGCCACCTGGTAACCACCAACAACCAAGCATGAGGACAAGTGTCATGGTGCAAAGGGCAAAGCAGAAAGATGAAAAGAGTTTCAGTCCCTGATGACATCAGTGAGCAGCCAAATCCACACCAGAAACTGCCTACATCTGGTTTTCTTGATATCTGAGGACAAGAAGCACATTTTTTTTTTGTTTAAATCACTGAAATTAAGTCATCAAATACTCGTAGCCCAAATGATTGCTAACTGATACAATGACCATATTATGTAAGAGTAGAGAAGTAGTTTTATAAACAGAAATGGCATCCTGGATCAATAGGAATTAAGGGCCCTTAAGGGACTCCCTGCTTCCAGGACAAGGTATCCCTAAATAATCTCTAATCTGTACCACTTAATCCCTATCCCTCATGGTTTATATATAGCATACCAAATTGTTTTCTTAGATCCTGAATCCTTGGCTCTGAAGCCTCACTGTTTCCCACTAGCCAATTCCCTCAACTGTTCCACATCCACCCTTTGTTACTTTCCATCCATTAATCACTTGCATTGTCCAGGTTTGCAATTTTCCAAACTCTGCCCATTTCAATTAGATTCCAGGGTCCCAGACATAACCCGGCAGTCTCCACCTGTGCCTGACTAACATCGGAGGCGGCTGGATTCCTGCAGGCTCTATTTCCATGTGTGCCATCTTGAGTCCAGAACTAGATAATTTCACTCATCTAGAAAATTAAGGTGAATAAGAGAAGAGAAGACTGGAATGGCATATGGTCTAGCTTCCTGAATTTGTGTGATTATCCATTATCAAATCGCAGGCACTGAGTTATTAAGTCTATTGACAGATGCAATGTAATTTTCTTCAAACAGATAACTGATCCTGGAGCTGATAAGGTCTGAATGTGCATTGCACACTGCCTCATATTTTTATCATTCTTCACTTTCTTTATTCAATGCTCTGTTATCAAATTACCAGTACAAATGTATTCACAGAAGTAAAGCAACATAGAATGCCTTACATTTATACTCTCATTTACTTAAAATATCTTGACTTTGAGCAGCATTACTCCAGAATCTTGGGAAAAGAAATGAAAATAAGTAGGAAAACTACAATACACAATGTTCGAAATTATAAGTCTGGGAAATGTTTGAAATAAATTGTACAGAAATAGGTGAGCTTCAGCTCTAAGCTTAGACAATTTTAAGGACCTCAAAGTTGAGAAATAACAGTGTTTTGATACGGCTAAATGTATAAAGGGCTTGCCTTTTCCTTTTATAATCCCTGGCAAGGATATTCTCATGCTGGTGATAAATCAACACTGAAATCTAGCTCAAACTACAAAAGCAAAATAAAATTATTGGGACAACACCTTTCACAAACTGACTGGAGAGGACACTTTGCAAACATATTAAAGCTACTCTCTGAGTACACACACTTGGTACTCATGAACATAACAAAATGGCACAATTCCATGCTTGTGAAACAAACAAAAATCCTACTTGTTCCACAATTCAGCCTCAGGCCCTAATTCAAAACTATTTTTTTTCTCTAAGTTTCCCCCTACTAAGATGACTGTCCATGTTCTGTGTTCCAAAAAGTTAACAACAAAAATAAAAGAGCATCTAGATGTTTGCTTTCAGATGGGTAGGTATAATATGTACATTATTATTAAAATACGTATACCAGATTACATGATCCCTTTGAGAGAGAACGTGTGAATTGGTGGTCTAGCCACTCTTTATTTGTGAAGAAAGATATAAGTGAGACCCAGTACCTTCATGTAGATGCAGGAAAAAATGACTAATGTTGAATTCTTACTGGGAACCAAAATATTTTAGAAATTCAGACATGTCATTATTTGCTCAACAATAAGTCACTGTGTAGTGAACTTTAAAGAAAATTACTGATTTTATTTGACTATAAGAATATAATTAAGTGTAAGATTGTATAAGAATCTTATTTAGCAAATGTACTAATTATGATCCTTGGGGCATTGGATATTTAGTTTCTATTGTACCTTCACAAGACACTCCCCAGGCATCTTTTTCATTTTCCTTATTGGAAGCTAGTGGTATTCCCTGCAGGATTTAGTTAAGAGTTTCTGCTTTACAAACCTACTAGGAAAACATTCCATTTCTTCTCAGCTGGTCATTTTCAAAGACTAAAGGCACTTAGGCTATTAGTTTTTTCTAATGCATTGAGTCTGGTTATCTCTATTTAAATGGAGCTCTATAATAAATTTCAGTTCTCAAAATTTTGTGAAGTGTGTTTAGTGTAACAGATTCCTGGGTGATTTCGTTTGCGTCAGAATTTCTCTTACTTTCTAGAAAGGACATGTTCATATGTGAGTGGCAGAGTTCAGAACAAGAACAAAATAAAAACATTAATTACCCCGAGCTGCCTGAATCATAACAGCTGTGTTGAATGTGCGGAACACTGGTGTAGGCATCCAAGGAGCATCAATATTTATTAGAAGATGTGCCTATTCATTGAGCTATAAAATGATTCAGTGTAATATATGCCATTCCAATAATTGAACTCCATGCAAAAGAACACCAATGTAGCCACAATGAAAATTGAGAACAATGATTTTGATTTATTAAATTATTCTATGCAGCCACAAGATCTTGAACAAAGAGATAAAAAGTTAATGCAAGTCTATGGTCATGCTGCTGTCTTACAGTTAGAAGGACCAGAAGCAAATTTTCCAGCCTGACTAAGGGATGCCTGGTTCTAAAGGTCTAGCCCCATATTGTTTTGATAAAAAGTGCTCATTTGAGCCTTCGGTGGCCCAGAGGCAGAACCCTTAGGCTACACATTTCCCTTGAATGGCATCCCCTTATCATATCACCTGTTCCTTTCAGAAGACCTTCTCTGGTCACCCTAACATTCATTGTACTCATCTCTGAAACCTTATGTCTGTAGGTAGATATAGGCATAAGGGGAGGTAACAGGGATGAAATCCACATTTAAGGAAACAATGTGGTCTATCTACTCAAAATCCTCAACTGGCCAGAATCTCTATGTTCTGCTTTAACAAAAGATAGATCACATACACCTCACAGCTCATCCACGGGGGTCAGTTTTCTTGTTGTTAAAGGACTTTTAGAGTCTGTATTGAGGTCAATAAATTCATCTCAAGTTTTTCTATTCTCTGTATCCATATAGTGCAAATTCATAGTCAGATTGAAAACCCCATGATATTATAAAAATACCTATTATTAAAGAAATGTATAATTATCTTCATAATACCATAATTACTGAGACATGAAAGTCAACAGAAAAGGTTTTAAACGTAGATTAAAACAAGAAGATTTTATGTAACCACGAACCAAAAAGGTTAATTACTCAGCACAGCCCCAGCTCCTTATTAATTTTGTTAATTGGGTGTACCGGTTTTGGGACCCCCTCCCAAAACATATGTACACCAGAAACTGTGAATGTGACTTTAGTTGGAAAAAAAGGATCTTTGAATAAGTAATTAAGTTAAACATCTTGAGATGAGATCACCCTAGATTATCCAGATGGACCTTAAATTTAGTGGCAAGTGTCCTTGATAAGAAGAGTAGACACAGAGACAGAAGATAAGGTCATGCAAAGAGGAAAGTAGGGATTGGAGATATACAGCCACAAGCTCAGGAATGCCTGGAGCTACAAAAAGCTGGAAGAGGCGAGGAAGGATTCTCCTGAGACCTTCAGAGGGAGTATGGCCCTGCCAACACCCTGATTTTGGATTTCTTGCCTCTAAACCTGTCAGAGAAAAAATTTCTGTTGTTTTAAGCCACCATGTTTGGGCTTATTTACTATTACTTAGGTACTTAATTACTATCACGGCTCTAGAAAACTAATACATAGGGTTTTACTATATTTGAATAAATGCCACTCAATAAACACAAATAAGGTATAAAGATGAAGACTCTTTAGAAATTCATTTAACACATAAGTGCTACTATGTGCCAGGAACTGTATAAGACTGTGAACATACAGCCAAAATTTTAAAAGATGTTACACTGTAAGACTGTCATTGACCTTACAGTGAAATCTGAAAGGGTTTTTTTTCCCCTTCAGTCTTTATAGAACAAAAGAAAGAAATAGCAGGAAATTTAAAGAGAAGACTATGAGCTAAAGTGGGGTCAGTGGAATTCTTTTGATAGAAAGGTTATAAAGGCAATTTTGATATGTGGAAAATATATTGTCACTAAAGAACCACAAGAGTGTTTGCAGACATTCAGTTCAAATGTAGAGTTTATCAAACCCTAAAGAAGGCAAATGTTTTCTACATCACCTATTCATTACAAATGAAAAGAGCACCATGTAGAAACCCAAAGACCTGAACCCTTTTCCAAGTAACTATCCTAAGGAGATATTTTTATCCAAACTATTAAAAAAGAAGAAAAAACAAAGTAAAAGTGTCGCTGAGTCCTCTGTTTTTTTTCCTACATTTTCCAGATGATATTTCGCATTATGATGTGTCATCCCATGTTGTATCAATCGCATTACAATATGTCACTTAATGTAACATAAAGCAATATGATTGACACCATCTACTAGGGCTTGTCACAACAGTGCATGTCAACCAGGACATTTTTATGGCTTTTGCAAATAAAAAAAATCAACATATTTCACATAACATCACATCCAAGGTACAGGGAGGAGGAAAGAAAGGCTTTCTTGAAGATTTTTGCAACATTCCTTTTGGAGGAACTGATAAACATCTGCTAAGTAAATGGAGTCAAATGTGTTCCCTATACTTATATCAAATGGACCCAATAAACTATTGCCAGCCTGTCTCAGGTTCACAGTCAACTCCTATTGCTCCCTGTTCATGCTTGCCATGTTCAATCCGAGACACCTTATAAGATCACCTTTAAATGAGGAAACAGAGCTATCAAATGGAAGACCCTCATCTGAGCCAAAGGAAGAAGTAAAGGCTGGCAGGACTCGTAGATAACTTAGGAATGTTCTAGAAGCCATTAATTGGTACAAACTGGTAGCAAGTAACAGCTCAAGGCAGCTTCAACAAATGGAAGATTTATTATAAGGACATTGGGGATTTCCCAAAGAACCGAGGGCAGAGAGAGAACTAGACCTTAGGAAAAGACCAGATGGAATCATTAAAAATCCATCAGCATCGTCTCCTCATTTCTACCTTAGGTGCTCTGTCCCACCTGCTTTCTTCTTCCCTCTCTGTTGCTACTCCTTACATTCAGCAGAATTCACCCCCATGACAATCAACAAGATATAGTCCCGATGACATGGAGATCTTACTGGATATTTGTTGATTTCCTCTACGGGATGTTTGTCCTTCCTAACAGAAATCCAATTCCTCAACCATGCAGCGTAAAAGGGATAGACCTCACCTCTAGCTCCACAGGAATACTCAAATTGGCTTCAATCCATCAGTGAATTCCATTACCCTGGCCAGCGATTGGTCCAGGGAAGTGCACTGAGCCTAAATGGATCCAATTAGAGAGAATCTGGGGAAGATTTGTCTGGAATCCTGGGACACAAACACACTCTTCTTCCCTGGGCCTATCTGAGTAAGAATGCTAGCTTGGGGCTGCTGCAGCCATTTTTAATACCATGACAGGAGCCAGCCTGATGGTTGTACCAACTCAGAAGAAGGGAAACTGAGACTTGCATTCCTGTGATGTCATTTGAGTTCTCAATCAAATCACAGCTGTAGCCTAAATCTCTCCTAACACAGTTTGGTTTCATGCGTCAACAAAATCCCCTTATGCTTAAGCCAGTATAAATCAAGTTTTCTATTTCTTACAACCAAAGGAATACCAACTTATGTAAGAGGTTGACTCACTATCCTACAGATGATAGGAAAATCTCTAGCCAACTAGCTTGAGCCAGCCAGTCTAATCAGTCATGGCAAGGGTACAAACATAGCTCTCAGGTGACAAGCCCCACAGACTGAGTAGGTGAGCCATTCTCAGAAAAGAGGGTGGGTATTTTGAATAAAGTCTATCATCAGTTAAGATACCCATTTGCTGGATGAGTCTGGATAAATAGCCCTGTGTGCTTTGGTTCTTTTCATGTTTAAGTTGGTTGGTCACATTTCTGTACCTAAACTCTTTCGTGGTACTCTGATTGAGGATTAATTTGTTACTCACTCTAAATAGGGTTTCATATTTTGCAGATAGGTTCTAATTTTAAAAATGCTTTACATTTAGATGGCTTTTTACATTTTCATAATTCTTATCCTTTCCCCCTTTCCCTCTGCTGTTGCTGTTTGAGCATATAAAAAACAAAGACATATTTTCAGATCCTTGCATTTCATGATTCCACCCCAGGTTTCTATGGTATACTGATTTTCAGAGCATCCCCTTTCAGGCGCAGTCATGCGGCTCACCCACTGGGACTGAGGGTACAAGTAGCTCAGGTTTTCTGGCATTTCTGAAAGAATCTTGGTTATGATGTAATAGGAGGCTTAAAGCTGCTCAGACCCTACATTGAAGGAACTTCACTTGGAATTTAACACAAAGAAAACATCAGGGACATGCATACCGAGTTAAGCATAGTGTTTGTTGTTCATTCAAGTGTTTTGCTTTTTAAAATAATAATTAAAAATTGCAAACAATTGAATGACAAAAATATTAACCTTGTTAAATAATGTATGATTTATCCATATGATAGTTATATTAAACAACTAAAAATCTTGTTTTCACAGACTATTATAGGAAATTGAAAAATGCTTGTGAAGTATTGTAAAGTGAAGGAAGTAGGTACCAAAGTATATATAAGATACAATCATAAACTTCACACACACAATAAAAACTGGACAGAAACAAGTATTAAGTGTGATTACCTGGAGATTCTCAAGACCATAGGATTATGAATGGATTTTTTTTTCCTTTTTTTATGTACTATTTTGCATTTTCCAAATTTGTCCACAGTGAGTAAATATCACTTTTTTAATTAGGAGGGAAAAAGATCATTAAGAACTCATTTTATTTTTGTAGATGTGGAATATATTTTATCCTCTAAATTTTGGTTTTAGAGGTAGTATAAGCAGGTTGATATAAAATTATTTTGAGACAATGTAAATATGCCATATCTAAAGCATATTGAAGAAAATGCAAGAAAACAACTTTTAAGAATAACAACCAAAGAAAGATATTGCCCACTTATGAAGAAAAGGGCATTTTTGCCCATTATATTTCCTACTTGAAGAATCTTGTTTCTACTAGAAGAACAAACTGTTCACTTTAATTTCTACCTTTGAAACTCTTCCGAATCAAAGGCCAGAATGACTTCCTTTCTGCATCACCACAGTATGCAGCTGTATGATTTATAACTCTGATTATATTTTTATCTCCCACAATATGCTAAAATGAGTGAGGTCAGAGATCCCACTTTCACTCAGTTTTCTTGTTTTTGTAACTAGGAGTCAAATTATTCACATTACTTTCATGCAGTTTTGTTTAGCTTAATTGTATACTGAAAGCCTGGCACACATAATTAATCAATGTATTGCTAGTGACTGTTGAACAACCCGTATCTGTTGGAAATGTTATTGTAAAATGCCAGATGCAAAGGGAAGGAGGACAGAAGCAGCTGAGAAAGAAAAACCATGCCATTTTTCCTCAGATGAGCGTTATCAAAGTGGTCATGTGTATTGAGAGAAATCAATTTGGCTTTACAGATTTGTCCTCACTTCTGGAAAATCCAAAATATATCTCCTATTGTTCTTTTGCCTGCCAGGCTGACACACCAACAAGAGCTACCTCCTATATTTTTGACTGCACCTTATACACATTTAAAAAGTGCATTGTTTTGCAGGCCACACAGGAGTACTGGGCACAACTGGTATGATTATATAATCCAATGCTTCAATTTCACCCCAGCACTCAGTCCTTATTCTTATACCCTCTCCCTAATTTGTATGAGAAATATGTGAAGGGAAAATGGCAGTCCAATTTTTTTTTCCAATAATGGCCTTTCATTTTCAGTTTCCTTAGACTTCATGGACTTTTCAGTAACTTTGTTTCAGGAATGCGTGAAAATTGATTTAAGATTTTTAAAATTTATTTCAGTATACTTTGCCATGAGGAATTGATATACAGACATTAGCAAATCTAGTATCTTTTTGAGCACCCCTGTCAATGACAGAGTTACATTGTCTGTCATTTGACTGCCTTTACTGAGTGCCTACTGTGAGCCAGCCACTGGGCAGGGCTTGAAGTTTCATTAAATACAGAACAAGAATTGCTGTTCCTACCCTTAAGGAGATTCCAGGCCAATGGTGGAAGAGGCACATAAACCAGGATTACATGTGGTGTAGCAAGTGTTCTTGCCCAATGATCCAGAAAGGCTTCCTGAGGAGGTGACACATGGCTGCATTTTGAAGGACAGATACAAGGTAGCTAGGTAGTCAAATGGAGCCCTTTAATCTCCTAAGTCCTCATTGGTCTTTACAGCTATTCCTCGTGTGCTAGAACAGACATTACGAACTCCACTATGGAATCAAGAATACTGGGAAACAGAGAAGTTGTGACTTGAACATTTTCACACACCCAGAGAGTAAAATGTCTATTTTCAAATCAGGTATCCTGAAGAGTATCCTTTGCTCTTCCCACCAAGACAAAACAAAGAACTTACCATTTTGCTAGGGTGTGCAATGCCCACACAAAGACACTTCATTGAAAACACATTATTTGTAAATAAAGATCTTTATTATCTCCCAGAGATATTAAGTGAACTTAAAAAACTGCTTCCTTCAAGCACTTTCCTCAGCCAAAACCAATGCAGCACACATTAAATACCTGGCCCAAGATGATGATAATGGGGAAGTGGGGGATTCCAACACATTTTCTCTTTTCATTCCCCTGAAACTCTGATCATTCTATTATGGACTCGTGGGCACTAAGCTGGTTATTTCTCCATTTTGCATAACCCCAATCTTATACCTACAACAAACTCCCTTTTCTCTTCTATTTAATTGTTACGGCCATTGCTACTGTTGAGTGAAAAATAAAATATCTCTGTGCTGGCATATTGCTTTATTTTGTTCTGCTTTATTGAGAAAGAGAGAGAGAGGGCAAGAACTGAAACCAGCAGAAAATGATCTGTTTGATGAAAGGTAACAAAATTATAAAAGTAGTCAGATTCCACAGAATCCCGCCAAATATGAAGAAACTACAATCAGAATATGCTTCTAATAGAACCATTGGCCCAAGAAGGGACTGCAGCAGGATGAGTCAGTGCCCCAAGTCCCAGACACATTTCAGCAGCTTTGAGAAATGAGGACAGGAGCACCTAAGTAGAGCACCTGGATTGGGTCACCACAGTGGTGATGATACCTTGTCATTATTGAGCTGGATTAAGGAGGTGAAGACCCCACCAGAAATGGAGAGCACACAGCAGAATGGGTGGTCACAGTGTTCTCAACAGCAAATAGTGGGTGTCTAAAGTCCATTTCTGGGCTTTGCATGGGTCAAAGGTAATCCAATCTCACCCTCATCTTGCCCCACCCTTCAGGAGTTTCCAGAGACCAAGAATAACTTCTATGAGGAGGCTTCTGTTCTCTCCCCAGTACGAATTTTGTCCATAAACAAACTTGTTGTTTGCGTCAACTTTACTTTTTTAAAAAAATTTTAGGCCAGGTGCGGTGGCTCACACCTGTAATCTCAGCACTTTGGGAGGCCGAGGCAGGCGGATCATGTGGTCAGGAGATAGAGACCATCCTGGCTAACACGGTGAAACCCCGTCTCTACTAAAAAATACAAAAAAACTTATCCGGGCGTGGTGGCGGGTGCCTGTAGTCCCAGCTACTCAGGAGGCTGAGGCAGGAGAATGGCGTGAACCCGGGAGGCGGAGCTTGCAGTGAGCCGAGATCGCGCCACTGCACTCCAGCCTGGGTGACAGAGAGAGACTCCATCTCAAAAAAAAAAAAAAATTTTTTTTTAAGCATATCTAATTGAGTCAAATTACAGTTTAAACATAACCAGCTAGAATTAAATATGTGGGCCGGGTGCGGTGGCTCATGCCTGCAATCTCAGCACTTTGGGAGGCCAAGGTGGGAGGATCACGTGAGCCCAGGAGTTGGACCAGCTTGGGCAACACAGTAAGACTCACGTCTCTTAAACAAAACAAAACAAAAAAATCTCTCATTTGTCTCATTAAACAGTTTGTATTTACAAACACAAACACAAACACACACGAGAGAGTTATTTACCATTATAGAATTCTTTGTATCTTGTAGAACTGTGACTCTTCCATCTGACACTATCAAACATGAATACATTGCCATGTAAACTAAAGAAGCACTTCCCCCTAAATACAGTTTTTTATGATCTCATTCACGGTCCTTGCTCTATACCAAGACACTGTTTACTTCTGCTGGCCCAGAGAATTCCACTGGGAAAGGATGATCCTTTTTAGCCAAAAACAAGTTTTTATCTTTAGGCTTATGGGGCATCATTCATAATATGTTGATGTTTTATATCCTTCTCCCTTCTCTAAGAGTTCAAAGGGAATTGAAGAATAGAAAAAAAATGGAATATCCTTCATTAGTTCTATTCAGCCCAGAAATGAAACTGTGCATGAATAAAGAAGAGAGAACAAGAGCAGACAGTTATACTGGGTTATGAACGATGTGGGGGGTGGGGTGCGTTGTATGTGTCCGTGCACATGCATGCACACGCGTGCACATGCATGCACACGCGTGCACAAGTTCACTCCCTCATGCAAGTGTTAACCCCAACCCCTTGCCTTAGGGGAAGATAAAACACCATCCCCACTCATTTACAGTTAATCTCAAAGGTTAATTTTGTTGCTCATACTCTATAAACAAAGAAGATATTTCTTTCCCAGCTCGGGGCCTTTTGCCATAAGCGAAACAGAGAAGAAAGTCAGCGTGTCCCGAGGATTAAGGAGAGGTCGGAAGATCCGAAGAACCTGCTGCTGACAGATTTGCTTATTAAAAAGCCTGCTCCAGTGGACGGGCTGCCACTGATGGCCTGACACAGCCGGACTTCAGAAGGCCAGCACACAATCAGCGGACTGTGCTACTCTGGGGACCGCAGGGCACGGGGGAGACTTTTCTAATTTGTCAAAGTTGTATCTAATTCCACAGAACAAAGTTCGCAAAGAGAGATGAGCAGAATCCACAAATTATTGCTCATTCACCAAGCCCTTGATGGAGAGATAGAAACAGCACACAACTAGGGTTTTGTAAAGTAACTCGACCCCTGCCAGTCGGCTTTGGGTAATTCCTCCTTGTGGGCATAACAGTTTCCCTTGTTTTTTGTTTAATAGGATTATTCCTCAGAATATTAAAAAGATAACATCAACATCTTTCAGTGGCCCCATAAACTATTTCTGGAAATAGAAAAAGAAGGGTTCAGGTGTTTTTGTGACTCCTGATAGGACTTTTGTTCTCTCAGAAGCTACAAAGAAAGAATGTGGTTTTGTGAGGGGTGTGCCAAGAGCAAACCAAACAAAACGTTACGTTTTCTAGAAAGGCAACATCCTTCAAACTTACATTGCCCATCGAGACTCCTGCTAGCCTATTTGAGAACTGAGACTGACTTTCAAATGGGAGCTTAGAAATTTCGATTCTGAAAATTGAGGAGTTGTGAAGAGGGAAAGCTCAGACATTAGTTTTGAGTCAGGGAACGCTACTTAAAAGGAACACATTCTCTGGATGAAAACGTATTGAACAGTCTTGAAATGAGGAGAAAACATATTGAATAGTCTTGAAATGAGGAGAAAACATATTGAACAGTCTTGAAATGAGGAGATCTCCAGGAAAATGTTGCCTTCTTATTGGTAAGGAGTGGCACAGTCAAGAAGAAGCAGGTCCAGACACGTCAGGAGTTCTGTCAGTCTAAGTCTGCCCACTCCAGGAAGGAGGGTAGTGAAGGCAAATGATGGCTGGGCCCACCAAGTGAGAGACTTCCATAGCAATATCCATAGGCTTCTTATAACACAGTGTTTTACAATGATCACAGCAGGAAGAGTTGGGAAGAACTGAACCAGTCTCAGGCCGGTCACTTTCTTTTTTACCTAACAGCAAAAACCCTCAGTCTAGACATCTAAAATTCATGAAAATTCGCAGTGTACCTTATGGTGAATTCACTTACCGGGGCTCCATGGCTCTAGGTACTGATTTTCTCATTGCATAGATCTTTGCAGGTGCAGCAATTTCAGAAGCTGCGGCTCTCTTTCAACCTGGATGGGCTGTCCTAACTGCTTTTGCAAAAATGTCTTCTGCCCAACACTTTCTCCAACTATGAGGAAATTGATTTCAGGGATTACCTTAGTTTTAGTCAAGAAAAAGAAAAACCTCCAGGTAGAATGTACCTGAAAGATAATTCTTCTTACTCAGAAGCCCTTTGCTACTGCCTGTCTTCCTCTACCAAGCAAACTTCTGGATGCAGAGCCGGAGGTTAAGGAAGACTCTTGCTCAATGCACTACTGAGGTTAGGTTTTGGAGAAGCCACCGAGAATCGTCGACAGGACCTGGGATTTTTGTTATTTTTGTTTTTTGAGTTTTCTTTTTTTTTTTTACTTTTATTTTAGGTTGGGGGTACATGTGCAGGTTTGTTACATAGGTAAACTGCATGTCATAGGGGTTTGGTGTACAGATTATTTCATCGCTCAGGTAATATGCATAGTAACTGATAGGTAGTTTTTCCATCCTCACCCTCCTCCTACCCTCCACTCTCAAGTAGGCCCCATTGCCTACTTTGATTCCCTTCTTTGGGTCCATATGTATTTGATGTTTAGCTCCCACTTATAACTAAGAACATGCGGTATTTGGTTTTCTTTTTTTTCTTTTTTTTTTTTTTTGAGATGGAGTCTCGCTGTCACCCAGGCTGGAGTGCAGTGGCGCGATCTCTGCTCACTGCAGGCTCTGCCCCCGGGTTCACGCCATTCTCCTGCCTCAGCCTCCCGAGCAGCTGGGACTACAGGTGCCCGCCACCTCGTCTGGCTAATTTTTTGTATTTTTAGTAGAGACGGGGTGGTTTTCTGCTCCTATGTTGGTTCTCTTAGGATAATGGCCTCCAGCTCCATTCATGCTGTGCAAAAGACAGACCTCATTCTTTTTATGCCTGCATAGTATTCCTCGGTGTATATGTACCACATTTTCTTTATCCAGACTACCATTGATGAGCCTTTAGGTTGATTCCATGTCTTTGCTAGGGACCTAAGATTTTAAATTAAGATCTGATTTGAAATTCTGGCTAGGGAAGTTACTTGCCGTGAGACCTAGGACGTGGATCCTACCATATCTGAGCCTCTGTTTTCTCATATAAAATGAAGCTGAAAATAATGCTTCCTACCTTGCAGGGCTGATGTAAGAAATAATTTGTCAGGGTATACAAGGATAGTTTGTAAAATATTCTATACCTGTTAGCTGCTGATTTGGTTTGGTTGGTTTGGTTTTATGACTATTAACTACTTTTGTTCATTAGCAAGTTGTGTTCCCACCTGGTCAGCCCACCAAACAGCCTAGGCCAATAGTCCCTGTACATCTCCCTTCCCCATTTCAACTAAACAGCCTATGAGGGGGAGACTTCCATATTCCATTCTTTTAAAACATAAAATGAGTGTTTATATAAAAATCAACTCTGCCATTTTTATTGGATTTTTGGAAACATAAAAGCTATTTCGAGCCAAATATATAGAACTGGATATAAGGTATATTTGTAAGAAAAACCACAGACATGACATTATTTTATGCTATTATCTTTTTCTCTCTTCTCACTTATGAAAAGGTTTTGAGAAACTTAAAATATAAGGCACAAATATGATAAAACTGAAAAATCACTAAAGTGAGTAAAAAGTCAAAAGAAAAATAAAAAGCAGATCTACACTAATAGAAATTTCTACAGCTTAATATAAAACTAAGCACCAAGGTTATTGACTCAAAGCAAAAGGGGAAAGGTGGTAAGTGGCTTTTTCCAATGTAAGAAAGCCTCAGAAGGGAGAAAAATTATTTCCCAACACCAAATTCTGGAAAAGGCTTTTTCACAGGAGTCTTCACATGACTGATTTTTGAACGTAGTAATCGCCATCAAAGGTTTCCTAAACGTGATCACTTTTTATTGATTATCGACCCATTCTGTTCTAACCCTGCTAAGAGGGACTCTGGAGTTTGGAAAGCCAGTTTGGAAAAGGAGGTTTTCTATTTGATATAAAATCCTGGCAACTCTTGAGTCATCATATATCTCATTGTAATTTATATTTTCGACGACAAACTTGCACAAGTTTTATAATGAATTTACTTAGTTTGTTATAATTAGCTAAGATATATTGAACTCTTGTTATGAGTTAGGCTAAGCCCTTTATCTGCATTGGCTCATTTAATCCTCCCAAAAATCCTACCATACAGGGATTATGATTTGACTCATTTTACACATGGGAAAGCCGAGACTTATGGAGGTAAAGAATTTTGCACAAGGTTACACAATTTGCAATTCATCCTGGAGTTTAAACTTGACGCCAGCTCCAGATTATCTGCCTGACCACTCGCCACTATGCAAGCCTGCCTCTCACACTTTTGGGCAGACCATATAAGGACTACAACAGACCATCAAATGAACACAAAAGTGTATTGGATTTGATCAGAAAAGCAGGTTGCCAGTGAACACAGATGCTATACTGTGACAGAGAGAATTTATTAGAAGTTTATGGAGAAAGAAAGGGATTTTATTTGTGGTCTGCTAGTACTGAGACTGAACAGCCAGCCAGGGCACCTTAGGGGAAGTGTGAACTTCATCTGAAAGTTGGGTCAGAAGCCCATGAAATTCCACTTTGCTTCCACAGACAGTTAAGGAGGCCTTCTACCTGGGCTACCAGATTCCCAGAGGGTTGGTGCCCTGTCCCATCTTTGATTCATGATCTTTCCCCACAATTTGGTTATGTCAACAACTTGACAAGCAAGTCAATTTGGCTGTCCTGGCACAGCACACAGTGCTGTCTACATTGTTAACCAGCTGTAAATCCCCATTGATTTTAATGGACACTGGTTCAGTTCCCCCATCTGTAAAATGAAAAATCTGTATGAATGAGAAATAGATCATTGTGCTTTAAAATTCTAAAATTATATCATCCTGTGGTCCAGTCTTTCTCTTACAGAATAGAAAAGTTTAACAAATTTCCTCAAATCAAAGCAAAATATTATTTTATACAGGAAACAACCTAAAGTCAAATACCTGTCTTCTTTCAACTGCTCTGAGTGAGACTTATTTTGATACAGGAATTATGTACACAGACTCTGGGTGCTTCTCATTTATAAACTGTGTGTGCTGGGCAAGTTATTTAAGCTTAGTGTCTCAGTTTAGTCATCTGTAAAATGAATATAATAATAATACCTACTTCATAAGATTGGTATGAACTATAAATGAGTCAGTAGCTATAATGTGCATAGAGCTGTGCTGACAACCTACTAAGTAACCAGTAAATGATAGCCCTTAGCCGTCTGTCTCTAACTCAACTCTCCCATTTTTCTCAAGCTAATATGCTTACTATATACATTTTCCAGTAGCCTGTCCTTTATAGCTGTGACTTATCCAAACCTGACACACAGAACATTCCTTTCACATTTCAAGCCCACCAAACTATTTCTCTTCAGCCACTCCAAAAGCAACTGGAAGACAAAAAAATAAAAACCTTTATGAGACTTCCCAAGATGAGAGGACTCAGACAGATAACTACTCTGAATTTTAACTTCACAACTTCTACTCCTTCACTTGCTTGCAAATACATTTACCCTTCAAATACATTGCAAAGCACTTATTTTAGAAGGCGCCCATTTGCAGATATTGTTTGAGGCCAGTACAATAGTGGATTGGTTTCCATTTTGGTCAAATTTTGGTTTTACATGCATTTATGAGGATATTAGATAAAGCAGTACACTACAGTGGAAATAAACTCGCAGTATATGATTGTCTTAAAGCAGAGGAAAAAAATACAAAATTTTATCTGAATAAGGAGCAAAATGTGTTGTGGCTATGATTCTATCATTCAAAGGTGCTGTCTCTGAAATGCAGAAATCATCTTTAACTTTTCTAACCATCTTACTCTCTGGCTGTAACCATGCCAAGTCCTATTAACTCTTTCTTCCTAAATCTGTCTCTGGGATGCACTTGGAGTATATCATATGACTCTCTCACAGCATCTCTTGCAGTCTGTTTCATATTAAAGTTATTTATGCATATGCCTGTCTTCCATACTAGATCTTTTAGACTGAGGCCCTGTAACCTGACTTGTCTTTGTATTCCTAGCAGCATTTAGCATGTGCACACAGGCACACACACACACACACAAACACACACACACAAGCATGACACTGGTTCACTCTTCTGTGCTTTTTTATTGCTGTTCCTTTTGTCCCAAATGCCCTCACCCCCTACTTTTTCTACCTGGTGACACCTTTCTTATCCTTCATTGGCTAATTCCAGTTCCCTGCTCAGACTCACACTCCTGCAGAGTTCCATTTGCCATATGACAGTGATTATCTCATGGCATTAGGGTTCATTCCATATCCCTCTGCCTTCCTTGTCTGATTGTGAACTCCCTGAGGAACAGAAGCCTATCTTCCTCATCCTTCTATCCCTCACAGCACCCATCATGGAGTCTGACACACAAGAGGCACTCAAAAATGATTTTGGAAATTGAACTGTGTCACTTGAATCCTTAAGACCAACTTCAGGAGTAAATGCCTTCTTTAAACAATTACCCTGGTTTTCTCAGATAACTTCCCCCAAAGAGTACTAAGGAGAGTTTGCCTGTTCCTGTATGTCACTCTATGGCCTCTACCTATGAACACTAGGTTGGGGACAAAAACTTGAGTATGAATCCATAGGACACTCACACTGAAAAATTTGACCTCACTGTGGGTTGCATGACCCTGTGACAAAGTGAGAAAAGAAGGAAAAGGACTGAGTGTAACGTTCATATAAAAGCAGCAGCTTAAGAAATACCACAAAATGAACCACATGTTGATTTCCAGTAAATAAGTGGTGACCCTGCTGAGAGGAGCCCAAGATTCTGCTCCATGGCACAAAAGGGGCTTAGATGCCCTGAGGAATATGTGCTTGGTGTCCTAGTTAATTACATGGATCTTCCTGGAACACTGGTCTCCCTGCCCCACAGGTAGCTTCAAATCCCACTCCTAGAAGGTCTTCAAGAGGAAGGCCATGCTAATTCCACAAGAACAGAAGCTGTTACCCTGACCTCTGTTTAATGTGCACCACAATGTAAAAAGCTGCCCAAAAGACATTTGACAAGTGGATAGATGATTTTGTAATTCTTTTCTCCCATGAAAATAAAAGATTTTGTCAAGTGGGTGGCATTTCCATCCCCTTCTCTATTTTATTGAATTAAAACGGCTTCAGTGTTTTTAGAAAGCATTCCTCTTAAGATGCAAATTTATACCATTTTTCTGCATTCTTAGGATTACATGCTCTGCTTAAAATCCACACTCCGCTTCAGTTGCACACACGTAATTCTTTCTGACCTAGATGGAACAGAATACTCATAGCAAACTGAGAATACAGATCAGGACTGAAGGTCAAAGAAAGCAAGCTAATGGTCTGCATATCATCCCCAAATACAGGATTCTTGGGGACTTTTTAAAAAAAATTGTGCCTCCTCTTAAAAGGAAAATAAGCTGTTCTTTCATTTCTTATTACAGTCCAGAAAAGATCAGGATCTAAAGGCGGAGTTTGTAATATTGAGGGACACATGTGGAAATCGCTTTCATCATGGCAATTTCCTGAACTGCTTTCTAAAGCCCTTCTTTGGCTTAAATAGTCCATGGAGCCCTTTTAAGATTTTATACAAAGAAACTGATCAGTTTCATAATGTTGTGATGAAATTAGAGCCCATATTGCTTAACTGGAATGACTATACACAGTAGCTATTCTTCATTTATAGATTGACTGTAATTGTCTGGGGGAAAATCACCTCTCCAGAGGACTTAAAATGAGGCAGAAAGGTCATATAGTAAGGACAGACATTTGAACCTGATTTACAGTAATTTGAAGGTCTGAGGAAATATTCCGAATCCCTGATTGTGAGTCCTGTTCTATTCTGACATTCAGGGAAGTAGTTTTGGTGAACGCACAACTGGTTTTTTCTCTCCATATTTAATGGGGGCTAAATACATTTGCATTCATTAAATTGAGGAACCTGTGGGGCCAAGAATCCCGTGCATGATGTGTCTTGGAATATCAGTGTAACTTTACATTTAACAAAACTCCTGGTACTTATCCAATCCTAGAACTTTTTTTTTGACTTGGTGGCAAATAAATCCCACATCAGTTCTCTGGTCATGAATAAGTATAAATGAAAGTATCTAAGAGACATTTCTCCATTTGGAGACAGTCATCTCACCCATGATGACCTCCCTGCTGTGGAGAAGAAGCACATTTTAGTTTTGGTGACTGTAAGAAGTTCTCCTTGCTTGGAAGTCACCAGCCTTAAGCAATTCTGCTCACCTGTAGGGAATTTCCCTCCTACTGAGTGAAAGAAGAGAGGAATTTCTGTTAGAATGATGATATATCCATTAGCAATTAGGCTTTCCAAGGCAGTTGTCATGAAATTATGGGCAAACAGGGTCACATATGACTTTCATGGGTCATTGGACACTTTTGCTTTTGTGACCCCTTCCATATATGTATGTATATATGCACAAATACATATATATGTACATGCATACATGTATATATATGCATACAATTTGAGCATCCCAAATCTGAAAACCCAAAATCCAAAAAGCTTCAAAATCTGAAACTTTTGGCACATCAACAAGATATTCAAAAGAAAGGTTCATTGGAGCATTTCAGATTTCAGATTTTTGGATTTGCAATGCTCAACTGGTAATTATATAATGCAAATATTCCAAAATAAAAAAAATTGAAACCCAAAACTTTTGGCCCCAATCATTTCAAATAAGGAATACTCAACCTGTATAAACATATACACATATATAATTATATTTTATAACTGCATTGGTATACACATGAATATGTTAATATTGTTAATATGGTCTGGCTGTGTATCCCTACCCAAATCTCATCTTGAATTATAGTTCCCATAATCCCCATGTGTCATGGCAGGGACCTGGTTGGAGGTAAGTGAATCATGGGGGCAGTTACTCCCATGCTGCTGCTCTTGGAATAGTGAGTGAATTCTCACAAGATCTCATGGTTTTATAACAGGCTTTTCCCTCTTTGCTTGGCACTTCTCCTTCCTGCCATCAAGTGAAGAAGGGCATGTTTGCTTCCCCCTTCCACCATGATTATAAGTTTCCTGAGGCTTCCCCAGCCATGTGGAACTGTGAGTCAATTAAGCCTCTTTCCTTTATAAATTACCCAGTCTTGGGCAGTCCTTAATAGCAGTGTAAGAATAGACTAATACAGTAAATTTGTACCAGGAGTGGAGCACTGCTGTAAAGATACCTGAAAATGTGGAAGCAACACTTGAACTGGGTAACAGGGAGAGGTTGGAACAGTTTGGAGGGCTCAGTAGAAGACAGGAAAATGTGGGAAAGTTTGGCACTTCCTAGATATTTGTTGAATGGCTTTGACCAAAATGCTGATAGTGCCTGCTGAAGACAATGAAGTCTAGGCTGAGGCGGTCTAAGATATAGATGAGGAACTTGTTGGTAACTGGAATAAAAGTCATTCTTGCTATGCTTTAGCAAAGAGACTGGTGGCATTTTGTCCCACCCTAGAGATCTGTGGAACTTTGAACTTGAGAGAGATGATTTAGGTTATCTGGCAGAAGAAATTTCTAAACACCAAAGCATTCAAGAAATGACAGAGCATAAAAGTTTGGAAAATTTGTAGCCTGACCATGCAGTAGAAAAGAAAACCCATTTTCTGAGGAGAAATTCAAGCCAGCTGCAGAAATCTGCATAAGTAACAAGGATCCAAATGTTAATTTCCAAGACAACAGGGAAAATGTCTCCAGGGCATATCAGAGACCTTGGTAGCAGCCCCTCCCATCACAGGCCTGGAGGCCAAGGAGGAAAAAAACGGTTTTGTGTGTTGGGTCCAAGGTGCCTCAGGACTTGGTGCCTTGTGTCCCAGCCACTCCAGCCATGGCTAAAAGGGACCAAGGTACAGCTCACACCATGACTTCAGAGGATGCAAGCCCCAAGCCTTAGCACCTTCCACATGGTGTTGATCCTGCAGGTACACAGAAGTCAAGAGTTGAGATTTGAGAACCTCTGCCTAGATTTTAGAGAATGTATCAGAATGCCTGGATGTCCAGGAAGATGTTTGCTGCAGGGGCGGAGCCTTCATAAAGAACCTTTGCTAGGGTAGTGTGAAAGGGAAATGTGGAGTTGGAGCCTCCACATTACAGAGTCCCTACTGGGGCACTACCCAGTGGAGCTGTGAGAAGTGGGCCACTGTCCTCCAGATCCCAGAATGGTAGATTGATAAGCAGCTTGCACCATGCACCTGGAGAAGACACAGACACTCAACACCAGCCAGCCTGTTAAAGCAGGCAGGAGGGGGGATGTACCCTGCAAAGCCACGGGGGTGGAGCTGCCCAAGACCATGGGAACCCACCTATTACATCAGCACAACCTGGATGTGATACCTGGAGTCAAAAGAGATCATTTTGAACTTTAAGGTTTAATGACTGCCCTATGGGAATTTGGACTTGCATGGGGCCTATAGCCCCTTTGTTTTGGCAAATTTATTTCATTTGGAATAAGTATAATTACCCAACGCCTGTACTCCCATTGTATCTAGGAAGAAACTAACTTGCTTTCCATTTTACAGGTTCATAGGCAGAAGGGACTTGCCTTGTCTCAGATGAAACTTTGAACTTAGACATTTGAGTTAATGCTGAAATGAGTTAAGACTTTGGGAAACTGTTGAGAAAGCATAGTTATGTTTTGAAATGTGAGAAAGATGAGATTTGGGAAGGGCCAGGAGCAGAAAGATATGTCCCCCACATAAATCTCATCTTGAATTGTAATCCAAATTGTAATCCTCACATGTTGGTGGAGGGATCTCGTGGGAGGTTCCCCCATGCTCTTCTCATGATAGTGAATGAGTTCTCATGAGATCTGATGGTTTTATAAGGGTCTTTTCCCCCTCTTTTCTCAGCACTTCTCTCTCCTGCCACCATGTAAAGAAGGACATGTTTGCTTCCCCTTCCATCATGATTGTAAGTTTCTGGAGGCCTCCCTAGCCATGCAGAACTGTGAGTCAATTAAATTTCTTTCCTTTATAAATTACCCAGGCTCAGGTGTTTTTTCATAGCAGCATGAAAATGGACTAATACAATTGTATATCAAAATATTCTCTTCAACCTAAAAGCTCACTTTTTTCTTCTGATTTTAAGATAATCTGAGATATTTTCACAGAACTTTAAAAACATTGTGAGCCCTAGGCACTATGCCTACTGTGTCTACTGGGTAAGTTGACCCTGATGGCAAATACTTTTTCATTTGGATGGTTCCAGTTCTCAAATCTCATCCCTGGCATTAGCTCAGTGGAGCCTTAGTTTCTTTCTGTGTGAAATGACAAGACTTAGATTTCTTAATCTATATTATTTCATTGGCCTTCCCCCAATGCAGTGAAGTGTCATCTTTTTCTACTTTCCAAAGGCTCAGAGATTTTAAGAGATTGCCTTGAATTGTCTCAGCTGGGAATTGACAGCCTTTCTTGGGAAAGGGAAGGGAATGAGAACCAATATTTGCCTATTTTAGGCATTTCACACACAGAAACCACTATTTAATTTCCAACAACCCTGCAAGGTAATGTCTGAATTTTCCATCCAGGCCAATCAGCTAATAGCTTGGCCAGGGTAGGGCATAGGTGGCAGTAGGAAAATTTCGGAAAATCTGATAATAATACTAAGTCCAAAGTGTGGGAACAAAGCTCCAAACAAGAGGCAAAGTCAAGGGCCTCAAGCCAGACAGAAAATGGAGTGAACTAAGAGCTTGGGGAAAAGGAGAAAGATGATGACCTGCTGCTGCAAACAGGCTAGCATGCCCAGGGACCCACTTTTCTGGCTGTCATAAAGATATAAAGAGAAAAATCAGAATGGATAGCTCAAAAATGTCATCTTCATTTTATAGCTGAAGAAGCTGAGGCTCATAGTGCTAAGGTAGTCTCAGATCACACAGGTAGGAAGTGGAGAAGCTGCATATGACTCCTAATGCCATGTTCACTCACAGAACAAATATCTACATAGAGGCCACATCTCCATTCTGAGTTTTTTCAGTGGCCTCCTAAAAAGATATCACAAACTTGGGCATGACCATTGGGAGCAAGGCATTGCCTGAGATCTTGCCAGATTGGTCTCCATTAACACACAGTCTCATGCGTATCCCCAAACTCATAAAGAAAACATGCAATAGCAGAGTCCTTGCCAACGTTCTATGCTGAATGAATACACAGAATATGGAAAGAGGTATGTTTCCCTCTTTACATCTTTACAAAGAAAAACTTAGAGAAAATGGAGTCCTAAAGAGACAGAGAAACCTGACCATTCAGTCTGCAAAGAGAGAAAAAGGGGGCCTACAGCATTTTAAGTCATCTACGTATTATGTGTTTGACATTTCCCAATCAATGGAAGCCCTCAGGATCCCTATTTCTGTTGAAGGAACTGTCTCTAATACTGGCTGGAGGGGAATTGTCTGAATGAGTCCATTTCAGCTGCTTCCCTCCAGCCAGGTTCTCATAGTCTGAGTGGCCAGCCACCTGCCCAAAGCGCAGAAGGCAGAGCACTGCAGGGAAGGTGATTAGGATGGGCTGGCCCAGAGATGACAGCCATGCAGAGCCATAGCACAAAAATTAATCATATAAAGTCTGTTTGATTCCTGCTGGCAACTGATTTTAGGAATGAAGTTCAGTTTGCTGGGTTTGTTTCCTAAAAATCCAAACTTGTTTTGAAGAATTTAAAAAATGCATTTTACTAAAAACTACATCTAGCCCATACTTATTCTTTTACGCAGTCTTCCTATGGGTCACTCACATACCTGGGATGACTTTCATTATAGTTTCATAACCATCTGGGAGCACATCACCTGATTAATTCCAGCATTTAATTGCAAACCCAAGCAGAGAGAGGCTTTTTATCAAATATCTACACACTCAAACTCAGCTAACATGTAAGCAATATAGCTTAATCACTTGAAAGCTACATCCCACCTGTAAATACATAAATACATTTTTCACAAGTCAAACAAACCCCTGAAGCTTGGTGAGAGCTATGTTAAGAGCCAAAAGAAGACATAAAGCCACATTCTCAACTGCTTTCAGGAAGAGTGGTGAATTCTAGTCTGGGTCTCAGCACTCCTTTCCTTGCCATGACTGCCTGTTGAATATGGTCTCAGTTGAAAGCAAGGAGAACAGTGCATTACCACTGCCATGTCATTATGAGAGTCAACAGCACCCACACGCAAGACCCCATGAGACTTTGAAAAGTTAGCCCCAGCCCTATCTCCTGTCTCTCTGAAGGACAGAACCCAAGTGGTCCCACAAACCAGACTTTGCAACTCCCCTGAAATCTGACACTCATTTACTTAAGAAATTATTATACATCTGCTAGCATATGTATGTCTCCGGTTTGGCATTTCGTCAGGAGTACATGCTGGGAACACTTAACTGCACTGACATCCACATAAAATAGTAAGGAGTCCACCACCAAGATCTACACGGTCTTCCCAACACAGTTGGCCTACATCTGCTCAACATGCTTGATTCTGTGTTTACTTTATGTTCAGGTTGAGATCCAGATTTTAACAGGCCATCTGATGCCCCATTAACTTTTCATAAGGAAAGCCCATACGTGTGCACTCATGAATTTGGGAGGAAGGAAGAGAAATTGAAGTCATGGTTGACAACATAGGAAACCTTTACATGTGTCATGGTTGCTCTCACTGGCATCCATCTCCTGAGCAGGGGATTCTGGGGTGTCACATTTTTAAGGAGTCCATTTTCACAGTGAGCTTTGGCATCTCAGAATGCTCTCTCGAGGAGCAAAGTCAACCCTAGGTCACTATTTCAATGTAGTTTCCTTTGTACTAAATCCTACTTTCAAGGAAATTCCTGCTATGGTTCACTGGTGTTTAACCTATCATATAATATCCAGGTTTACTGTGTTAGAAGAAGCAGAACAGTATTAAGCTTTTCCCACATGCCTGTGATTGCATTTGACCTAGTAACCTGTATTAGATTAACATTTATCCTACAACTGCACAGCAAGCCCTGCACCTTGGTGAGCTGCAGTTTATAGAGGACACTAACCATTTTTACAAGTGGAACAGGAAAAGGGAATTGAATCTGAGGGAGTAATTCCAAGCAAGTATGTTGCTGCAGCAGTTAAACTGTTTATACGAGGAATAGGGGAATTACTTCTGACTGACCTCTCTTTTTATCTGCTTAAAAGACAAAGTGCAGGTCTCCATAGCCAGGGCAAACTCTGGGGAATGCAGCTTTAAAATGTATAGGAGCCATAGGGCCCCCGCCATCCACCAATAAGCAGCAGCTTCAAAGGCAAGGAAGCACAGGAATATAAACAAAGTTACTGGAATTAGGATGTTTTCACAGTAGCTAGGGTCCAAATGTTTCTCCCGTCAGTCACCTGCATGCAGACCCTCCAGGTCAGGTGGGACAGAAGTGAAACACAAGTTCAAAATGAGAACAGGCTTTTCCATCATGGGTATTTTGATGGAATGGCTTCTTGATTTTCCTTGGCCACAGCTCAGTATGCAGTGGATTCATTAAGGAACATGTCAGGTTTTGAGGGAGACTGAAGAATGACAAGGGACCTGACAAGGCAACTGTTTGGGACCAAAAAAAAAAAAGCTGAATCCACAAGGAAGTAATTACCAGGAAATAAAAATCAGAACTCTCTGAGCATCCACCCAACATAACAATGGGAGGAGGTCACCCCACATTATACGGTATGTGTAATGAAATCCGATTTAATCTTTCAGTGAACACTGGATTCACCAACACGCCTGCTGTGATGGTCGGGGAGTGTTCCCTCTAATGGAGTCTGAGGGAAAGCTGAAACTAGATTATGGGCTCATCCAAGAAAGCCCAATTGTTCCTTGAAATGAAGCAAACAACAAAGCAATAAAAAAAAAAAAAGAGCAATGTCCTAACACTTGAAAAGTACACAAAGAGAGTGCTAATGTATTCCTCTTCACATCCAGGTGACCATATCCCCTCCCATGGAAAAAGCTGTGATATGATTGCTTCACAACTCCAGGATATTTTTTGTCTACTTCACATGGTAATTTGGTTATTTAGTTTTCAACGGAATCTTCCAGAAGTTTCTGAGTATTCATTTGGGCTCATAAAAATACAATTACCCAGCCTGCTTCCCAGACGTACTGTATCAGAGTCAGCCAGGATGAAGCACCAGCCTCAGCAGGTTTAACCACTCTCCCAGGTGATGCAGATGAATAGTCTCAGCGGAGGACCAATGTTCTAGAACCCGTGGAATGCGAAAAAGCGTCCAAATGAGGGTCTGTTGAAGAGGTGTCAACTAGAGCTCAGTTGCAGCTGTTTAGACAAAGCAGCACAGCAAAAGCTGACCCTGTTTTATTTAGGAATCAGCTCAATTAAAGGTTGATGAAACATTCGCCCCTACACCGCAATCAATAGGTGCAATTCTGCAGCTGTCAATGTTGTGTGGTAACTTGGCTCTGAGGCTGCCGACCCTCCAAGATTTTCTTCCCATTGTCTGTGGGGGGAGGTGGGAGTTGGAGATTTCGCTTTCAAAGCTGTCACTACTTAGGCCCCCTTTACCCCAAATCTAAGATTTCGCAGGCCTTTTTAAGCTGCTTCATTCAGAACAATAGGAAGATATTTCTCCAATTCTATATAAGGAACCTAAATATCTTCTATAGCCAGACACCCAGAAGGGGTTGTTTTTTTTTGTCGTTCTTTTCTTTTCTTTTTGAGGGGCAGGGGAAGCATAAGGACAAGACAGGGGAGTTCAAGGAAGGAGAGGAGAGAGAAATAAACAAGGTGCACCTGGGAATTTTAAAAAGCAGCAACGAGTGAGTTCTGAGGCCAGGATAAGGCTGGAATCTGCCCTCGGGATGCCACCTACGAACAGGCCTGGACATAGAGAGAAAACTGTTCAGCTGAAGCAATGCTTGTCAATACAATGATCACTGGGCTGTAAACTCAGTGCAGGCAAATGCCCTACTTTTAAGCCCCTCTACTCAAGTAGGTGAACAGGGGGAGATTGCAGACAGCCAAACATAAAGAAAGCTAAATGTAAAGGATGTAGCATGGTCCTGGCTCCGTCCCTCACCTGCCACCACTAAGAGAGCCTTAGCCTTATACTCCCGCCTGAGGTGTTCAGAGCAACAGACTATGACATGAGACAAAGAGGGTGCTTCTCAGGGACAGATAAGTCTGCAGTCAACAGGCTAAAGGAGCTCTTTTCCCCAAATTCAACTTAATCCCAGGCATTTAAATACTATAGGCAATTCATGCTAGCTTACCCTTTGGGGAAAATGTGGGAGAAAAATTTAAAGACATGAGTATTGGTGATAGAATGGAGAGACAGAAACCTTTTGAAGTAATTCTTTAAAGCTGTGTCCTTTCAGAAACACAATAAAGATGGACTCCTAGGTATACCTATGTGCCACACACAGGTAAATATAGGTAAATATCTATCAACATCTATATTTATAGATGTAATCTTTTACCCAGATATACCCACGTTTACACAATTATGCAGTAGGTAAGTGATAATGGTGGTATAGCATTAAAGAACAGAGAATCTCAGAATTCAAATTACAAAAGACTTTCATCTAATGCAACCCCTTCAATTTACAGAGGAGGAAATTGAGCCTAAGAGAAATAAGAAGTACTTCTTATTTCAAGGTCACACGCCACCTCTGAGCGACAGAGTCTGAGTTGGAACCCCCTCTCCTTGCTTCCTGCCTGGTGTTCATCCCAAGGTGCCACATGGACTCCATCATGAAAACATGGGCTCTAATACCTCCCTGTCAGTGCTAACGGTGAGTCACAATGCATCCAGAGGAGCTTCTCTATATGGTGTGCAGAATTTCAAGTTGTCTGCTGTGTATAATGTGTCCATTTAGCCAGAGTCTCTAGTATTAATTACCTCTGTGAGGTACAATATGGCATCATGCAGCTTTGGAATCTGTACACTTCATTAACCGTTTCCCCATTAACCTTGACTGGAATCACATTCCTATTCTAACTGGTAAGATGTGTTCTATTTGTAAGCACTCCTATTTTCTCTTTGAAACCATTCTCATATTCTTATGTCATTGTAAATGGTCTTACTTGTAATAAAGTGCCATTGAACGTATTTACTATTTGCTCCTTAATTTTGTCCTCTTGGAAAGAGACCGATGTCAGCTCCAACAGTAGTTAATATACCTTTGAGCACACACTGTGACCTTTCTCCGGCTCATGCCTGACTTCATTCTCAGATCTCATTAAACAGCAGAAATTATCTTTGGAAAGAGCAAAACCAGAAATGTGCAGGTTTTGTGCTCAGCTATAGAGAAGAATTTGATTTAAATGGCGTCACAATGGCACGCACGTAGAAAATAAAAGAGAGGATGAAACTCCTGTTCTCTCTGCAGACTGGGCAATGTTACATGCACTGACCTGGATGTAGAGAAGATCTGAGTGATTTTTTGTGCCTGCTGGCTCTACCTTGTTAGTTAAAATATGGGAAGCTCCCTGTGGATATATAAGCTTGTTACCAGGTGGTTCAATCTATGAATGAGCCTTGGGAAGTTATCATCCCCCTAACAGAGCCCCGAGGGAGTGAGAGAGAGAAAAAGGGATTTTCTTGATGAGCAGAGTAAGAAGGCTCAAGGTTGAAAAAGATCAAGGAACCAAGAAAATCACGTTTGGGAAAGATACTGCAAACACCCTGAGTCAAATGTGGTTTTCCAAACACCAGCGGTGGGAGGAGGTAATCCTAAAAGCAAATAAAGGAAACTAAAGGTGGAGATATGTTGGGGAAGGGGAGATCAAAGACAAGTTTACCAAGAGGCCACCCCATCCTTGGGCCTTGCCCTGAGCTAAGAGGAGAGGGTGGGGCTAGAGATTCAGCTCAGAGTAACTGAAATATCCAAGTTTTTCTCAGTTCTATCAACCTGCCAGTTTCAGCATCTGACTCACTGATTTCTCTCCATCATTCTCGGTGGCCTCCACATAGGTGGCCCTTCCAAGCCACTGGCCTTTTACTTCCTTGACCTCTGGTTGCTAAGGATAATTTTCCTCTGTCCGTTACAGTCAAACACTCCCATGCTCATACACTAGACTAATGATCCTCAACTCCAGCCACACATCTGAATTATCTGAGACAGTGTTTTAGTTCGTTGTTGTTGTTGTTGTTGTTATTGTTTTAACCACAACATGCAGGGCCCATACCAGAACAATTGTAGTCAGAATCTCTGAAAGTGAAGACAGTCATCAATATTTTTTGCCAGCTCCCCTGGCAACTTTAATATATAGCCAGGGTTGAGAATCACTGACCTCAATATTGTTATTATCAATAACTACACCCATCATACATTTTCTGTTTTAAGCACCTCTACTCTCCAAAGACGGTCTCCCAATTTTCAGCTTATTCACTGTAGTACCCCAACCTCCAACGTCCCTTGACTCCACTGGGACTTCCCATGTACATACTCTGCCACGTTTTTAGTCTATCCACTCTCCTCACATCCTCATTTCCCTCTTCATTCAGCTTAGAGTCTGTTTCCATCATCATCTCTCCCTTGTATACCCATGAATACCATGTTCCTTTCTCCCTCTGTTAGGGCTGCCTGGCCACACCCCAAGCCAGGTTTGCATTAATCAAGGACTTACCAAGAAACCGATAAAACCAAGAGAGAGCAAAGGGGGAGACTTTCTAGAAGGGATTGTTCTAAAAGGGTAGGAAGGTAAAGGGAAAGCAATAAGGGATAGGGAAGCACCCCAAGGCTAACAGCAGCAGGAAGCAGTTACCACCCCTATGCCTGGAAGAATAAGAAGAGAGATGGTTCCTGGGACCTACAGAAAGCCACATCTACAGAAGAGGGCTGCTTAATAGGAGCTACGGCTTCCTTGGAGGGGTACAGTCACTGACAACCAGGGGCCACTGGCGAAGGAGTGGGAAAGTAAATATAAGCATCTCACTGCCCCCTGCCCTTCAATCTCCTGCCTGCCATTAGCCAAACCCAACCCAGAGGCCAAGGAAGGCATGAATCATTCCATAAGTATCAGCCACCTAGGGTACCAAACCCGACGAAGAAGGATAAAGAATGGGTCAGAATGGGCACATGAAGAATACCCAACACATGGTTAAATTCATCTTTCTGCTTATATCTCTGTGGCATCCGAGCATAGCTGGGAAAATTGCACAGCCATGCTGATAGATCTCTCATAAGACTAATACTGTAGACTTCATGGGGGCTTATAACATTACCCAGCAGCCCTTCCATATTTACTGATAAACTCACTTTCTCACCATCTTAGAAGACCATCAGCTCCCTGCCCCACCTCACTGACTTTGCCTGATATTTTACGAACAAAATAGAACCAACCATAAAAGAACTAACTCATTTGCCCACCAAATCTATCAACCCTCCCACATCTGTTCCTGTCTTCTTTACCAGCCTTCCTGACCCAAAGATGACCTGTCCCTCCTCTTATCCAAGGTCAATCTCTCCACTTATGCACATAATTCCATCCCCCTCACTACTCAGAAAACTGGCTTCTGAAATTACCTACCTTTTCTCTCTCCTGCATCTTAAAACAAAATAAGTTTCAAAATTCTTGCTTACACTCTCAGCCCCACTGATGTGCAGTTCCATGACTGTGCTGAGCATATTACTTATTGGTTCTAACTGCATCTTAAAATGCTCTTAAGACACTTCATGGCTTACCGCTTCACTTTATTCAGGTCTCTGCTCATATCTCATTCATTCTTCCCTGATCATCCAATGAAAATAGACTCTGCTCCTACCCTGCTGTTCTCCATCCTGTTTACCCTAAGTTTTCTTCATAGCAGTTACCACTAAGTGAAAATACTGCGTCTATTTAGTTATGCCTTCATTTTTGTGTAGCTCCCACTAGAATCTACTAATAAAGATTTCACAGATCTCGTTTACTACAGTATCTCTAGTATTTGGGACAGTGTCTGATTTATGATAGGCTTTCAATGGGAGATGACAGGGAGGGAGAAAAGAATAGAGGCCTTGCTGGTGAGACTATTTGCTTGCTGCTCCAGCAGAAATCAGGCTCACGAGATGAAATGGCTCAGGTCTTGGTACCTTAGGAATAGGTCTTTATCCAGAAGCTAGAGTATAAGCAAATATGGGAGAAAGTATGTAAATAGTGAAAATTCCAAAGTCCTGACTTTAATCCTGTTTCTGGCACTCCTAACTGTACCACTTTGGGCAAGTTACTTTACCTCTCTGTGCTTCTATTTCTTTATTTGTAAATAGAGAAGGATTGAGAAGGGAATAGATGTAGAAATGTTTTGTAAATTTTAAAGCATTATGTAATTACTTCTTCAGAACTACCGGATTCCATTGATACTTTTTATTTTTCAACTCTGACATTTTCTTCTTATTTTCAATTTAAATTGTTTCCTAGCAATAACATGGTCAAGACCATTACCCATCACATAGTCATATGACATATGATATTATGGCATTAGTGTTTAATATGTCATTTAGTCTCTAGTCTAGTGTTTAATATGTCACTTAGTCTCTTTTCTGAGTTGTGGGTGTTTCAATTCTCATGGCTCAGAAGTGTAAAAACTATATTTTTAGCCAGAAATCTTACATAGACAAAGCAATAAAAATATATAAGACTACTTAATACTTTATTAAGTAGCCAAGTGAAGAATGGAATTTAGGTTAAAAAGCCCTTGTTTTCCATTTATTCTGCCTACACCCAGAAGTCTACGGCACTTAGGGCATGTTTGAAATACCCTGGCTTACACGTTGGGATTCTTTGAGCATCTAGACCAGCCCTTCTTGCCTTGATATCCTCAAGGAGTTGCAGAGGCTAGTGGAAATTGGAATTGTCCATATCTGAGAAAAATAAATACTGATAAGCATGGCAGTAAAGTGCCAGCCATGAGATCAGGGGCTCTCAGGCTTCCCTCCTGAACTCTATGCCTGCCAATCTTGGCCACCTACCTTTGTGGTGGATTCTAGGTTTGCAGAGCTCCAAATAATAGCACAGTGTTCTGTGCTTCATTGAACACCCTTGAAAAGTCAGCTAATTGTATCCCTATTCCATTCTTCCATTCTCTTTCAAAATAATAGAATCCACTATTTTTATCTTGGTATATTCCCAGTCTCCTCTGCAGCTATGCATTACCATCTAACCAAGTTCTGGACAGGGGAATATGAGCAGAAGTCATGTAATCAAATTCCAGGCTGTGTTCTTAGATGGTAACGGCCCTCTCTCCTCTTTTCTCCATCCTCTTATCTGGGTCATGGATATGGAGGAGCTACTTTGGACCATTCATTCTTATAAGGAAAACACACTAAAGATAAAGCAAAACAAAGCAGAAGTAGCTGGGTCTTTAGACAACCTTGTTGAACAGAGCTCCATGCCAGCCCTGGGCCTCCTACTTCCTGGCTATTATAGGAAGGAAAAATAAAGTCTATCTTATTTAAGTCACTTTTGTCTGGGGCCTCTGTTACATATATAGGTGAACATTTATCCTAACTGATACGATAAGTAAGGTCAGAATCAAAAGAGCATCACCTCTTCCCCACTAGTCCTCCAGTCAAAACACTCAAGCCTGAAATCAATGGATGAATACAGTCCCAGGGAAAACACTGGGAGCTACCTCCCTCCAGCATTCCAGATCCAACCCTTCCTTCTTATCCTAAGGGGAGGAGCCATTGGGATAAGGCAGGGCCGACAGCCAGGCAGCTCCTCTCTGTTCTATCTTTTCATGCTCTACAAGCCTGATTGGTGCTGTCCACCTCCAGAACCAGTGGTCATGGCCAGCCCACAGTGCCCCACATCCAACGAGGGCCTTGGGAATATGATAAGCTCTGATGAGTGTGGCATCTAAAGGTGGCAGCTGAAACAAATCAGGGCCCCTGTTTCCAACTGTGCACAGCCCCAATGCCAGCCAGAAGATGGCAGCACCACTCCCCATGCCTGGCATACACACCCACCCCAATCCAGTCCCAGGCCGCATCCTCCCATACATTCTATCAGATACTGGCTCCAGAAGAGATTTGTTCCAGAGAAAAGGTGTCCAGGGAAATGCAATACATTTTAATTGAATTTTAGCAAATTTCAAAATAATTATACTATGCTCTATAAAAGTTTTATTTATGTATGTATGTATTCATTCATTCATTCATTCATTCATTCATTCATAAGAGACAGGGTTTCACTCTGTCACTCAGACTGGAGTGCAGTGGTATGATCATAGCTCACTGCAATCTCAAACTCATGGCCTTAAGTAATCCTCCCACCTCAGCCTCGCAAGTAGCTGGGACTAGAGGCACTCACCACCATATCTGGCTAATTTTTTTATTTTCTAAATTTTTTTTGCAGATGAGATCTCACTATGTTTCCCAGGCTGGTCTTGAACTCCTGGCCTCAAACAATTCTCCTACCTTGGCCTCCCAAAGAGCTGAGATTACAAGCTTGAGCCATCACACCCAGCATAAAAATATTTTTAAAAACCTTTGCAGCATTGTTTGATAACCATGGCATTTTCCTGGGACCACTCATTTGTATAGCTGAAATCTTGACCATATGTGATGTTCTACATAGGGTATGTGTGTCCCTAGACACTTAGTCCTCTCAGTTAAAAAGGGAAAGGAAAGGTCCTGAGCTGAATGCAGATGCTGGTGCTCAAATCAGCTACCCTTCACTTTCCCAACTCACTCTTCCCTGAACCTTGCTCACACCCACCTTGGAAGATTCCAGGGTGTTCTAGCTACAAGGAATCTTGAAGGTCATCGAACCTGGTATTTTTTCTTGCCTTTTAAACAAGGTTACCCTTGATGAAAATGAAATCTTGTATGGAATCCTAAAACAAATAAAAGCAGAACTTCACTAGTATATATTTACTTCATGAGTTCAAATATGCTACGTATAATATAAAATATATCACTGCTGGCTCTAAGACTGATTTGATTAATGTAAAAACTTTGAATAATTACAAACATATTATCCTCAGCATCCAAAGTATTATGTTATTTTCACTTAGTAGCACAATATTTAGAAAATACTCATTCATCTAGCTAAGTAGTTGGAAATGGCAACAGTTTTGTTTTAAAACAACTTGTCTTACAACTTGGATTTCTGTTCAACTAAATTTACCCAGAAGCTTGCAAGAAAAGTAGTAGGAAATATCTGTTTCAAAGTTGAATTGTTGGTAACACCTAATAAATTCTTGCATTTCTAATCATAAAGTCAGAACGGATCATTCATTCTAGCTCTTGTGTGATGTTTTCAAGATGCAAGAGAGTCAGTTGTGGTGATACAAGCAAGTCTTATGAAATGAGAAGAGCATATGCAAAAAAAAAAAAAAAAAAAGCAAATATGCCATAGTCACAAACTCACTTGTGCTACTTTGTGTCAGTGGAGACAGGCATCAGTCATGTTAGAATTTGAGAGATAGACTAGTGCAGAATATCAGTATTCCTCATCAAATGTGCATACCCACATGACAAAGTTTTATTGTGACATTCATTCCAAATGAACCTAGCAGCACATTTTAACACACTGATGTTCTCAGATATGTTAAAATGTGAAATAAAATACATCTGAATGTATGTTATTTTTTACAGTGTTTTCAATAGTTAAGATATATTTTGCAAGAGAAAAATCAAATGAAAAGTTTCCAGAACTCCTAAAACTCCTCCATAGAGCCCCCTAAGATTCCATGGAACTGAGTCTGAAAACCATTCCATGGAAGTGAGTTTGAAAATCAATCATGAAGACCATATAAGGATTCCTAGTCCAAACAGGCATATCTAGTTGCCTAGGGCCACTCTGGAAGTTTGTGACAGAATCAAGACTAGGGCCTGGGTCTTCTGGCTCCCATTCTAGGCTCTTTTCCACCAGACTGACCTGTCTGTCATAGAGGGACATGCTATCACATCTCTCATCCAAGGGAAAGTTCCAGATGTGGCATCTGAGTCCTAAGGTCCCAAAGGAGAAACCCATTTAGATGGACACATGCCTAGGAATGTGTCCATCTAAATGGGCTATGACTATGAATGCTAAAGCTTTCACAAACCCTAAAATTAGGAAAAGTATAAACCCCAAATTTATGCCTTGAAATTAGGCTCTCTTAATTTATACCTTCTTCATTTCTAAGTTGCTAGAGATGCGATGAGTAGGGTGTGACCCCCTTGTAGCTCAAGGCCAGTGTTTTTTAATCCATGGTTTTCTACGTTAGAACTTGATCTCCAAGCCAATTGGTGAGGGTTATAGTAATTTCCACAGGACATTGCATTAGTTTGGTAGCATTCCCATAACAAAGCACTAAAAATGGGATGGCCTAAATAACAGAAGTTTATTTTCTCACAATCAAGGAGGCTGGAAGTCCAAGATCAAGGTGTGGGCCAGGTTGGTTTCATTCTAAGGCCTCTCTCCATGGCTTTTAGGTGGCCATCTTCTCCCAGTGCCTTCACATTGTCTTCCCTCTTCATGTGCCTGTGTCCTAAGCTCTCTTCTTATAAGGACACCAAATACAGGGGATTAGGGCCCACCCTAATGACCTCATCTTACCTATTACCTCTTTAAAGGCCTTATCTCCAAATACAGTCACATTCTGGGTGACTGGGGGTTAAGACTTTAACATATAGATGGGGGAGGTGGGGATAAGGAGGACACAATTCAGCCTGTAACAAGGATAATGGTTGATTGGGGCTGCCAACCGTAAAGAAATGGAGCATAAGGACCAAGATAGGAACACCTGTCAGTGATCTGATCACTCCATTCTCCTCCTCCATCCCCTTCTGGACACGGTCTTAGAGATCCTAAGGGAAAGGCTGAAAACTATGTTCAAACACCCCCTAACTTCATGTTTCTGTGCAGATTAGATATGTGGGGTTAGCAGAAAGGCAGATAAAATTGAAAACATCAGGATAGATTTTGGTACTTTTACTTTTTCTAATTTAGCACTGTAGGCTTAAATAACTTAAAAAAAAATACTGGTTTAAGATTAAGAAGGGTATATTTTGAAGGTTTCCAAATACTCAGAATGCTAACAGGTTGGAGAGTTTGATAATCCATATACATTTTTAAATCTATGAAAATTTAGGCTTTTAAAATCAGCTTTTATTCACAATTCGTAATTGCAAAGATATGGAACCAACCTAAGCGCCCATCAGTCAACAAGTGGATAAAGAAAATGTTGTCTGGATACACCATGGAATACTACTCAGCCATAAAAAAGAACAAAATAATGTCTCTCACAACAACTTGGATGGAGCTGGAGGCCATTATTCTCAGTGAAGTAACTCAGGAATGAATAACCAAAGACTGTATAATCTCACTTATTATAAGTGGCAGCTAAGCTATGAGAACACAAAGGCATAAGAATGATATAATGGACTTTGGGGACTCAGGGCATGGGGAAGGTGGGGGAGGGTGAGGGATGAAAGACTACATATTGGGTAAAGTGTATACTGCTTGGGTGACGGGTGCACTAAAATCTCAGAAACCACCACTAAAGGACTTGTCCATGTAACCAAAAACCACCTGTACACTGAAAACTACTGGAGTAAAAAGTTTTTAAAATCTGCTTTTATAAACAAACCCTAATTTTGTTAATAAACAAACAGCCTTTAAAGTGAATACAAAGGGCAAAGGATCCGATTATAAAAATACGCAGAGAGCGACAACAGGCTACAAATGGCTGATCTATATATAAATGATGCTCAGTATCACTCATTAGAGAAATGCAAATTCACTCATTAGAGATTAAAACAACATACCCCTTTTCTACTCATCATTAAGAAAAAGATTTAAGTATTTATTTGACAACATGCAGTGTTGGAGAAGGTATGAGAAATCACATTGTTGATTGATAGATATATAATTCAGTGGAGAAATTTTGCAGCATTTGTAATCTAGAATCAGCAGTGAAGCTTCTAACATTTTCTGTGCTAGAGAAAAGGTTTGTGCCCAAACTGCTGAGATGAGTTTCTCCAGAATCATCTATCATTGAAAAGCTGTCTCTCCTCACAAATTAGGGCTTAGTAGTGGACCATTTAAGAAAGGCTTTGAGGTTAAAGTATATTTATTTATAACATACTACCTCAAAACTTTCAGTTGTTCTTAATGCCAAGTCAGTCAATAAAAAGAAACTTTGTTCTCGTGTAGTCATATATAACCACACCTGCCATTTCTTCCTTTCAGATGCCTTCAGGATGAAGTCTCTGCCATGCCACCACCCCATTCCCACTGACCCACAACAGCCCAACCTCATCACTTTATACCCTGCTACAGCCTCCATCGGTATAGCTGCCGATAGCTCCCTCTCTACCTTAGGCAGTGCCTCCCTAATTCATTATTTGTATTGGGTTATTTATTGTTTAAGAACCTTCAGTGTCTACCCATTACCTATTTCATCTCTTTCAAACTTCTCAAAGGACTCAGTAATATGGGCCCTCCAAACTCTATTTTCTATCACTTCTTTCAATGAAGCTTACAGTCTAACTAGTCACATTTCTCCTTTACACAAAACCCATGCTCATCTCCAACTCTATGCCTTTGATTCTATAGTTTCCCCCACCTACAACTTCCTCCTGTCTACCTTCCCAAATGCTACTTCTCTTCCAAAGTCTAAAAGTGAATTCTTCTATTTATACTGAGTACTATTTAGTATTTTCCTGGTCCATAATTTCCCCGTGGGAAATAATACAAACAAATATTCATTGAATTGGTCTCACACTTGAACACCAGTGATGAAACAAACATTCTGATACACACTTGTGATTCAGAGAGGGACATGATGTGACACTTCCTAGATGGAGAAATGGAAGAAAGGCACTACAGGCAGAAGGAACAGCACGAGCGATGGCACGGAGCCATGTGCATAGCTTATGCAGGAAGAAACAACCAATGTAGATTCAGGATGGAGTGGATCAGGAGGGGATGAACATTTTCACATGCAGTCAGTATGAGTTCCTCAAGTTGCTGTAACGGGCATGTGGCATGTGCCATTGAAGGAAAATATGAGCCAGGTATGGTGCGACATGCCTGTAGTCCAGTTACTTGGGAAGTTGAGGTGGGAGGATTTCTTTTTTCTTTTATTATACTTTAAGTTCTAGGGTACATGTGCACAACGTACAGGTTTGTTACATAGGCATACATATGCTATGCTAGTTTGATGCACCCATTAACTCACCATTTACATTAGGTATTTCTCCTAATGCTATCCCTCCCCTAGCCCCCCAACCCCATGACAGGCCCCAGTGTGTGATGTTCCCTGCCCTGTGTCCAAGTGTTCTCATTGCTCAGTTCCCACCTATGAGTGAGAACATGTGGTGTTTGGTTTTCTGTCCTTGTGATAGTTTGCTCAGAATGGTGGTTTCCAGCTTCATCTATGTCCCTGCAAAGGACATGAACTCATCCTTTTTTATGGCTGCATAGTATTCCATGGTGTATATGTGCCACATTTTCTTAATCCAGTCTATCACTGATGGACATTTGGGTTGGTTCCAAGTCTTTGCTATTGTGAATAGTGCCGCAATAAACATATGTGTGCATGTGTCTTTATAGTAGCATGATTTATAATCCTTTGGGTATATACCCAGTAATGGGACAGCTGGGTCAAGTGGTATTTCTAGTTCTAGATCCTTGAGGAACCGCCACACTGTCTTCCACATTGGTTGCACTACTTTACACTCCCACCAACAGTATAAAAGCATTTCTGTTTCTCCACATCCTCTCCAGCATCTGTTGTTTCCTGACTTTTTAATGATCACCATTCTAACTGGTGTGAGACGGTATCTCACTATGGATTTGATTTGCATTTCTCTGATGACCAGTGATGATGAGCATTTATTCATGTGTCTGTTGGCTGCATAAATGTCTTCCTTTGAGTAGTGTCTGTTCATATCCTTTGCCCACTTTTTGATGGGGTTTGTTTTTTCTTGTAAATTTGTTTAAGTTCTTTGTAGATTCTGGATATTAGACCTTTGTCAGATGGGTAGATTGCAAAATTTTTCTCCCATTCTGTAGGTTGCCTGTTCACTCTGATGGTAGTTTCTTTTACTGTGCAGAGCTCTTTAGTTTAATTAGATCCCATTTGTCTATTTAGGCTTCTGTTGCCATTGCTTTTGGTGTTTTAGTCATGAAGTCTTTTTCTATGCCTATGTCCTGAATGGTATTGCCTAGGTTTTGTTCTAGGGTTTTTATGGTTTTAGGTCTAACATTTAAGTCTTTAATCCATCTTGAGTTAATTTCAAATAAGGTGTAAGGAAGGGATCCAGTTTCAGCTTTCTACATATGGCTAGCCAGTTTTCCCAGCACCATTTATTAAACAGGGAATCCTTTCCCCATTGCTTGTTTTTCTCAGGTTTGTCAAAGATCAGATGGTTGTAGATGTGTGGTGTTATTTCTGAGGGCTCTGTTCTATTCCATTGGTCTATATCTCTGTTTTGGTACCAGTACCATGCTGTTTTGGTTACTGTAGCCTTGTAGTATAGTTTGAAGTCAGGTAGCGTGATGCCTCCAGCTTTGTTCTTTTTGCTAAGGATTGTCTTGGCAATGTGGGCTCTTTTTTGGTTCCATATGAACTTTAAAGTAGTTTTTTCCAATTCTGTGAAGAAAGTCATTGGTAGCTTGATGGGGATGGCATTCAATCTATAAATTACCTTGGGCAGTATGGACATTTTCACAATATTGATTCTCCTTAACCATGAGCATGGAATGTTTTTCCATTTGTTTGTGTCCTCTTTTATTTTGTTGAGCAGTGGTTTGTAGTTCTCCTTGAAAAGGTCCTTCACATCCCTTGTAAGTTAGATTCCTAGGTATTTTATTATCTTTGAAGCAATTGTGAATGGGAGTTCTCTCATGATTTGGCTCTCTGTTTGTCTGTTATTGGTGTATAAGAATGCTTGTGATTTTTGCACATTGATTTTTATATCCTGAGACTTTCCTGAAGGTGCTTATCAGCTTAAGGAGATTTTGGGCTGAGACAATGGGGTTTTCTAAATATATAATCATGTCATCTGCCAACAGGGACAATTTGACTCCCTCTTTTCCTAATTGAATACCCTTTATTTCTTTCTCTTGCCTGGCCAGAACTTCCAACACTATGTTGAATAGGAGTGGTGAGAGAGGGCATCCCTGTCTTGTGCCAGTTTTCAAAGGGAATGCTTCTAGTTTTTCCCCATTCAGTATGATATTGGCTGTGGGTTTGTCATAAATAGCTCTTATTATTTTTAGATACGTTCCATCAATTCCTAGTTTATTGATAGTTTTTAGCATGAAGGGCTGTTGAATTTTGTCAAAGGGCTTTTCTGTATCTATTGAGATAATCATGTGGTTTTTGTCCTTGGTTCTATTTATGCGATGGATTATATTTATTGATTTGTATATGTTGAACCAGCCTTGCATCCCAGGGATGAAGCTGACTTGATCGTGGTGGATAAGCTTTTTGATGTGTTGCTGGATTCGGTTTGCCAGTATTTTATTGAGGATTTTCGCATCAATGTTCATCAGGGATATTGGTCTAAAATTCTCTTTTTTTGTTGTGTCTCTGCAAGGCTTTGGTATCAGGATGATGCTGGCCTCATAAAATGAGTTAGGGAGGATTCTCTCTTTTTCTATTGATTGGAATAGTTTCAGAAGGAATGGTACCAGCTCCTCTTTGTACCTCTGGTAGAATTTGCCTGTGAATCCATCTGGTCCTGGACTTTTTTTGGTTGGTAGGTTATTAATTATTGGCTCAATTTCAGAGCCTGTTATTGGTCTATTCAGAGATTCAACTTCTTCCTGGTTTAGTCTTGGGAGGGTGTATGTGTCGAGGAATTTATCCATTTCTTCTAGATTTTCTAGTTTATTTGCGTAGAGGTGTTTATAGTATTCTCTGATGGTAGTTTGTATTTCTGTGGGATTGGTGGTAATATCCCCTTTATCATTTTTTATTGTGTCTATTTGATTCTTCTCTCTTTTCTTCTTTATTAGTCTTGCTAGCAGTCTATCAATTTTGTTGATCTTTTCCAAAAAACAACTCCTGGATTCAATGATTTTTTGAAGGGTTTTTTTGTGTCTCTATCTCCTTCAGTTCTGCTCTGATCTTAGCTATTTCTTGCCTTCTGCTAGCTTTTGAATTTGTTAGCTCTTGCTTCTCCAGTTCTTTTAATTGTGATATTAGGGTGTTGATTTTAGATCTTGCCTGCTTTCTCCTGTGGGCATTTAATGCTATAAATTTCCCTCTACATACTGTTTTAAATGTGTCCCAGAGATTCTGGTATGTTGTGTCTTTGTTCTCATTGGTTTCAAAGAACATCTTTATTTCTGCCTTCATTTTGTTATTTACCCAGTAGTCATTCAGGAGCAGGTTGTTCAGTTTCCATGTAGTTGAGCAGTTTTGAGTGAATTTCTTAATCCTGAGTTCTAATTTGATTGCACTGTGGTCTGAGAGACAGTTTGTTATAATTTCGGTTCTTTCACATTTGCTGAGGGGTGCTTTACTTCCAACTACGAGGTCGATTTTGGAATAAGTGCGATGTGGTGCTGAGAAGAATGTATATTCTGTTGATTTGGGGTGGAGAGTTCTGTAGATGTCTATTAGGTCCGCTTGGTGCAGAGTTGAGTTCATGTCCGGGATATCCTTGTTAACCTTCTGTCTTGTTGATCTGTCTAATATTGACAGGGGGGTGTTAAAGTCTCCCATTGTTACTGTGTGGGAGTCTAAGTCTCTTTGTAGGTCTCTAAGGACTTGCTTTATGAATCTGGGTGCTCCTGTATTGGGTGCATATATATTTAGGATAGTTAGCTCTCCTTGTTGAATTGATCCCTTTACCTTTATGTAATGGCCTTGTCTCTTTTGATCTTTGTTGGTTTAAAGTCTGTTTTATCAAAGACTAGGATTGCAACCCCTGCTTTTTTTTTTTTTTTTTTTGCTTTCCATTTGCTTGATAGATCTTCCTCCACCACTTTATTTTGAGCCTATCTGTGTCTCTGCATGTGAGATGGGTCTCCTGAATATAGCACACTGATGGGTCTTGACTCTTTATCCAATTTGCCAGTCTGTGTCTTTTAATTGGAGCATTTAGCCCATTTACATTTAAGGTTAATATTGTATGTGTGAATTTGATCTTGTCATTATGATATTAGCTGGTTATTTTGCCCATTAGTTGATGCAGATTCTTCCTAGCATCAATCATCTACAATTTGGCATGTTTTTGCAGTGGTGGTTCCAGTTGTTCCTTTCCATGTTTAGTGCTTCCTTCAGGATCTCTTGTAAGGCTGGCCTGGTGGTGATAAAATCTCTCAGCATTTGCTTGTCTGTAAAGGATTTTATTTCTCCTTCACTTATGAAGCTTAGTTTGGCTGGATATGAAATTCTGGGTTGAAAATTCTTTTCTTTAAGAATGTTGAATATTGGCCCCCACTCTCTTCTGGCTTGTAGAGTTTCTGCCGAGAGATCAGCTGTTACTCTGATGGGCTTCCCTTTGTGGGTAACCTGACCTTTCTCTCTGGCTGCCCTTAACATTTTTTCCTTCATTTCAACCTTGGTGAATCTGACAATTATGTGTCTTGGGGTTGCTCTTCTTGAGGAGTATCTTTGTGGTGTTCTTTGTATTTCCTGAATTTGAATGTTGGCCTGCCTTGCTAGGTTGGGGAAGTTCTCCTGGATAATATCCTGAAGAGTGTTTTCCAACTTGGTTCCATTCTCCCCATTACTTTCAAGTACACCAATCAAACATAGATTTGGTCTTTTCACATAGTCCCATATTGCTTGGAGGCTTTGTTCATTTCTCTTTACTCTTTTTTCTCTAAACTTCTTGCTTTATCTCATTAATTTGATCTTCAATCACTGATACCCTTTCTTCCACTTGATCAAATCGGCTATTGAAGCTTGTGTATGTGGCACGTAGTTCTCGTGCCATGGTTTTCAGCTCTGTCAGGTCACTTAAGGTCTCCTCTACACTGTTTATTCTAGTTAGCCATTCATCTAATCTTTTTTTAAGGTTTTTAGCTTCCTTGCAATGGGTTCGAACATCCTCCTTTAGCTCGGAGAAGTTTGTTATTACCGACCTTCTGAAGCCTACTTCTGTCAGCTCTTCAAAGTCATTCTCCATCCACCTTTGTTCCATTGCTAGTGAGGAGCTGTGATCCTTTGGAGGAGAAGAGGCACTCCGGATTTTAGAATTTTCAGCTTTCCTGATCTGGTTTCTCCCCATCTTTGTAGTTTTATCTACCTTTGGTCTTTAATGTTGGTGACCTACAGATGGGGTTTTGGTGTGGATGTCCTTTTTGTTGATGTTGATGCTGTTCCGTTTTCTTTGTTAGTTTTCCTTCTAACAGTCAAGTCCCTCAGCTGCAGGTCTGTTGGAGTTTGCTGGAGGTCCACTGTAGACCCTGTTTCCCGGGTATCACCAGCAGAGGCTGCAGAACAGCAAATATTGCTGCCTGATCCTTCTGCTAGAAGCTTCATCCCAGAGGGGCACCCGCCTATATGAGGTGTCATTTGGCCCCTACTGGGAGATGTCTCCCAGTTAAGCTACATGGGGGTCAGGGACCCACTTGAGGAGGCAGTATGTCCATTCTCAGAGCTCAAACACCATGCTGGAAGAACTACTGCTCTCTTCAGAGCTGTCAGACAGGGAAGTTTAAGTCTGCAGAAGTTTCTGCTGCCTTTTGTTCAGCTATGCCCTGTCCCCAGAGGTGGAGTCTACAGAGGCAGCAGGCCTTGCTGTGCTGCAGTAGGCTCCGTCCAGTTCGAGGTTCCCCAGTCACTTTGTTTACCTACTCAAGCCTCAGCAATGGTGGACGCCCCTCCCCCTGCCAGGCTGCTGCCTCGTAGGTAGAGCTCAGACTGCTGCGCTAGCAGTGAGCAAGGCTCGGTGTGTGTGGGACCCACCAAGCCAGGCACAGGATATAATCTCCCGGTGTGCCATTTGCTAAGGCTGTTGGAAAAGTGCAGTATTTGGGCAGGACTGTCCCATTTTTCCAGGTACAGTCTGTCATGGCTTCCCTTGGCTAGGAAAGGGAAATCCCCCAACTCCTTGCACTTCTCAGGTGAGGTGATGCCCTTCCTTGCTTCAGCTCACCCTCCGTGAGCTGCACCCACTGTCCAACCAGTCCCAGTGAGATGAACCAGGTACCTCAGTTGGAAATGCAGAAATCACCCATCTTCTGCATCAATCATGCTGGGAGCTGCAGACTGGAGCTGTTCCTATTCAGCCATCTTGGAACAGAACCCGAGGTGGGAGGATTTCTTGAGCCTAAAAGTTCAAGGCCAGCCTGGACAACATAGCAAGACCCCATCTCTTTTTTGAAAAAAAAAAAAAAAGAGAGAGAGAGGGAACCATCACAGGCTGAGGCTGAGGGTAGGGAGAGCAGATGAGGAAGGCTGGCAGACTCAGTAGTGACCAGAGTTCTAGTGAGGAGGTAAATGGGCCACCTAAGTGTGGGGTAAGAGATTTTAAATGGCCATGGTGCCTTCCTGCAGAAGATCTCAAAGCTTTACACAGACACTGTTGACTGTATGATATCCCAGTTCTTATGCCCCTACTCTGAATCAGACTGTTGGTACAGCCTGTGGACTCCGGTCCAGGAATTAGATGATACAGTGAGGAACATCATTGTAAGTGCCACTGGGTCCTAGCCACTCCAATCATCTGGGTGGCTGGGTGTGATTTACATGTCTAATGTGTCTACTCCCTTCCCTGCCAAAACTTGAACATTTTAACCCTGATTACCCAAAAGCCAGGCCCTTAATGCCCCAAATATGACACTTCATGAAACAATTGCCATGCTTTTTTTCTATTCTGTCTGCTTTGCATTTACGTTTAGGTTCTGAGACTTCAAAAATATCACTTCCATCTTCCTCCTTTTAAACTAGCTCTGATAATTTTTTCCTGCCTTAACTGTTAAAAATCCCATTTTCAGGGTCAATGAAGGGCTCAGTAATATGTTTTGGCTACATCATTCACAGAAATGTCTGCCAAGCAGCTCAACTTTTCAATAACCCAGACTCACTCAAATTTAATTTCAGGGGAGCATAAATGACTGGAGAAAATGTTCTCTCTACACTGAAGTTTTCCATTGTCTTCTAAGGCCATGCATTCAAGGTGATGCTTGAATCTAGAATGTTCCCTCTCTTTTGGTTGGAGATCTCAGAAGAAAACACCAAAAAAAAAAAAAAAAAAAAAAAGTTTCTCAATGTAATCAATAAGAGCATCTTTTTTTACCATGACACAGGATCTCTGTCACCAACATGGGAATATTCAAACCTCAGCAAGAACAAAAGGTTTCCCAAGTTCATATTTCTCTATTATTGTTCCTGGTAGCAATAAAAACCCCTTGGATATTTGACTACATTTGTTTTCTTCCCGAAAGCATTTTTCCAGGGACTTAAGTGTTCACATGGTCACTGTCCTTTCTCCTAGCTGCAGCCTGGCCTTGGAGAGCCCATAGTTTTTGAATGGATCATGACTAAGAAGGAGTTGGAGAATTGCAAAGATCGTTCAACCTGATCTAAGCCTTCAACTGCTGTTATCTGATTGGTCTTCATTGGAATGAAGGATATGAGACTCAATCATATCCTACCCCATTTCTGTTTCCAGTGAAATTCTTTGGATAAGGACAGGTCTCCCAAAGAATCAAGTTAAACAGCATGTTGGAGATAGGCTGGAGCAGGAATGGAGTATTGCCATATTACAGAACATATTGATGACCCAGGGAGGAAAAAGAGCTGAGAACACATAAATTCAGAAATCCATGAGCTCTGGAAATAAATCCGACAGTCATCTCCCCCTTCACTGTCTCTGAATCAGTAGTAGCTGCAACCTGCAAGACTTATTTTAAAGCTACATATAATCCAGCACCCTTGAGATTTGGTAATCATAGTTTACACTTGGAGGAAGCAAAGACCTTTAGAAGGCCAAGGTAAAATAGATGAATGCTGCTGCACAGCTCTGTGGGCAGCTGAGCACCCTGCTCTGAACTTTATTAGAGCATTCATCACATTGTTGTAATTAATGTTCACATCTCTCTCTCTCTTTCCCACTGGACTGTGAGCTCCCCAAGGTCAGGAATCATTTCTCATTCATCTCTCTATTCACTCTCTCAATCCACAGTGCCTAGCTGTGATCCTGGCACAAAGAAGACTCCCTACTAATGTTTGCTGGTGGGTGGATGGATGGAGGGATGGATGGATGGAAGAAAGGAATGATGGATGATTGAAGGATGCAATCCTGCAGTTACAAAAACAAGAACAACAGCCACAACAAAAATAAAACCTATCTCCAAATGGTTGCTTGCTGGAGGAAATCCATACACTATAGAAAGAATAAAATATTTGTTTAAAGCCATAGTTTTTTCCCCAATACTATTCAAACAGTCTCATTCCAAATCTTTCTGTTTTCTCTTTGGAGGAAATTTAATTGAATATTCAACATGTTCCAAATATTTCCAAACAAGATTCTGAGTAATCAGGTATTGCTGGAAAGGCAGAAACCATTTCCCCCTCCAGTGGAGGAATGGCCAATAAAACCTAGCAAATATGACCCCATAACAGGAACAGGGGGCCAGCAGAGGGAATGGAGTCGATGGAGGCAGAGGGGAAAAATCTTGGAGGTTTGATTTGTTAGTCTCTATGCCAGTTGCCATTGTACTACCCTTGCCCCCATGATTCAAGGGAGTTTTCACTTGAAAGGAGAGTCCCCCAAGCTCTATTCGCTCTGACAACTCCCCACCCCCAGTAACTTATATCATCCACACTTTACCCCATGAGAGTAAACTGCAGAAAAATCCAGGCACATTTTAAAATTCCAAGTACCTTTCATAGAGAAAATTATGAGAATCCTGCTTAAACCAAGGAAAAAAAATTCAACCAAAAGCAGAGCCAGAAGTTACTGCTGGTTGCAACTACTAGTTTAATCCCTCATGGATGCTTTTCTTTCCCTACATTCCCCTTTCTTCTCTTCCCTTCTCCTATCTTCAATCTACCTAACTTTACTCTCTCCCCCATGCCTATATTTTAGTCCCACCATTGGAACCTACAGTCCCCATAGACCTTATTTAACTCACTAATGGCCTTCAGAACTAAAAAATGTTCTCACCTCTGGTCTAAACACATAAATAACCATTGCTCTTTATTTCTACGGTCACTCTTCTGGAGGGTTTCTCACGTTTCACTGTGGCCCCAAAATGTTTCATGAATCTCAGGAAGCCCAAGAGATATGAGCCCAGATGGGCCAAAATATCAACCACAGTCCCTCAAGCCCTCCTAAAGTCCACCTTTATTACCCCCCAACCTGTGCACAGGGACCCTTTGGTACCATAATTTAGAGGGAAAATGTGGTTTCTATTAAGGAGAACTGTTGTCTCATGTTTTGGAAAGTTGTTTTTCCTTCCTCTTTTCCCCAACTTCAAATTAAATCTGCACTTTTGTGAAGAAAACAACACAAAGGCCCTTTCCATGTGAGGAGAAGAAAAGCAAATGATGGCTTTATTACCCTGCATGTGAGCTCACACTTCATCTGCACTGCCTCGTGGCTAATGGGAAGGGAACAATGGAGACACAAGGTCCGCTTGCGCTTTATTGGAAACACGTCTGTACAAATTCCAAGCTGGGAACTTGTCTCTCATCTCCTCTACCAGGAAAATGGAAAAGGAACTCCCAGTGGCCTCCTTTAAATTGCATTTGTATCATATGTATCTTAGAGAATTGTGGATCTTTTGGTAAATAAAGTATAGGAAATGGAATCTGAAGGGACACGCTGGACTAAAAGGAAACTTACTGTGATGATTTCTTAGCTGTATCTGGCTCAATTTGAGATGAACAAAATTTCCATCAGAGCATTAAAGGTGACAGCCTCTTCCACCAGCTCCTGCCTTGGGCTGTTTTGCATGTCCTATTTGGAGTCCGATTTGTAATCAAGCAACCAATAATACAGGCAGATAGAAGAGAAAATGTGGAGTAGGAGGATTTCTTGACCTTATCAGCAACAAACTAAAGTTCCATGTTATGGAGGAAATGTTTCCTAATAACTCTGTGAAATCCAACTGACTGCATCAAAGCCAGTTCAACACCATTTAGCATTTAATTGTTCTCTAAGTGCTTAGACCTGAGTGCCTTGTCTTTTTAACTATGTGGAAGCCTCACACAGGACAGAGGCCGTGTTTATGTTTCCAGCATAGAGCTTATGGGACCAGCGCAAGATCAAGGCATGTCTGTTGATTGATAGCAAAGGGTGCCACCTTTGACTTAATTTAGTAAAACAAGGTTGGCCAGAAAGGATCAAAGCAATATATTTCATACTCATGATAAAATTCCAGTGTCATATTAAATAAGAAGTTTAATCAGAGAGTGTATATTGGAATACCACAAGGGAATTTAATCATAAGAAACTACCTTTGTGAACAGATGATATAGCCCCTTTGGGCTCTTATATTTTTGTGTGTACTTTAGACCATTTGAGAATTTAATATTGTTCAAAGTTGTCACATTATTTAAACTGTGTTTCACTTGCTTATAACTCAACCCCCAACTTTAGAACCATACTTTGTGTGTTTTTTTTTTTTTAATAATTTCAACTTTTATTTTAGATTCAGGGGGTACATGTGTAGATTTATTACCTGGGTATATTACATGATGCTGAGATTTGGGGTATGATTGATTCTGTCACCCAGGTAGTGAGCATAGTACCCAATAGTTAGTTTTTCAACCCTCGCCCACCTCCCTCCCTCCCCCACTTTAGTGGCTCCAGTGTCTATTATTGCCATCTTTATGTCCATGAGTGCCCGAAGAAGAACCAAACTTTGGAGTAGATGCACTTGGGATAGACCGATGAATATAAAAAATAATCAAAGAGGCTTCAAATCTCTAGCCTTTTTATCTAGTTCATCTTTAAATGTTACTCAGATGTTAAAACCATGGTAGGGGGTTTAGCTTCTGAGAGACCATAGGCAGCAGCACAGAGTGAACACAAAATCACAGAGGCTGGTCTGGCTGCCCCACCTGTAGGAGTCCCATCTTCTTCTCCCCACATCACACACAGCAGAGACTAAGTGGAGAGCTACACACAAAATATAGGGATAGTCTCAAGAAAGAGCCAGGTAGAAAGCAGAGTCTAAGTTTCACAATACAAAAACAAATGCCTTTCAGGGAGATTAAAAAGAAATCAAGTTGGGATCAGAAAATTAATAAATGCTGCTGGTCACAACAAGCCAGAGGTCTGAAGCCAGAAGATCAGAAAGGCAGTATATCTGTCTGTGAGGGCTGCTATAGCAAAGCAGCAAAACTGAGTGCTTGAAAAACAGAGATGTATTGTCACACAGTTCTGGAAGCTCCAACTCTGAGATCAAGGAGTCAATAGGGTTGTTTTTTTTTTTCCTAGGGCTGAGACAGGATCTGTTTCATGTCTCCCTTCTAGCTTCTGGGGGTTTGCCGGCAAGCTTTGGCATTCCTTGGTTTATAGAAGCATCATCACCTCTACCTTCATCATCAAATGGTGTTCTTTCTACATGCTTGTCTGTCTCTGCGTCCAGATTTCTTCCTTTTGCAGGTATACCAGTCATATTGAATTAGGGCACACCCTCTTGATCTCATTTTAACTTGGTTACCACTATAAAGACTCTATCTCCAAAAAAAGTCACATTCTGAGATACTGGGGGTTAGAAATGCAACATATCTTTGATGATGGGAGCGGAAAGTACAGAGTTCAACCCATAACTGACAGGAATTTAAAAGCAAGGATGAGCCAGGCATGGTGGTGTGCACCTGTACTCCCAGCTGAGGCAGGGGCATTTCTTGAGCCAAGAAGTTTGAGGTTACAGTGACCTATGATTGTGCCACTGCACTCCAACCTAGGTGACAGAGCAAGAACCTGTCTCTAAAATATAAAAATAAAAAAAAATAAAAAGCAAAGATTTGTGGTCAGAAGGATATTGGTTCAGGGGCAGGGGGCTCTGGTGGAAAAAAAATCAGAGGCAATAGTAATTGAAAACATGATCTGGAACCATGCAAGCATTCCTTAAATGTTCTGTCTTCGGCCTCTCCCTCCTTTCATCTACCTTTAATAATGTTGTGAGGTTTCTTACTGCACAGAGATAATCATGTCCACTCCTACACTCAGAACCACCCCTGGCCACCTGCCATTACTGTTAAAGTACAGAATAGAAGGCTATTTAGTAGGCCAGCTGTCCTCATTTTGCACATTAGGAAGTTCAAGCATTTTGTTCTCAAGAGAGAACAAAAGGTGTGGCCAAGATCTCATTTGCCAACCCAGGTCTCACTCAGATTTCAGCCCATTCCCTTAGTCTGCCTTGTTCCTTGAGCCCTAATTAAAAGGAAACTCTAACTTGGATTTGTCAGACTCATTCAACAAAATTAAGTAATTACAGGGCAGACTGTCTCCTGTCTTAAGGCAGAAGTATTCCCTAGAACAGGCCTAGGCAGTACAAAATAAATAAAGCTGCAGGTGCTAGAAACTCCCTTTCTGGCCATAGACAGGACTGTACCATGGTAGTTACATTTCTCTCTGGGTCACCTGCAACCATGGGGCTCCCTAAGCTGGACATGCGCAGGTGGTGCAAGGAGGGGTGAGCAGGAGAAAGGATGATACTGATGGAGTCAACCACAGAGCCACAAGCCATGCACCCCATCAACAACACATCCCCATTCGGCCCTAAGTGCAAATCCTCATCAAGAGAATCACCATCCTTGAGTGAGACAGTGGCAGATGGCACACACCCATCACCAGAACTGCAGAGCAGGGAGAAGTCTGTGTGTGCATGTACATGCATGTGTGTGTGTGTGTGTGTGTGTGTGTGTGTGTGTGTGTGTTCGGGCAAGGAGGGTTCACCAAGAACCAACCCCAGGGCTGACCCCAATACAAGTTTCTGCTGTGGCTTCCCCAGGCCACTCATCTCAGCACCACACACACACATAAAACGGGACAGGTCATGATAAGATGCTGGCTGGTGGTCTTCCTTTCCTGTGCCCTTCACCTCCTCTCTCATACTTACTTTCTTCTGCTTTTGCCTCAGGCCTGCCCTATTTCCCAAATCAAAAATCAGGACACAAGATCTGGCAAGCACTATTTCTGATCAAGTGATTCATTCCTACCAAAAGCTTCACTGAAGTAGAGATTTTAATCACATTTAATAACACAACGAATGGCTTGACCTCTGTAAACAGAGGATAGAAAATAAAGCCAGGTTTCAAGGACAGGTGTCATTTGCTTGTGTGTACCTAGAGGTCTTCTGAACCTAAAAATTTATCCTGAACTTCTAGGCAATGCACCAGCAAGGCAGGCACAGAGTGAAAGCTAGGGCAGCTGTCACTACCCACTCTACTTTAGGGTCAAATCCAGCCAAAGGTCAATAAATGCATTTGCTTTCAATTCACCTGCTCTGTGAGGGTGAAGGCAGCACAGAAGGCAGAGAAGCCTCTGTTCTGCTGACTGGGCTCCCACGCAGTCCCCATTCAGAGGCTGATAATTAGGCTAACTAAATCTTTTAATCTCAAAATTGGAAAACATGACTTCACGTGGTTCTGTAAATGTTAATGACCAATAAAACCAGCTGTAGCACCACATTTGGTTCAGTTTATTAATGTGCTATTTTAGATGAGCTGAAGTAGAAAGAAATTCCATTATCCAACTTGAAAAGCCCTTCCCTGTGTGCACCCATTTATATAGCACTTTTATTCTACTAGAAACTCAGATACTCAATTTGTCCCTTCCTTTTAGGGCTTAGTTTTTGTTGTCATTTGAGTTTTGTTTGGTTTGGTTGGGGTGTGTGTGTGTGTGTGTGTGTGTGTGTGTGTGCACGCATGCACGCACGTGTTTGGCATCATTTTGGCAAAGAAGCAGTTAAGTGAAGATGAGTGGACCCAGGGGGCCAAGACACTTCCAGCTCATCTCAGCTCCCACAGCTATTGCTTCCCAGAGCTCAGACACTGGCCTCTACTTCTTGCTCAAAGGTCTCCATCTTTCAATCATCAAGATCAATCCTGTACTACTTTGCTTGATCCACAGCAAAAACGAATAACAGCTCCACTAACAGAAATCCAGGGACTGCATATTTAAAACTTCAATCTATGGTTGCCTCGGCAAATGCTTATGAAGTGTTTTTCATTCATTCATTCATTTCATAAGCATACCTTACTTTTTCAGGTACAGAATACAAAGCAAGCTCATTAAGTGAGAATAATCCATTCATTCCTTTCATTCAGCAAATACCTAAAGACTTACTACATGTCAGGCACTGTTCCAGAGGCTGGAAAATACAGAGCAGAGCAAGACAGACAGTGCTTTGCTCCCACAAAGTTTATTTCAAGTCAATGAGACAGACCACAGACAAACACATAAATACTTAGTAGAAGGTTGAGCAATAACAGGTGCCCTGGAAAACATAGTAAGGCTGAGTAAGAAGGGAGAGAGGGATGGGATTGCTACTTTAGATGGGGAAGTTGAAGAGCAGTCTGGATACAATTATAGAGTAAGTCATGTTCTTGCAGAGGGAAAACGTTTAAGATGCAAAGGAGTTGGGGAAAGTTGTCAGCAAATGATGGTAGGGGGTATATTGGGTAGGCCACTGTAGGCCACCGAAGAGTTTGAGACAATGGGGAGAGCTTTACAATCTGATTTACATTGTAACAGGGGGAGTGGGGACAAGAATAGAAGTAGGAAGACCAATTAGGAAGCCAGTACAATAATCTGTAGGCAAGAGATGTAATGGTAGCTGCTATGATCTGAATGTTTGCGTGCCTCCAAAAGTCATATGTTGAAATCCCCAAGGAGATGGTATTAGGAAGTGGTGCCTTTGCAGTGTCTAGGTCATGAAGGTGGAACCCTTATGAATGGGATTAGCGCCCTTATAAAAGAGGCACTAGGGCTGGGCATGGTGGCTCATGCCTGTAATACCAGCACTTTGGGAGGCCGAGGCAGATGGATCACGAGGTCAGGAGTTCTAGACCAGCCTGGCCAAGATGGTGAAACCCCGTCTCTACTAAAAATACAAAGATTACCTGGGCATGGTAGTGGGCACCTGTAATCCCAGCTACTCAGGAGGCTGAGGCAGAGAATTGCTTGAACCTGGGAGGCGGAGGTTGCAGTGAGCCAAGATTGCGCCACTGCACCCCAGCCTGGGCAACAGTGTGAGACTCCATCTCTAAATAAATAAATAAATAAATAAATAAGGCACTAGGGAGCCCAGTCACCCCTTCCACTATGTGAGGTTACAGCAAAAAGTTGGCCATCTAGGAAGTGGACCCTCACCAGACACCAAACCTGTCAGTACTTTGACCTGTGACTTTCCAGCCTCCAGAACTGTGAGAAATAAGTTTCTGTTGTTTGTAAGGCAACCCGTCTAAGGTATTTTGTTATAGCAGCCAGAACAAACAAAGACAGTGTCTTAGCCTAGGTTTGTTGTGATAGAGGGAGTCATAAATGGCTGGATTTACTATACCTTCCCATGGTAGCACCAATTGGATTTGTTGATGGATGTGAAATGAGGATAAAGATAAGAGAAGAAACAAGAATGATCCAAGGTTTAGCCGTGATACAGTTTTTTAGTTTGCAAGATATTTTCACATATATTATCTAATTCAAGATTCATAAGACCTTGCTTCTTTTTTTTCTTTCTATCTTTTTGAAACAGAGTCTCACTCTGTCACCCAGGCTAGAGTTCAGTGGCATGATCTCGGCTCACTTCAACCTCCGCCTCCCGGGTTCAAGCCATTCTCCTGCCTCAGCCTCCTCAGTAGCTGGGATTACAGGCACACGTCACCATGCCCAGTTAATTTTTGTATTTTCAGTAGAGACAGGGTTTCACCATGTTGTCCAGGCTGGTCTCAAACTCCTGGCCTCAAGTGATCCACCCATCTCAGCTTCCCAAAGTTCTGGGATTACAGACATGAGCCACCACACCCGACAGAACCTTGCATCTCAAAGTGTGACAAGCAGACAAGCATCACCAACATTACCTGGGAGCCTATTAGAAATACAGAACCCTAGGCCACTCCAGATCCCAGGTAAGCCATATGCACATTAAAATTTGAGAGGCACTGATCTGCGTGCCAGGAATGAGGAGGATGAAGGGATGAGGAGGAGGAGGAGGATCCAACGGTCTCCTGGAGGTTAAATAATTTACTTACAGCCACACGGTCAGGATGCAGGGATTCTGACTGCAAACCCAGTGTCCCCTCCACCTCTCCATGTTTGTGAGACATAATTCCTTACAACCTATTGGGGAACCAGAACCCCCACCATGTAACAATTATCTGAAACATGGTTTCATTAGAGGTCACAATTTAGGGATCGCAGGATAGGCTTCAGAGAGGAGACCAAATTCATCTTGGCTGTGAAAGTGAGTAGAATTCAGGTAAGGAAAGGAGCAGAGAGAGGACTGCAGAGGAGGGAGAAGTCTGTGTGTGCATGTGCGCACATGTGTATGTGCGTGTGTGTTGGGGCAATGAGAGGGAAGTCGCTGAGGGAGGAGAACCACATGAACAAAGCCCAGAGCTACCTGACACTGATAAATCACTCTCCCCATCACATTCTGCCCACCAGACGTATTGATCCTGAACTAATCAAGTAGAAAGAGTCATTGGGGAAAAAATAACGGGCTTAAAAAAATAAATCCCTCTCACACGATTACTTCTCCAGGAAAGCAAGCTGTGCCCAGCTGATGGCAAATTTGTCAAAGGGCAAGGTGGACATGGAGGACGGAAAAGGAGGGGAGAGGATATGGGAGGACAAGCCCCTACCAGAGAGAACCACGTGCCTGCTGCTGTTTGCTTTTTAGCCTGTATTCAGTGCGCCCAGCTTCAGTGTAACATCTGGGCTCAGTGCAGGCCTGATTTAATAATATGTTGGGATCTGGCATTTGCTGCAGTCCCGCAGTGGCAGTAAATAGTGACAGGGAAGATGTGTACCAGACCTAATTTGCCCCCTTTTTCTACTTAGAAAGGCACATTAATATTTAATAGAAGAAAAATAATTCATGCAGATTTGAAAGCAAAATCCATGAAAAGGCACATTTAAAAAGCTGGGGGGAAATGGGTCTGTTTAGGAAAGCTCAATTTTCCCCTTAAACGAACTAAAGCTCATTATTTATTTGCATGGAGGCAACCTAGGCAAATTTCACCCACCTGCCTCCTCCTGTATTTTGGTTCCATGGCTATAAACATCCCCTAACTTTCCACCCAGGCCTTGTGTTTATGTCTCTTCAGTCTGTTGCTGGAAACTCAGCAGCAATGCAAAGACAGCCTCCTGCTTATCATGTTGGGCGGGGAGTTGAAAGGAGCTGAGTCTTCTTGTGTCACAAATGTCTCTTAGGACAACTCTGAGGCCTGGATTTGGGTCCCCCATTTCTGTTAACTACAGAACAGGTGTAAGAAAGTTGGAGCTTGGGATAACTTAAGAAAGGACTGTGCATGGTGTTATGGTCTGGGTGGGAAACAACGCGCCCCCATCCAGGCAGCCCTTGTATAGCTTTCTTCATTGAGATTCTAGGTGACCAGTGCCCTTCTACTGCACCTTCAACCTGGACTTGACTCTGGGACACCCCATAAAAAGATCTATGCCTAGGCCTTTTTCCATCCTCTCACACCCATCAAAACTTACCAATTTTGTGTCCTATCACTGCAGGGGCCTGCCCTTGACATCCCAAACTGACAGTTCCCAACTAGTCCATCCTAGTGTTCATCAGCACATTGGTGTGACACCCAACGAAGCACACATGTATTTTATCAAGGGCCCTTTAGAGGCCATGCCTACCTTCAGACTGGTGTGACTTTCAGCCACATGGTAGAGCCTTTGCGCCCCTTTAACTGTACCATATCAGGGGGCCCGAGCCTGCTTCCACAAAGCAGATCCTATACAATGCTGCAGTGAGTCTCATCCAAGGACCCCAACACCATATCCTCCCCGTCACATCAGCCAACACAGTGGGCTCTCGCTCCTCTGCCACACCAGTGTCATTTCTGTCTGCATCCTAAAAATCACTTTCAAAAAGTGCGTCACTCTTCTACAGCCTGGGACTTAATTACCCTTCACCTGTGATGGGCGCCAGCTTGCCTTGATGAAGAGAAGACAAGGGAGCCCCGCTTGCTCCTTTGAACAGAAAGCAAATTCCCCGGGCAGAGGGAAAAAACTCAGCCCCACAGGCACCCATGGTACGGTGTTCAGCCCTTTCCCAAGCGGGCAGGGGTAATTCCCAAGCCACACCAGCAGGTTTTCATTTGGCCCAATTTTGCCTCATTTCCTCTAAAATTGTTACTGCAATGATTTAATGTTCAGGGCTGGGAACAACATATCTTCCCCCTTCTCTCTCTCTCTCCACGAACCACCATCCCTTGAGGATGAAACTGAGACCTCAGCATGGCAGGTCAGAACCATTTAATAAACGTAAAGCCAACATTTTTTCTACATAAATAATGTAATTTTTGTGTGGAAGGGACCGTGGACTTTTTTTTCACGATGAATAGGCCCATTATAAGCTGCATCTGACCAACAATCTTTTTCGAATTGTTCTTTCCTGAGCTTTCAACTTAGCAAATATTTCCTGATACTAAATCACCATAAGCCACATTTTATGTCACTGTGAATTTGCTCAAAATAAGTTCTATCCACTTCCTTAGATTCTACTCAGAAAGGTCCCTCAGCAAAGATTTGGCTGTTGAAGAGCTTTTTTTTTCTTTTTTCTTTCCTCTTTTTTAAATCTAGGGGGATGTTGAGGGAAATGACTTAGGGAGGTATGGTAGGATTTAGAAAGAAAAAGAAAAATTAGAATCCCTGGGAGTTTTCACCATGAAAGCAAAGCTTATTTAGAATATGCCTATTTTCTTAAAACCAACAGGAAAGAAAGAATTGCGCTTGCAGAGTGTGCTGTTCTCCAGCGAGAGGTCCAGTGGGACAATTCGCAGGGGGACTAGGTCAGCTCAGCCTGTCTCTGCTGCTAAAAAAAATACTCCGGAGAAAGCTACAACTTCTCTAGGGGGTAATATCTGTAGGTAACCACGGATGGAAACTGAGTATTAATTATCCCTTCCTGTGTTTTATATTTTCTGATTTAACAGACATTGGAAAGCCAGACATTGATAAAAATGACAGGAAATATTCTTAGTCAATTAAATCACCATGATGTCAGGCCTAACATCTGCTCTATGAACCCTGCAGAAATGTGTAACATTAATATTTAATAAAAAATAGCCCGGGTATGGACTCAACAGCCATTTCACCCTGTGCTCCCAGGATGTTCACTTCAGATCTTATAACCTTATGAAATGTAAATACATAGGTTTCTCCCCCAAGTCACTCTCCTCCTTAGCATTGGAGGAAGCTTTGCTTTCATTCTCACAGGACCACACACCTTCCAGTCATCCCATGATTCCCTCCAGTTTCTGCTCAGTGAAGGCAGCTGTCATGGGACTGACCGTAGGCCACACTAATCTAAATGGAGAGACATCATGCACCGGGACAGTGAGCCCCATATTCCAGAGCTTGGCACCACCAGCTGCTCCTTCTTCTTGTGGCTTCTAGTGCTCAGTTGTCTCTCCCTAGGAAAGGTTGGGCTTAGCAGAGTGTCTCATAAGCTGCCATTTCCTTCTATATCCAAGCCAATGAGGTGGTCCCCAAATGTTCCCAGTGTGTCTGGGTACTTACCACCATTGTGCCTCTGCTTTTGTTGGAAAGCCCCATTGCCATTTTCCTTCATTACCTATTGTCCCTCAAGTGAAAGCCCTGAGAAAAACCCCCAGGGAGGATGCATACCCCTTCTCCTTCAACATGCTATCACCTTTCCCCTCCTTTCTTACTTGGAATTCATGTCACTGGGTAACCTTAGGGACAGTCCCACGCTACTCATGGCAGCCCCAGGATTTCCTGATGAAATGCTCCACTTCCCAGAGTGAGTGCAATACCTTTCCCTTTTCCCAACAGGCCTCTGGAGAAGCCACTTTTCCAAAAAGCAGTTTTATCCCTCACTTTCCAGCCAACCATATTTCCACCTAAGCCATAGATTCAACTCAAGTTTGGGAGGGTGGGGTGGGAATCACCAAGGCCACCCATTCTCTTGGGACAACAGCAAAGCTTCTGTATACAAAGCCTACCTGAACAGAGAGAAGGAGGGGTGATGTCCACACCTGGTTGGAGGCTAGTAAAGCTGAGGAGATAGGAATGACACTACCCTGGATTCAGATTTTGTCGGAGAAGTTGGGTAGTGATGTAAGTCTCACCCTCTTCCCTCCAGGGTCCAACAAATTGAGCCAATCTACCCAAGGATCATGAGTGAAAGGAGTGTCAAGGCATTTGATTTATTAATATCTAAGCAAATACTCAATCATCCCCAAAGACCATGGCTCTCTGATGAAGCTGGATGGGAGAGCACAGGTTGAACCAGGGAGCAAAGTGGCAGCTTCCTTCTCCACCTGCCAATCTAGCCCTTAGAACTTGTCTGTAAGGAGAACCAAGTCAGAGACTCCAATCTAGCCCCCAGAACTTGTCTGTAAGGAGAATCAAGTCAGAGAGTCCATCCTAACAAATGGCCCAATAGTAGGTGGAGATGCATACTTAATTCATAAAATGGGAATTATCTACATTTAAGAAGATTTTGCTCTCTCCTATATACCTCAATGAAATGAAAACAAATCCATCCCAAATTCTCCTAGAAAATCAAGGGAGAGAGTGAACTTATTTGATCTGATGACTACATGGAGACAGGAAGTACATGTCCCCAGCTGGGCAGGCAGAAAGAGGCACTCTGCCATGCTGAGCTGCTACCTTGGATATGGTTCTGTGGATGTCAGCCTCCCAACAACCCAGATAAATAACTAAACACTTGCAAAGGAGCAAGTGAGTGAAAAATATCCAAGTGTTCATTCCCATTTTCCCAATGCTAGGGAATGGAGAAGTACCTTTCTCTATGGGAAATATGAGGAGGAAGATAAGAGCTCCTACTACCATGTGACTACAAAAAGTCAGGACTCAAAGTTCCTAGAGTTATATGAGGCTTTTTATAAGGGGAAAGGCTATATCTAAACCTTTGTGTGACATTAGACTGGGGAACAATCTCAAGAGAGAAGGAAGTGATTTCTGTAGAGTCTAAAAAAGTTCTGGAGCTATAATCCACCTTACCCAGGAAAGAAAGATGAAGAGGAAGCCACATCCTGAAATGGATCCCCAAGCTTCCTTTCAATACTAGGAAGAAAGCACCAGGCAAAGGAGAGGATCGTTGGAACCCTTTCTCTTCATTAATAAAGCGGTGACCATATCTGAGAAATATGGTGAAAACCTACATCCAACCTCATTTAAGGGGGTTCAGATGATAGAGATAGCTCCCAACCAAATGGAATAAACTCCATCCTTTTACACTGAAATCAGATAATGAGCTCTGGGATAAGTGGTTAATATGCATTCTTTTGAGTTTGTATAGTACATTAGATTAAAACTGACTTTATCATCTGTACAGATTCATGAAAATTAGTCAAACCAATGTCAAGTACAGAAAGGTGGTTGCTCTAGTTACTTGGACCTTTACAAATACATTTTCAAAATCCCCATTTAGAAGTGGCTTCTTTCTGCAGAGATAGCATGGGACTGTGTTAAAAACATTTCAGGTATCACTGGACATAAAGACCTTTTGAAAGTCCTAAATTCTTTACAGCCTCGGCCAACTCCCTTGGGATATTCTGATATTGACATTCCATCCACTCTTTTGTCTTTAACCCATAAAATGGGGAGTATCTATATTTAATAGGATTTGTTCTCTTTCTCTTATATTTCAACACAGTAGCAGGAAATCCATCCCAGATTCTCCTAGAAAGTCAATCAGGTACATAGTTGCCAAGAGAAGCAAGGGCTTAGCATCTTAATGTAGATCTGTCACCATTTTTGCGGTGGACAAAGGATCCTAAATCTTTAGCTTCAAGTTCCTCTGCCACAGCCTTTTTCAACTAAGAAGTTAGAAAATGCTTAGACACTCAAAACAGCTGACATTATTGAGCACTCATTGTGTTTGAGTCATTTTGTTACATTCTTTCATCAGTCATCTCATTTAATTACCACAACTGTCTCATGAAGAAGGTAAAAATATTCCCATTTTGCAGATGAAAAAATAGAGGCAAGTAGAGGATAAAATGCCTGCCTAAGATCACATGGCAAGCAAGAGTAAAGGCAGGAATAGAATTCAGACCCTCTCAAGACCCATACTCAATCTAAAGCAGTACACAACCCCGTCTCCGTAAACACCTGCAGGTGAGGCATGCTGCTATGCCCAAGATAATCCTCAGCTCAGTGTAAGGAGGCTTTCAAGTCTCAACACATCAAGCTTGATTTGCTCAACAGCTACACCCAGGTGCTCAGCAGGAACTAAAAAAAACTTGAAAGGGACTGGGGGAATTTACCCGTTTTCCAAAGAAAGGAAAACAAAGGAAAAATGTTAGCAAAGACTCAGCTCTCTACTCAGCTCTCTTTCTCTGTTCCTTGAAGGGAAACCATAAAAATGCTTGTGCATAAAAGGGTTTTACCTTACAAATGAGGATTGGACTGAACAGGAAGGACACTGTTTTCTCCTACAGCCATGTCAATTAAATATGCATTTCTCAGCATTCCTTGCTAGTGGCAAGAAAAAGCTAGTTTTCCATGTGGTCCACCGTCTACCACCAGACAACTCCTTGGTGTTGTTGATGGTGAGAACTCCTTGGATCTGTTTCACATTTCGTTTTTGCAGCCTTCCTATTCATTGCACAGCAGAAACTTTCAACCCATTTTACAGATGAGAGAATGAAAAGTCAAGATGTTGATTGGCTGAAGGTCACCTCTCAGAGAAGAGTGTGACAAGGTATAAAAAATTTCTGAAGAATAAAAGCTAAAGAGTTTTATCTTTCCTACCTTTTCCCATCCTCCCTGTCTTGGTATGAGGGATAACTTTAAGCAAATGTTAGAACAGACAGTTTGTTATTGATCAAAGGTGTATCTCTGACATCTTTCACTTCCCTGTATGCCATTGCTTACTGGTGTCCCTCTCCTCTGGGGTCCCTGACCCTCAAGCTGCCCTAAGCTTCCCATATAGGAATCTGCCCAGGTCTGTTCAACTCTCACTGTGCTCCATGATCCAAACCCCTTTGGATATCTTGCCATCACTCCAAATAATAAGCCCTTTGGAGACAAGGGAGCCAAGCTAGGTGTTCAGAGTAAAGTAACGAAAAAGAATTAGTTCATGGTAAAATGTTAATGCTTCCAACATTCTCAAAAGCCTTGTGGCATTGTTTAGAAGATAAAATTGAATAGCCCTCACGAATCTCTGTTTGTTCAACTAAATGAAATTCCTTGAAGTAAAATAAAGAAATTCAGGTCATAAGCTTGTATTCTTAGGGAGAGTAGCTACCAGTATGCAGAGTAACCTTTCTGGGAGTCTAAACAAGGAACTGATGGTAGAATATATGAGCTTCTCATGATTTCTTCCTTTCTCTTACCCATTTGCAGATTTAGGTTTATTAAAATCTCTAAATTGAAACTCCCATAAAAGTAGAATCATAGCACTAGTGGGGGATAGAACCACAAAGCTTCCTTGTTTATACTGACTCTAAAATCAGAGTTTGTAAACCAAAGACTACTCTTTAGAACTCCCTGGGATGAAGGTAGCTATGACAAAATAGGAAAATATCAAGTGTTGATTACCGCAGTGATAGCTAAGTACTCCCCAAAAAATGGAGAGAGAAAAAAATACTGTATATACACTTCTGTTCTTCAATAACAAGAAAATAGACTCCTGAAACATTTTCTAACCAATACCTTCAAATGTTAAATAATTCATTTTTCTTAACAACCATCTATATTTTTCAATCTTATCCTTCCATGTAATTTCCAGTTCACCAGTCCACTATTGGGTAAAGCAGCTGGCCAGGAGATTATACCACTGAGACATAAGTAGGATCATCTTTAAGGGCAACACTGTGCATGCAGATGGATCATGATACTAAATAATATGTATTAGTATGTCTACATTATAGCAAATAAAGAGGGACTCAGTCAGGAGAAGTAACTTGCCCAAGGTTACATGGCTCACTTAAGATTTGAATTCAGGTTTGTCTGACTCCGAAAGCCCAAACTTTTTGAACTCCAAAAGCCCAAACTCAACTTATGTCAATGAGAAGTCCATAAACTCTTACTTCTGTGACCATGTTCTCAAGGGTCCAAAAGAGTTATTTATGAGAATTTTGACATTTTGTTCTGTTTTACCAGGAAGGTGATGGGTTGTTGGGCATGCCCAATTTGGAAAAGCCTTATTCTGGAATCCATTGCAAGCAGATTCACTAGGTGGATCTTGACTTCCTGTGAATCACTGAGAAACGCTGATCAGTACTAGGTATGGTAACAAATGAACAAGAAACACTTTCTCTCCCCTAATTCAAGAAATAGTTGGATTAGAGACACACTTCATGCAGGTTTAACTAATAATTCAGTGCTAACTTTTCTCTCCAATGAATGAGATAGCTGACAGCGTGATTAGGAGACACCTCATTGAAATGCACACTTGAGAACTGCTCTAAGGCAGGGTTTGGGCTAAAAGAAAGATCCTATTATCTTGAACTAACAAACAAGGGCCTGAAGTTTTCTAAGCCATTTTCTATCTACAGCATCCTTATGCAACCAGGCTTTTTCTGCTTACAGTCACTGAAGTCAAAATAGAGAAATAAACTGAACATAGAATTGAATTTGACATTGTATTTTTCAACTACTAAACAAAATGCACATGATTTTATTTCAACAAAATATTATCAATCACAAATTGCATTACTTTTGTTTTTCTATGATTTTTTAAAAATCATATAGAAATCATAGTTACATAAAACCTATAAACATACAGTTTTTACCAAGTTTCACATATATACTTACCTTAAAAATATACTAAATTAAGTGTCCCAAGAGACATTTTATTTCTCTTGAAAGGGTTTCATACATTCTCAAGTTTGAGAAACACAGGTGTTAGTTATATTCTCTTTTAGACATGTTCATAAGAATAAACCCACCATAAAGGAAGTATTTATTAGTCAGCATAAGCTAGGTTCTGCTATAATAACAAATAGCTCCTAAAATCTCCATTGTTTAACACACTGCTGATTTATTTCTTGCTCATATCACAATTTGAGGCAAGTGAGGCAGCTCTCCTTGCTACTTCTCTTCCAACAGTGACCCAGAGAACCAAGCTATTTTCATTATATTTCATTGTGAAGCTCTACCATCTCAGGGTTCTTCTCAGCTGATGTTTCTCAACCCTCCACCCAAATTGGGAAAGAACATGGAGAATTAACACCAGCTCATAACTGTCTCAGACAAGAAGTGGCATCTATCACTTCTGCTGATATCCCACTGGCTAGGACTGTTTATCTGGCCTCACATTAAAGCTAGGGGGGCTGAGATGTATAGGAGAACACAAGGTGATATGGTTTGGCTGTGTCCCCACCCAAATCTCACCTTGAGTTGTAATAATCCCCACATGTCAAGAGCGGGGTTAGATGGAGATAATTGAATCATGGGAGTGGTTTCCCCCATACTATTCTCGTAGTAGTGAATAATTCTCACAAGATCTGATGGTTTTATAAATGGGAGTTCCCCTGCACTAGCTGTCTTGGCTGCTGGCATGTAAGACATGACGTTGCTCCTCATTCACCTTCTGCCATGATTGTGAGGCTTCCCCAGCCATGTGGAACTGTGAGTCAATTAAACCTCTTTCCTTTATAAATTACCCAGTCTTGGGTATGTCTTTCTTAGCAGCGTCAGAACAGACTAATATACAAGGAATATGTGGGAAGCATTAACTGTCTCCAATCAGCAATCAGAGATAAAGAGAATATCAGAATGAAATTGCCACATGAGCTTCTTATTAAATGATATTCCATTTACAAAGTTTGATTTATTCACCTTTCCAGAACATATCTTATGTTTAAAAAGTACACATTAATTCACTAAACATTGATTGAGTGCCTTTTATGTCCCTGGTCCTGAGGATGGAGAGATTAATCAAATAGAAGTAAACTGAAAGAACGCTCCTGTTATCTCATAACCAACATGTAGAGATTCGTGAAGAAAAAATGATGTTATCTCTAATCTTCAAGTGCATTGCTCTCTCTCAGATTGCCTCAAGCTCCTGTTCCTTGGGAGGGACTTCTCTGAGAAAAAAAGATCTAAGATCTGGATAAGCTTTACATGTAGTAAAGTCTAACCCCATGAGTGATTGATTTAAAACTTGTATATGTGGCCTGATTAATCAATATTCAACAGAACTGCAGAAGAAACAAGTTGTTAGTAAAGGACTGCTCCGATAAGGAGTCTTGGGGTCTAGTCCACTATACCTACCACACATCAAACCAGCTGTGATCTCAATGCCACTGGGCAGCAATCACCTTTGTGAAACAGAGATAAGGCTGCTTTGCCTTATCCTTGCCTGAAGGTGGATAGTGGGCTGTGGTATTTGCAGGGAGATGCCACTTGGAATCCATCCAAGTGAGTTACCAAAAGAGGATGATACATTTTGAGCTAAGACTAATTATGCTTTAGCTGACTACTAGCATGCTGCTTCTTCCTCTCCTCAGAGTAAGACAACCCTGACTTTCTTACATGGTCAGATTGGAGGAAAAATTATAAAGTAGAAAGGCTCACCCACTCTCTCTAGCATCCCTTTTCAGTGTCTTTCTTTCTAGTGAGCCCTCCTGTCTCCCTCCTCAAGTTACACAGCATTGCCATTTTACTCCCTAAGTTTCGTTTTAGCAAATTTTACTTTTAGAAGGGCACTGATAAATCCAAGTTCTTACTAGACAGTGAATGACAGATATAAACAAATATTCACTAAGCACCTACTATGTATCAGGTAGCATAGTGGCTTATAAAGAAGTTACAGTTCCTACGCTTAGTAAGTTCACAGTGTTCTCGGTGAGTAAAAATGCTACATTTTTAGAAATAAAACAAAACAAAAATGTAAGAGAGAGCATGTAGGAGACTATATAACCTAATCATGGGGCTCAAGCTTCTCTTTAGGGATGATGGATGAGTATGAGTAGAGTAAGAATCTACTCTTGGGAAAATATCTATAGTCCAACAGAATCAAATTCATAGAATAAATTTCTAAATATGAAACTTCAGGAATCTGAATATCAGGATAAAGAGATATCTGAAGAGACTGTGATAGTCTTCCTGGAAAATCTTAAATCAGTTTTTCTTAAAGAAGGGCCTATGAACCACCTTCATCAGAATCATATAGAAATTTGCTGTAACGCAAAGTCCAGTCCTACAGTTACTAAATCCAAATCTCAGGGAAGTAGAACTGTCCATGCAATACCTATATCAACTAAAATTTGAGAACCAATGCTTAAAACCATGTCACTGGAGCTGTAATCCACTCTTTAGATAGACCAATGATGATCAAACCTACCTGTTCATTGGAATGACTTAGGTATATTTTTTAATACTGACACCTGAGTTTCACCCTTATAGATATTCATTTTATTCACCTAGTACTGGGCATAGTTGCTTCACATTTGAATCACCTGGGTGGGTAGCTTCGTGTTCTCAATCCACTAAGAAGGAACCTGGTCTCAGAATCAACTCTTGTCTCTAGCAGTAATTTCATTATTTGCACAAACCAATTAACAGTGTTACAGCATCCACCTTTAACACCTAACCATGTGAATCCAACTCTGAGACAGTGAAAACAGTTAAAATTCACTCAAAGGAAAAATACTTAGTACATTCACAAGTTGAGTTTTTGTTTAGCTTTATCTGTACAAGTTTGTTAATTTCAACAGGGACTGTAGCTGACATTTAGTTTTTACATAATACATAGGATGTGTGCTAAAGCATTTCCAATAAACACATGAATTTATTTCTGTACCTTCCTCAAATCAAGCTAAAAATATAAAAGGAATACATTTGCAAGAAAAAAGTGAAAGGGAAAAGACAACAATGGGTAAGAGATGTCAACACATTTTTGGAAATTTTGAGAGGATAGAGGAATTGACTGAGAAATCAGACTGAGAAATCATGGAGAAGGATACAAGAGGAGTGTCATGGAATAACTCAGAGGCATTAAGTTATGTGATACACTTTACATTTGGGAGCTAGGCTATATCAAAAATAAAAGCAAAACAGAAATTATAAGAGAAAAGAAAGAGAGGAGGAGAAAAAATACTACATAGGGCCTAGAAATGGTGGATCTTGTTTGCACATTTGAGGGAGATAAACTGATAGCTGGCAGTTGGTAAAGAGGCAAAGCTGGACCAGCCCCACTAAATTATGCTGTAGGGCAGCTAAGGTATTTAAGAAAACAATTATAGTTGGTTATGGGCTCTCCAGAAAATCTTGAGTATTACCTGTGGAGTAAATGTGACTGGCTCTCTGATGGGTGCCCCTCACATAGCCCCACCACCACAGTTAAGACAGTTCTGCCCCATTTTCCTCATTAGGATTTCTCGGAAGTAAGTCAGTTTCCTCTGCAGAGCTGAGAAAGGAAAGAAAGAGTCTCTATGTTGCACACACACAAAAAAAAACAAAAAACACCGTTAAATAGAAGTTAGACTCCCAGATTTTCCCCATTATCCTCTGCATTGAGACAACTATCTCTCCCCAACCTCTGAAGAAATTTCCTCAGAGAGAACCCAGACTCAGAGACATAATAATAAATAAAAGTCCCTTTCACCACTTTTCTGTAAGAATGCTGGCCATCAGTTCCACACCACCATAACCTCCAGCAAAAGATCGATGGACTCCTCTCTAGAGAAACTTACCCATGTGTAAGACCAATATTTACTGGCAGTTGGCATTTCCCCAACAAAATGGTCAGATCTTTCTGATCATTCTACAGCAAAACCCATCAGTTGACCAAAAACAAACAAAAACTATAAACACACCAAGCATCCAATCAACTTGGTACTGACTCATTCCCGAGTGCGATTGGACACCAGAAACACCCAACCATTAAGGAAAGCCTCTAAAGCGAAAAACACAGTTAATACAAATAAACATAATAACAGGAACTCAAGCAGACAATATGAGGAGCAGAACAAAACTGTAATTGATATCCCCAGAGAAGCAAGATATATTCCATCCCACGTATAAGATAGGTACAATCAAACAATAAATGCAAGCTCCTGAAAGTGAAAAATAATAGTAGGAAATTTAAAAATTCAGTAGAAGGGGGGGAAGTTACATTTAAAGAAATCTTGTAGAAAGCAGAACAAAGATGAAAAGTGGAAAAGGAAAGCCAAAAAAATTAGAGGATTGGATTTGGATGCACAATAGTAAAATAATGAAGCAACAGAAAGAGAGAACAGGGAAAATGGAAGAAAGAAACTATCAAATAAGTAATAAAGAGAAAATTGCCAGACAAAAAGATCCAATTTTCATACAGAAAGAGACTGCTGCATGTTTGACAAAATCAATGAAAATGAACTCATTAAATCACATCGTCAGGAACTATCAGAATATTGAAGACAATATTAAAATACTTTATAGAAGGGGGAAAGAGCGTGTAAAAGAATTAAAACTGAGAATGGCATTAGACTTCTCAACAACAACACGAGAAGTAAAGACAATAAAGAAATGCCTTCAAAATTCTGAAGGAAATTTACATCAAAGCAATAGCAAGACATCAAAGCTCTAGCAAAGGAAAGGCCTTCCCTTCTTGATTCCAAGGTGCCTCATTCTATGACAGAGTTGAGGGGAGCATACAGAAGACCCACTGGCACTTACCCTTCAGCAAGTTTTCTCAGCATCCCAGTGGATAGCATCCTAGGCACCAACTACAACCCAAGGCATCCAGTAAACTTCTCTGCCATCAGCAGGCCAGGCCACAGCCACGTCTCCCATGAGATCTCAATCTCGGCCTTGGAGAGGGGAGTACCCTTCCAAATGCATTCCTTCCTTGGGTGCTCACCCTCAGCCCTAGAGGTAGCAGCTCCTCTCTGTACTCTTTAGCTCTGTTATCCCTTTTTCAGTTAGGCATCTTTTACTTGGTAATATTTCTTTATGTTAAATTTTTCCTGTTTGAAATACTGATGTGGTTCCTGTCTCCTGGCTAGACCCAGAATGATATATAGTCTCAACTAGTTAGCTCCCATGCATCCTTTCTCAGGAAACTTACAGAGGATGTATTCATGGAAAACATGTAGAAAACCACAAAGGAAAACGGTAGCAGATTCAGGAAGCAGAGGCTCCAACACAAAAGAAAACTTAAAGAGGTCTCAGGACAAGGCCAGGGGGGCCACCAGCCCAGAAGGAGCAGGGGCACAGAGCCCTCCAGGTTGTATGTCTACAGGGAGGGAAAAATGGAACTGATACATCACCTACTGTGTTTGAAATAAGTGGCTGGGCACGGTGGCTCATGCCTGTAATCCCAGCACTTTGGGAGGCCGAGGTGGGTGGATCACGAGGTCAGGAGTTCAAGATCAGCCTGGCCAAGATGGTGAAACCCCGTCTCTACTAAAAATACAAAAATTAGCCAGGCACGGTGGTGGGCACCTGTAGTCCCAGCTACCAGGGAGGCTGAGGCAGAGAATTGCTTAAACCCGGGAGGCGGAGGTTGCAGTGAGCCGAGATCACGCCACCGCACTCCAGCCTAGGCGACAGAGCAAGACTCCATCTAAAAAAAAAAGTATTAATTCTAGCAAATGGTACCAGAAAGGAAAATGTAACTGAAATATAACTAACACATCATTTGGGTTAGCGATATACAATATTTACATGGTCAAAATAACATAAACATTATTTTATTTATATTGTTGATTTAAAATAAATTTTTACCTATTTTAAATTAAAATTAAATTTAAAACAAAATATTAGGATCAAAGTAAATACATAAAATTGATTTAAATTATACATACATTTTTCTTTATAATACTCCTGATTTAATTGAAAGCTTTGTTATAACTGTATTGAGATGCTTGTGGGAGAGGAAGTGTGTGCAGGTGTGAGTGTGTTCAAGTTTGTATGAGAGTATAAAGGCTCTAAGAGACTTAAATCTTACATTAGTAGGAAGTCAGCAGGTAATGTCTACATTGGTAAATCAAAAATAGCCCCTAATGTATTATTCATCAATATGGTAATAAATACCAGCAATGACAGTTAAACAGTTGAGAGCAGTTTTCTCTGGAAAACGTGACAATAGGCCTGGAGTGGGAATTTGCTGCTTTTTATCATAAGTCTTGTATGACTATCTGACTTTTTAAATTATGTACATGATGACTTGCTTTTATTGAAAAAACAAGAGAGACTGAAGGATGCCTCAAAATCTGAACAGTGGCTACTTTGAGGTATAGGAATAATTTTTTTCTATTGTTATGCTGCATTTTTCAAGTATATATTATTTTGTATTTAAAAATAATATATATTAATATTTTAAAATATTTTAAACAAATAAGGAGATAACATGACCATACGTGTCTGCTGCACACACACCTATACACATGTGTGCATATGTAAAAGCACATATACATATACACACATATAGACACATAAGTTTATCTCTTATATACAAGCACTTTAGATGTTTCCCCTATCATCTGGCTTGATGTTCATTAAAACAAATTTGAAACTTAGGAATATTTGTCCAAATAACTCCATTTTCTTTGCACACTTTCTCCTGGCATTCCAAGATGTATGCAAAAGGAAGGCTGTTAGAGGCAGGTGGCCCTCCTGGGAGAGATGCCCCATCCCTCACTGTGGCCCAACTCTCAGCTGGACTAATAGTGGCCAATTGTGAATTGTCTCTCCTCCCCCTGTCACCTCACTAAGACATGCACTTCAAAGACTCTTTGGTACATTTTACAGCCTAAAGCAGGTTGGACAGGAGGGAAGAACTGGAAATCAAAACCTTCTAAATGAGCCCCTTATGAGTCAAATTCAAATGTACTTTAAAGGCTCAAATGATAGATAATCGGTTGATGGATAGATAGATAGATAGATAGATAGATAGATAGATAGATAGAAAGAAATAGATGGGTAGGGATAACTAGAGATAAAAAGATATCAGTATGACCCCTTTTTCCCAAGAACTGATTCCATATATGTTTTCTACTGCTCTGGGTCAATACAGAAGGCCTATGGCTTCTATTCTCCTTCCAAATATGTCTCTGGCTATTCATGGCAGATACTGATCATTTTACTGAGATGCTGAGCAACCTGCCCAGAGATGAGTGGGGCAGGGTAGGGTGGTGATGAGTGGTTTAGGGGTTGGTTTCAACAATCACTGTTGCCAAAATTAGTCATCCACACTCCCTGGTTCTGGGGCAGAGTAGGCACTGTGGGCAGAGTATTACACACATCACCCGCTATGAAATGGGTTGTTTGGATTGGTACCCATCATACACACATATCTCCCAGCATCATCCAGACTAGCATGCATAGGAATCAGAGAAAGGTATCACAAAACCACTGGAAGAAAGCTCAGTGATAAGGTCTTTCACATTCTAGTGTGTGGTTCAGAGCACATACTCTGGTTGTCTTAGCATGAATCCAGTGCTTCCTTTATTAGATGAACAATCTTTGTTGTATTAGGTAAGTTCAGTTTCCTCATTTATAGAACTTGCCTAATGGCATTGATTGAGGATTGGATGAACAAGTGTATCCAAGGTGCACAAACAGCACTTGACACATGAGAAATATTCAATGAGTGATTGTTATTATTTTACATTATCCTTTGTATAAATCTATTTAGTCGTCAGAGTTGTCATAAATGCGCAAGCTCAGCATGAAAGGCCTGAGATGTAGGCAATGAAGGTATTATTACCATCTCCATTTGACAGATGAGGAGTCAGAGGCTCATACCAGTAAAGGAGTTGCTTGGCTTAGCACACCGTAGAGCCAGAACTTGACCCCAGAGCTTCCAAGCCACACTTTTCCTGAAGCTGAAGAGGCACCTCTACTCCAACTTAACATGTCATGATATTCCTATCAAAACTTCTACTGATCCATGTGAAATTAAAATCACTAAGGATCTTTCCATTGACCAAGTTCCAGTCTTCTGACAAGCCTGAGTGTTGGGATTATGGCCCAAAAGTAGGTAAGCTGAAGTTGGGTCTAGCTCTGTCACTGTGGCCTTGGGCAAGCAACCTACCCTCTCTGGTCCTCGAGTTCCTAATCTGTAAGGTAGGAGAGTTAGACTCAAAGTCCCTAGATCATGGTTAAGACTCCCTAGATAATGGTTAATCAGCTCTGAAATTCATGATTCTTTAACTTCTTTTTCCTCCTTTAAACAAGTTGGCCTTTGAAGGACAGAGATGCCCAGAATATATATCATCAAACCTAAGCAGTTGTTGTACCCTTTTACAGGCAGCAGAGTAGGGAGTAGGGAGCTAATAACCAAATAGGATCAATGGCTATCCCTGGAAAGCACTGTGGATTTTCCGTTCAGAAAACCAAAACCCCAACAGCAAGATAGCATCTATTCCTAAACCTGAAGAGTTTTCCTATTCAATATGAGAGAATCTGAAAGGAACTTAGGAATCAATCCAATCTCCTTTCACAGACCAGAGAACTGAGACAATGAGAATTTCATGCCTCACCCAAGATGACATAGTTAATTAACTACAGAGATGTGACTGGAACCCAAGGCTCCAGGCTCCTCTTCCGTGTTGCTTCCACAATATTGTGCTTCATCCTCCAGGTTTAGAAAATCTGCATCAATGGTTCAGATGTCTCCTTGCCAGGAGACAAGCCATATTGGGATCAAAGCACATCTGTGAAGCTAATGACAGTCTAATTCACTATTGGCAGAAACATGGGAGATTTAGGGAGAAAATTGCAACAGACCGTTACAGACCATTCTGCAGCACATTGCTGAAAACGGAAAACACCTCTTAGATCACAAAGCATCATTGAGAAGGGGAGCCAAAAATCCCTGCTCATTTCACATTCGGCTCCTTCGGATGGTTGGTGGGTCCCCCAAACCAGCATGCTCCAAACGCACATCTGCTTCCATGCTGGAGAAACAAGAATCAGAGCTCTACTGAACTCACAATAAATTTATTTTTTCAAAAGCAGAGTTAAGAGCTTAACTGGATAAACAAAAAAAAAAAAAAGGAAAATCAAGTGAGTATGACGCAATCAGCCCCTTTGTGTTCCAAAAAACAGCCAAGGTCCCTGACATCTAGATAGCTATCTTTCCAGACTTTTCCCAGCCTTGCCAGCTGTCATTTGAGTTTAAACTCACTTCCTACAAAGGAAAAACGCACCACTATTTCTCTTTCATTGACTGAATAAATCTTCACTGAGCACTTTCTAGATGTCAAGAGTGTGATAAATCATCTCAGGGGCTAATTTCATTGCAATTCTAGCTTCTAGACTAATTATCAAAGCCCCCAAAGACCTACTGACCAACAATAAACAATTCAGGTGTGGTGTCCAACAGCCCCAAGGGCCAAACCCGAAACTTCCCTCCCCCTTCCTGGTTACAATACTTTATCCTCAGAGTATTAAAGACCACATAGTATATATTTTCCTTTAAAACACCATCATCTGAATTGGATACACACGCACACACACAGTGTGAAATTTTTAAAAAGTTATGCATATATATATATAAATTTATATATATACTCACACAAAATTAAAAATTAAAAAAATTAAAAATTTCAATTTCAGGTACTTCTTTTTAGTTAACTTTTATTATGAGAATTTCAAACACAACAGTAGATAGAATAGTATAATAAAACCCCACATATCTATCATCCAGATTTGACAATGATTAACATTATTCTCTTGTTGTTTCTTCTATTTCCCTCTTATTTTACAAAAAAAAAAAAAAAAAAAAAAGGCAAGCATTTCTTAATGATGCCATAATCTAGGGTAACCATATGTTTCCATTTGCCTGGGATAATACTTCTTTGTATTAACTAATACCTATTAACTAATTTTATAGCCCCTTTTGTTTTTAAAAATGACCTGGTTTGTATAATAAATTCTGTGGTCACTTCACCTATAGCCGATATTACTAGTCTAAGGCACTGAAAAAAAGGTGATGTCTTATACTGTTTGTCATTACTCAGTACTATCCTGCTCTTCTAGGCTCTTCTCTGAACCTCAAGAACGGAAAGCCCGAGTACTACAATTCACAGATTCCCTGGCTAAATTCCACCATTGAAAGAAATTGACGTAAGCTTTGGAAGACAAAAGAGAAGAAAAGCATCTTCTCCAGCTTCAGCAGACACATAAGCCTTGGAAGCAAGCAGACAGCAGATGTGGACTTTTGCCCATGATTTACAAGGCTACAGGCAGCCCAGACCATAGCTGGTGGTTTCCAGCAATCTCTGAAATTTACATTTCTTGAAAGCATTCTCACCTTTGGTCTCCAGACTCCAATCTTTACATAGACCTCCAATTCCCCACATGAAACCTCTTCCATCTTGAAATACTTAAAATGTCTTCCATTTTCCTAACTAAATACTGACTAGAACAGTGACAAAGTGAATCCCCACTTTTCAGGTTTGCTTTGGCTCTGAGTATTGCCTGCAGGAGCTCTGCAGCAAGCAAGGCCCTCCACGTTCTCAGCTCCATCCATACTCCAGCCCCAACTCCTGCCACTCTAGCCACATCAAGAGCTGATAGCTTACCAGAACGTCACATTAGGTCTCATTTCCATGTCTTCTCTCATTCTGCCTTATAATTCCTTCTTCCTCTTACTCTCCCTTGGCTAACTCATGCTGCTTGTACAAAGCGCTACAAAAAGCTTCCTTCCTTCTCAATGAAGTTTTCTCTGACCTTTCCCCACACTGTTTGTGTGTCCCCACTCTGTGTTCCCACAGCAATCCAATATCTCTATCACTGGACTCATCACAGCCTATTTATGTTTTTAAATGTAGGCTTACATATGCTAATGTATCTATGTTCTCCTTGGGTGAGGAAACCTTGTTCTCTATCCCCAGTACCTAACACAGAGTAGAAGGCACGTAGTAGAAATTCACAGAATACTTGGTAAATAAACAAGTGAAAGAGCAATTCCTCACCAGCTTCAGCAGCTTAAGGATAAAGAATCTTGCATCTAAAGAGGACAAGGTCATCTCAGCATTTGACACTATGTTCAGGTCTAGACCTGCACTGCCTAATACACAGTGGTCACTATCCCCATGTGGCTACTTAAATTTAAATTTAAATTAATTAACTAAAATTAAATGAAATTTAAAATTTAATTTCTCAATTACATTGGCCACATTTTAAGTGCTTAACAGCCACAGATGGCTAATGGCTGCCATATTGGGCAGCCCATTTCCATCATTGCAAAATGTTCTACTGGACTGTGATGGTTTCTAAAATTAGCAGAACAGAAGAAACACTTTCCAAGGCAGAGCTAGTAAAAGTTCTCTCATCTGCATACATGCGTAGATGATACATTTTTACAGCTAACTCAGAGACAAAATGACCAGCCAGAAGACTCAGAGACAAACACTAAGGAAGTGGGTTCTAGCAAGGGAATAAGAATCTCAATGCTAGCTAACTTTTTTTGGGCAGTTAGTGTGTAAAAACCCTTGTAATAAGTACTTCACACATACCTTATTTAAGAAGAATGTAAGTAAATACTGATCTGCTATCCCTTATCTACAATTCCAAAATCCAAAAAGCCCTGAAAACCATTTACTTTTTAGATAAGTTTTGCCACAAACTCACTTGGCAGTAAAATCTGACCTGAATTTGAATTGCTGTGAGCCTATTCCTAATCTTTATTTAGCATGAATTGTCATTTTGCTGCAGAAATATTAATAGGTTACAGGATACCACCCAGACCTCACCTTTGCTGGTAGTTTAATGTAAAATAGGGCATATGTGCTATTTCATTTTTCTAAAATCTGAAAGAATCTCAATTCTAAAATACATTTTGCCCTAAGTGTTCGGAAAGCAATTTTGGACCTGTATTTTTATTTTCTTATTTTACAAATGAAAATACAAAACTCGGAGAAGTGAAGGTATTTGCCCCAATTCACAGAGACAGTAAGGGAGAAGCAGGGGTTCTAACCCATCTATGCCCAAAGCCCAGCCCTTAACCACTAATTAACACTGCCTCTCTCAGCTACAAATGCAACCAGTGTGCCTCTGCTACAAATGTATAGCAAAGGCCCAGCCACCAATTCTGGAATTAGGGTAAAAACTACACATTCCAGAGAGTACCTCAGGACCCTAACCAGGCCCTATAACCACAACCGAAACTGACTGAATTAGAGTCACCATTTGCCCAGCACAAATGGAGGCAATGTGGGTTTAGTATTTGTGGTATTTCAAAGGAAAATGAATCCCGATATCAAGTTCTCCAATACATTGCAGTAATTAACATTTTCAGAATCTAGCTATTTAATTTAAAACACCTCAGGATAGGGGATCCTCAATAAAAGCGAAACAAAGGGAAAATTCCCCATCCGGAGAAGCACTGCTTTCTTAATCACAGCTGAGAGCAAAGGCTCCCTCGTGCTGAAAGAGGCCAACCCAGTTTCCTTTTTCATGATCCTGCTAAAAAAGAGGATGCTAGGGAAACCCTCAGGGATCCCTAGAGGCCTGGCTGTCAGCTTCCAGAGGGCAAACTCTGAGGGCCCATCAAACCACTGGCATGAATCAGTAGCCACGCCAGTGGCATGGCTCATAGGCAGATCAATGATCAACAATCCAGGATCCAGGCATCCTTGGGTTTTGTTAAGAAATCACTATAAACCTGGGGAAGAACACCAGTGACTTCAGCAATATAATGCAGCATGGGTAACTCTCTATCTGGAAATGTTTAATTAGTTAATGAGTTTGGGGAGCAGCTCTTCTTAGGGATAATTAGTTAAGGTTTAACATATGAGACTGCAGAAAATTCTCATTAGTAGGAGTCAGCAGATTTCCCTTCTCTTTGATGGCCAATCAGAAGCCCTTATAGTGTGCCTACGAAGTGCCCTCCTCAATGCTCACTTTAGCAGTATGTTTCCAAATTCTTAGCCGATTAGACTCTGAGACAAAATGGGGACTAAAAACCCTTGCAATGGGGTTTAATGCATGAACCTAGGTAGGGGCTGGTTTTGGCTGAACTGTCTGGGACTTAAACTCCCTTTTCACAACTTACATCTTGGGCTCCCAGTGATGAGCGCACAGTAGATTGGTACTCCTTGACACCTACTGCTGTAAAAGCATTAGAGAAAATTGTTGATCCACACTTATCATAGAACAAAGGAAATATGCCCCTGTGGCCTGGACAAAGAGAAAGGCTGCCTGATTCTCATTTAACCAGGTTGGTGCCATAATTCCAGGAAAAGATCCAAAAGCAATTGCTGCCGCCTCACACCATCTGGAATGTCCTTTACCCCAAAAAAGCATCAGGAAGACTCACAAATCACTCATATACATGCCCTTGGGTGCTCTGCAGAGGGAAATGACTTCAAAAGATTAGATCAGCTGATACTTCAGAAAGCCATTTGTTCCAGATAAATGCAAATTATCTACCCCACACAAAAGGTTCAGACTCAGACATGAAGATAATGACCATGGTTAACTCCAAGGAAAGAAGCTGTATCTCTCACCTGTAAGGACTATCCTCTTAAGGTCAATAGAAGTCAGTTCTGCACGATTCTGAACAAGGGCCTGTCTCAGAAAGCTGCCATCATCAGTGATTCTGCCTGGTGTCAGCCAAAGTGAGAGCCCCAGGAGAGAAAACCAAAGTCACTGCAATGAACTCATGCTTAACTGGCAATGTCTTATTCTAAGCAAGGCGAAAATTTTTAAACAACACAAAAACTAAGGGATATGTACTTTTAGCCAATAACTAGCTTCTTTTTTCTGTACAAAGTTTTTGAGCTTCTGACACCATACTGCTAAGATAAGAAAGGAGAGGTTGGAAGATGCTGGGGCTTTGAGGTTCAGATCATGTGGTCTACAGAGTGAGATGTCCCCCATTTCTATCCTTCCAGACTTCCAAGTAACACCATAGACCCAGGTTGTAAGCTCTTCTGAACCAAAACCAAAAATTTAGAAACATTCAGGCACATAGTGCTTGCAACTATGGCTTTCAAATGGTGGTGTATAGAATGCCCTGGTGTAGGAGTAAGAATCCACCGAAGGATCATGGCAAGTCTCCCAAGCTCTTCAGGTCTCAGGTTCTTTATTACATGAGGAGTATGCATGATTAACAACACAAACTTTGCAGCCAGATTTCTTAGGCTCACATCTTGATTTTGTTACTTACTTTGTGACACTGGACATAGAACAGTGCCTGGTTCATAGGTAACTGCTATATACATGTTGCTATTATTGTTATCAGTAAACTGAGAATGAAAACATTGGTCCTTCCTATACTACAGAGAAGTAATAAGGGCAAAACAGAATGAGATGTTTGAAAAACAAGTTCAAAAGAGTGAAGAAATCACTACATAAGCAAATTTCCTATTATGTTTCTTTTTTATAACACATCCTACTACTATGGTATTTCATTGATTCTAAGACACAGATTTTTTGACATTTTAACATCTCTGAAGTTGTATATACCTGACAATGAGGGGACATAATTAATTGGCATTTTATAATTTTTGAATGATACATAAAAATATGTTTTATAATTAATTGTATCTTAAGTTCAATAAAATATGATAGTATATTTCCAATAAATGTGAATCATTTGGTTGTTTCTGGGTTCAGACATCCAATCCTGCTCATAATCATAATTTTACTTTTTCTTCAGATGCGCTTTTTAAATTTCAAGCTAATTTGGTCTAGGACTACTGGACTCTGAAGCAGAAGGACTGGGATCCAATCCCGATCAAAACAACCACAGGTACAGGCTGGGGGGCATGATAAAATAGCAATGACAATAATAACAAAAACTCATTTTATGAAAAACACCTCTGAAAAAGAATAGTTCAAAATAAATTTAAGTATGCATTAGGTGATAAAAATGGCGTTTTAAATCCTTGGTGAAAGAATGGACCTACCAATCAATAAACTGGTGTACAACAAAAGGCAGCAAATTAAAGGGGGTGGGGAGGGCGCTTAGAGTTGAAGAACTACCTTACTGCTTACAGCAAAATCAATTTCAGGTGCAGAGGGAAAAAAAGTAAAGAGAACTTCATCTTGCACCTTAAGTACCAGCACAGTCACAGGCAGGTAGAGCACTAACCAGGTTCTTGGGGTCCCCAATTCCAGGACTTCACTCTTAGATGGCATTTTTGGACCTCCCTGGGCCGGAGAAGAGCCCACTGCCATGAAGGATGAGTCCAGGTCGGGCAGCATTCAGCACAAGCTGACAGAAGGGCCCTTGGGCCTTAAGGGAACATCAGTAGTAGTCTGGCAGTGCTCTTTGTGGCGTAGGGGGCAGGGGCTATGGAGCAGGGCTCCTCTGACTTTGGAAAAGGGAGGAAAGAGCGGGAAAAACTGCGACCTGTGGTGTGAGTGCCAGCTCAGCCACAGTACAGTAGAACACCAGGTAGACTTCTAAGGTTTTTTACTCGAGTCCCTGATTGCGGCACCTCTAGACCCACCTGGAACCTAGAGAACCTCACCACCCTGAAGGGAAGTTCACAGGCCTGGATGGCTTTGCCACCAGTTGATTTTAGAGCCCCAATACAATAATAGCTTGAGACTTCAACACTCCACTTGCAGCACTGGACAGATCAGATAGGAAGATTGTCTGGAAAGATGAAATTCAACAAAGAAACATTAGACTTAATCTGCACTATAGGCCAAATGGATCTAACAGATATTTACAGAACGTGTCATCCAATGGCTACGGAATACACATTCTTTTCCTCAGCACATGGATCATTTTCAAGGATAGAGTATTATGTTAGGTCACAAAACAAGTCTTAAAACATTTAAAAAACTGAAATAATATCATCCCAGCACTTCGGGAGGCTGAGGTGGGCGGATCACAAGGTCAGGAGATTGAGACCATCCAGGCTAACACGGTGAAACCCTGTCTCTACTACAAAAAAAAAAAAAAATACAAAAAATTAGCCAGGTGTGGTGGCAGGCGCCTGTAGTCCCAGCTACTCTGGAGGCTGAGGCAGGAGAATGGCTTGAACCCGGGAGGCAGAGCTTGCAGTGAGCCGAGATCAGGCCACTGCACTCCAGCCTGGGTGACAGAGCGAGACTCTGTCTCAAAAAAAAAAAAAAAAAAAAAAAAATTGAAATACCAAGCATCTTCTCTGACCACAATGGAATAAAACTAGAAATTAATAACCAGATAAATTTTGGAAACTACATAAATACATGAAAAACAATATGCTCCTCAGTGACCAGTGGGTGAATGAAGAAATTAAGAAGGAAATTGAAAAAATTATTGAAACAAGTGATAATGGAAACACAACATACCAGAACCTATGGGATACAGCAAAAGCAGTACTAAGAGGGAAGCTTATAGCTAAAAGTGCCTAAATCAAAAAAGAGGAAAAACTTCAAAGAAACAATCTAATGATGTATCTTAAAAAACTAGAAAAGCAAGAGTGAACCAAACTCAAAATTAGTGGAAGAAAAGAAATAATAAACATCAGAACAGAAATAAACGAAATCGAAATGAAAATAATACAAAAGATCAGCCCGGGCACAGTGGCTCATTCTTGTAATCCCAGCACTTTGGGAGGCTGAGGCTGGGGGATTGTCTGAGCTCAGGAGTTCGAGACCAGCCTGGCCAACATGGTGAAACCCCGTCTCTACTAAAAATACAAAAAATTATCTAGGCATGGTGGCACATGCCTGTAATCCCAGCTACTTGGGAGGCTGAGGCAGGAGAATTGCTTGAACCTAGGAGGCAGAGGTTGCAGTGAGCCGAGAGCATGCCACCGTACTCCAGCCTGGGTGACAGAGCAAGACTCTGTCTCAAAAAAAAAAGAAAAGATCATTGAAACAAGAAGTTGGTTTTTTGAAAAGTCAAACAAAGCTGACAAATCTTTAGCCAAACTAAGAAAAAAAAGAGAAGATCCAAATATACCTTCAGTATTGAAAATGATGCAAAGATAAAATACCTAGCATAGCAAGTTGGCATTATATGTGAAGGAACAGAAGCCACACATGATTAAATTATTTGCCAGAGAAGATTTCTTGTATTTTGGGCCGGTGTTTTCACTTTTATGATCTTCAGAACACTCACTGAACTCGTATTTGGAGAGTGGTTGTGGTCTACAAATTTTGTAAGTACATGCTGTCCATTTGGAAAACAAAACAATCACAAGCAAAGGAGATACAGAATGAAAAGAATTTGCAATTTTTGCAGGGCACGGTGACTCACACTTGTAATCCCAGCACTTTGGGAGGCTGAGGCAGGCGGATCACTTGAGGTCAGGAGTTTGAGACCAACCTGGCCAACATGGTGAAAGCTGTCTCTACTAAAAATACAAAAATTAGCTGGGCGCAGTGGTGTGTGCCTGTAATCCCAGCTACTCAGGAGGCTGAGGCAGGAGAATTGCTTGAACCTGGGAGGCAGAAGTTGCAGAGAGCCGAGATTGTGCCACTGCACTCCATCCTGGGTGACAGAGGGAGACTCTGTCTTTAAAAAATTGCTATTTTTATAAGTCCTTTCTATGGGACATAAATACATTAAAGAAAACATTTTTCAAAAGAATCTTGGAATACAATAGACATTTCTAAGTATGACAAAAATTCACATATGCCATAAAGAAAAGAGCTACTAAATTTAACTTCATTTATATTTTTACATTTCTGAATGAAAAAAATCAATAGATAAGTAACAATGAAGGGTGGGGGTGGCAACATTTATGACAAATAGCTAATTTCCTTATAAGTACATGGTAATTCTACAATTTTCAAAATCCAGCTCAGAAACAAGAAACAAGGCCAGGCACAGGAGCTTGTGCCTGTAATCCCAGCACTTTGGGAAGCCGAGGCGGGAGTAGCACTTGTGGCCAGGAGTTCAAGACCAGACTGGGCAACATAGCAAGACCCCCATCTCTACAAAAAAATTAAAATATTAGTGAGGATGGTGGTGCACACCTGTGGTCCCAGCTGCCTGGGAGGCTGAGGCAGGAGGATCACTTGAGTCCAGGAGGTCGAGGCTGCAGTGAGCCATGATTGCACATCCAGCCTGGGCAACAGAGTGAGACTCTGTCTCAAAAAAAAAAAAAAAGAAAGAAAGAAAGAAAAAAGAGAAACAAGATTTCAACTCTGCCACTGACTAGCTTTGTGATGGTGGGTAAGTAGGTAAGAAGCTAGGGTTCCACTTCTGCTAGTGAGAGCTGGGCGAGATTGTCCACAGAGTCTTCCCAGTTCCCATACTGTGTGATTGTCCGCAAATCTCCAGGTTTGAAAAAGAGGCAAATTATGCATTTAAATGAAATGGAATTTTATAAAGGATACAACACAAAACAGATTAAAAGACAGATTGTTTGGCTTGAATTCCTAAACAATTACACTGCAAAGTACAAAATGAGGCTTCTTGTTTGTAACTTAAAATTTTTAAAGAACTTTTATGGATGAAAAGTACCAGAGAATCTCATGATTAGCCTGTTCACAAGCTAACAAATTATAAAATGTCTGCCTCCTTTTCTAGAGAGAAATAAAGGGTCATTCAGGGACTACCAGCCCTAGAGTTAAAATTAATTTCCAGTAAATCTGAAAGGAGAGCAACATGTCCACTGAGTGGACCTACAAAAACCACAGAGGAAGTGAGAGCAGACAGCAGTTTTCCTTCAGAACAGTGGGGTTGTGAGGTCTTGGTAGGTTTGCTGTGCACAGAGCGCCCATCACCTTCCCACCAAGCCTGATTCACAATCTAAGTGACTCTGGAGGACTGAGCAAGGAAGTGGATTGGTCCCAGCTGGCTCCTAATAGTTCACAAATCTCTGATGCTCTGCTTAACCCAGAGTCTGTCATTTTTTTTCACTCCCAGGCTTTTCTGCAGACGCCAAACTCTAGGAGAATCTCTTTTCTCGCACTGCTCCACAGCCTTGCTAACCCATGACATCATTCCCACAGCCTTCTATGGCTCCCTAAAGCTGCTCCTGTAATCTGCTAACCCCACCGTTCCAGAACAGTGGCACATCAATAAAACCCAGCAGTTCTGTTATTTGGGTTTCATCAAGCTTTTCAGGAAAACCTTTTGTGGTGGACAGTTAGTAAAGGAAACAGAACAAAGAAATAAAGCACCAGCTCATTAGACCTGAATCAGAGCCTAGAACCAAACTCTACTCACTTGGAAAGGGTTGGCTAGGGGGTCTTAGAAGTCTGCAGGCTCTATAAAAAGGAATGTTGCTCTTCAGACACTGAGCAGGGAAATTTGTTGGTGGCATTTCGTAGTCTAATCCAAGCCCTAGGATATGGAATTTAGGAGAGAACAAAATTGTTCTAGGGATGTGAGCCCCTCCTTACCTGATAACAATCCAAACCCCAGGGACTGACTTGCTCACTTGAGGCTGGCTGCTTTCCAAGCCCAGGACCTCATCCAGCTTGCCTTCCCCTTTCTCCAAGAAATTCTTCCTTGAAAGGAGATACACTTTAGTGTAATAGCTCTTTAGACAGATATTTATCAAGGGTCTATTCCTTACCAGGTATCATGTGCAATGCTTTGGTGTCCACTACCCTATTCCACAGGGATCTACTTAGAGGCAGAAGCAGAGAATTTGCTGAGACCTTACAAGAGGCTGCAGAGAAGCCTCTGAGATGGGAGGTCCCAATTTTACAAGTTGGGGCTCAGAGCAAGAAGACTCACCCTGTTCAGGACTTCTTTAAGGGAGGATCATGTTAAAATGCAGACTCTCATTCTACACATCTGGAATTGGGCTTGAGATTCTTCATTTCTAACAAGTTCCTGGACCACTCTTTGATGAGCAATGCCCTGACTCCTGGAGAAGATGCCACCTCCTATGGGCCACCCCTGCTTTGGTTCTGGTGGGAAGGGTAGGGCATTGAGGGAAAGGGTGTGACTGCTGGAAATGGCTGGTCCTCTTAGAGGATCCTGAGTGAACACATCCAGTCCCCTACTTTTTCCCAACTCAATTCTCCTAAAGAGATTTTTTTCCTTTTTAATAAACCCAGTGGTTAACAACTAGCTTGTTAGTTAAAGGCCTGAGGGACACAGAGGGAGGCTCATGCCCTACTACTCAGTTCATTAACTGGAGTAACAACCAATTTCAAGGTGATTATTGCTATTATAAGCTCTGATCAATTTTTTAAACGTTTCCAGGTTTTAAACCTAAAGCGGGAATATTAGAGCTCAGAGAGCAGCTGTGTTGAGAATTAGTCATATCCCCAGATTAATATCTGATCTCTCCATCAAAGAGAATACAGGACACATTTAGTTAGGGTTCTAATTGTACCTCCAATAAACCTCCACCACAGTGAAATATGAGTGCCCATAATTTTTAGTTTCAACTTCCTATAGATAATCCATCTGACTGGATGGTCTTGAGCAGAGGCAGTTAAAGCAATTTGTTTCACTTATATAAAGAAATAAATCAGTGCTTAATTATGTGAGGTTTATTATTAACAGTGCTGGCAATCTGACCATATGCCATGACTTCATCTTTTTACATCAAGAAAAAATATGAGAATATACTGATTGCTTTTATGATGGCTGTGCCCACTCCAGAGTGACGCTTGTGGCACACAATGTGACCCAATGAGGAGGAGGAGGTTCTACGTGTTCACACTGTTCTCAGTATCCAGCTGTGGGCCTATGATGCATGCATAATGGTCAATGAACAGTTGCCACTGAGAAGAGGCAGGAAAACTTCACATCATCCTTAGTACTGCTTCCCATCATGAGAACAAGTTCATCAAATCTTTTTTTCTCCAGAATCTTGATGTCTTTCCTAGACCAGCATTAAATCACCAGCATGCAACAGAAGAGAGGTCACAGATTTGGTGTCAGAAATGTGAGTCCAAATTCCCACTCTTACTAGCTGTGTGACTTGAGTAAGTGATCCAACCCCTCTGACTTCCTGTTTATTTCCCTAGCATGGGATATCGATGCCTCCCATGCCAGTTCATGTGAGGATTAGACATTATGGATGAGTAACACCTGGCCCATATTAAGTGCACCGTAAAAGGTAGCTATTACTTTGGAAACTCCTATTCTAGGGATAAATTGGATAACTAAAACTTAAGCATGTCTATATCCTATGGTTGTTGATGAACTGATGACATCAGTGACAATATTTCAAATTGGGCTTTTAGTTTGCTCTTGCCTTTGATGTCTGTTTCTAGTGGGCCAATTTCCAATTTCTCTTTAGATTGCTGTGTATCCAACAGCAAACTAGTGAGTATTCTGAGCTTCATCTGTTTTATAGATGATCCAGTTCTTAGGGAGTTAAAGCCTTCAGGATGGGAGCTGTGACAGGCAGGTTTGCACTCAGGAAATACTTCACAATGGCCACTGGAACTCCTCCTGCTGTGGCAGACAGCTGGTAACCCAGTCAACATGCATTCTCCTGTATTCCTTGGTGAAAGAATCCAGTTGTAGATGCCCAGCTGCTAAAATATGTCTTTGCAGGTCAGGATGGCCAACGATACACAAATGGAAATTGTTGAAGCAGATTTCCAGGAAACCTCCTTGAGGGAGGCACAGACAGCTGGCATCTCCTCCTGTCACCCTTTCCTCTTCCCTGTACTCCATTCCTGAGTATAGAAGTGGTATTGGAAACCCAACAATCAGATGGAACCATAAGGCAGCCCTGGGGATGAAAGCCATGTGCTGAGGATGAAGGGACAGGAAGATGGAAAGAACCTGGGACCCTGATGACACCATATTAGCCTAGAGACTGCCTTTCTCTGGTCTTCTATTGCATGAGGGGCAAAAAAAAAAAATGTAAGTTATGTAAGTCACTGTTATTACCAATCTATGTTACTAGTAGCCAAATGCAACTATTTTTTGCATTTTTATACACACCCCAAGCAGACTTGCGCTATGCACAAAGGACCCTGGAAGAAAAGTATTCCATATCTGTGCTAAAAATGCAAAGGACTAAGCTTTACCTACCCCAAATAAACTAGTATGTTACTCATACATGGCTGAAAATGTAGATATTCCTTCCAGAGAGAATAATTTATTTAATTTTATAATATTCTGGACTTGCAATAAATACCCCAAAGGCATACCTTCTACAAGGTCTCTAGCTTAATTGGGTCCACGTTCTGAAGCTTATGAAGTCACCAGTCCTAAAATAGCTCTGCTTTTCGTCCCTCACCAAGACAGTCTTAAACTCTTTACTAGACACTATAGCAAAATAAAACATGCTTGAAAACATTAAGGGCTGATGAACTGGTTTGGATTTTCTCCAATCCTCTAGACTTTCTCTCCTTCCCATAGCTCTAAAAGAAAGTCCAGCCACTTTGAAATGAAGACATTTGATTTGGGGCCACCACACATTGATTTATCTAGCAGAAGGTGCTTGCATTTTTCAAGCCAGAGCAAAGAGCTTCCATACCACTCTACTATCCCCTTGGTGAGGTATGATGGTTCTTGGCTGCCAGATTAAATAGAAATACAGTGTCTCATTTCTGGTTCCCATGAAGAGGCAACTGAGATGGGCTGACCTGAGAAAAGAACCATTCTGCAATAGAGAAATATATTAACCAAGATAAATTCAAATCCTAGTTTGCCTCACCATATCTCATTTTAGGTACCTAGAATGGAAAAAAAAAAAAAAAGAATTCATCTCTTTTTTTGTGGGGGGAGGCACTGTCTTGCTCTGTCATGCAGGCTGGAGCATAGTGGCTCAATCATAGCTCACTGCAGCATCGACCTCCTGGGCTCAAAGGATCCTCCTACCTCAGCCTCTCCAGTAGCTAGGACTACAGGTTTGCACCACCATGCCTGGCTTTTGTTTTATTTTTTATTTTTTTGTAGAGATGGAATCCCATTGGGTTACCCAAACTGGTCTCAAACTCCTGGCCTCAAGTGGTCCTCCTGTCTCAGCCTCCCAAAATGCTGGGATTACAAGTGTGAGCCACCATGCCCAGCCTCATCTAAACTTTAATGAGATATTTGATACCATTCTACACAATATTTCTGTCTTAACTTTGCTTACCTTATATTGCTGACATAACATGGATTGACTAACACTTAACAAGTAGAAATTAATTGTTCAACAACCCTCAAGATAGTAAACAGACTAGTCTTCTGAAGTCTGTTCTCATGTTATTTAAAATCTTTATAAAATAATAAATAAATAATTGATATTTTACATATACAGATGCAATCGATGGGTTGGACTTGTTCATATCGAAAAAAAGGAGAAATAAAATGTAAATGCCTTCATTTAATTAGTAAATATGGCTCATTTGAGCACAGGTTGGTATTTAACAGAGAACGTGCAAAGAAATGCACAAAATAAAGACACTGACAGAAAAGAAACACTTGGAGGGAGAGGGAAAGGGGACTATTAGCTTCTCTGAATTCTCCAAAGATAATATAAGATTATGGTAAATGAACTCCACCAGCTAGCTAGCAATCCTTTCCCAGCAAAAGTGACAGGTTAATCATTCTATTTAATATCAAAAGCCCACCCTGAAAGCTCAAAGTTCCGAATCTGGGAGTAAGCAATGCAGAACTCCATTTCCTAGCTCTAGAACACCAAAAGGCAATCCGTGGGACTAAGTAGACCACTAGCAAAGAATCCCAATCCTGCCTTCCACAGTCTCCAGCCAGGACTTAACGAGCCATGAATTTTCACCACAAAGTAGATTTCTTCATTAAATAGCTAATTAAGCTCTTTTGAAAAAGTGATTTTCAACAGAGCTGATAAATTCAACCCAAATTGGTGCATTAACTAATCAAAGCAAGAGACTTCTGCTCAAAAGTACAAACCGAAAGGCTTACAATTCCCACCTCCTCACATACCTTCATTCATTCATAGATAGACCGATAATAGACAGATAGATAGATAGATAGACAGACAGACAGACAGACAGACAGTTAACCTGTTCCTAAATGTGATTAAATAAGGACTTGGAACCTGAAATCATGAATTTAGGAGAAGCTATCTCAGTCCAATTCACACTGGAGAGTATGGAAAGAACCCAGCCAACCTCTGCTTCCTGGGCTGAGTCCATTTCCAGGTCAGCTTAGCACCTTGTTAAGTTGTCTAGATCTTGATATTCATGGGATCAGTAAATTAGTAACCCCCTGCCTTCACTTAGAAATCACAAAGTAGGACTTCCATTATATTCATCTTTGTGTTCCTTAGAAATCCTGGATTTTCCAAAACTGTAATTATGTGTTCAATCATATGCTCAGAAATGACAGCAAAGGCCAGGCGCGTGGCTCACACCTGTAATCCCAGCACTTTGGGAGGCTGAGGCAGGCGGATCACCTGAGGTCGGGAGTTCAAGACCACCCTGACCAACATGGAGCCTCTACCAAAAATACAAAATTAGCCAGGTGTGGTGGCACATGCCTGTAATCCCAGCTACTAGGGAGGCTGAGGCAGAAGAATCGCTTGAACTCGGGAGGCAGAGGTTGCAATGAGCTGGGATCGCGCCATTGCACTCCAGCCTGGGCAATAAGAGTGAAACTCTGTCTCAAAAAAAAAAAAAAAAAATAGAAATGACAGCAACAATTTGAAATGATGTATTTTCTAGCACTTGATTCTTAGCCCTGTCCCTACACACAAGCATATTATGTCTTACCAAACTACATAGAAAATAGGTAGTCCACCTTCACCTTCTAATACCATTTTGTTTTAGATTACATATTTTATGCATATAATTTCAAATTTTATGAAAATTATAGAAATAATTTGCAAATTATCGGAAAACATACAACAAAGGAAAAAAGAAAAACACAATTCCCTTGATCAGAGAGCTAGACCCTAGACCCTATTAACATTTTGGTGTTTCTTTTGTCAGTCATGTTAGAAATGGTATGGACATATATAATTTTTAGAAAAAATGTATACTACTTTGTAGCTCACTTAAAAAAAAAAAAAAAAGTTTCACTCTTGTCGCCCAGACTGGAGTGTAATGGCGTGATCTCAGCTCACTGCAACCTCCGCTTCCTGGGTTCAAGTGATTCTCCTGCCTCAGCCTCCCAAGTAGCTGGGATTACAGGGGCCTGCCACCACACTCAGCTAATTTTTGTATTTTGGGTAGAGACGGGGTTTCACCATATTGGCCAAGCTGGTCTCGAACTCCTGACCTCAGGTGATCCACACACCTCGGCTTCTCAAAGTACTAGGATTACAGGCATGAGCCACCACGCCCGGCCTATAGCTTGCTTTTTCACTAAGGAATACATACTGAACATTTTTCATGGCACTAAATATTCTACAAACTTATTTTGAGTAACTGAATAATATTCCATCAAATATGTTTACTCTAGCCAATCTTCTATTATTGAGTATTCAGGTTGTTTCTAATTTTTACCAGTAAAATATTGCTTCAGAAGGCCGTGGTGGCTCACACCCATAATCCCAGAACTTTGGGAGGTTGAGGTGGGAGGATTGCTTGAGTCCAGGAGTTCAAGACCAGCCTGGGTAACGTGGCAAGACCCTGTCTCTAAAAAAACTAAAAAGATATTAGCCTGGCATGGTGGTGTGTGCCTGTGGTCCCAGCTACTCAGGAGGTTGAGGTGGGAGGATCACTTGAACCCAGAAGGTTAAAGCTGCAGTGAGCCATGTTCATGCCACTGCACTCCAGGCTGGGTGACAAAGCAAGACCCTGTCTCAAAAACAAATTAAAAACAAACAAACAAAAACAAAACATTGCTTCAATGCCTGCCCTCAGAGAGAAGTCATTGCTCACATTCATATTTTCTGGGACAAATTGCTAGATATAGAATTGTTGGGACAATGGATGTGAACAAATTGTAAATGCTCATACACGCTGACAAACTGTCCTGCAAATAAGTTGCACCAATCACACTCTACCAGTAATATATGTAAATGCCCCAAGTTATGGTCACTTTCCTTACATCCTCACTAACTTTATTATCATTTTTTCTCTTTGCCAACTTAAAAGACCAAACAAAGGCATATCAATTTGATTTTAATTTCTCTTATTGCTAGTGAGATTGAACCTGTTTTCATTTGTTTATCATACATTTGTGTTTCATCTTTCAAATTATTTATTCATGGTCTTTATCCATTTTTCTATTAGGATATTTGTCTATTTGATTAGCAAGAATATTGTATGCATTAGGGATATGCACCTTTTAGGTGACATATAGATTATATATGTTTTTCCCAACTCTTTGTCTTTTAACTTCCCTCATAGTGTTGACATATGGAAATTTTAGAAGGTTTTTATAGCCAAACCTGTCCCTCTTCTTTCATATTTTTATTCCTCTTATAAAGCCCTTCCCTGCCTCGAGTTATCATTTATTCAACATTTTCTCCCATTACATTTATTGGTTTGTGTTTTGCTTTTGTCACTAACCTACACATTTAATCTATCTGAAATTTATTTTGCCATGACAATAGGAAAGAACCCTCCAACTTTTTGTAAATAGTTAACTCTGAGCCACAACTTATGCCATTGATATGGTATACATTCACAACATTCTTATGCACTATATTTGGTCTGTAACTTTAGCATTGTGGTTAAGAGCTTTGGTTTGGGAGTCAGACTTGATTCAAACTCACCATTCCTACCTTTGTGACCTTGGACCAGTTTTTCAACCTGGTTAAGCTTCAATTCTCTCACCTGCAAAGCACTTAGCAAAGGGTCTTGCATATAGTAAGTGCTCAATCAATATTAGGCATTAGCAACCTTTTCAATTAGATCTCAGAATGACCACACAAATTCTACAACTGCACCTGATTTGCTCTCACTGCAATATTAAGGAATAGTCTGGAAAATTTCCTCAGCAGCCTGAACCTAGCTCATGAGGCAACCTTCCTCCCTTCAACCAGACTATGTAGAGCCCACTGACAATTCGAGGGGAATGAATCAGATCACGGCTTTTCTCCACAAAGCTTCTAGCCTCCCTTTCACCCCATTCCTATTAATATAAGCCACCACAAGCCAGCAGCAAAGGGAGAGGAATCCACAACCACAGGTCAACATCATTGCCTTCCCCACATGCAGAACACACACTCTGCTCCAGCTTCCTCCCTAACTCACAGAAGATGACTCACTTTACTCCATGGCTTAAGGTATTTATTTTCCCTTAAGGAAGAACTAGTGTTGTTATACTTGGAGGTCCTGATAGTTTGGGATTCAGGAGAAAAGGACAGTGGAGGAAAGAATTCCAGGGTAAGATACTCAGAGAGTTTTCAATGGTTGTGCAATTAATTTAACAAACTGTCCCAATCTCAGATAACTTCTAAAGACCAAAAAAAAAAAAATACTACCTGGTTAAAAAGCCAAGCAGTTAAATCGGAGGCATAAATTGGGTCTTTATTACCAAGTTCTCCACCTCTCTCTTAAATCATTACATTCCCTCTAATATTTCTTTATTAGAAATATTATAGGGGTAGAAGGTAGTTTGATGTATAATGGAAAGGACTCAGTATTTGGAGTTAGACATAACTTCTAAGATACATCATCAGATACCTGCAAAACCCTGTCTTCTAGCCTAGTTCAGTTCAGCCTGTACCTTAGCAGTTACTATATGCCACAGGATAGGGGTAAAATAAAGTAGTCTCTTGACTGGGATAGCTCAAATTCCATTTCCTCTCTGGTATCCACTCTTCCCCATTGTATCACAAACTTCCCCATTAGGAAGACTATGTCTGCTACCACCTTTTAGAAACCCAGGAGCCAAAGTCCTATGATGCATTCAATAGCTGTCCCAATACATTTTAGAAGGAAGAACTGAGATGTGCTGTTACTGTTTCATATCATCATGCTCCAGATGAAGAAAATCATTTTCCCAAGTAAAGCAGGGACCACGCTATACTCTTGCCTTATCCTCTAGGGCACCATTCTCTTCTTGGCTTCAGTCCAGCCCCACAAAAGTAATAGTAAAAGAATCAGACCTGGGGCTTCCAGGTCTCTCATCATGCCATCTCCTCTGTTTCTCTCCACTGATCTAGAAAAATGCAGTAGATACTGTAGGGCAGCTGGCTCTTTGAGTAGCAGGCCAGAGTCTCATGAATGCATGCCCCTTCTGGGTCCCAGTGGCATGAGGGCACTATAATTAAGTGCTTTGACTTTATTACCTCTTCTTCCTGAGCCTTCCCTGCTCCATCATTTTTATCCATCAGTCCTTAGATTTCATACCTAGGCATTTGCTTTCAGTATCTCTATGTCTGCTGCACTATCAATTAATGGCTGCAAAGAATTCCCTAGAATCCAAGCCTTCCTGGCCATGTACCCTGGGGTCCAAATGGCTCCTTCATTTTGGCAGATTGTTCCCATGACTTCTTGGGTCTTCTAGTCAGCATCAAGGATATTGCAAGCCACTTCCTAATTGTTTTACTCTCAGTATGCAATATTCCAGTCTTCTTCCTCTGGCTATGGTTGAGAGAGCCAGGGAGTGAGGTCTCTCTGCCTATGAAGAGGATCTACCTCTGCACATAGCCATAATTTGATTCCCCTCTCTGGGATTCATACGGGGAGTTATTGAGCCAAGAGTTTATTATCGAGCTTAGCATGAATATACAGTGAGGATAGCTGAGTGCAAAACCAAATGTTCCAAGTGTTCTTAATTCCATGTGTTTTGAAGTGCCTGAAGCAGGAATTTTATGGAAGAGGGAGAGTCTTCCCTGGTGGTAAATTAAGGATACTTCATTTTAGCCCTGGATCACGATCAGGTTTTTAGCAGTCAACTAATCCCATTCTGTCTTTATTTTCTAATTGTATCCTTACCAACACCCCTCAGCGTTTTTTCACAGTAGAGTAAGCCTTGCTAAAAAAAAAAAAAAAAAAAAAAAAAAAAAAAAAAAAGAAAAGCTTCTCTGTTCTGAGACTCCCTCTAAAACATGTCTTCGCTTCCAAGGGTAATGAACTCTTTTATAATAAACGCCTCACTTTAATGCACGCTCTCTTTGGTTTCCAGGAACTGCCTTATAATTACGCCGCTCAGTATTGCATGTCAGAGGTTTGCTTCGCCTTTAATATTTTATGAAGAAATTCAGATTTTGACAGTAAAAATATTTAACCCAGAGGACCTGAAACCCAGACTATTATTTTGTAAAGTAGCCATCTAGCTGCACACTTGTGCACCGCTGCCTTCCCCAGTGCGTACTCACACTCTTTGATACTCTCTGAGCAGACCCAACCACATGCTGTCCAGATGGAAACCTGGCTATATCATTACATTATATTGAAATAACCCAATACCACCTGTTTCTGTTGGGGTTCCTGCCAACATTTTCCCATAAAACATTTATTTTGCTAATATTTTAGTTGGTCACCACAGAAGGACACTTGAAGTTAAAGATTTACCATGTGTTACCGCCACTCGGAGCCAAAAGAGGCAAAAAATAAAATAAAAAGCCCTTTGAAACCAGGCAGCAGAGTTCGAGAAGAGCAAATGTCTATCTATTGTTTCCAAAGGTGGATGCCTCACCTGGCATGATGTAATCACGGGCACAGGGATTTCAAAACAAGCTTTTCTTGGCAATCTTCACAGAACGAATTATTCTTGTGTCTCTGGTGCTCATCTTTGGATCGTAAAATATTTTCAGCTTTGTGAGAAGCTTTTGCTGCTCCTTGGCAAATTTTCTCCCTCCAAAAATGTTGCATTTTGTAAATAAGTTCATGGAGATAAGGAAGTAATTAGATGAATTTGATTTATAGATACACATGCATATATTATTTGCATTCCATGAAGAACAGGATAGGTGAGGGGGAGTCAATGTCACATATTAGGAAATGACCCTGCACAGGATGTTCAAAGTCACTGGATGCCCTTGGGGACAGAAGCAATGCATTTCTCTTCAGGATTGAACATCCAATGGAACGCTTTGGTCAAGAGACATAATGCAACATAATTGTCAAGTGTTTTGTTTCTTGTTTTCTACCCTTTGCAACTACTTCACTATTTCTTGTTATGAAACACAAAGTTAAAGCCAAACTAGCCCAAAAATCAGAAGGCCATTGGAATAGTTTGCCAAAGATGTCATTTGGAGCTGGATTTGTGAAGGAAGAACTGTTGGCACCTGGTTGCCCCTTCACCACCTACCTCATGTGCCACTGTAGCTGGACCCAGCTTCCCTGCTATATTTTAAGCTTACACCTACATTACAGTCTTAATTTTCTCCTGCACACGGAACCCCCTCTCAACAATAAACCCCAGAGGATGGGGGAAACACACAGAGACTAATGGCATTTGGCTGCTGCACATCCTTAACATCTCCAGTCTTTTGGCTCTCCTGGCTCCTGGGATCTCCATCGATTTTCCTGGAATTCTCATGCACTACAAGAAGGTCTTTCTTTCTATTATTATACTTGGTGATTCACGTGCAAAGGTTAACTGCATGGCCTTTTTCCTGGCCCTAGTTAATTAGGAGGATGGGCCTTCCCCCAACCCCACTTCTTGACTGGCATATTGCTAAAAACCAGAGGAATGGAAAGGAATGATGTTAGCCTGGAGCCCCACTCATGTAATGTGTCCATTTTTCAGCCAAAGGAGCTCTTTTACACCAAAACGCCTACTTTGCATTGTAAAAGTAATTTATATTTTAGATATTTGTTTTAAAAGTCAACTTGTAACCTGTAATGGCTATAGATATAGATTAAGGATCACAAGTAAAGCAATGTACCTCTCCTGGCGGCTTCCATTCACATTCACATATCCTCCCTAAAGACAGATAATCATATAATTAAGCAATCCATTTCTCAGCATATATGCGCTGTACAGAAGACAGTGATACAGTGAATTCTGGTGTGTGCTTTGGTTCAAAGTATGAAATACTGAATAATCACCTTTTTTATGAAAGCACTTGACCTTTAAATTGATATTTCCACCCAACAGATTATAATTATTGTTCAAAGAGGTGTTGAATGCAGCACAGCTAATCCAAAGGTGGCCCGTCTGTTACTCAATGGTTACGGCTTGTGTCCAACTGATTATATTAGCTGATGGCCATAAAAAGGGCAGAAAGGGTCACTTTTGGCTTCCTGTCAATACCAGCCTTGATTTTTTTTTCCTTCTCTAAGATCGTGAATCTGAATTCTTAAGGTCAACCTAAATTCATAAATATCACCTGCAGATTTGCATCTTTCTACTTAGAGAATGTCAACATTCCGGATGGAGCAAAGCAGGACAAGTGGTAACTGACTCTTGAGTGTTGATCAAGGCTGCTTCCAAAACAAAAGCTCCCCCTTAAGTCGAGTTGCCAAATTTAGCAAATAAAAAATACAGGATGCCCAGTTCAATTTGAATTTCAAAAGGATAAGTATGTCCCATACAGCAAATTATTCATTATCTGAAATTCAAGTTTAACTGGGCATCCTGTATTTTATCTGGCAGCTCTACCCCGGAGCACTCAATCTCTGATTCTGATGTACCCTAATTATCTGTATTTTTCTCTTTTCTACAGAAGAAACATCAAATATGGACAGCTACAGCAAACAACATACTCAGTTCACTGATGGCTGAAAACAAGGAGCACTAAGAAGTCAATATCCATCATCCTTTCTGTTGTTTATTTGTATTAGTTACTGATTGGACCATTTCCCTTTTCATAATTAAACAACACTCTTAATCATCACCTCAGTTCCTGGAATCCTTTATCAAGAGCAAGGACAACTCTGTCCAGGCTGAACAAGGAAAAATATGAAATATATGCTAATATTTAAAAGCTTATTGTTTACCCTACCAGCATCTATCAAGGTAAGCACATTGTGTGAATTTATCATGAGATATGCACAAGGAGATGCAGTAGTTTCTGACACAGTCAAATCTGTTCTGGTTAAGCTCTGGGAATGGGCCCTATCCTTCCCACAAAGTGTCTTCCCGGCACGCCAAGCTCAGACCTAGACCCAGAGGAAGGGCCGGAGCCACCTTGGTGAGCAGAAGGCAGAGAGGAGGGCTCTACAGACACCCACGGTATGACTATCAGGCCAAAAGAGCATCCTAGCTCACATCAGCAGACTTCTCCCTCACCACTGGCTATCCTGCCCTTGACTAGCTAGAAGGGAGGATCATGGATATAAGGATATAGCATCCTTGTAAAATTGTACTGAATCCAAGGCTCGGGGAGATAAATCTCCCTGGGCTTCCCCTGCATTCCCTCTTCCTTCATGCCATAAAGGGGCCACCACCATAAACTAAATCTGAAATCCCAGCATATCAGAAGAAAGCAAAACTAAAAATCCATATCAAAGCAGAAAATCAAGAGTGGAGACTGAAAACGTGATTCTTATCTTTATTGAACATTGCATTGATGAGAATCAATAACAATTGTAAATGTTTCCATTTCATATTTAGAATGTTTTATATTGGTCTAGAAGTTAAGAGTTCAAAGAGCATGTTCATTTACCTCATTTGATATCGCAGTGATTTATTGTACAAAAGGAACTTAAGAGCCCTTTGATCAATCTGTAACAGACATAGTTTTCCTAACCAAGTGTTTCTCCAAGTATGGTTCTCAAAACTGGTCCATGCAAGCAGCATCAGCACCACCGGGGACTTGTTAGAAATGCAGATACTTGAGCTCCATCCCCAGACCTGCTGAATTAGAAACCCTGGGAGTAGGCCTAGCAATCTTTGTTGTCACAAGTCCTCCAGGGAATTTCTGTACACCCTATCATTTGAGAACCACTGCCCTAGCCTCCTAGAGACTGCCAGGCCTTCCTGAGTTCCTCTTCACCATCTGAACCAAACAGTGGCATTTTTCAAGCACTATTTGTAGAGTGTTTGTCTGTCTTTGCCAATAGTAAGGTCGGGTCTTCAGATTTCTGTGCCAGATTTAAGAAAAGACAGTAAGGCAGTAGTTTTCAATATTAAGAAAATGGTTCCCATTTTTTCTTCATACCCTCTCCCCATCACGCACATACACACACACACACACACACACACACATATACATATACACATGCTGCCCCTGCCCATTTCAGAGTGTCTCCTCCAGCTCCTCAGACCCCTATTCTGGGACATTCTGCACTCCCTTCCCACACCCTCCTCTATAAAATGCACTTTTTAAAATCTTAGCCTCCAGCCTGTATCACCTCTCCCCTCCATATTCACCCATCCCCCATTACCCCTCTTCAGCCTCTATCTTTTTGCAGCTTCCAAAGCTTTTGCATTTACAGCCTCACCCTAGGCACTATCTTTCACCCAACACCTTGTGTCCATTTCCGAAACCCTGTCTCTCCGCTCCCCTCCTTCCCACTCCTGCCCTATGCACATTTTCTCTCCTACACGAGTGCTAGCTCCTTTCCCACAGGTCAGCCAGACTCCCTCATTTGCTGCCCATCCCTAGTCCCCACTGTTTTCCTGATGATTTTTGTTCTCATCCCCTAGAACAGAGATGACCAGCCCCACACCCAATCTTCTCTGGGTCTCCCCTCCTCTGACATCCTCTCCCCTCCTCTGACATCACCAGTCTTTGGCTTTTATTTCTGCTACAATAGAAATATTTTTTCTCTGAGGCCATAGTCTTCTCCAACTTTCGTACTTATCTTTTGTTACCTATGCACTAGTTTCTTTTTTAAATATATTGAAGTGAATAGTTGATTTGAAGGAAAAAATATTAGATAAAAAATTGTTCAGGTAATAAGAGGATGAACCAAAAATTGTGGAGGTGGTCACAGAATAAATGATGGTATCAAATGCTGATGCAGCAGGAGGGGGTGGGCATGTCGAAAAGCAGAATATGTTAAATATTGTGAGAAAAGACCCTGGGGTAGAGATGAGCATGTGGCTACAGGCAGCAGTGGGATTCCAGCACGAGAAGGGTGGAAGGAAGGTTCAGGTAAGACAAAGATGTTTATCCTTTCTAGGTCAAAGCCCATGTTGAAAATCTAATGAAATCTAACAAGTCCTCATAGTAAAATGCCCAAACAAGCAAAAGTTTGCATTTATTTCTGGCACATGGAAGAATTCATGAAGCCTAAAGGGGATGACGTCCAGAGACCTCAGATAGAGAAACATGCTGGGTTTGGGTGCCAGTCCAAAAGGCTTCAATGCCAGAAAATGCAACAAAACTTGGGCTTCATCCAAGTGGCAAGGTGGTATGTGTTTTAGGATGCTCAACTTTGTGTACTTTATATTTTGTGTACACATCTCGTGCCCAGCCTTTAGCAAGACTTTCCGAAATTAATGTTTTGATTCCAGAAACTTCAGGCCAGCAACATTGGCTTGATGCCAGAAAAACCAGCCACTAACATATTTTGAAAATGATGTCGTAGATAGAGTACAGGAAATGATTATCACTGGGCAGATAAAAGGAAAACATCTTAAAAGAGAATATAAACTTTTTAACCTACTCTAGAGGCAACATGTAAAAACGTCTGTGCACCAGAGAAAGAAAATTCAGTGATATGTGTGAGGAGTGGTTTGCATGTGTGTGAGGTTAGAGAAAAAGCCACACGTGGATTGCAAATGTATTCGTTTTATCTACTGAGTGCTATTCTGCCAATCCTGAAACAAGAAGATTACCATTTTTGTGTTTTCAGTGTAATAGTATCAGGTAACACAGATTCATTGGTTGCTACATGCCAAGCACCTCATGTGCATTGTTTCATTTAAACCCCTCCTTTACCCTGTGAGGCAGACACTCATACAAATGAAGTGCTGAGGCCCAGAGAGCTTATGCAAAGAATGGCTAAGTCGCTGTTCTAGAACCTGAAGCTGGGATGAACTAGACCAAGATTAAACCAGGTGGCCTGACTCTGTCAGAGCCTTGCTTCTTAACACCATCCTGGATCCAACAATAGTTCTCTCTCCCCAAAACTGACATGGCTCAAAATCTGAATTCCCCTGTTGGCCCAGTTTCCAACCAGATCCACAAACTGTAATTGGATTATGCAGCTGGAATCTGAGAAACAGGAAAGTGCAAATGGCCAAAATAATGAGCACTCGTTAAACTCCTTGGAAAGAACAACACTGCTTCAAGGCAGTGCCTACAAGCAAGTTTTCCTTGAAGAAAATAACTAAAACGTAATCATTACTTTTAGAGATCTTGGTCGATTTCACCCACTGTCCATTCTTCTGCTTGTTTTCCCAGAGAAAATGCGTAGGTGCTCTCTTATTAAAAATAAACTTGCATCCCAGTCTACCCCAGAGCGAGATCAAATGGCTACCACAGGGAGTGATATGAAAATGGAGTCATTTCTCTGAAATTCCCAAGGGTGCTTTTTTGCTTTTAAGAGCAATGAAGTCACTTTCTGCTAGTAATTTATTATTTCCACCAGTTATTCAAATATTTGTCCACATGTTGAAAAATTAGTCCTTATTCAAACAAGTTTTTGCTTTTAAAGCAAAGGCATTCTAAATGTTCAGTAAAACTGGATTCTAGCAAAGGGATACATATAAAGTAATTAAAGGCACATGCTCACTTTCTTCTTAGATAAGCAAACTAAAAATACAAAAAAAAAATAAAAAAAGCCTACACCTTTCTTCAATAGACATTGGTTTCCCAGATTGCACTGGAGGCCTAAGCTCAAAAAATGAGGTTGGCTTCATCCAAACATCACCTGTCTTGCCATTTCCCTGGGCTTGCATGCTAAACAGGTTCAGTCATTTCTGAAAATCGTGGTTCAGGCTGGTCTTTCTTTTGTCCTTGGCATTCTTAGCCTCAGCCAATAGCAGTATGAAGACATTAACCTTATTAAACATAGATTGTGGCTGGTGTTATTGGAAAGAAGTTTAGTTTGTTGTTCACCCATTATCACATTATAGATGACTTTTATCGCTATAGTGGTCATGTGTATGTGGGTAATTGCCCCCTTTCCATCCAAATAATATAAATACCATTAGGCAGGAAGAAAAAGGAAATGGGAAGGAGAGAATAGAGTGCATAATGGGAGGAAAGGACTATTTCCTAAATGCTTCCTGACTTACTGTAGGGAACAAATGAATTATTGCACCCTTCTAAAACTTCAGTGCCCTTGGTAAAAGCAGACAGAGACAGGAGAAAGGGTAAGCAGTTTGTCTTTCTGGAAAAAAGGGCAAATTATATTATATATATATAGTTTTTTTTTCCCCAAATACTGCTCACTAAATTAAGTATTTCCACACTGTTCCCAGCAAGCAGGGAAAAGCATATGGAAGAAGGGAGAGAGAGATCCTATATAACTTCTTCAGAATTGAGGGAGGGTCAGGAAAATACTCAAAGAAATAAACTGTGTAAATAAATACAGTAACTAATCCTAACAGCCTCTGAAACCTCACTTAAGGCATAGATGGTGCCTGGAAGCCAAAGTTTCCACTCAGTCAGCACTAGCATTCAAACACATCATCATTTAGGGAGTTGCTTTTTCTCATCATCTGTTTATCCTCAACTGCCCTCATTGTTCAGCACAGTGAGTACTCAGTAATTACCTTTTGAATGTATAAGAAATCACCTCATTGAGCATCTACCATATACATAGGATTCTTTTTAATAATTACCAAATTTCAGATATGTTAAAGTTAGGAAAAAAAAATCTGGTTTGGGTCAGCAAGTTCAGTAAATCGGTCTCATAAAAGAAGTTTGAGAAGAGCATTTTCCATTGACCTTTTCTTCACATTTAAAGTGTCTCTGAATTTGACAGTAGGTATCAAGAGATTTGGAAAAGGTCATGCCTCTTGCCCAAGTAGCTCAACTTCCAGATATCTACCCCCAAGGAAGTCATAAGAGGTATGAACAAAAATTTGTGGTGGAGATGTTCATCACAGCACTATTTAGAATATCAGTATCCATGGATACACATGTCCAGGCACAGGGTCAAGTTTAAATTAAGCTGGAATCAAAGTCAAGTCATGTAATGGCCTCCCAGTGACCCTTACATGTGATTTTTTTAAAGTTTCTTTAATGGCATGGAAGATATTTGATGATACACTGATAAACGAAAAAAGCAGGATGCAATGCACTTCACACAGGATGATCGAAATCTACATCAGAGAAAAAGCTACAGGAAGAAAGAGACACACACACACATGAAGAGAAAATCAAAAGTTAACATTCCAAGTTACAATGAGGAGTTATCCCTTAGTTATGAAGGTTATGAGGTCACAAATGATTTCTTTCATCTTTTTAAAATTTCCTGTTATTATATATTCCCAGATTGCTTTTATAGTCAGAAAAAAATAAATTTTTTGTCATAGAATTTTTAACTGTTTAGACCAGGTTAGGAAGTCTAATCATAGGGAAAATGAGATATTCTAAATTCTGACAGCTTCAATTGCCAGAATTCAATTGCCATAAGTTTTCTGTGTGTTTTTGTTGTTGTTGTTGGTTTGTTTTTTTAGACAGGGTCTCGCTGTCACCCAAACTGGAGTGCAGCGGCACAATCATGGCTCACTGCAGCCTCCCCATTCTGGGTTCACGCAGTCCTCCTGCCTCAGTCTTCTGCTACCAGATGATCTCTACAGTTTTCCTATGGTTTCTTGAAGACTTCTGTGCATTTTCCCTAATAGCCAACTACTTATGATCTGTGAGTCTGCAGCAGCTAATAATTACAAGAATTTTCTCAGGAAAGGAAGATGGAAAGGGGAGTTCAGGAGAGTCCGACTCAAGCCATAGGTTGCCATTGGCTTGTTGGCAAGTCACTTAAACTCTTGAGGCCTCCTTTGTGTCATAGACTAGGTAATTTTTAAGCTCCCCTGTAGTTTTAAGTCCAAAAAATAATTATCTTTTCTATGCTGTTCTAGGAGGTCGCCACCAAATAATTTGCATTTGGAGCATGTAGACTTCAATTGTTCTTGAGTGAAAGAATTGCCTTCCAGTCACTCTGGAGGATGACAGAGGCCAGTCACTCACACTTGGGCTATTCAGTGGCCTTCCTCTCACATCATCTCCTGGTTTCTGGGCTTCACCACCAGGATCCCCTTAGAGTTCTGCTCGTCCCACAAGGTATGATTTTTAACATGCCAAATGCACTTTTATCATCAACAAAGCCTACTGTGCTGGGAAAACAGTGGCCCTCAGCCTTTTCTGGGACACAGCTGCCTTTCAGAAACTGTGGGAAACATTGACCTCTCCTCAGAAAAATGGTCTTTCACGTCAAAATTTGGCTGACCACTTCATGGACTCACAGACTTGCAGCCCAAAGCCCTTGGATGCCAGGTTAAAAACCCCTGGTTAGGATAGTATTTACCTATTCAACAGAGCCCCAGATGATTTTAAAGCATGCTTCTTTTTCGCGAGTAAGATGATCATGATGACTAGAAATCATGTAATGAAGGGGGCCCGCCCAGGCCCTGTGAGTCAGGAAGAAGGGAACCCAGAGCTGTATCCTTCAGTGCAACCCAGGATCAGCAAGCCTCAGGACAGCGGTGAGGACCACAGGAAAGGGGACACATCTCAGAAACCGCTCCCTGCTCCAGAGCCTGTCTACAAGTGACAGAGCTGCAACCGCCACCAGGGCAGCCTTCTCCCTGACAAGAATTAGGACTCAGGTTTACAATGCCCCAGGCATTATCTTACTGATCCTCACCACAACTCACTGTGCTACTATTGAGCTTGATTGTACGTGGTACCCAACATCTCCATTTTGTAGATGAGGAAACTGAGTATCAGGGAGGATAAGAAGTTTTTCCAAAGTCACAGAGCCAGCAAATGTCAGGGGCATGATTCAGGCTCTGCCTGACTCTATTCCACCCAAGTCAGGCTAATTATTATCAGGCAAGCCCCCGTGCTCAGCTCAGCCACAGGATTGTGTTTCTCAGGAAACATTGCCATAAGTTGAACACAAGTGACACAGAGGAGACTCATGGAAAATTAGTAGCAAGTGGTAGCTGAATAGCAGTTTTTCTTTTTTTTTTTTTTTTTTTTTTGAGACAGGATTTCACTGTCTCCCAGGGTAGAGTGCAGTGGCATGATCATGGCTCCCTGCAACCTCCACTTCCTGGGCTCAGGCAATCCTCCTGCCTCAACATCCCAAGTAGCTGAGACTATAGGCATGGGCCACCATGCCTGGCTAATTTTTTCAATTTTTTGTAGAGATGGAGTCTCATTATGTTGCCCAGACTGGTCTTAAACTCTTGGCCTCAAGCAATCCTGCATTGGCCTCCCAATGCGCTGGGATTACAGGTGTGAGCCACTATGCCTGGCTGGCAGGAATGTCTTAATGCCCGATGCCTCTCAAAGTTCTGTTTGAGGGTGGAAGTAAGAAGGAAGACAGCCTAGGAGCTTCTTTGAAAAAAAATAGCATCTTTGTTTTTTTTCATTTGCAGAGTCATCATTTCTCTGTGTGCCCAATGCTGTGAGTGACCAGCTATAGCCAGGGAAACTCTGTAGCTCTAGAACATGGCCAAGGCCTTTGCTGAAATCCCAGAGCCAGGGAACCACACAGAAGTGCATGGCAAGCCTGGCTCTATGTTCCAGGGGACTGGCTACTTCTCTTAATAAAACAGACTCCCTCTGTCCCCTCAACTAAGAATCATAGAACTTTAAAAATGGAAGGAACCTCAAATATTACTTGGTTTAATGGCTTCCTCTTTTTCATCACTCCCACCCTTCCTTCCTACCTTTACTGTAGACCTTATTTTGCCAAGGAAGAAATTCAAAACCAGAGAAAAGAAGTTGCTTTTTTAAGATTCTACAGATCATTATTAGAGGGTAGAAGTTGAACATAGGTCTATTATGGACCAGGAAGTATGTCACATAATTTACAAATAGCATCTCATTTAAACTTACAGTTATTCACTAAAGTAGATCTTATTATACTCATTTTATAGATGGAGAAACTAATGTTCAGGAAAATAAATAATTCACCATGGTCAAACAAAAAAAAATCATTTGAACATAAATAGCCCTAACCCATAAAGCCAATGCCTTTTTCAAAAAACTCTATAGACCATTAGAGATGAGCCAGAAGTTACCCTGATAATGCTCCTGTGAAGTGCTGGTCAGTGTGTTTAGGTTCCCCTGCACTCCTTTCACCTATGGTACTCTGCCTCTCCCTCTCAGTCTGGAGAATGAACAGCAGACATGGTGATGGATACAAAAGGGAGACCCCTCTGATGGGTGCAGTGGTGACAGCAAAGACCAGATCCAAGAAAGTACCATCTTGGATGGGATATGTGCCAGAGTGGATGCATGACATGACCAAGGGTCAGAAGAGATACGTGACATTTCAAAGATAACAGAATAGTAACAAAATAGATGAGTTTAAAAAAAATAAAATAAATAAATAAAAACGTTTTTTTCTAACAACCTCAAGAGTGTCAGCTGCCGACATACAACTTATTATAAATGCTGAGGAAAGAAGGCGATAAAAGAAAGACAATCCAAGTTCGACGATGAAGGAAAAAGGCGACAAGATTAAGCTTTCTTCATCAGGCATAATATATAGAAGCTCAAAGTCAGGGTAAAGTGAGTTATAGAAAAATAAAGATGACATTTTTCACAGCAATAATCAGTTTCACAGTTATCATTTGTATTAAACTGGTTATTCTATCATGCTACCAATTCAGAAATGCTCCATAAAAATTATGCAAATTATTTCATTTGAAATAAGCTTTAAGTCAATTTTAGGGAAAGGAAAAAAGAAGGACCACAAACCATGTACCCATTTCCCATGTGAAACTCATCAGCCCTCCTGCCACTACTTGTTATTACAGATTTGAGGAAAACTGGAAGAGACAGAAGACAAGAAAAAGAACCGTTCCAGAATAATCCAATATGGGGGGAATGGGGGTAGTGGGGCGGGTAGTGAGAATAAAGCTGTCAAAAGACAAGACAGATTATAGGCCGGGTGCGGTGGCTCACAGCTGTAATCTCAGCACTTTGGGAGGCTGAGGCGGGCGGATCACAAAGTCAGGAGATCAAGACCATCCTGGTTAACACGGTGAAACCCCGTCTCTGCTTAAAATACAAAAAACTAGCTGGGCATGGTGGTGGGCGCCTGTAGTCCCGGCTACTCAGGAGGCCGAGGCAGGAGAATGGCGTGAACCCGGGAGGCGGAGCTTGCAGTGAGCCAAGATGGCGCCACTGCTCTCCAGCCTGGGTGACAGAGAAAGAATCCGTCTCAAAAAAAAAAAAGAAAGAAAAGACAGATTATACTTCCTGTGCCCTTCAAAAACTGATTCAGTTCAGAAATAAGGATTCTTAGAATTCTTGATCAAGAAGTCATCTAGCTTTTCTCTGTCATCTTCAGGAAAACCAATGGCTACAGAGACATGAGCCCAGGGAAATGAGAAGTTTCCCAGAGGAAGCGATTCTAAACTGCCCTCACAGTCACAACCCTGCATTAGGACTAAATAAAGCTGATCAGCATTTATCAATCCGTACCTATGTGATAGATTCATTCATGTCAGTCTCTCCATTGAAAAACAGTTTCCACAAGGGCAGAATGTGACAGGGTTACAATGTATCAACATACTCTTCAAAACTAGCACAGTCCCTGACATAGAATTTATCCTACATTAATTTTGTTGAACAAATGAAATAAAAAAGTCTACACCCCAGGAATTGGAAATACTCTGTTATGATTACATATCTGCACTATACATGAAGTAAGGTAGTGCTATTTGAAAATGGAATTAGATTAGTAAGTTTATATTGCAAATATAGGACAAGTGTAAAAACACACTTTTAAAAGTATCCTTGGTATGCAAAAAGAGGAAAAAAATTATATAAAATTCTCAACTAAAATGAAAGAAAGCAGAAAAATGGGGGAAAAGAAAAAGTGATGAAAAGAAAAGTTATAAATAAAGTAGATATTAATCCAATTGTGTCAATAATCACTTTAAATATAAATACCTAAACATAACAATGAAAAGTCAGAGATTGTCAGAATGGATACAAAATAAGACACAACTATGTGTTGTCTACAAAGAACCACTTTAAATATAAAAGTACATTAAATACTACATCAAGATCTTCCTTCTCTCCTATCTCTACCCTCATGCACAAACACACACACACACACACACACACACACACACACACACAGAGGCTTTTAGTTAAAAAAAAATATTTTGGCTGAGTGTGGTGGCTCACACCTGTAATCTCAGCACTTTGGGAGGCCAAGGTGGGTGGATCACAAGGTCAGGTGTTTGAGACCAGCCTGGCCAATATGGTGAAACCCCTTCTCTACTAAAAATTTAAAAATTATCTGGCCGTGGCGGCACGCACCTGTAATCCTAGCTACTCGGGAGGCTGAGGCAGGAGAATCGCTCAAACCTGGGAGGCAGAGGTTGCAGTGAGCCAAGATCATGCCACTGCACTCCAGCCTGGGCAACAGAGCAAGACTCCATCTAAAAAAAAAATTATAGAGCTAAGAATGAGTTACTTCCTATTCTCAGTATACTAGATCCTGTCAATGTATTAATCAAGACAGTTACACAAAAGGATTGAGACTTCTCATGGTTTCATACCTTCTGTAAACAGTTCCACTATTCTGGAGCAAAACTGAAGGAGGCACTTAACAAACTTGCTGAAGTCTTGCTCTTACATACACAGACAGGCTTTAACATATAGCTGAAAATCAGTTACAGTTTCTCAGGACAGTGATGAAAGAAAACATGCAAATGTAACCCATATGTTAACTTTGATATTTGTCCCTTAGCCCTGTCAGGTTAACATTTCACACTTGGAAAATGAGAACTTCTCTTGTTATATTGCTTAAAGAAAACCAAAGTTTTGCTTACCTAAATGAAAATAAGGTTGTTTCTACCTTATGATGTCCAAATGGGACTTAGTCTCTTCCCTAAACCTTTTACTCCTCATAATTTTCACTTTTTCCTGAAGAAAAAACTGAAATTCAACTTTCTGAACCAAATCAGTCACTAATTGAAATAAATGCTCAGAGGAGAGCATATAAGCATTTTTAATTCAAACAACAAATACCATGTGATTAATAAAGTGTCATTCAACTTTCTGCTAAACTATCTAAGCCTTGATCTTTTCAGTTGTATGTTGATTATATGATTCCATTTCAAAAGGTCTGCATGAGAATAATTCTGCTTACAGGAAAACTAGCAAACACAAACTTCTTATTTGGTCCACCTATGTTCTCTTGCCTCGACTGTTCTTTAAAAAAAAAATAGGTTTAGTTGACAGCATATTCAAAATGAGAGATTTCAAATACATACTCTGATTTCCAAACATCTCTTGAAAACTAGATCTGTCTATTAAACTTAGGCTTATTAGTTCATCTGGCAACAATCAGCTTGCCTAATAACAACTGCTCCCTTTAGACAAGGCATGTGCTTTCCAGTTTGCCAGTTGCCAACATTCCATATTGATTCCCTGACACCGAGACCCAGTGCCAGTTGCCATTTACCATCAGGCTTCTGCTGCTGTTTTTCTTGTAATAGAGAACTATTCCTCTGTTATTTGTGTCACTATGAAAAGTGGGGAGATAGACCAAGAGAATATCAAGTGTGTTATACTCACTGCATGCTTCCATCATGTACATTCACTGACCCATCATTTAAACATTTCGGTTTGAAACCTATGCCCTATAGAACAGTGATGAGACAGTCATTCGCTCTGAAAGTCAAGAGGTGCCAGCCAGCTACAAACTAGGGTTTGTAGAGGTTTGTTCATGTAATAAGTGTAATCAAGATGACACTACACATAGGAAGAATAAAAAGGAACACCAAGTCATCAAAAATTTTCTGAAAAATCAAGACTTTCCATGTGATGGTGAATATTGTCAATTTGATTGGATTGAAGGATGCAAAGCATTGTTCCTGGGTGTGTCTGTGAGGGTGCTGCCAAAGGAGATTAACATTTGAGTCAGGACCAGGAAAGACAGACCCACCCTCAGTCTGGGTGGGCACCATCTAATCAGCTGCCAGCATGGCCAGAATAAAAGCAGGCAGAGAACATGGAAAGCCTAGACTGGCTTGATCTTCTGATCTACATCTTTCTCCCATGTTGGATGCTTCCTGCCCTCGAATATCAGACTCCAAGTTATTTGGATTTGGGGTTTTTTCCTCCTCCCCCTCCTCCTCCTCCTCCTCTTCTTCCTCCTCCTCCTTCTTCCTTCTCCTTCTTCTCCTCCTCTTCCTTCTTCTTCCTTCTCCTTCTTCTCCTCTTCCTTCTTCTTTTTCCTGCTTTTTCCTCCTCCTCCTCCCCCTTCTTCTTCTTCTTCCCCTTCTTCCTCCTCCTCCACTTGTTCCTCTTCCTCCTCCTCTCTTATACTTCCCCTTCCCCATTTTTTTCACTTCTCCTCCTCCTCCTCTTTCTCCTCCTTCTTCTTCGTTTGCTTCTTCTTCTTTGTTCACTTCTTCTTCCTCCTCCTCCTTCTTCCTCCTCTTCCATTTCTTTTTCCTCTTCCTCCTCCTTCTTCTTTTTCCTCCTGCTCTCCCCCATTCTAGAATTCCAGATATACATATGTTTAAATGTTTGGTATTGTCACAGAACTCTTGAATAGTCTGTTATGATGTTTTTGTTTTGTTTCCATTTTTCTCTCTTTGTATTTTAGTCTGAATAATTTCTATAGACCTAGTTTTAAATTCACTGTTTTTTTTTTCCTCAGCTATGTCAAGTCTATTGATGAGCCCAACACAGGCATTCTTCATCTCTTTTATTGAATTTTTTATTTCTAGTATTTCCATGTGATGATTTTTGTAGTTTTCATTTCCCTGCTGAGATTATCTGTCTGCTCTTGCATGTTGTTTACTTTTTTCATTAGATCCTTCAAAGTACTGGTTATGCTTATTTTAAATCCTTGTCAGGTAATTACAACATTTGTGCCATATTTTATTCTGGTCTGATGATTGCTTTGTCTTTGAAGGTGTATTTTTTTTTCTTGCTTTTTCATATGCTTCCTAACTTTTTCTACATCCTGAGCATGAGTCTAACAGAGCTTTGATATCACAATATAAAAGGATCATTCAAGGAAAGAGCACTGCATGCATTACTAAGCATAGTTTTGGAAAACAAAATAAAACAGTGTATAAAAAGAATAATACATCATGATTAAGTTTGGTTTAACACTAAAAATAGTAGTTAACATAATCCAACACATTAAGGATTAAAAGAGAAAAATCATGTGATTATCACAGTAACTGCATTAAAAAGCATTTGATAGAGTTTTAATCCTTCAATAATTTAAAGTAAAAACTGTTAGGAAAAATAGGAGATGGGAACATTCTTAACTAATTTTTAAATTAATAATTTCAAAAATACATAAGCAGAGAGAGAGAGATCATCATGGCAGATGGGAGGCAGGACTACATTGCAGCTCCAGACAGAACAGCTTACGGAAGCTCGCAGTGTGAATTTTAGCTCCAGATCGACTGCAAGAACAAACCAGCAATCCTGAGAGGACCCGCAGACCCTCTGAAGGAAGCAGACTGCTCCTGCAGGACCCAGGAAACGTCCCAAATACTGTGAGTGCCCCAGCTGCAGAGGTGGGAAAGGGAGACCCTCCATTCCCAAACACACACTCCCACTGGAGAAGATGAAGGTCTGTTTGTGGGAGAAGTTTCCGACCTTACCTGGAGCTGAGCCAATTTAGAGAGTCGAGTGAAATACAGGGGTAGAGGAAGCAGCAGAAAGGCCCTGGGAGCTTGCTGGGTCCCCTAGCTGGCTATTCCTGCCTGGCACCACACGGTTCCATTCAGTGGGTGACCGACCAGAGGAGCAGGGGATACAACTCCACAGGGAGAAGGAAATCTCTAGCTGAACTCTGTAACAATTTGAATGGGGCAAGAAGCCTTCTGGCCATAACTCAGGGGAGTGAGCAAATCTGGCATGCAGACTCCACAGGCAGGGAAAGAACCAAGCCCTTTTCTCTGGCAGCTGGGAGGTGGAAAGCCTGGGGCAGGTTTTCAATCCCCTCATGCCCTCCACCTGGAAACAGACCGGGGCTGTTTGCGGGGAGCACAGTGGGAGTGAGACCACCCCTTTGTTTTGCATGGGAGCTGGGTGAGGCCTGTGACTGCCAGCTTTTCCCCATTTCCTAGACAACCTGCGTGACTCAGCAGACAGCCATAACCCTCCTAGGTACACAACTCCAGTGACCTGGGAACATCACCCCCATCTGCCACAGCAGCCACAGCAAGACCCACCCAAGGACAAAGGAGAATCTGAGTTCAGACATGCCTAGCCCTGCCCTGACCTGATGGTCCTTCCCTATCTACCCTGGTAGCGGAAGACCAAGGGCATATAATCTTAGGAGTTCTAGGGCCCCATCCACCGTCAGTCCCTCTCTATACTACTAAAACTGATGCTTTCTGGAAAGCCCCACCTCCTGGCAGGAGGCCAACCAGCATAAAAATAGAGCATTAAACCACCAAAGCTAAGAACCCTCATGGAGTCCACTGCATGCCCCCTGCCACCTCCACCAGAACAGGCACTAGTATCCACAGCTGAGAGACCCATAGATGGTTCACATCACAGGACTCTGTGCAAACAACCCCCAGTACCAGCCCAGAGCTGGATAGACTCGCTGGGTGGCTAGACTCAGAAGACAGACAACAATCACTGCAGTTCGGCTCACAGGAAGCCACATCCATAGGAAAAGGGGGAGAGTACTATAACAAGAGAACACCCCGTGGGACAAAAGAATCTGAACAGCAGCCTTCAGCCCTAGACCTTCCCTCTGACAGAGCCTACCCAAATGAGAAGGAAACCAACCCTGGTAATATGACAAAAACAGGCTCTTCAAATACATGGAAATTAAATAACCTGCTCCTGAATTAGCAATGGGTCAAAAACAAAATCAAGATAGAAATTTAAAAATTCTTTGAACTGAATGACGATAATGATATAACCTATCAAAACCTCTTTGATACAGCAAAGGTGATGCTAAGAGGAAAGTTCACAGCCCTAAGTACCTACATCAAAAAGACCTCACAAATTGACATTCTAAGGTCACACCTCAAGGAACTGGAGAAACAAGAACAAACCAAACCCAAGCCCAGCAGAAGAAAGGAAATTACTAAGATCAGAGCAGAACTAAATGAAATAAAAACAAAAAATATATATTTACAAAAAGATAAATGAAACAAAAAGCTGGTTCTTTGAAAAGATAAATAAAATTGATAGACCACTAACAAGATTAACCAAGAAAAGAAGAGAGAAAATCCAAATAACCTCACCAAGAAAGGCAACAGGAGATATTACAACTGACACCACTGAAATACAAAAGATCATTCATGGCTACTATGAACACCTTTACACACATAAACTAGAAAACCTAGAAGAGATGGAAAAATACCTGGAAAAATATAACCCTCCTGGCTTAAATCAGGAAGAATTAAACACCCCATGCAGACCAATAACAAGCAGAGAGATTGAAATGGTAATTTAAAAATTACCAACAAAAAAAAGGTCCAGGACCAGACAGATTCACAGCAGAATTCTACCAGACATTCAAAGAAGAATTGGTACCAATCCTTTTGACACTATTCCATAAGATAAAGAAAGAAGGAACCCTCCCTCATTCATTTTATGAAGCCAGCATCACCCTAATAACAAAACCAGGAAAAAGCATAATCAAAAAAGAAAACTATAGTTCAATATCCTTGATGAACATTGAGGCTAAAATTATTAACAAAATACTTGCTAACTGAATTCAACAACATATCAAAAAGATAATCCACCATGATCAAGTGGGTTTCATATCAGGGATACAGAGATGGTTTAACATACACAAGTCAGTAAATGTGATACACCACATAAACACAATTAAAAACAAAAATCACATGATCATCTCAATAGATGCAGAAGAAACATTCAACAAAATATAGCATCCTTTTATGATTAAAACTCTCAGCAAAACTCAGCATACAAGGGACATACATTAATGTAATAAAAGTCATCTAAGACAAACCCACAGCCAATATAATATTGAATGAGAAAAAGTTGAAAGCATTCCCTCTGAGAATGGGAACAAGACAAGGATGCCCACTCTCATCACTCCTCTACAATACAGTACTGGAAGCCCTAACCAGAGCAATCAGACAAGAAAAAGAAATAAAGGGCATCCAAATCGGCAAAGAGGAAGTCAAACTGTCACTGTTTGTTGATGATATGATCATTTACCTTGAAAACCCTAAGAAATTCTCCAGAAATCTCCTAGAACTGATAAAGCAATTCAGCAAATTTCCAATACAAGATTAATGTACACAACTCAGTAGCTCTTCTATACACCAGCAGCAAACAAGCAGAGAATCAAATCAAGAACTCAACCACTTTTACAATAGCTGCAAAAAACAAACAAACAAAAATACCTAGGAATATACCTAACCAAGGAGTCAAAAGACCTCTACAAGGAAAACTATAAAACACAGCTGAAAGAAATCATAGACAACACAAACAAATGGAAACACATCCCATGCTCATAGATGCGTAGAATCAATACTGTGAAAATGACCATACTGCCAAAAGCAACCTACAAATTCAAGGCAATATCCATCAAAATACCACCATCATTCTTCACAGAATTAGAAAAAACAATTCTAAAATTCATATGGAACCAAAAAAGAGCCTGCATAGCCAAAGCAAGACTAAACAAAAAGAACAAATCTGGTGGCATCACACTACCTGATTTCAAACCATACTATAAGGCCATAGTCACCAAAACAGCATGGTACTGGTATAGAAATAGGCATATAGACTAAGGAAAGAGAATAGAGAACCCAGAAATAAACCAAATAAACCAAAGCCAACTGATCTTCAATAAAGCAAACAAAAACATAAAGTGGGGAAAGAACACCCTTTTCAACAGATGGTGCTGGGATAATTGGCTAGCCACATGTAGAAGAATGAAACTGGATCCTCATCTCTTAACTTATACAAAAATCAACTCCAGATGGATTAAGCACTTAAACCTAAGACCTGAAACTATAAAAATTCTAGCAGATAACATTGGAAAAACCTTTCTAAACATTGGTTTAGGCAAGGATTTCATGACCAAGAACACAAAAGCAAATATGCAATAAAAACCAAGAAAAATATTTGGGACCTAATTAAACTAAAGAGCTTTTAAACAACAAAAGGAACAGTCAACAAAGTAAACAGATAACCCACAGAGTGGGAGAAAATCTTCACAATCTACACATCTGACCAAGGACTAATACCCAAAATCTACAACAAATTAAGACAAATCAGCAAGAAAAAACCAAACAGTCCCAACCAAAAGTGGGTGAAGGACATGAATAGACAATTCTCAAAAGAGGATATACAAATAGCCAACAAACATGAAAAAATGCCCAACATCGCTAATGATCTGGGAAATGCAAATCAAAACCACCTTATTCCTGCAAGAATGGCCATAATCAAAAAATAAAAAAAACAGTAGATGTTGGCATGAATGTGGTGAACAGGGAACACTTCTACACTGCTGGTGGGAATGTAAACTAGTACAGCCACTATGGAAAACAGTGTGGAGATTCCTTAAAGAACTAAAAGTAGAACTACCATTTGATCCAGCAATCCCACTACCAGGTATCTACCCAGAGGAAAAGAAGTCATTACTCAAAAAAGATACTGGGACACTCATGTTTATAGTGGCACAATTCACAATAGCAAAATCGTGGAACCAACCCAAATGCTCATCAATCAACATATATGTATGTATAATATGTTATATATGTATATGTATGTTTATATCTATCTCACAGTTTCTTTATCTATACATATATATACACATATACATATATATACACATATACACGTGTATATATGCATATATACATATATACATATATACAAACATACATATATGTGTATATATACATACAAACATACATATATGTGTATATATACAAACATACATATATGTGTATGTATACATACACATATATATGTGTATATATAATATATACATATATTATACATACATATATACATATTATACATACATATATTATATATATGTATGTATAATGGAATACTATGCAGCCATAAAAAGGATTGTATTAACAGCATTTGCAGTGACCCAGATGAAACTGCAGACTATTATTCTAAGTGAAGTAACTCAGGAATGAAAAACCAAACACTGTATGTTCTCACTGATATGTGGGAGCTAAGCTATGAGGACGCAAAGGCATAAGAATGATACAATGGGCTTTGGGGACTTGGGGGAAAGCATGAGGCGGGATGAGGGATAAAAGACTACAAATGTGGTGCAATGTATACTGCTCAGGTGATGGGTGCACCAAAGTCTCACAAATCACCACAAAGAATTTATTCATGTAACCAAATACCACCTACACCCCAATAACTTATGGGGAAAATAAATAAAATTTTTTTAAAAATACGTAATCATATATATATATAATGTATACATTAAGTCCCATTTTTAAGAGTAAAATATTAAAAGTATTCCCTTTGTGATTACAAATAAGACAAAAATATCCACTATCACTAATTTTATTCAACAATATACTGGAGATCCTAGACAATACTGTAAAGAAATAAAAAGGATAAAGATTTGGAAAAAATAAAATAAAACTGTTGTTCAGATACATAATAGGAATTAGTTTACCAAGAATAATTGATATAAAATTACATATAAAAGCTATTACATTTTTATATACCAGCAACAATTACCTAGAAGGTGAAATTTTTACACATCATTTACAAAGTATGGATTATCTAGGAATAAATTTAATAAAATAACAAAAAAACCTCTATGGAAAAAATAATAATACTGCTTTTAAAGATTTGTAATGTAAATAAATAGAAAGTAGACTTTATGGGATCAAAAGACTCCAGTAATAAAGATGTCCATTCTCCCTAAATTGATCTATATATTCAATAGAATAAATACCAAAATCTCAACAGTTTGTTGTGTGTGAATGGGGCAGGGAGGGTGAAGAGAGAGAGAGAGAAGTGAGAAAAAAATGTGCGTGTACATATATGTTTGTTTTGAAACTTGAAAGCTAATTCTAAAATTCATGTGAAACTATTAAAGTGTTGGCTAGTCTTGAACAAGATAAGCATGAAGAAGAAAACTTGGGGGAGGGGACCTTGTTCTACTAATTATTAAAAATTATTATAAAGCTACTATTATTAAAACAGCCTGGCAGAGGCTAAAAGGCAGAAACAGAGAAAATCAAACAATACAGAGAACCCAGAAACTCAACAATACTTACCAGGACAACTGATACATGATTGAGTTAGCATTGTAGTTCAGTGGAAAAAGAACAAAATTTCAAAAGAAAATTGTGCTGTTAGGTATACTTTAGAGAAAGATTAAAATTTACCTTTACCTACATATACATACAGGTAATCAATCCAGTTATTTAATCCTAAACACCTATATGTGAAAAGTAAAGATATAATATTTTAGGTAATATCTTCTTGGTATGTAAGAGTTTTTAAATAAGACAGAAAAAGTAAACTTTGTAATAAATAAAAGGAAAACTTAGACTATATGAAAATTAAGTTGTGCTCATCAAAAGACACCATAAAGATAGTGGGAAGATAACAATATTTGCAACTCATGTAATTAAAGAAGAATGGCAATCCAGATTATAGTATAATTCCTGCAAATTGCTAAAAAAAAAAAAAAAAAAAAAGAAGAAGATGAAGAAGGAAAAAAGAGGAGGAAAGAAGAAACAGAAGCAAGAAAAATGAACAAAAGACTTGAATTTTAAAAAGGAAATTTGAGGCCCAGCACAGTGGCTCACACCTGTTATCCCAGAATTTTGGAAGGCCAAAGTGGGCGGATCACAAGGTCAGGAGTTCAAGACAAGCCTGGCCACCAAAGTGAAATCCCGTTTCTACCAAAAATACAAAAGTTAGCCGGGGATGGCGGTGTGCACCTGTAGTCCCAGCTACTTGAGAGGCTGAGACAGGATAATCGCTTGAACCCGGGAGGCAGAGGTTGCGGTGAGCCAAGATAGTGCCACTGCACTCCAGCACTCCAGCCTGGGTGACAGAACAAGACTCCGTCTCAAAAAATAAAAATAAATTAATTAATTAGTTAATTATAAAAAGGAAATTTGAATCGTCGATAAACATGAAAAGGTTCTTGACCTTACTAATCATCAAAGAAATGCAAATTAAAAAAACAATTAGCAATTACTATACTGGCATGAGATTTGAAAAAATTATATTTTACAATACCAAGTGCTGGTGAGGATGTGGATGCAATGTCAAGTTCAAACACTGTTAGTGGAGGTATATATTTGCAAAACTCCTTTGGAAAAAATTTGGCCATGCCTAAAAAAGTTGAACCCATACATGCATTATGACCAAGCAATTCTAGATATATACACCAGAGAAACTCATGCCTCGGAAGGTTTGTACCAGTTGTTCGTAGGAACATTGCCTAAAATTGGACACATCCCAAATGTACATCAACAGTAGAATGGAAAAAATAAAGTGTAGCATATTTAAAGTAGAATAACATACCACAGTAAAATTAAGTGCACATCAATAATACATGTCAATGAGTTTCACAAACAGAAATAAGGAAAAGAAGCAAGTGACAAAAGAATATTTACAGTGTCATTCCATTTGTATTAAGTTCAAAAAGAGAAGGAAATGCAATGCAATTTACTGACAAGCATTAGTGGTAACAGTATAAAGTAAACAAGAGAAAGGATTACCACAGAAGAGTAGTATGTAGTTATGTTTGAAGGGAAGAGGGAATTATGTCAGAAAGAAACATAAAGAAAATTTCTAAAAACTAGTAATGTTCCATTTTATAACCTGGGGGCAGGGATTATTTGCTTTAATATTATGTTATTTCAATTGACATATTAGTCACCATTCTGAATGATTAATATTGGTTACAAGTTGTTTTTTTTAATCAAATATTCAGTAGTCCATAACTACTTATTGGTCGGAAAGGTAGGAAATCTAAAGACAGGAAGTTGTTAAATGAATTAAAATATATTCATATGGATAAGCTAGATACTATACAGTACACTATATAGTATATCTATATATCCATATTCATGTTAATATACTATGCAGCAGTTTAAAATAATAAGGTATATTCATTTAAACTCATAAGGCAATATATCACAGATGTACACTAAGTGAAAATGACAAGTTGTACAAATTTCATTTATACAAAAATGTTCAAATCTCAAAAAATATAAAACCATAGTATATTCCTATTTAAACACATATAAATTTGTAAATGTATTGAATGAGTTCAGAAAAAAAGAAAAAAAACCCCACCAAACTGGTAATAGTAGTTACTTCTACAGAAAGGACTGATGTAGGGTAGAGGTGACATTGGATGGGGAAAGGTGAAGAAATCTAGAGGGAATTGCATTTAACCAGTATTATTTGCCTTTTTTTTTTTTAAATAAAGAATGTATTTGTGCATCAATTGTTTCCTTTGTTAAAAGTCTAGGACTTTCACTTCTACCAAATGAAGAATTAACTGCTATGGGAAATGTCTCTGTAAACAACTGAAAATCAGACAAAATATATGAAATAGTATTCAGACATGTGTAGCAGATAGCATGGGACTATGATCTCTGAGAGAAAGGAAACAAATGAGATGAGCAGTAAAATTAACCCAGATCACTGCCTAGAGAGTTTCCAGGCCTCAGTACAGGAGGGAGAACTCAAACAGGAAGGGAATCCAGTTGACTTTTTCTCACTAAGTTTAGGAAGCAAAGATAGGGAGGCCAAGGTGTCTAGAATTTGCAGACAAGAGTAAGTAGGGCTGCACAGAGGGTTCCAGAGAACTGCAGAGGGATGCCCTCAAGTCTTTGAGAAATAATCTGTACATAATATGGGGTGAAACTTTGGAAAGCAATAGATCAAATAATTTTCATAGTTCACATATGGCTAGGAAGAGTTTATGTTCAAATTCCAAACCACCACAAAAGAGGGATCTCATGAGACACAGGAAACTGAATAGAGAGTCTTCAGAATTGGGGTGCTTTCATAGTGAAGCTAAATGATCAGTAGAATAAAGGCTGCGCTGCACATGCCCTAATAAAATTTAAAAGCAAGCCTGGAAATGATAAGACTGATAGTAAGTAACATGACTATATGCAGAACAAATTCAACGTGCTTTAAAGAATACAACAAAACCCAGCATGAATGAACATAAAGTTCATAATGACTAGAATCCTATTAAAAGTTATAAGCATGTAAAAACAAAAAAAGCAGAAAAATATGACCTATAACTAGAGGAAAATTCAACCAGTCGAAACTGACCCAGAAACAACAGAAATAATTAAATTATTAGAGAAGACTTAAAAATACTATTAAAAATATGTTCCATATATTCAAGGATATTTTTCAAAACATAAATGTGATGAGAAAAAAAGTGGAAGATATAAAAAAGAACCATATGAACTTCTAGGGATATGTATTGATAAATACACTGGATAAGATTAACAGCATATTAAACATTGCAAAAACAAAAAGTGAATTTGAAAGCGTTGCAATAAAAAATATTCTCTGTAAACCACAGAGAGAAAAAAAAGAATTTAAAAAATGAACAGAGCAAAAAAAAACTTCAGTGAATTTGGGGAATATCAGCCAGTCTAACATACATTTAATTGAAGTTTTGAAAGGAAAAAAGGACTAGGGATTGAGACAGAAAAAAAAAACATTTGAAGAAATGATGGCCAAAAAACTTTAAATTTGATGAAACCTGTAAATCCACAAATCCAAGAAGCTCAACAAAAACTTCAGGCAAAATAGACATAGAAAATCACACCAAGGCAAATTATCATAAAAGTGCCAAAAATGCCAAAAACAAGAAAATCTTAAAAACAGTCAAATAAGAAATGACACATTTAATACAAATAAACAAAAATAAGAATGTCAGCAGACTTCTCCAAAAATATGCATGACAGAAGACAATGGAGAGACATGTTTAAAATACTAAAAGAAAACACTGTCAATGTAGAGTTTTATACTCAGCATACTTATCTTTCAAAGCTGAAGACAAGATCAAGATGTTTTGGAAAAACAAATGCTTAAATAATTCTTTGTCAGCAAACATGCATTACAAAAATGTTAAAATTCCTCGGGCAGAAGGAAAATATCAGATGGAAATTTAGATCTTCACAAATGAATGAAGAGCAATGGAAATGGCAAGTATAAAAGACTTTCATCTGATTTTTTAATGTCTTTAAAACATAGTTGACTATCTAAAACAGTAAGAAAATGGTATCGTGGAGTTTTAACATATATGGAGATAAGACTGAATGCTTTCTCCCTAAAATCAGGAACAAGGTCAGGATCTCCGCTCACACCACTTCTATTTAACATTGTGCTGATGTTCTACCAGTGCAATAAAGGAAGAAAAAAAATTAAAATCATAGAGAGTTAAAATAATGAAGTAAAACTGTCTCTATTTGCAGATGGCCCAACTGTCCATATGAAAAATCCCAAGGAATATAAAAATAGCTACCAGAACTAAAAAGTGAGGTTAGCAAGATCACAGGATACAAGATGAATATACAAAAATAAATTGCATTTATATATACTAGCAACAAATAATTGGACATTCACTTTTAAAATATAAATATACCATTTACAATCACGTCAAAAAATATGAAGAGTTAGAGATTTGTCTAAATATGTGTAATACCGACATACTAAAAACTACAAAATAAAGTATTGCTAAAAGAAATTAAAGAAGATCTGAATAAATAGACATGCTATGTTCATGAATGAAAGACTCAAAATTATTAATGTACCAACCTTCCCATATTGATGTAAGGGTTTAATACAATCCCAATCAAAATCACAGCAGTCTTTTTGTAGAAACTGGTAAGCTGATTCTAAATTTTATAGGAAAATGAAATGACCCGAAATTGCTAAAATAAATTTGAAAAAGAAAAAGTTAGAAAGTGTTCACTACCTGATTCAAGACTTACTGTAAAGCTATAATAATTAAGTCAGTATAGTATTTATGAGGATAAACATATAGATCAGTGGAACAAAAGAGAGTCCAGAAATAGATCTACTCAAAGATGTCAAGGTTACTCAATGGGGAAAGATAGTTTTTTCCAACAAATAGTGCTGGAACAATTGGATATCCATTTGGAAAAATAACAAGCCTAGACACTAACCTTTCACACAATACATAAAAATTAACTCAAGAAGCATCACAGGTCTAAATATAAGAGCTAAAACTATAAAACTTCAAAAAAAAACCCGTAAGAAAAAATATTTGTGACCCTGGGTTAGGAAAATATTTCAAAAATAGGACACAGAGAATACAAAGAAAAACATGATAAATTAGACTTTGTCAAATTAAAAACTTTTGATCTTTAAAAATGACCATTAATAAGAATACAAGCCACAAAATGGGTGGGAGAAAATATCTGCAAAATTTGTATCTGATGAAAGACTTGAATCCAGAACATGTTAAAAAACACAATTCAATAATAAGACAACTTGATTTTTTAGATGAGTAAAAGATTTGAACAAAGAAAATATGAATGGCAAACAAGCACATAAAAAGATGTCCAACGTCATTAATCATTAGAGAAATACAAATTAAAACCACAATGAAATACCACTATACTCTCTCTGAAACAGCTAGAATTAAAAAGACTGACAATACCTAGGATTGATGAGAATATGGAGCAACTGAAACTCATACATTGCTGGTGGGAATATAAAATTATACAGCCATTTTGGAAACCATTTTGGCATACGCTTATCATATCACACAGCAATTCTAGTCATAGTATTTACCCAAGAAATGGAAACATATTTCTACACAATGTTTTGTGTGCAAATGTTCATAGTCACTTTATTAGTAACAGTCAACAACTGCAAATAACCCAAATGTCTATCAACTATGGTATATGTACTCATTGGGGTACTACTCAGCAATATAAAGGAAACAGTTCATGCTACGTAAAACAACATGCGTGAATCTTAAAAGCAGTTTGCTAAGTGAAAGAAACCCAAGACATAAAACTGCCTAACTGTATGATTCAATTTATAAGAAATATGGGGAAAGGCAAAACTAAAATGATAGAAAGCCCAACAGTGATTGCCAGGGACTGGAAGGAGGCAGAGGTGATTAAAGGGAAAGAAGCATGCAGTAGATTCTGGGGTGATGGGAATATTCTTTATCGTGAGTATAATGAGATAGTGATGATAAATATTTGCCAAAACTTATTGAACTGAACACTTAAAAGGGTGATTATAATTACATGTAAATCACACCTGGGGGAAAAAGCTGATATAAAAAAAAAGTTTAAGGAGATAAACAGGAAAATGAGGCCAATGGTTATAATGTAAATGTCTAATGCAGCAGGAGTAGGTATCTTCTAGAATCTTTCAACCCTTCTTCTAACTGCTGCAGCTGCTGGATTGGATCATTGGATCTGTTACCAATTAAAGAAGCTTAAAAATGCTGAGAAGATGTTCTGTAGCTGAAAGCACCACCTTTCCCTGTCTAAGGCTACTGGGGAACCTTTTGAAATCTTCTACTCTTGCTCATTGGCCAGGTATGGATTTGCTGAGGTGGGGAGGGTGTAAACTTGCAGGTGATACTGTGCTTTGATGTCTTTCATCTTATTAAACTCTCCCAACAATCTGAAGGTAAATAGTTATTCTCACTTTGCAAGTAAAAAATGGAAAAGGCCTAGAGAGAAGAATTTGGGTTTTTAACTTTGAAAGGGATCACATACATATCCAGACACATTCTCATGAATTTTTGGAACAGCAAATCACAGAAAAAAATCCCAAAAGCACCTAGAAGAGAAAAAAAAAATGAGCTACCTCTAAGGAACAAGATTCTGCCATTAAATGCTCAAGGAGTTTGTAAGAAGAGTCTTTTGTGGGTTTCCCAAAGCTGCATCAGGTAGGACTGAGAGGAAATGGATAGCATCCCCTTTAGGACTGGTAAAGGAAACCAGAAACTTCATAAACAATAGCATGGCAAAGAAACCAAGGAATGTCAAGGGAAGGCCCAGAAGCCAGTGTGACTACAGCAGGACTGAGAAATAGGCCTGGAAGGCCAACTTCGTGTCACACTGCAGAAAACTTTATGGTTGAGAAGAAAGAGTAATGATTCTCCCTGCAGCTCTCTGTCCCACGCCTCATCTTTTTATGACCTTTGAATTTCCTACTCTCTCCCCAGAGACCTACTGATCCTCCTAACTAGAGAGTCTAGCATTGGGAAAAGGAAAAGAGTCCCAAGTATATCCACAATCACTAGTCTGGTAGAAAAGAACAAAGAATCCTCAAGAAGATAATGTTGCAAAGGAGAAAAGACAAAGTGTATACAGAGAAAGCACAGGAATTTGTGAAGAATAAATAACAGAGCTAATATCTTCTGGCCTCTGTTTGACTGTCCTGTTCTAATGTCTATGAGGCTTCAGGATTCACTGATGATGGTACACTTCTTCCACTCTCCCCTAAACCCTCCTACCCTAGTTTGGATTAGAAACTCTTTCTTGTTTTGATCTTCATGTACACCCTTAAGAATACCACCATCACTACAAGTATTATTAAGTAAAGGCTAGCTGAACTACCCAAATTTTCTGACATTGTTTCTCCTAGTTTCTTTGCTCCAGAAGTCCCAGACTTTTCCATTCCTGAGATTAATTCTCTTCCTTTAGCTTTGGTGCATCCCTGATCTTGCAAGGTTCAAAGCCTGCCATGTGTTGTAGTCTAAGCTCTTCTCTCCCTCTTTTGCTTCTAGAGGAAAGACAAGGGGAGCTTTGGACCCCAGGAGTTGAGGGAGTGGAGGCGGCCCACACTCTGGCTCAGCTTCCTCTTTATTTCTTCTGTTCTCCTCAAGTGCCTAAAAACAATTTCAGATGCATCTCCCACTGGCATGGGAGATCAATCTCCTGCCAATAACTGCCCCATTAGGTCTAGACAACAGATTCATGCCCAGCTGCACCCTTGGCTAGTGTCTGACATAATTTTACTTTATAATCCTAAAAGAAAATTTGCCCCTTCCCAACCTTAAGTCACATTACAAACTCTCTCTCTACCTTGACATTACAATTAGCTCCATTATCCTCTCCCAATTCCTGGAGTTCCCTGTGTAAACAAAGAGATGGGAAAATGAAATTCTGCCATACATCTAACACTTCACCAACTTCTGGTTTATTTTAATGCATTCCCAGAAAGCCTCTAGAGGGCAAGCACCAAGCCTTGTTTGTTGTTGTACTCTGCATGTCTGGCACAGTACTTGCTACATGGTAGATGGTTAATAAATGAAAAAATGAATGCCTCATAGTTTGCTTAAACTGAAAGAATTATACAAGATTCCTTCATGCACAAACCTGCAGGCAAGTCCATGAAAAGATGGCTGTCTGTCTAACTTTCAGCATTCCATCCACTTCAAACATGGCTCCAGGTACCAAAAATGCCCTCATATTTTGGTGCAATGCAGAATCCATACTAGAGGGATGGGCTTTGGTTTTCATGACAGGATTTAATGTGTGGGTTAGGCTGTCAAAAAAGGAAAGGAAGGCTAGGCGCAGTGGCTCACCCCTGTAATCCCAGCACTTTGGGAGGCCAACGCGGGCAGATGACCTGAGGTCGGGAGTTCGAGAACAGCCTGACCAACATGGAAAAACCCCGTCTCTACTAAAAATACAAAATTAGCTGGGCGTGGTGGCACATGCCTGTAATCCCAGCTACTCGGAGCTGAGGCAGGAAAATCACTTGAACCTGGGAAGCGGAGGTTGCAGTGAGCTGAGACTGCGCCATCGCACTCCAGCGTGGGTAACAAGAGCGAAACTCCATCAAAAAGAAAAAAAAAGAAAGAGAGAAAGAGAGGAAGGAAGGAGGGAAGGAAGGAAATAAGGCAACAATGAGAAACGTTACCTACAAGATGGCAGAAGACCAGAGGGGATGGTAGAGAGCCACAGGGATGAGAAAAAGAACTAATAACCTGCACTCTCCATGTCTCCCACTCTCACAGCTATCTAGACCTTGATCCACTGGAGAAGCAGCTTGGTTTCTGTCCTTCCTGAGTTCACGGGCTCAGTCTCCTCGAGCTCCTACCTTTTCAAGTGTTCCGTTCCCTGGCAGAGAGACCAGCAAAGTTCTACCATGGTTCTATTTCTGTCGCCCCCCTGCCAAATACCTTCCAGCCTACTTCTACACCATATGAATTAAAAGCACATCAGTGAGAAAATTAACTGGAAGGAATAAAATCTCATGGCCATTTGGCAGCCTCATGGTTCAGCAATACCAGTGGTCCCTCACCTTTGGCTTCGGGCGCCGTGCACAAGCCGGCTCCGGTGAGCCACCAGCCATCACCCACAGTGCTCTTCACAGTCATGGCCTTGGTAGAATGATCAGACCACTACAGCTGCAAGGAGGGAAATCCAGGTCACCGAATGCCTTCCCTCTCCTCTCCACTCCTCTAGCCTATTTCCTTCTACTCAAAATCTCCAGCTATCAGTGCAATCTCATCCCGCAAATCTTTTCTCAGGGAAGATGAGAGGAAGGCACCCTCCCCACCCATCTCCACTTTTGAAATGCCTCCAGGAGTGCCAGCTGTACAGACTTTTCCAGAAGGGTGTTGGAGGAGAGCGTGGCGCATTCAGAGCACCAAGGCTCCCTGATTATGCAAGGCATACAAGAGCCCCTCTATTCATCACCTCGAGGTAGACTATTAAATCTCTGGAAGCCTTCCACACAGTTTAGTAACGGAGATCCATTATGCCCTCCCTCAGGTTCCACTGAACACCAGCAAACAAACATATGGTGAGTAAGTTCTAATAGAATTCCACACCACATGCAGGCTCTGCGCAGAGCTCTGTGCTGGAGGGAAGCTGGCCCCAAGCAGCCTTTGATGGCAGCTCCTCCAAGTGGTTTCTGCAACAGGATTTTCCTGCTTTCACCATGTAAGGATATGAGGCGTGGAGAATTTATTTCTGTTTTCTAGTAAAGCATTTGGTGAGGAGTGTGGACATCTTCTTATATCCCCAGCTTGTAGAGGAGCTTATTAGCTGACTTTGGGTAGGTCACTTGGCCCCCCAAACCTTTGGTGCCTGTCTGTGTAAAATAGCCACAAATGATACCTGTTGTCTATTTCACAGGTGTTGTAATAATGAAACAGCTCAATGGACATAGGATGTTTTGGAACGCATTTCAGATTTGTATCATTATCACAACCCGCCCCCGGATTTCCCGCCTCCGGCCCATGTCTATAGGCTTCATTCCATACAAGAGCCAACTGCATTATCCTTAGGAGAGTTAAAAATAAAACAACAAATCTAGAGTATTGATGATATTGATAACAAGAAAATGTATTTTCTACAATTCAGTAGCTTTACAGTTCCTTTTTGAAAACTATACCTTTAAAAATAAAAACCTGTCTTCTCTCTTTGTCCTCCCCCTCTCCGACCTCCCCCCTCGTCCCCCTTCCCCGCCAAAAAGTGATTATGGAGTGAGAGCCATACTGATTATTTTGACTGATCAACTGGAGAAATTTAGATAAATTTGGCTTTTCATTAACTGCAGCTGTTGTTTCTTTCAGTGCTTAAATGCAATTTATCATTTGAATGTGCCGGCTGAGGAACGTTGCTTGAGTTTTCCTTTGCTTTCAATCATTAGTCCTAACAGTATGAATCCAATTTCTATAGTTAGCCCTTAAAAAGGGTCCCATTTTCTGTCCTTTATGGTTGTTCTTATTGAAATATTAAGTTTTAGGATCAGTTCTCTATCACACACACCACTATCAACATACTACTATTCAAACCCAAATCCAGCTTCCATGCCCTGAAATCACAGGTGCAAAAGCCTAAAACCTCTCAAGGCTCTCTGTCTCCCCACCTCAGCCCCAGCCCATCACCATCCCCACCCACCCACTTACTTAGAACAATGTTTAATTTGGTCACCAGATTCAAATATGCAGAAGTAAGGCCTCCCAAACTCAACGAGATTTCCAGCTCCAATGCACAAAAAGGAAGTTGTGTAGTTCCACATGACTTGACTGTGAATGAGAGCTGTGAAGTGATAAACGACCTCCAAACAACATTGGCTTATTTAAATTAAACTATTATTCATTTATACAGGATGATGACTCATGATTATCTGGACAGGAAGAGAAAAAAAATGTAGTAGGAGGAGATAGCCTCAGAACTTGTTTCCTGTTAATGTTCTAAGAGTAATATCATGCTAGTCTTTATGTGGTTTCTCATTATTCTTAGAACTTTAGTTACCATCTTAATTATTCTATTGTTTCTCTTGGAAGAGGAGGAGGAGTAGACAGGCTACATTTTCTTTTTTTTTCACACCATGATGGATTAAACGTCAAGAATAATTAAATGCCACAGGTTGCTAGCCAACAATTGAACGCTGACATCTTTTAGGAGAACCCACCCAGGAAAGAAGAAAACAAACATCTTAACATCTCAGTGTCTTTCCTGACTTCATTTACGTAGGCAGGGATCCCAACATCTTAAATAAAAAAAAAAAAGAACAAAGCCTCTCCAAGCTAATAATTATTCTATGCTTGGAATGAGAGTGTTCAGAAGAACCAGACATTTATGTCGAAACGTTTTCCAAAGTAGGAGAAGTGGGGGGTTTGCTCCTGTGCACGCTGGCAAATGAAAACAACAAAGAATGTGGATCATCCCAGAGACTTTAGAAACAACATGGAGCCATTTCAAAAGTTCTGATTCTGAGATTTTGAGGGCAAGGAAACAAAGGAAATGTTATTGGTTAATTTATCAATAATTGATAGACAAGGCTGTACTTCCAGTTCCATTTAAGAGCCAACTACAAATAAAATTGTCAGCACATGGCTGAGTAAGAACTATCTGGGGTGGAAGAAACTGAGAAATATTCACTGAAGCATTAATATTTCATGAAGACCAGAAGACCAAGGTCAGTTTTGTTATGAAGGACCCTGAGGTTCCAGTTCACTTTGAAATGCTGAAGCCAGGCAATTTCAGGACGTTCTATTCATTCTGGCAAGTAAAGACATCTTCCAAACACACAGCAGTGACTTTATTCGAGCACAAAAGTTGGCCCCTCTGGGAGTAGCAAAATCGAGACAAACGATACTCTAGATAATGTGTTCTTCTCTACAAGCACCCAAGTTTTTGTGAAGAACAGCTTAACTTTCGTGTGTTTACCACAAGACTCTCAACTCTCCACATGGCTTGAGTGACAACTGATATCTCTACAATATTATGGCCACACACATCCCATCTCTTGTTTGATTTTTTTGGATCTCCTCTTTCCCCAAAGCCCACTCTTCCTTAATATGAAGAGGTTGGTCTTGAATCTGCATTCTCTGGTTCCTATCCCTTTAGTATCTCTCATTTTGGGTGGCCAGTCACTCACTTACAGGGCACAGACAAAGTAACAGACAAACTAAAAGCCCTTCCAAACCAAACAACAAGGGCCAGGCGAGAAACTATCAGCTCTTCCTAGGAAGCTGAGACGCAGTGCCCTGAGTGATGATGGAGCCTGACAGGAACAGAGAGCACAGCCCACTCATCGTAGCTACAAACTATCAAATTCTTAAACACCAACACCAGATCTTCCTTTTCTTTCTCTATCAAGAGTCACTGGTTTAAACACTTGACCAAATGATGTGGCCTGACTACACTAAAATCTCAGAATTTAACACTATATAATTCATCCATGTAACTAAAAACCACTCTTACCCTAAAAGCTATTGAAATTTTAAAAATAACAAATAAATTTAAATGTAAAAAAAATTAAAATTAAAAAAGACGTGCCCTGAAAGCCTAGAGCTCTACAACACCCCTGAAATATAACACTTCTCCAAGACCCCAGGGATGTCAAAAAAGGAGAGCTAGAACGTAACTGTATTAGTCCGTTTTCACACTGCTGATAAAGACATACCTGAGACTGGGCAATTTACAAAAGAAAGAGATTTATTTAATGGACTTACAGTTCACTTGCCTGGGGAGGCCTCACAATCATGGCGGAAGGCAAGGAAGAGCAAGTCACGTCTTAGATGGAGGGCAGCAGGCAAAGAGAGAAAGAGAGCTTCTGCATGGAAACTCCTGTTTTTAAAAACATCAGATCTCATGAGACTTATCCACTATCATGAGAACAGCACAGGAAAGACCCACCCCTATGATTCAATTACCTCACACCAGGTTCCTCCCATGACACATGGGAATTGTAGGAGTTACAATTCAAGATGAGATTTGGGTGGCAACACAACCAAACCATATCAGTCGCTCTTGTTAAAGACCCTGAAGACTGTTCTGAATGGCTTGGGTGCAGGGCCGGTGCCCCCATTCTCCTTAAAGTGTCAGAATTCTTTCCCTTTACTCCCCATGTGAGAACCTATTATCCCACAGACTCCACCCTGCAAAACCAAATGTGGCAGCCCACAAGTTGAGTTCTAAGAGAGATGCACTCCAGACCCTTCCACCCCAATCACCCACTTTCCACCCCTGCTCTGTGCCCTCCCCATCCTGAGTGAGGGTGAAAAGGTAGCACAGAGAAGACAGGACCAAATAATCCGTTCTTACTCTCTTACAAATGGTAACTTGTTGAGTGAGCATTGCTACCACTCCACACCCAGATAAAAATAAAACAAATGTCAACAGTATATATCTCTTACCACCTGAGACCATGTAACCTGAGATCTTACCACCTGAGACCATGAGACCTGGCTCTCATCCCAGTTCCTTGCTGTGAAATACCTACTCAACATTACTGTCTATGAGTCTGCTACAAATAATTATTTGAATATCTACTACCACAGGCATAAAACGCTTTGCAGCACAAGTTCAGATTCAGGGCCATAAGTTCAAATTCCTGACCTCCAAACAATATTTGCAAAGGGACCATCCCTCAGACCACTTTCCTTGGACATTTCACCCATCCAAGAGAGGAAGGCCTCTACCCACACTACTATCTTACTACAGAGTGATTAAGAACTTTCCACACTATTATCCACCTTCTCAGTGAGAAGAACTAGAGTGCGGATAAAGAGAGTGCATGCTCAGTAAATATTTATTGAGTCCTCACTGTGTGCTAGGCACTCTGTAGGCACAAGAATGTAATACAGGTTGAGTATTCCTTATCCAAAGATACAAAAGACAAAATGCTCCAGTGAGCATTTCCTTTGAGCATCATGGCAGTGCTCAAAAAGTTTCAGATTTTGGAGCATTACAGATTTTAGCAGGGGTGCCCAACCAGTAAGTACATGATGCAAATATTCCAAAATCCAAAACACTTCTGGTCCCAAGTATTACAGACAATGGATACTCACCCTGTAGTAAACCAGATGACCAAGCAGCCTTCCCTCATGTGCTTTACCATCTAATCCTCACAGAGTCTCATGAGATCTCTAGCAACACCATTTAATCAATGAAGAGAGGCAAAGAGAGCCCCAGATAGAAAAGGACAGAGGTGGGATTGAAAACCAGTTTGTTCTCTCCAAACCACTGCTCTTTCCAGGAGATTACACTGCCCCCAAGTTAATGGGGAAACAAGGACTGTTGGTTTGCTCTTCTTGGCCCATTATTTTAAAAATGGCAGGAAATGGGCTTGAGGGTCAATCAAGCCCACTCCCCATTCAGTCCAGGGCTGGGGATTGTCACTGGGAAAGACAACCTCCAGCTGGACTCATTGATGGCTCATGGCTATGTGTTCATGCTAGATGGCCAAATGGGGCCAATTGGCCTCTAGGCCCATGCTTAAGGCAACAGCAATGTCAAGGAAGAATGTGAGAAAACAATTTTTGAAGAATGGTTTCTTTTTTTTTTTTCAAAAAAAAGAAACCAAGGGAAAAACAACAAAGTAATCAGATAAGAATTCTATTACATTTATTTATATTTACTCTATAGCTTAGTATTATTTTATTCTGAATTATATATGAGAAGGGAGATGCTGAAACCTTTTTGTGCTTAAAGTCGGTGAAGATCTTAATCTGACCCAAGAAAATTCTGCTCTTATGCCCCACGGAGAAGCCACAATACCTGCCCTTCCTGCCCAAGGTCACACAGAGGAGGAGGCCACTAGCAGACCATAAGCTGAGGTCTTCTGCCTGTGCCTGCACTGTTCTGTGCCTTCCTTCCCAGGAGCTGTGAGGATCAAATGTCATCAAGAGCATAGAAACTGGTGACAGACTGTCAACTTACCAACATACATGAGGTGTTTTGTCTCTATAAGCCCTGAAGCATCACATATCCCTTTTTCATATTTATGATGGAATTCCTCCAGTGAAGAATTGAACACAGTCACCCACTCAATCCCTGGGCCAATGCTGACTGCAAGAGATCACCTTCCTGCACAGCTGTGCTGTGCTCCTCCTTCAAGATTCATCACACATCGTACGAAATCCTAAAGCTGCTAAGGTTTGGCCCCTGTATGCTCCTCAGTCTTAGTCATGACCTCTTCCACTCTCCCTGATCATTTCCACCTCTCTCGAGAGGTATCAACAGGGCAATGGTATTTCTTGGGTACCAGAGCATTCTATACCAGAATGTTGTAAGGCTGTGGCTGACCCAAGCCTTTGGTGGGTATCTTTTCCTTGTCTATTTTTTATTACAATAATTATTCAGCTTGTGGGCTTAAAGCAAGATGGCACCCTCGGTAATAGCGTGCACCAGACCCTCCTGGCTTCTCTGTCTGCCCAAGAGAGTCCTCAAAGTTGTAAACCTCTAGGGAAAGCAGCCATAATCACAGGCCCTTCCCATCTGCTCATCTTAAATTGCCATCTCTCACTTCTCTTTTAGACCAAGACCCTTGACTTTGACATGAAAACACCTTGGGGAGTTTTCAGAAGCTCCATGCCCAGACTCTACCCAGAGATTCTGATTCATTTACTCTGTTGAGGCCCAGCATTCATGCTTTTTTTTTTTCCTTCTTTTTTTTTTTCTTTGAGACAGAGTTTCACTCTTGTTGCCTTGGCTGGAGTGCAATGGTGCGATCTTGGCTCACTCCAACCTCCACCCCCCCGTGTTCAAGCAATTCTCCTGCCTCAGCCTCCCAAGTAGCTGGGATTGCAAGCATGCACCACCAGACCCTGTTAATTTTGTATTTTAATAGAGACTGGGTTTCGCCATGTTGGTCAGGCTGGTCTCGAACTCCTGACTTCAAGTGAGCCACCTGCCTCGGCTTCCCAAAGTGCTGGAATTACAGGCATGAGCCACCTTGCCCAGCCATTCATGCTTTTTAAAAGCTCCCCCGGTGATTCAAAGTTGAGAACCACTGCTCTACCTAGATCATATTCCAACACACAATGACAGTTTCTTTTTCTCTTCCAAAAGCTAAGATGTTTACATTTCAAGTGAACTGACTCTCTGTGAATCTCAGAGTTGAGAGAAGCTCTGAAGCTTCTCAATGCAGTAGGTGTCTCAAGATTCTGAGATCATTTACAACCAGCTAACACAAGGCACGATACGTCCAGCCCTCCTTCTCTTTTGCTTTATTCTTGCTAGTCCAGGTCTCTTGGCATGAAATCCTGAGAAAGTTTATTCGTGGGAGAAGCTCCGGCTTAGGCTTGAATTCAGAGATGAAAATTTCCCTTCTTAGGAGTCTTCAGCAGAAATGAAATGAAAGTGAATGATTCTGGGGGGCCCAGGATACTTGGAAAAGATCTATGGTCCAAAGAGGGGTTAGGACAGCTGAAAACCAAGCTAACCTACATCACCCTCTCAACCAGCACCTAAGCCTTCAAAAAGAAAATGAAGAAACTTGGACAAAGAGCCAGTAGATCCCAAACATAACACCCATCAGGAATGGTGTCCTTGTCTCTGGACAGGGACTCTGAGACACCCATTTTTTATTTTATTTTATTTTATTATTTTATTTTTCAGAGACAGGGTCTCTCCCTGTGGCCCGGGCTGGAGTATAATGGGTGATCATAGCTCACTGCAGCCTCAAACTGCTGGGCTCAAGCACTCCTCTCACTCTTAGCCTCCCAAGTAGCTAGAATTACAGGAGTGTGCCACCATGCCAGGCTAATTTTGGTTTCGTTTTGTCTGTTGGGTTTTTTTTTGGTAGAGGTGGGGTCTCATTGTTGCCTGGGCTGGTCTCAAACTTCTAGACTCAAGTGATCCTCCCACCTCAGCCTCTCAAACATCTGGGAGTATAGATGCACACCATCACGTCCAGTTAATTTTTTAACTTTTTTGTAGAGACGGGGTCTTACCATGCTGCCAAGGCTGGTGTCAAACTTCTTGGCTCAAGCCATCTTCCCACCTGTCTCCCAAAATGCTGGGATTATAGGGGTAAGCCACCGTACCTGGCCCCTGGCCTCTTCTCTGTTTCATATAAAAACACCTAAATGAGCACTTTGGAAGGCCAAGACGGGTGGATCACTTGAGGTCAGGAGTTCGAGACCAGCCTGGCCAACATGGTGAAACCCCATCTCTACTAAAAATACAAAAGATTAGCCAGGTGTGGTGGCACGCGCCTGTAGTCCCAGCTACTCAGGAGTCTGAGGCATGAAAATCACTTGAACCCAGGAGGCAGAGGTCGCAGTGAGCTGAGACTGCGCCACTGCACTCCAGCCTAGGTGACAGAGTAAGACTGTCTCAAAACACACACACACACACACACACACACACACACACACACACACAAAACCACCTAAATGATGTATTTAATGCATTTGGGATATTGGATGTAAGACATTTCCCAAGAAGAGGTAGTATTAATTACATATTTCACATTTGTACAAAATAGAAAGAAATATTATGAGGGGTAGGAATCAAAATGTAGGGAACTGGGCCTGTTCTGTGTTACCATAATTTTAGGACTTAATATAACATCATATACTAAATACGGGCACAACATGAAAACCAGTAACCAGAGGTCACAGAGTAGCCATTAGCATAGAGTCTAGCCAACAGAGGAGATCAGGAAATCTTTCTGAGATGGATAGAGGATAGATGGATAGATGATTAGATGATGATTGGATGGATGGATGGAGTATCTTGTGAACACCCTTCAAGCTAGTAGTCATGAGACTATTGATAAACAAGAAGGAGCGGCATTCTCCATGGCATATTTTGATCTGAGCCCACCACTACCTTCCATCTATCATTGCAGTTGAACCAGAAAGGCCTGCCTCAGCAACAGGAGACCTTCTCTAAAGCATGTTTTCATTAGGGCTTTCTCAGTTGCAAATGACAGATCCCTACTTGTAATGGCTTAAGCCACAAACAACAAGTGTTGAAAGGATATTGGAATATCTCAGGGAATACGAGGATAGATGCAATTTAGTCTCAGAAACCATTTAGAACAAGAACTAGAATCATGTAGGGAACCAGATTTTTCTTCTTTCTGTGCATCTGTTTGATTTTTTCCAGTGTATCTGCTCCATTTTCCTCTGCCATATTGTAGAGTCATTCTTCCTATTTGCCAGAAAACTTTTTTTATAGCAGAAAACATTTTTTCAATGGTTCCTGAGTTCTGCATGATCCAAATCCTGGTACCAAGAAAGAGTCAAAATTGACTCTTAGGACCCATTCCAAATTCCTGGGAAAAGAGCACATTGGCCCAATTTGGGTCAGCTCCCCACTGCTGGGCCAATTAACTATGGCAAGGAGTTAGAATTATGCTGTGTGCTCTCTTGGCAACCATGAGAATGGGAGTGGAAAGGAAAACATTCTAGAAAGATAGGTGAGCTGATCAACCAAATCCCTACAAATAGATTGGCACCACTGGCAAAATTCTTGAGCAGCCCTGGAAAAAATTGTGACATATGACTCTTCTTCATCTTCCATTATTTCTGCACCCACTCTCAGCCCACACACAAACCTCTGCCATCAAGCATCCAAGGATTTCAAGCAATCCAAAGCTGCTTTACTTTGAGACCCAATCCACGTGTACATCCCCACCCAAACTCCACCTTTTCCTTCACAACGTAGAGTTTTCAGGATTCAACTAAAGCCTCAGTTACCTCGTTGGCCCCCCAGGAACTTTGAAAATAATCTCAGCATGCAGGCCTGATGGATAAAGAGGAAGTAGTGTCCGGCATGCATGGGGGAGACAGGAGCCAGAGGTCACTCTGTGTTCAAGATATAGACATAACTCACGCCCACAGAAGACAGTCTTCACAGGGTCCTTCTCTAATGTTCCATCATTAAAATGAGTCAGCTTCTCTGTGTATGTGTCTCTGTGTTTCTTTAGATTTTTCCGCTTCTGCTCCTAAACCACTGCCCACCTCTCCTGTTTAAATTCCTGATCGACCCAATATCCCTTTGTGATCAGAGGTCAGCTTACACACTGGCTGGATTGGAGCCATGGGATCAGCCCCTGCAGTCCAGTTAGCTATGTTCAAAAGACAGAGTCATGCGCTATAAACTTTTGCTACTCCAGATTTGTTTGTGGACCAGCAGCAACCACATCACCTGAAAGCTTATTAGAAATGCAGATTCTCAGGTCCCGTGCAGAACCTACTGATTCAGAAACAACATTTTAGAAGTTCCCCTAGGTCATTTGTAGATTCATCAAAGTTTGCAAAGTGCTGGTTTAGAATACGTCCCTTCAAGCTGGAAACTGCCTGGGCTGCTTCACAAGCATGGAGCCAGGAACAGTGCTAAAATCCCTGCCTCTTGTCAAGCCCAAGTCCACTAATCCCATTGATAACGGTATTGTCTACTCCTCCTTTTAGAGCCATTTATGCCTTTTTTATAATTAAACTCTAGAAAATCACAAAATCTGCAAAAAGGGAAGGATCTATTGGTGATATTTCAGGCACTGTTAATAGGGTAAAAAAGTGAGAATTGTTTATTTGTTTTGGAAAAGTTTGTGGGGGTGTTATGTTTTGTTTTGTTTTAAAATACAGTCCTTTGCCAGCCTGGGCAACATGGCTAAATCCCATCTCTACGCAAACTACAAAAAATTAGCCAGGCATGATGGCTCAAGCCTGTGGTCCCAGCTACTCAGGAGGCTGAGGTCGGAGGATCACTTGAGCCTGGGAGGCGGAGATTGCGGTGAGCCAAGATGGCACGCCAGCACACCAGACTGGGTGAGAGAGGGAGACCTTATCTAAAAATAATAATTATAATAATACAGTCCTTTGTCATCCATTAAAGCCTCAAGAGAGGCTACTTATTCTGCTTACTAATCTGTCTCTATGTAAAAACAGTCCTGCCCAAGGAAATAGTTTGGATTTCTGCTATGATAATCAGTTTCTTTTCTTTCTTTTTTTTTTTTTTTTTTTTCCGCTCTGTCACCCAGGCTGGAGTGCAGTGGTGCAATCTCAGCTCACTGCAACCTCTGCCTCCCGGGTTCAAGCGATTCTCCTGCCTCAGCCTCCTGAGTAGCTGGAATTACAGGCACATGCCATCATGCCCAGCTAACTTTTAGATTTTTAGTAGAGACGGGGTTTCACCATGTTGGTCAGGCTGGTCTCAAACTCCTGACTTGATCCGCCCACCTCGGCCTCCCAAAGTGCTGGGATTAGAGGGATGAGCCACCGTGCCCACCCCCTGCAATCAGTTTCTTACCTTAAAACATCATTGCCAATTCCCTACCGAAAGAGTCTTCTAAGATCTTCTGTCCAACCTCCTCATTTTACAGATGTGGGAAACTAAGGCCAGAAGAGAGAGATACTGACAAAAGGTCAAAGAGGTGATTTAAGCTTCAGCTGATGCCAGATCCCAGGGATCCCGGCTTCTATTTGAGGGTTTCCTTCACTAAATAGAGCTTCCAGAGGAGAGTCACTCCTGCATGTGCGCCTGTTGGGTTGAGGCAGGAGGGCACAGGGAAGTACTTCTGAGATAACATGTTGCTGGTGAGAAGTGGAGACAAATATTTGCCAAATTTTGGATGAGGACCTGGAATCCAAGAGTCTGCCCCACACGCAGTCTTTCGTAATATGGATGCCACAGGACCTTCCAGAACATTCTGAAAAAGCTTTTAAGGAAACAGCAACTACAAAACATGAAAATAACTGCCCCCAGCTGCTCTTGGGGTCACTGTATTCTGACTGCAGCTGTGGAGAATTGTTGAATTCCATTCTTCATGTTGCCCTAAAAGCATTTCAAAGAGATTCAGAGAAAGCTGGGTGCACTTTGGTAAACTGAAAACTATTTGTGACAAACCAACCATCACCATCTCTCCACATTTACCATCAGAAAGAGGCAGGGGCCATAGGGGCAGAAGGCCAGACCCAAGTCAGAGAGGGACGCTCACATTTCCAGTTGCCCCTGCCTTTCTGGACAACCCTAGAATAATGCATGTCCCTTTGTGTCCTTACCAAGGATATTTTAGAAGAGAACAGAAAGATGAAAAAGCTGCAAACATTTCTGTTTGCCATACACCTGCTTCTCAAGAATTGTAAGAATCTGTGAAGTTAAAATAGAAAGTTCTTCCTGTGAACATTATTTCATAAATGTTAATTATGACACCGTATTTGCTTTAATACCTGCCCGCTATAATTACCTCCAAGCTGTAGACATTTGTTAAGAATCATTGTTATTTGACTACTTTTTCTGATTATTCAGTCTTCTTATGTGGAAATATTAATATTACTGCAATCCTTCCTCATATTTGTAGAATGCATTTCTTGGAAGAGGAGAGTAGTGAGGAAGAAAGGAAGATGATAATGTTTAACAACAAAAAAGCCAGAATTTATTACTCCATTAATATCAAGTTCAAAACTAGGCAAGACAAAAGTGTAATGTTTAGGGCTGACTGCTAAGGTGACAAGCCAGGAAGTGATTGCCACAAAGCTCAGGAGAGGGGTTAATTTTCCAGGGAGCTGGAGAGGACAGTGATAGGTAGAAGCATGAGGCAGTAAATGAAACTTTGAAGTACAGGTCATGTTCTATTTCTTGACCTGGGTGGCAGTTATGTGAGCATTTATTTTGTGGTCCATTTTTGAATAATGAGATTTTGGTTTGTGCACCTTTTCATTTGTTAGTTTATTTCACAATAAATACCATTAAAAAAATGGAAGGATATATCTCAGCCACTAGCCCCTTCTCTTATATGAAACCATATTTGATCGTTTCCCCTGTCAAGTTCCCAGTGAAAGGGACAACTCAAAGAAAGGCATTCTGATGCCTATTTGCACAAGCTAGTCTCATGAAGTGCCCCCCAAGTATTTTTTAAAGCAAGAAGACCCTTCAAAGAGACACTTATAAGGAGGTAGCAGTATATAAAACACACAAGTGGAGCTATGCTGTTATAATCAATTGCAGGCCTGGGCCCACCCATCCTGGTTCCTCTTCCAACTCTACTGTATCCCCAAAGGCATTTTTGTGGGCTCTCTTGGGTTCTTTAGAATACAGTTTAAAACCCCAGATCTAATGAATACCCAGTCGTTACCTACAAATAACCTAGAGGCCAGGAAAGCAGTCAGGGGAACTGGGACACGGGACAGATAAGTCTTAATGTGAGAATTAAGGTCAGGAACATTTATGTGTCAGGTGGTGAGGGACTTGGTGTGGGACTCAGAGCAGCTGGAGAGCACTGGGTGCCAGCCACTGGGTGAGGGCTGGTGTGCTGAACAGAGACCAATGCCTGAGTCTAAGCTGTGCAAATGAGCGTGAAAATGTGTCCAGTCAGTTAAAGTGAACACAGCTCCCAGAGGTCCCTGAGGAGTCCTGCTAATGGTGGGCGTGGCAGGCACCACAGAAGGCCTATAGGGAAAAACTTGGGGTCACGCAGACCTTTTTGTAGCTTTCAAATAACAAGTAAACAATGTCCGTCCCATGTCCCAGTGAAACTGAAAAAACAAAATAGCTGTGATTTTTCAGTAGGGCACGTCCTAGAGAAGAAGCTCTGCCGTTACAAGGTCGACACTCTCCTTCCCTCCCCTCTCCTTTACTGAAATGAAACTAAGAGAGATTTTTTTAAATGTATTAAGTGGTCCTCTACCATTCTCCAAGCAGAAGAGAAAGAGGGATGTTTCACGTCGGCCTTTGTTTCAGTCTGTTCAGGCTGCTACAGCAAAATACCATAGACTGGGTAGCTTCTACACAACAGAAATTTCTCATAGTTTTGGAGGCTGGAAGTCCAAGATCAAGGTGCCAGCATTTCTGGTGTCTATGAGGCCCATTTCCTGGTTCTCTCTGTGCCTTCACATGGTAGAAGGAGTGAGCTAGCACTCTGGGGTCTCTTTTATAAGGGGACTAATCCCATTCATGTGGGCTCTACCCTCAGGACCTAATTATCTCCCAATGGCCTCAGGACCTAATTATCTCCCAACGGGCCTCAGCACCTTATACCATTACATTGGGGGTTAAGATTTCAACATATGAATTTGAGAGAGACACAGACATTCACACCACAGCAATCTTTAAGCTAGAAGGCTTTTCAAACCAGATATCTCCACACTGAAAATTCTTGTTGCTTTGGGCTGGGCTCAGTTTTGTTTTGTTTGGATTTTCTCAAATCAAGAAAGGCCAAGCAGGAAAAGGTGAGCACACCTGCTCAGCTCTCCAGATCACAGGCAAGCATTTTTCCAGTCCATCCATCCCCAACCCCACACCACCCAACCAGTACACCTCTAATCAGCTCTGAGGGCGGGTGCTCTTCTCCACCTGCTAATAACTTCTGGTGGCTGAATGTAGGGTGGGCCCATGTACAGTATTTGGAAAACATAAGTGCTCAATAAATATTATGTAGCAGTAGTAACAGTAGTAGGAGTGGTATTTGTAAGGAGCCATTGAACTGCTAAGCTTCCCTGGAGCCCTCCAGCCTGCCCTATTAACAATGAGAATATGGGTAGGAATTGCTGCAATCCCTGGGAAACACAGTATTGAGAGCAGAGGACTTACTAAATCTGTAAGTAAATCACATGGTATTTGAGGATCCATAAAGTGTTACAGTTGATAAGTACCATGCTGGCCTCTGTCTGATGTGAAGCCAGTTAGGAATCAGAAGCCCCTGACCGGGTGCAGTGGCTCATGCCTGTAATCCCAGCATTTTGGGAAGCTAGGTAGGCAGATCATTTGAGGTTAGGAGTTCAAGACCAGCCTGGGCAACATGGCGAAACCCCGTCTCTACTAAAAACACAAAAATTAGCCAGGTGTGGTGGCGGGTGCCTGTAATCCCAGCTACTGGGGAGGCTGAGGCAGGAGAATCTCCTGAACCTGAGAGGCCAGTGTTGCAGTGAGCCAAGATGACACCACTGCACTCCAGCCTGGGTGACACAGTGAGACTCTGTCTCAAAGAATAAAAAATAACCAATGTCCCCACATAACTTTTACTTATATAGGTTATATCCATCATCTTTCCCATGTTAGAAATAAATAGGAAGAAATATTTTAAGTATTTATTTGAAAATAATAGGCCCATTCATATTAGTATATATAGCATTTTTATAAAAATAACTATATTTACCAAAATAAAATAAATTAGTGAGACTAGTAGGCCCATTCCCACCAGGAACCAGCAGCATGGACTCTCTAACCAGAAACCTAAAGCTAGGCCTGGTTTTCCTATTTGCCTTTTAGCCTGAAGATCATAAAGGTGTCTATCTTCTTACTTGATCATTTTTCCAGTTTATTTATTTTTTCTTCTTTCTGTTACAATTCCCCAGATCACCCCCCGCCCCCAAACAATACTATTAGCAATCCCTTAGTGAACCTTGCCTAAAATAGTACATGATTAAATAGATGGATGGATAGATAGGTGCTAGATAGATACATAGATAATAGATACATAGATGATAGGTGGAGAGAGATGATACACACATACATGCATACATATATGCATACATAGACAATAGGTTGATAAATTTATTTTTACCTAAATGGGGGCATGCTATGCATACTGGCCTGCCCCATTGCTTTTTATCCTTAACAATGTATCTTGGAGATTATGTCATAAGAGCACATGTAAATCCACCTCCCCTTTTCTCCCCCTAATTTACTTTGTGACTCATTCCCCTCCTTAGTGGAACTTCGCTAGATGAATTTCACTTACATCTTTCTCTCATACACTTCCCCTGCATCCTGATCTTCTTCCTTTTAAAGCTCATCGCACTCTGCGATGAGAAGCAGTCATGTGATGCTGACACTTGCTACATGCCAGGCAACATTTTAAGATTTTGTATTAACTCATTTAACCTTTGCAGTGATCCCATAAGGTAGATACCAGTAGGGTCTGTGACCTTCCAAGGGCCACACAGCTAGAAGTAACAGACTGGATTCAAACCCAGGCACTGTGGCACCAGAGTCCCTGCTTCTTGTCACTGTGCTATGCTTCCCTCAGTACTGCTCTGATGCAGTAAGTACTCGATGTCTTTCTCACCAGACCAGACGGTAAGGGGTTGTTGACATTGTCCACTATCAAATCCCCTAACAGGCGTTGCATAAATATTTGGAATTGAATGCCAGTAATGATACCACATTCTAGAGGCTCCCTACTATGGGTCACTGTGCTAAGCATTCCACATATATTATCTCACTTAACCCAGCAACTCCAGGAAATCCTTTACCCATAATTATCCAAATCTTACAGATGAGGAAAATGAAGAGGTATTATACCTAGTAAATTAGAGAGGCAGAGTTGAACCCAGGTCCATTTGAATTTAAAGCATGCACTTAACCTCTACACCAGACCAGCCACTCTCTCTGAGAGCCACCAACATCCTCCCCTCCTGGAATCCCACCTTCACAGGATGCTGAACACCCAGAACCAGCTCTAGAGCAAAAGCTCCTGCAGCAAACTTGCTACAGTTCCTACTATTCTAGAAAAAAAGGTGCCAAAGTTGTTATTATTATTAAAGAAGTGTCTCTCCCTACCCAGAGCTGCATTAGCACCCAAGGCAGTTAAATTGTAGTGCATCATAAGGCACCAAATATCATCTCAATTGTCACAACACATTCATGTGCTTGAAAAGTGAAAAGGGTACAAGCTTGCCACTCAGCCAGTCTTAGTACTTAATGTCTTGAAATTGGCGAAGAGAGGAAAATCCTAGAAAGACTTTCTTTGGGGTAAAGCTAACTGGCACACATTTACTGCAAATCCAATAGACTAGTTTCCCCATCTAACATAATTTATCTTGAAACACCACAGGTGGCCTATATTAAGAACAGCACTGGCCCTGCCACAGGACTGGCAACGCCACGGTCTCACACTGCCCTCTGCAGCCTGGCTGCAGTCTTCACAATGCTCCCTCAACCTGCCCAACTGTCACAGCTTGGGATGTCGTACACATACCTCCAGTCCTTCAGGTAGAATCACTACCTACCTTTAGTCTAGAGACCAAAAATAAAATACCACTTAACTTGGTGCTTACACAGGTACATTTACAGCCATGATTCTTCCCTCTAGGGCTGGTGTGTGTGAAAAGCACACCTTTGGGGGCTCATTCATAACACTCTTTTCCAATAAGAGGATTAAATTAGGAAGACATTTACCCAGATTGGTCTCATTTACTCACCCTAGTCTCTCCCTGAAGCCCCTTCTTTCTACAATACAGTATGCAACCCCTAAGGAGAAGGCAGGTGCCATCGAGGTCAAAAATACATTGGGTGAAGAGCAAAATAATCCAAAGGAAAGAAAGACAATGCTCTGCAGACTAAACCTATTATCCAAGAAGAAAAATCTTTAACAGATGTATATGCTGAAAGAAGACCAAATATCTGTCCTAAAACCCAAAATACATACATTCATGAAGACTGTTTTAAAATCTTTTATCTAGGATATATTTTAATATATTTGTATATATATGCAAATGTGTATATACATATGTTTATGTTGTGTATGTGTATATGTATGTGTACGTATATGTGTAGGTTTATGTGTGTATATGTATATATTCTCCTAGAAAACCTCTTAGGTTGGCTGGAAACGAGCTATCTTTGTATTTCGACATGCAAGAAAGGTAGTATGGGCCAGGTGTGGTGGCTCACACCAGTAATCCCAGCACTTTGGGAGGCCGAGGCAGGCAGATCACTTGAAGTCAGGAGTTTGAGACTAGCATGGCCAACATGGTGGAACACCATCTCTACTAAAAATACAAAAATTAGCTCGGTGTGGTGGCAGGCGCCTGAAATCCCAGCTACTTGGGAGGCTGAAGCAGGAAAATGGCTTGAACCCTGGAGGTGGAGGTTGCAGAGTGACAAGATCATGCCACTGAGCTCCAGCCTGGGCAACAGAGTGAGACTCCATCTCAAAACAAACAAACACACACACACACACACACACACACGCACAAAGATAGCATAAACCTTCTTGGCAAACTTACCACCAACATGCCAGATATTCTTATAAATGTCCTATCCTCCATACCACCCTCACTCTCCACAGACACAGACACACACACACCCCTTGTACATGCCTGCATTGCATTCTGCAAGGCCGTCTGTGAGAGAGCTTTTCTGGGAAACCACCTTTAAACCACAGGCAAACAACCAGTTCCACACCATTCCATGTCAGGTTGTCAGGCACTTTCTTAACTGAGCTTTTAATCCAAAGTTGTTTTTTTTTTTCTTTTTTCACTACAAAGTTAGAAGAAAAACAAATGAGAGTCTGCTGGGGGTTGGGAGGAGATCTTCACCTGGAAGAAGAGAGAAGACAATGCCCAAGTTTGCAACCTTCAGGGATGGGGTCAAAAGGGGCCTATGAAAGGGTGGGAAATATTCCAGAGTTGCGGATCAAGGGAGGGCTCCCGTCAGTATCCAAGGCTCTTCAATCTCTGTCCAAAACCAATGTCTCATCCTCTCAAGCTTTCAAGCTCCAACCCAGGTCTCCCCAGCACAGCTACACTGTTTCCTGGACTCCTCTCCCTTCTCTAGCATCCACTTGTGCATTCCCCAGCCCTTCCTGTCCTTCAAGATGTAGCCAAAACCCCTCTTTAGTGAAGATTTGGGTGACCACTCCAGCAAGATCTGTTCTGCCTGCGGGCAGTCCTTGTTTGCCTTTTGCTGCACCCATGGAGATCGCACTGTCTAGGGAGCTCTCATAGGCATGCCCTTCATCTCACTAACTAGACTGCATGTTGCCTGAGGCTGGGCATTGGGTACTTCACGTGCTGACTGCTTGGTTCCCTGGCTCATGCTGGCTGGGTCAGCCGGGGCTCCACGGAGCAGCCGCAGATCTACTCTGAGTAGCGATCATCATGTCCAGCACAATTCCAGGCATTTTCTGGGCACTTGGTACACTTTAATTAAATGAATGAACAAAACAAAACACTGGCAGGAAAAAAAACGGAGAGTGACTGCCTGAGGTCCAATATGCTAGGAAATATGTCAGTCCACTGATAAACTCCAGCTACTCAGCAAAGGGAAAAGATACTGAGAGGCCAATTTAAAATGATTTGATAGCTTTGCCCATTGCTCCTTATTGTACAATCACAGTCATAAAGTTAGTCCAATCGTTTGTAATCTAAACACACACATGCACACACAATCACTCCATTGGCAGAAACAGATCTGTCTGGAGTTTCCAAAATGTCAGTACCTCCCCACGTTACCAGAATCTTCAAAGCTCCCAAGGGAGAGGCATTGGAGAAAGGATGTTTTTTCAGAGTCAGATCTTTTAGTAGGACAATACCACCCAGTAGGTTAAGAGAGGGCACGATTTACAATTTATTCCAAATAATGAAGTCTGTGCCCTTTGTTTCCCAATAGGAAAGCCTTCCTCTGATTCTAAGGACATTCCACTCTCACCTTCCAATGTTCCCCTTTCTATTCCGATTTAAAAGCAAATAAACAAATAGAAGCAAAGAAAAGAAAGGAAAAATAAAAGACCACTAATAGCCCATGATGTCCAGCCAGGTTTTCCAAACATCCTCTGGAGAGCGTCCATTTTAGGGACGAGATTCTAGTTTGCCTCAGCTCTTCAGCATTCACGCTACCTTTAGAGGGAAAGTCCTAGGACACAGGTGAGAAGGTATGGGGCCTTTCAGGGTTTTCTTGGATTTCTGTTTTAATTTTGTCAAAGAAGACCAAAGAGCCCTGGAAATTTTACCCTCTGCCTCCCATTAACCACACATATTTATCCAGAGCTGCAGGAGGAGCCGTTCTATTCATTTTGCCCTTTGGGTCAATTGATGGATATGGTCACCCAAGGTCTTAGATTAAAGCATCGTGTCAGATCATCCAAACTGTCCAGCACTTGGAGCAGCTGCAATAAGCTACTTTTTAGAGTGTCAATAATTTAAAGGGGAAAAATGTTTTTCAGAGAGATTCCATTGCTTCAGAATCATAAATGGAATTATACCATGTTTCAACCTGACAGCCCCACATGTCAGCAGGAGAGAACAGCTAAAACTTTTGTCAACATCCAAATCCATTATTTTATTATTAAGCTACATGGATTTGCACCTCACCAAGGGATATCTATTCCCAATTCCATTTGTTCTAGGCTGTATTAGTAACCAAGTTAGCACATTCAGAAAGAAAGAGAGAAAGACAAAGAGACCGAGACAGAGAGAGTGAGGAAGGAAGGAAGGAAGGAAGGAAGGAAGGAAGGAAGGAAGGAAAGAAGGAAGGAAGGGAGGGAGGGAGGAAGGGAGGGAGGGAGGGAGGGAGGGAGGGAGGGAGGAGGGAAAGAAAGAGGGGAGAGAGATTTATTACAAGAATTCTTGTAGGGTGGGGTGTCTCTCCAAATTCAAAGCCAAAAATATGCAGCCAGACTTGAGAAATGGCTGAATGACTGAAACTACGGGAAGGAAAATAATTAGAAACCCAGGAAACAATTTTTCTGCTGCATTCTCTCTCCCTCCCTCCCTCTCTTTCCCTCCCTCTCTCCCTTTCTTTCTCTCTCTTCCTTTCTCTTTCTTGCCTTTCTCCCTTTCTCTCTCCTCTCTCCCTTTTCTCTCTCTCCTGTCTCCTTCTCTCCCTTTCTCTCTCCTTTCCTCTCTCCCCCCACCTCTTCCTCTCCTCCACCTCCCCATTCTCCCACCTCTCTTCCTCTATCTCTATGACAGCACATGGCTCAGTCTGTTCCAAGTGTCCACACATGGTCCCATCAGACATGGGTTGGAGAGTGGGGTCACAGTCATGTGCCCAAACACGGCCATTACTCTCACAGATTGAGAAGTTCTGGCCATCGAACTGAGCAGACTTCTGAAAAGATACTGACCACATTAACAATTTCAAGCTATTGGAGGATGAGGACATAGTATATAAATTAGAAATTACTCTACAACTAAGGGTATCTTACCCATATCTAGACCATGGCAATTAGGAATTTATTCAATGTATTACACATTGAAACATTATAATGGTGACTACAAGTTGCATTTAACATATGAATATATCCCAGAATCAGCCTTATAAGAAGGAGCAGGTAATATTTGTGTGGAGATATTTGAGGGAGCCCATGAACGGGAAAGGATTGTCCTGAACAAATAAGAAGGGCTAGAGGGGAGTGAAAGTGCGAAGAAACCACTATAAAAGGAGGTAACCGTCATAGTCTGAAAAGTAAGCTACTTTATTTTAAAATCCTTCTGGGAAACTACCATGCTATTATGTGTCAAAAAGCCGTAAGTAATCATAGCCTGCAGATTTATCTCAATATTTCTCCAAAAAGGAAATAATGTATGGTATGAAGATATTCATTGTAGTATTTTATGATAATGAAAAATCCTAAACATTCTGAGTACCCAAGGATAAGGATACAGATTAGCAAATTATGGTATATCCACTTAGAAGATTGTACATTCACTGAAAATGATCATTATAAAAATTAGGTGGCAAGTTGGAGAAAATGCCCATCAAAAAATACTAACCTAAAAAAAAGCAAGTTATGAAATTATATGAATGTTAACATTAAATGTATATTAAATATGTTTCTGTGGAACAAATAAGAAATCCTTATAATTGAAAATATTTGTATGACAGTCTCTATTTTAGCGACTTTGTATGGCAGTACCATAGTATTTAGAAAATTATTTTCTAATTTACAAGCAGTGAGCCCTGCTGGTTCCTCATCTTCAGCCTTCAGTCTTCACCTAGCATACGTCTTTTGCTCAGAAATGTAACTTCCAGTAACAAGCTGAAATTCCTGCTTCCCAGGAAAACCCACTGAAACCCAAACTCTCAGGGCAACATCTCCTCCTCCACTACAAGCCGTCTGCCTCTATGTCCATCCTACCTGAGGACAACTTGGACCGTTCAGAAACCAAAATGGATGGATTCCTGGAAGCTCCAACCCAACTAAGAAAGAAGCCAGACACCCCCAGCAGCAGATGGTTTAGTCTTACAGTTTTTATTTATTTTCTCTACACACCAGGAGAGGTTAGCTGATCAACTGGTGAGGAAGAGGGGGTGGGGGCTGGCCTTCTCTGCTTAAGAAAATGTCTGTTTGGCAGTGTGGCATTCACACGGGCGAAATGTCACATCTTTTATGCCACCGGTCCAGGGGAAGCCCTGCCAGGGGAGTTTTTATCAGTGTAATTAACACAAAGGCCCCCTTCTGTCTTAAAAACACAAGCCTTGGGGACACCGTAAGATGAACTGGCCATTGTTTCTGCACAGCACAAAAACTCCTTCCCCACTCCCACCCCTCCATCCCATTTATGGGGTTTCATTAAGGCCCACGGGTGTCCCTAACTTATTTATTTAGGAAACACTGTTATTGTCTTAATGTAAACAGAACTCAAGATCAGTTGACAGTTGGAATGGTCCAGCAAAAAGGTTTTCAAAGGCGCCTCCTTGGAAAGGGGTCTCTCCATTCAGCCCCCAGTTCCTGTATCATACTGCCAGCACTGTTCACAAAATAAACAAATGTTTGTTTTACAACATGGCAAAGGGGGCTCCCATTCAACGCTGGCCAGATATGAAAACAAACTTTCACATATAAGGGCTTTTGATACACATGACTTACTTGGATGACAAGGGGCTCGGCTGGGGAGTGCTTAAAGCTTATTAATATTGCACAAAAGACTTTTGTTTATCATTTCGCCGGACTGCCTGGGAATCACAAGACTCAAGCCGCCACCCGGCTGGTGTCCTCGCATTTCAGCAGCCGTAACGTGTGGAGATTGCGAAAGCACTGCTGGTTTGAAGCCAAAAACAACCTCTCCACAGACCCAGGTGAAAGAACTCCAAACTGCCGGCCTCTGAGAACCAGACTTGGAATTTATTAAGAGTAAAGGGCCAAGAGCTCCCCCTACGGGTAGAAAAAAAAATGGATGCCTTGAACCTGCCTGTTTGCAAGGGGGTAACTTCCAGAAAACGTGGAACCCACAGCCTGACATTTCTTCTAGGGACATTTCTTCTTCTATTCAAAAAGCCTGGGTCTCTGGAGAACAACTTTTCCTTTTTCTAGTTGACCAGCTCTATTCCCAGAACGTCTAACGAGACATTAGCACTCTAAAACACTCATGATCAAAAATCAGTCCTTTAAAAAATAATAATAATAATCAGTTATTTAGGCACTGGTTTGTTAAACTGGGAAGGGAATAGAGTAAATCAGATACGATCTCTGCCCTCTAGACTTACTCTGTCCAATACAGGAGTCACCAGCCACGAGTGGCTATTGGCCACTTAAAATGTGGCTAGTCCAAATTGGGATATTCTGTAAAAAAAAAAAAAAAAAAAAAAAAAAAAATGTATAAAATATCTCATTGATTTTTCACATTGACCACATGTTGAAATGATAGTATTTGGGATAAATTGGGGTAAATTAAATATATTAAAGTCAATTTCACCTTTTTTAATGTGGCTGCTAGAAAATTTTAAATTATGCATCATACACATTAGATCATATTTCTACTGGACAGTGCTGTCTAGACAGTTATATAATTATTAAGGCTTGTAAAAAATAGTGAAATCTTTAGCCCATGATATTAGTGATTTGTGCCAGCTGAGTTGATTTTTTTCTTAAGTACATTTATTCAATTCATTTACCAGAATCTCCTGAAAAAAGGGGAAAGTTAAAAAAAAAAAAATACACACACACTATGGCAGGCTTCCCTGCAAATTTTAGTTTGTTTTATTTAAATCTCAGCAAAATGGAAGTAAAGACTAGGGTTTGGGTTAAGGTCACATATGTTGAAAAAAAAAAAAAAGGTTTCAAAAGGAAATATGTATTTTATCTTTACAAACCCCTTCCTTCTGGCTATACTCTTTGTGTATTTAACTACAAGTAATTCCAAGAGGAAAAAATTCCTTCTACCAGAACCATCTTGCAAATTTGTTTTCAGGTCATTAGACAGAAGACATTTACTTTTTCCCTCCTCTCACAACTTCACCTACCTACTCAATCCCGGTTTTTAAGCAAATTTGGGATATGTAAGATAAATAGGATTATGTGAGTAATATGTGGCCCTAAATATAGTCAGACCACCAACTTACCATAGCATTTAGACAACCCACTGAAAACTCACTAATGGTGGCAACGTTGCCATCCTAATTTCTGAATTCAGTTTAAATTGCACCAGCAGCTGCCTTTGATAAACATACTCAGATCTGGCCCACGACCACCAAACCCACCCACCCATAAGAGGAAGACCAGCAGAGAATTTTCCTCTTCCCTGGGTCTGCTGTCTCAGATCTGTCCTGCTTATTTTGGTCCCAGGAATGTGCCAAGATACCACTGAAAGATTAACTACCTCTTTGAAGGGACAGCAATTCAAGGATTATAGGAATCTTTCTGAAATTTCTCCCTGAAATTTAGCCTTAAAATTATGTCAAAAGTGGGTATAACTCTACAAGGCCCAAAGGCAAATGTCAAGAGGGTGCTCCTATAATATAAAGACACAGTGAGCCAACAAGTGCCTGGTGCCCTCTAGGCCTCTTCCAGTACAGGGTATTGTTAAGCCAAAGGTGGATTAGATTAGCCCAGCAAATTGCAACGTTCATCTTTGAGATTACAGATGAAATTGCTAGAGGAAAAAAAAAACTCAAGCAAACAAGGATTTTGGTCACAAGTTGGAACAAATATGGGCTCCTGCTGAATAGCTACACAGAGAAAAATTTGGAGTAGTACCCAAGACCCTCATCATTCTCCCCACAGACAGAAATGATGGCTCTGGGAAAGAGAGGCTGCAATCCCACCACATGAACTGTAGATCTGGGCTACGGTATTTGGAGGGCACTGGAGTGGGACAGGATATTCACCGAAGATATTTACTAGTATGATTTTCCATCTGGCCTTATTATTCTGGCATGGCTGCCAGCACCTTATAATCCCAGCATTGTATTCGCAAGCAATTCCTCTGCTCATTAGCAGAAGCTGAGTCCAACTCTGCTCTTGTAGGGGCTTGTGAATCAGCATAGACCAACAGACAGCGTTTCCAGGAGCTAGCTGCAAAGAAACAAGGACGCTACTCATTGAGGGGAAGGCATCTGTATCAGTTAGGAATTGCATTTGACTGTTAGTAGCAGGGGCTGGATATAACAGTGATTAAATAAATGTGCTTCCTCCTCGTGTGAAGGAAGTCCTGAGCAAGGCAGTCCAGGAGGACATGGAAGTGCTGGAGTGTCAGGATCCTTCTATCTTTATGCTCCATCACAGTTAGCACATGGTTTCCATCTGCAACACTGTCTCATGGTCTAAGATGGCTGTTGGCTGGGCCTCCAGTAGTCACATTTATATCCAGGCATGGAGCAGAAAAAAATGGGAAGAACAAAAGGAAGTACATGTCAGCTATTGTTCCCTTCTCAAGCTTTCCTGGACATCCCACTGAGCCACTTCTTAATTTAATTTGCTAACTTCTAGCTACAAGAGAAGCTGAGCACATTGTCCCTCAAATAAAATCCAGTTCCTGTTGTAAAAGAACAGTAGGAAGAATAAAATGAACATCAGGTTGATCCCTGGGTTGCTTCAGAATCATGCAAAGACATCTGTAAAGGAGAGTTACTTCCAGCTTAGAATGTTTATTTCAGCCTTGACAACCACATTAACAATAAGCATCATAACCACTGGGTCACAGTACACTCTCGGGACCCCTGCCTTTGATTGGATGGAGGAATTCTTTAAGATTATTTGAAACTTGTGCTATCTCTCCATAAAGTTCCTCCATAGGAATGACATTGTTCCTGGGTCACATCACTGTCAACATTTACAAGTCATCATCTGTGAACTTGATAAAGAAATTAAGTCCCATTATTGGGTTAAGATTCAACTGTCTCACTCTGTTGAACATAGTGTGACTAAAATCAAACAAAGTGCTAAACAAGTGGCCAATGTACAAATACAAAAAGTGACATGGGCAACTGCCACATCTAACCAGATCATGTCGACCCTGATTTGTCACGATCACCTGGAAATGTCAAGTGAAAGTAGCAGTTTGGTTTTAGGATACTGGAGAATAATAAAGTACCACGTATAAGGAGGTATTTAATAAAAGGAATTGGATTATAATAATGAAGATATGAATCATGATGATGATAAGTGGATGATAAATTACTTTAACTCTTCACTCCGTGGGCACATGCCCACAAGAGTGGGATCTTCAATTTATATGGATCCCTTTAATTTCTACTACGCTTCACAGTTTTCAGGCAATTTTATCTCATCTATGCCTCAAAACTCGGAAGGACAGACATTATTAATAGTAGTGTTTTTAAACTGATGGGATAGAAGCTCAAAAATAGCAAGTGACATATTCAAGTTGTCACAGTGGATAAAGGCAGAAAGCCAGCACTAAAACCCCACCCTTGCCTGTAGGCTGGGACTCTGAATTATACCTCTCGAGCAGAACACATAAGCTTTAAACTACTTTATGTTTTTGAACCCTGATGTTATTTCTTGAAGATTTTAAGGTCTTTAAATGAATGGGTTATGTCTTTTTTGTCACTGAATTTGCCTGTGCGCAGAACAGAACCTTGTATACAATAGGAGAAACTCTCAATTAATGTTTATTAAAGATAATGATATATGGACTCAGCATATGGTGAGATCAGCAACATCTATTAGCATAAGAAGGGGCTGGAAAAAATGAAAGTGAGCCTAACCTCAGTCTACCAAGAACACAAGGACACTGTCTCTACCTTTGGTGTCTGGATCTTGGGTGGGAGAGGGTGATCAAAATTTGACCTCAGTGTGCCAGAGTCATTTTATCTATAACATAAGGAGATAGGACTGGAAAATTTCCGTGAGACCCTTCATTATTAGAATGCCATGATTCTAATCGCCACTTGAAAGTTCCTGAGAAAAGAACCATGTGAATGGCAGAGAGATAAGGTACTACGGTTCAAATCTTCTCTGGTTCTTTATGAAAAGCTTTAAGTCTCAAAATATCTGCTCTGCCTTTTCTTAATAAGTTGTGCCCATGCAAATCCCTATTCTCTCAATGTAAGCACAATCACCAAAAAAGAGAGACAACTACACCCTAGTGAGAAGCTCCACAAATACACTCTCTGGAGGTCTCCCTGTCAGGTTCCTACTTCCACCTACACCCTTTATCTCTAAGTCTCTGCCATCACTGATGCTGAAAGACATTTTTTTTAAGGTAGGATCTTCTAAATCCAGCCCTCTGTAAATCCTTGCCCCAGATCTGAGCAAACTAATTCTTTAGGTTAAACCCAATCTTTCTATCTCTCCAGAAATGTGGGAGAATCAAAGAATCAAAACTCAAGAATTCTCATGGCCTCCGTGTTAAAAATAGCCGTGTCTTCAAAAGATTCTGACGTCAGATTTCAAATCCCAATTCTCAGTCCATCCCATTGAATCATCCATCATTTAAAATGTAAGAAAATTTTCACACAGGTCTTTCCTGCCTCAGTAGTCAACCCAACCCAGCAAAAGCCTCACACAGCATTCTATCCTCCAAGTCATGTTTTGGCTGATGGCCCATGGAAATCCCCTTTTAAGGAAAAAGAGAAGAAAACTAAAAATATGAGAGTAGTCAGCCACTCTCATACCACCCTTGAAATAAATCACCAATGCCCAGAATTCCCTCTTCTTCTCTAGTTTTAGATAACTATGTATTATAGTGGGAGATGATGATGATGACATTGATGACAATGATGATGATGTGAGCAATAACAATGAACATTTTTGAACATTATCTACACTGTCCTAAGTGCTACAGATTTATTTTTTCCATTTAATCTTAACAACTTTCTCCACTAGTATTATTAAACCTATTAGTTTCCTCATTTCACAGATAAGGCAACTGAGAATTAGAGAAGTTAAGTAACTTGTCCATTGCTCTGGAGCTGAAAGACAGAATTCAGACCCAGATATGTTTGATTCTAAATCCTCCAAACATTTGACTTTCCTACTTCTCAGAGACGGGAGGCAATAGTGAAACTGAGGGGATTGTGCAGAGCCAGGAGAGGGTGTAGAAGAAGAATCTCAGGAGTGAGAGCTGCAGAAACAGGATCGCATCAGAAGCTACCCCTAAGGAGGAGAGGATAAGCACAGGAATGCCATTTAGACAATTATTCTTAAACCAGATTAAACCCTGAAAATCCATTAAATTGGAAGCATCACTCTCATTTTTTTTATAACCAAATTTAAGAATGCCAACTTTTGGGGAAATTCCATAATTTGCAGATACTGAAATAGTAACAATAACAACTAAAAACACCAATTTCCTTTCTTTCTTTTACCACCTGTGGACCTTATGGGGTAAGGGGCAGATGGTAAATTTGGGGGGAGGCTAGTCTATTTTGAATGTTTATTTACAAGGCTACATTCATGCCATCCACCAAACACCATCTGCTGGGCTATTTCTTCCATGAAACTAGAGCATTTTGTTCCATAGCAAATAAAAGTGCGACCAGAATTCTATCAGCATGCTGTGTTTGGGAGAGCACCAACACTTTTCAAAACCAGCTTTAATCTTTCTCCAAGTCCGATGCAAAGAAGGCTCCCCTAAGAACAGTAACCCAGTCAACACATTCATTCATTCATTCGCAAACTCACTTTGAAAGAAAGCTGGCCCGCGTGGGCCAGCCAAATGTGGAAAGTTAATTTTACAACATGAACTGTTTTCACCCTGGGCCAAGAGACAAGTATAGGCACCATATGACCTGGGTCTGATTTAGTAGTATCTCGGGACTCAGAAACATGAGGGTATTTCAGCAAGGAGCCCCCACCTTTTCTATCCCCCCTCACCAACCATCCACTAAAGCTTCCAAAGAATGTCTTTCATGTTTGCTGCATTCACTTCACAACGTGCTCCTGGTGCCTGTCCTTGAATTCTCGGCTCATTGCTCCTGAATCAAGGGAAGTCAAGTTGAATCTTTCAAAATGGGAGCCAGCAGTGGGTAAGCACATCAGCAGCAGGGCAGGAAAATCCACCCCCATCTACTCTTTGTAAAACTCTAAGTCCTGTTTGTTATTCTTAAGAGATGGAAGGCAATGTAGTTTAGAGAGAAGAGCCTTGGATTCAGAATCAGGAGATCTCAGTTTTACTTCTAGCTCTGCCACTGACAAGCTGTGTGGATTTAATAAATCATTTAATGTCTCTGGCCTCTGGGTTGGTCATTTATAAAATGAGGAGGTGGCACTATAATAAATACCTCACACTAAGACTAGAGCTTGTATTGATGCAAGTTAAGAAGCAAAACCTGCACAGAGTGAGTGTGGCGGCTACAGGGTGAATGAGGAGGGGATGGCCCTCTCAAGAATTTATAGTTCTTCATGAATATGTAACCTAAAGAAGAAACCCCAGAATATCAGAGTGAGCTTTACATAAGCACAGGCCATGTTGCGTGGTTCCTAGTTTTGTGGCTACTCCAATAGTGGTGTGGGGAGCGAGCTTAGGAAAGTAGAACAGAGCAACGGTTAGGACCAAGTCTTTGGAGTGGTTCTAGACCTGGATTCTGTCCCTTACATCCTCCATGACCGTGGCCTGTTATTTATTTCTTAAACCTTAACTTCTGCATCTGTGCAATGGGATAACGATATCTACTTCTGGTGGTATACTCACACTGGCTCACAAAAGCCAATGGTAAAATTCTGTGGCCTTTTACCAGCTGGTTGACACCACATTGGTGGTTTGAAATAAGCTGTGGTGGGAGTATTTGCCACAGAAGTCAGCCAATGCTACAAATCCAGGCATCTCCCCTGGTACTCCTCCAGAACTGGGTTTTAAACATTTTCATCACACCACTGCCTACCTCTCAGCACTGTTGTAAGGATGAAGTGAGGTGATGTACACAAAGTGTTTAACACAATGTTTGGTGCATGACAAGAAATGGGAGCTGTTATTATTGTAGCTATTAGTGACTCAGGGATGCCCTCTGTCTTTTCATTTCTTGCTACTCTTACCACTCTTCTCATAAGCCAGATCTTATGCTACTTTCTGGAGATCCAGAGAGCATGCCCCTGCAGTAAAAGGCTTTTCTACCCAACTCTTATTTGCTTGTGGCCTCTCATTCAGCAGATATGAATTGAATACTTACTCTGCACCCAATCTGGCACCAGGCATTGCAGATACAAACACGATTGAATAAAACTTGCCCCTAGATTTGAGAAGTTCAGAAACCCTTTGATGGACAGGATACAACTGAGTCTGGGAAGGGTACCTTTTACCAACAATGTGGAAATCAAAGAAAGGCAAAAGCTGTTCCCAACGGCACAAACCCTTCTGCCACCTGGTATCCCAAGGCCTTGGAAGCAAGAAGCCTCCAGGGTAACTTTAGGTACAAAGTGAAACCACCTTCTTTAAGATGACATAATTATTAGAACTACAGGCACTCAATTAGCTCTCCTCCTCTCCCTGTCCTGATGGCATTACCCTAAAATTGGCAACATTCTTCCCCACTGGCTACGATGGTTGCATGTATGCCGCCTGGAAACCAGAAATGTGTAACATCAAGTCTGGCCCCTCGCCAAATTTCTACAGGGCATTAGTAACAAACTGGTGAAGCTCATTAAAAAAAGAGAGAGAAACCTATAACCATTAAAAGTCCATTAAGCAGCCTGTCAGTTTGTAGAGCTAAATAGCCCACAGTAATCAAAAGCATATGAACCCCAGCTGGGATACCCAGTGAATTGTTTCGATTTAGGGGAGAATTCATCAAGAAAGATTGTTCTTGGGATTGGGTTGATTTTTCTCCTTCAGTTCCTGGCCCCACGTTCCATTATAATTAAAGTGATTGATGCACCTCCCAGACAGAGGTGAGCAGTGACCACCAGAGCCAAAACATCTGCTCCTTCCAAGCAAACAGTTAATATGGAACTTGAGTCAAAAGGCACGTAATTTGAGGTTACCCTTCCACTGTCAATTAGGTATGGCACAGTCAACTCTTTGCTGTCTGGCTGGGTTACATCTAGGTTATCTCTGAAATTTCTCTTTCCAACCATAGAAGGACTTTTATCCATACCCAGGTTAGGGTCAAGAAACAAAGAGCTAAGTCTGAGGCCAAGAAGTGATGATCCCTAGAAGGGGAGATAGAAGATCCATCCATCAATTAATGAAATGTCTTCCTGCCCATTGATGGACATTTGTTAATTTCAGAAATACAGACTCAATCTTTCCAATTTACCACAATCCCTCTACCTCTTTTCATCACCTCCCCAGCCCTGCAAGGTGTACCCTGGCACCACTCCATTGCTCATTAGCGCCTCCACAGGTGGATGACCACATGCTGAGGAAGGAGGTAAAACTCAAACAGGAGGTTTATGAGAGCACATTAGCAGTTTTGGCTCTGACATAAGAATAGTGAGAAATGAGAGAAAAATCAATGACTCAACACAGGTTTAGGAGGTAACTATAGGAATTACTGCTCTATGCTCATCTACTCTACCATGACACTAGATGAAAGCAAAATGTTGACAAAAAATGGAAAAACTAAGGTGATGTTCAAATTCAAAAGGGCAGTTGAATCTGAGAGCAATTATTGTTCCCTTCAGATATTTTTACTATCACTGCTTTTTATTTTAACTTTTCCCCAAAAGACCCAAAAGTTTAATTAAAAAAAAAAAAAGTAGGCTGGGAATGGTGGCTCATGCCTGTAATCCCAGCACTTTGGGAGGCCGAGGCAGGAAAATTGCTTCAGCTCAGGAGTTCAAGACCAGCCTGGGCAACATAGTGAGACCTCACCTCTACTAAAACTCAAAGAAAAATTAGTCAGGAGTGGTGACCCAAGCCTGTAGTCCCAGCTACTTGGGAGGCTGAATCAGAAGTACCGCTTGAGCCCAGGAGTTCAAGACTGCAGTGAGCCATGATCATGCCACTGTACTCCAGCCTGGGCAACAGAACAAGACCCTGTCTCAAACAACAACAAAGTCATGCTCAGTATAATCAACACTCCTCCATCCAAAGCTACTCCAAAATCATCTAGTAATTTGATATACCACTTATTTATATTGATCCTTTTAGAGTCTTGAACTGTTAAATTTCTGCTTGTGTCCATCTCCCATCATTGACTGTATGTTTCTCAAGGGCAGGGACATCTTTTTCCCTGTGTCTTACAGCATCTTCTTAATAGAATCCTTGCAACTCAGAGGCCCTCACTAAATATTGACGGAGTGATCTTTCAGTGTTGCCAGGCTCAGCTTCCAATCTCTCAGGGACTGCCTGTACTAAATTCACCAAGCAGTTAATGAGCTCCCGTGCTGCCCACACAAACTCATTTGCCTTGGGAATGAAAACAAATCGATGCCCCCTTTATGCACTGAATTTGCTTAAGCATACATTGCAGATGATACATACATATGGTGTGCATGAAAGTAAATGCTCCTGCACCAGGCAGAGGCCCTCTAGCCTCTTCTCGGCTTCCCTATCCAAATTCTGCCCACCCTACAAGGCTGAGCTGTCCCCCAACTTCAACTAACAAGCCTTCACAGAACACCAGCTTAAAGATCTCTAGCTCCAAACAAGCAGTGGGCCTGGAACACAGTGAGTTCCATGAAAATATGAGCAAGAGAGTCAATGAGCAACATGAGGCATGGGTGGACAAGGTGGGACCAAGTTGAATGGAGTGAGAATGAGGTTGGAAAGTTGACTGCCAGATACGAAGTGAGGCGAACTCTTCACCCAGACCAGTGGAAGCACATCCTTCCCCCATCACTCCCCATGGAACATCTTAAGTTCAGGAATCAGGGGCGATGTGGCCTATTACTGGATGAGAGGAGTCTCTGACCCTTATGTTCTTTCTTCCTTGGATGTCCAATGGTGAAGGAAAAATAAACATATAAAAAGCCATAAATCCCCTTGCAAAAATAAAGGCTCCTTTTTAATGCCCAATAGTTAATGGCTTAAGTTAAATTCCAGACCCTTGCAAAAAATTTTGTAAGACCCCTTCCACCTCTTTGCTGCCTTGACTCCCACCCCTTCCAGAGGCAGAAAGGTTGCTAGGCTTTCTGTAGGTGGTTGATGAACATTTTTAGGGGGTGCTTACGTCCATATTAATAGCATTAGAACAAACACACCTTTTCAGATTATTTTGAAAACTATCCTGGGACACAGAATCCAGTTTCCCCTCCATAGAGTATTTTCTCCCAAGTCCACAGTTGTCTGCACAGTAACATTTTTGCCTGTACAACAACTCGTTTTGTTTTCACACTGCCTGTGTCCTGTGGCACTCAGGAGGTCCTGTTCTAAGAGAGGCAAGACTCTACCCTGTTCTGTTGCTAGCACAGGCTGTTCATGGCATCCCCTCCACTGTCCAAAATCCTCCTTCTCATGTGTCTTTGTCTCTGCAGGTGACCTGGCTGCTTAGGACAGTAAGGAAAATACGGTAGCAGAAGTCATGAGGAAAGCTGCTTCTGCTTTCAGCCTTTCAGCTCAGCTCCTTGCTAGCTGAGTGTCTTTGGCTCTCTGGACGTTTTTATGATCTGTAAAAAGAAAGAGCTACACTACATCATCTCTAAGTCCTTCCCAGCCCTGGCTTCGACCATCCTCACTACTCATTTTGTTACTTTCCACCGCCAATTCTCTTGCTCTGCCCCGCCTATGTATGTCAAGGGAAACACCGTGCCTGCTCCTTTGTAACCCTCATCTCCTATCTACATCCTGGGGTCTTTCTCTACTGCCCCCTCCATAGTTACCTCTACCCCTACCTTCAGTATCCCCCTCTCATTTAATTCATCCCCTCTGACTATCCACATGCTCAGATTTCTTCTCATCCAAAACCAAACAAGCGACCTCATTTGACCATACTACCCAGTCATTCTCTTGAGCTTCTCACCATCAAACTTCTTGATTGAATATCCTCTGCTGACATCTCCAGCCAGTTCCTTATCATCCACTCACTCCTCAGCCCTTTGCAAGCTGACATCTGCTTCTCACTACTCCACCCTCTCAAGATTTACCAGTGGCTGCTTCATCATCAGGACTGTTCTTCGAATACCACACTATCATAGATCCAATTCTCCAGAAGCAGAGCCTGAGATGACAGTTCATAAGCAAGTGGTCTATGAAGGCAGTGCCCCTGGGAGCTGGGGAGCAGGGCAGTGCAGGGGAAGAAGCCAAGCAAAGTCCTGCCAGGGAGCTCTAGTGTGTAAATTACACCTCAGAGTTGTCCCAACCTAAGGCAAGGGAGCTGGACTTTCACACTCCCCCAGAGGCAGTCACAGGCTAAGGGCTCACATAGGAGGTCAGGAAGTAAACTCCAGGCACTTCCTCCTCTCTGTACTCACCAGCCAAATCACTCCAGTAGCCTAGAGGCAGGCAGTCTTCACAAGAAGAGTCGCAGGTGTAGTCAGTTGGAGCCAAAAACACAACAAGGCTGGGCGAGGGACAGCCAGAAATACTAAAGGAGATCCAAGGGAAATTCATGGTACGCCAGCAGTGTCCGTTACCTCATGCTTTCTGTCTTTCTGCAGTGTTTGACAGTGTCAAACATGCTCCCTTATGAAATTTCCTCACCTTGGTTTTGTGAAGAGGACACCCCTGTCTTGCTGTTCCTCTCTTAACTCTGCTTCTTTTTGCTTTGTCCCCATTTCCCTCCCAGCTGCCCCCATATCTCTATTTTGGTCATGTAGTGACTCAACTAGCTTTACAGCTTTAATTACCACATCTAAAATCACTCACTCCCAAATTCCAACTCTGAATGAACTTTCTACTTGGATGTCCACCCAGCACTCCAAAACCAATATGTCCCAAAAACGGAATTATATTTCTTCTTCTGTGACTTAACCCTCAATTTAACTTCCCTGTCTGAGCATGTTCCTGAGCTATAACAAAAGGAAACAACTTTCACTCCTGTCTTTTCCTTGTCCTCATGCCCAAGCAGACCTGAATTTCCTCACATCTTTCATTTCGTTCCCATTTCCTGTGTCACCATCTTCGTTCAGGTCTTTATTGACTCTTGAGCATATTTTCTAAGCAACTTTTGAACTGGTTTCCCTGCCTCTCCCTGCTCCAAGTCATCCTCCACCTACTGCTAAATTAATCTTCTGAGAGTAACACCATGATCTTTTAACTTCTGCCACCCTACTTTTCAACCCTTCATTGGTTTTATTGTAGTAGAGACTTCTAGTACTCACCTATTCTGACTTCATTCTCCAGCCCTCTTGTAGCTGCATAGAACCATGCAATGAGTTTCGGATTGGGCTGTCAGTGAAAGGAACAATATCACTTCTAGACAAAGGCATTTAGAAGCAAGCATGCATTCTCCAGGCTCTCTTGCATTCTCCAGGCTCTCTTTTCCCTGCTGTGGTGACCCTGGAAACCAAATGTTGAGATGGCAGAGCCAAAGACGGAAGCACCTGGATCCCTGAATCACCATATGGAGGATGGCCTGCTGTCAGCCTGGAGAGTAGTCTCACTGATGTTAGAGTTTGTGTGTGCTAGAAGTAAGCTATAGTGTGAAAATATTCTGAAAATACTTTCGCTTTTTTGTTTTTATTTGTTTTTACTGCCAAATAGCCTGACTTGTCCTGGCAAATATAGTAATTTTTTCCTACTACCCTCAAGTCTAGATTATTTAGTTTTGTATCCAAATTTCTTTAGAACTGACCCACATTTCCTTCCAGGTTCTTCTATTTCCCTAAAACCATTCTGCCCTATCATACCTTGGCCATTAGCCTTTCATAATTCTTCTTGACACTTATTTGTCTCCATTACCTACCCGTCTCCACCCTCCATGTGCACACACACAGCTCCACTCCAACATTCAGCCTGTCCACTGTCTAGTCTCCCTTTAAGGTCCACATCAAGGATCGACAGATCACAGCCCATAGGCAAAATCCAGCCCTCCAACTGTTTTGTAAATAAAAATTTTATTGAAACACAGCCATGCCACAACCAGAGAGTTAAGAAGCCACAGCTGAGACCACCTAATCTGCAAAACCTAAAATCTTTACTATCTAGATATTGATTAAAAAAAAAAAAAGTTTACTGACCTCTGTCTAGAATATCATCTCTCCTGTCCCCAAGCTTCCACCTTCCCCACAAGCCACTGCTCAGAAGTGATTCTCCCCTTGTCTGCATTCCTGCAGTACCTAGTTGTATGTCTCCTGGATGTCAGACTAGCGGTAAGATCCCATGTCATCTTCCCTACTCCACTCTAAGCACCAGGGATGGCAGGGCATGTTTCCTGTTTCTTTTGGGTTCTCAGTGTCCAGCACCTTGGCTCATAACATTAATAGTAAGTATTCAGTGGACGCTAGAAGAAAACACAGACAACTCCTGAGACCTACAATGTATGAATGAGAAAAGAACAGGCAAGAAAAAGAACTCTACGAATTACAGTGCTAGAATTCGAACACAGGGACTTTGTATTTCAAACTCAGCAAACCCTGTTATATAAATTTGATGTTCATATAATTATTGCGGGACATTAAGCAATACCAAGTCTTCAGAAAATATATGTTTGCTTTTAACTTGAATAGTTTTGCTTTCCAATATGAACAATATGTAAATGACCTCTAAAGCAATGAATTAAAGTGTCAGACCCCACTCACAATTTTAAACAGTGCTCTTTTATTTCAGATCCTGTGGCAAACTGGAAATAACCATAAACAAGAAGGTGAATGGTTTCTTATAGCTAATACAATTAACTTCACAGCATTTGAAAAAAAAAAAAAACTTCATTTGCTTTTAAATGCTATTTTACAGATTGTTTCCATCATCACTACAAGCTACATTTTTTTAAAATTCTAACATTTATAAAGTATACAGAACTTCATAAAGACCCCATTTTCTGAATCACTTCCATGTGTAAAAGGACCCAGCCTAGTCTTACCTTTCTTCTCCAGATACTCACACCATTGCCAGGCAAGGTGCCTTCATCTCTGTGCCTGGCTTTGATTAATCAAAACAAGGACTCTGGCCACCCTGGTCTGCAGAACACCCAGGAGGGAAAATTATTTTGATAACTAAGCTGCTTCTTTCATGTCAGCCAAAGATTATAGAAGATTCTGCTAAAAAATATTGGGAGCTGAGACACATGTTCCTTGTTCAAAACCTCATCTAGTCATTGCTCAGCAAGGTATCACAAAGGAATGACCATTGCGAGGAGTAGCCGAGGGCAGTTTTCTCTCACCAGCTTTCATAGCTGTAAAAAGGCAAGACCCAAGCTCATGAAAGAAGTGTTGCCCAAAATCTGGACTGATACTGATTCACAGTTACCAGGGTAGGATAAGTATGAAAGTGACAGAAAGCATTTAGAAAGTTTATAGCAATTCAACATCCCCAGGACATCCAAGCTGCATGATTTTGTATTTTACTGATTATCAATCTGTAATCTATTTGAATTTTCTTAAATGTTCCTTTGCCACACAGGGTTTAAGAAGCACTGCCTTAGAGAGACAAGTATATATAATCCAGTGCACCCTCCACACCCACAAGATGGTCCCTACTGGACAGAACTTGGAATTCTCGTTTCCTGACTTTGCTTCTATCTACAGGAAGCTCATGCAATGAAATGGGGTGCTCTAGGACCAAAGACCCAAACCCACTCTTCATCCCATCACCCCAACCCCATCCCCCCAATGGTAAGTTGAGAGAGGAAAGTGTGTCCTTTCCACTGGCTTATAATCTGTCAAAAAGCAAGAAGGGAAAAAAGGGGGCAACTATGAGAAGAGGATTTCCCAGGAGGGCTCAGCCCCATCACAGGCACATGTTGGACCCATAGTGGGTCTGTACATTTCTAGCACACAGACAATCATCTTTGTCATGTCTCCTCTGCGGACATAAATGCTGCCTCAAACCCTGTATTATCTTCAACCTATTTGCATTCCTTTTCCATAGTAGGAGACTTCATGTTTCAAGAGTGGATTTTTCTCCAGGACTTTTTACCTAATTCATTCCAGGACCAAACTATTCCAGGATACACTCAACCTTCAGGGGGAAAAAAATGGATTAAAAATAAAATTCATTCATCCATTGACTCCATAAGAAACACTCCTGGAAAAGAGGAGGCATTAGCAGAGATGTAGCTAACCAATTAATAAGACTTGCCTATCAGAAGAAAAATGAAAACCCAGCCAGGAATTTGCATAAGCCCCCAGTCCAAACAGGAGAGAGATGAAAATGAATTGTTTAAACCAGAAAGCAGAAGTTAACACCTGTTAATGACTCGTTTGTTGGCTCACAAGCTGTTAACACTCAGACACACTGGTCGTTAAATGTGGTCATTACTTATTTCAATGAAAAATTTATTAGAGCCCCCATCTGAAGATTTAATGGAAAGGCAACCCTCACCCTGCACACCTGGTATACCCCAAGGAGGCTGGGAGCAGGTTTCTTCTAGCTGCTATGTCTGGATAAAAAAATAAGTACTAAAAATAATCATCATGGCCATTCTGTTGCATCAATTACCTATTTCCCTCAGCAATCAGAATGTTAGATGAGTTCTGATTCACAGCTGGATACCTAATAAGGACCACTTGAGTCTTCATTACTTTGTAGGACCATTATGTTTAAGTGGGTCTGTTCTGCGTTCTTTACAAGCCTGCTGCAGGACTCATTATTATTAGATAGACTTTCGATTAAGCTGAGAACATTTTTTCATCTTTTCGCCTTTTGCAGATAAAAAAAGGAAATAAGAGGAGACAGGATGGAGAATTCACAGTGACACAAACTTAGGGAACTGGGGACTGGTGTTGAGTCATGGAGAGGAGTCACGGGGAGTATTATTTGTCACTGGCTGCCCCAGGATCATCATCAAAAGGGCAGCCACCTGGAATGTCAAAGGGCCAGGAATTCTCAAAGAAAGAATCTTTTCTATCACAACACCTAAATCCACCTTCATTGGTGGATTATGCAAAAAAAAAAAAAAAAAAAAAGTCTGTGGTAGGAGAAATTAAATCCCAGGAGCCTCAGCTAACCCCAGTTAAGAATTCCTGTTTTTTATGAAGGGGAAAGTCAACCAAAGGAGCACCACGTGCATCTCAGAGAGTGCTAGAAAGTACGTGAAAATGTTGGTCTCTTTTCCCCACATACCTGGATCATCATGGGACTGGATTGTCAGATGTAGCTCATAAAAACACAGGATGCCCAGTTCAATTGATAATTCAGGTGAATACTTTTTAGCATAAGTATATTCTGTGTGATATTTGAGATATATTTATGCTAAAAAAAATTATTCACTGTTTATCTGAAAATCAAATTTAACTGGGCATTACATATTTTATCTATCAACTCTATATAGGACACTTGGCTATTGGAGGAAAGGAAACACTCTGGGGCTAGTAGTTCCCCAAACTCGTGGATCATGAATCACCTGAAAGAGAATACAGATTACCAAATTCCACCCCTTGAAGACTGTGACCAAGGAATTTGTTGAAAGCTGATTGAAGGCTTTGAAGATAATGATGACAGTGATAATGATGAGCCAGTATGAGGCATCCAGAGTTCTACGATATGTCCATGTGACCCCTAAAATTAAAAGGAAAGTAGAAAGTTGATTGGTGAACTAAGAGCTGACAAAGGTTGGTCTCACAAGGTTCAGCAAAGCCCTTATTCATTCTTCAGATAGTTCCTGAGCTCCCACCATGGGCAGTGATGTCCTTGACCCCTGCCCTTGTGGGGCCCAAAATCGAATAGAGAGCTGAGAATGGAATTTAAAGGAGGACAGACATTTATGGAGGGTTGTAGGGTAAATGCACCTGATAGCAATAACTTAAGCATACCCTTAGAATGACCATATATGTCAGATGCACCTGAAATGTGTGTTCCAAGCTAGGGAACTTGGGAGTGGCCAGAGATTGATTCCTTGTCTTTGAGTAACATTTGAGACCCCAGCCCGGCCTGTGGAGCACACACCGTACAGGGGATTGAGAGTTTTGAGTTGGATGAAGGTTGCCAGATAGAGGTCCTTAAGGGGAGGCTGTTAAGTGAAAATGCTTTATAAACTACGTGCTGTTTGCAAGTTGGTTGCATTTTTCCTGCTCAATCCATCGCCACTGGACTGTAGGTAAAGTGGATACATTGTCCAGCCCACTGCCACTCAACCATTTCTGTAGGTAAGGCAGATATCTTGTCCAGCCTGCCACCACTGGACTCTCTCCCCTGTATGTGAGTCCCTAATAAAACCCCATGTCTTGTTTGCTGGCTCTGGGTCTCTTCTGCAGCCTCTTGAACCACGTGCCTTCCCTATTGAGATGAATAGGGGTTCACCACAACAAGGGTAGTGTGCCAGGCACCACAGTGGTGCTTCCAGCCATCATCTCATTTGGTCCCCAAAGCAGCCTGTCCAGGTAGATACCACCATCCCCTCTGCAGATGAGGCCACTGGGGCTATAGAATTTCAACTTGACCAAAAGGGTAGCATTGGCAAATGACAGAGGACACATTCACACCCAGGCCAATCTGACTCTAAGCATCTGCTTTTTGTACTGCAAGCTCATATCCAATAAGCACCCTGTGGAATAGATTAAGTGTAGGAGACCTGGGTTTAAATATCACTCTGGCACTTCCTAACTCTGTAAACTTGAGCAAGTTATTTCTGTGGTTTCCAAAATTGCTGCGCCTTACAACTACTGTCATTGTCACTCGCAGATAATCAAGAAAAATCTTCAAGCTGGGATGTTAATAAGAAAAAAAAAAGGAAAAAAAAGTTCACATTATTAAAATACCGCAGAGGTCAAAACAAAAGGAGATCAACAGAGAAGTCCCTTCTTCCTAAACCCAGATTCAGGAGTCAGGTTCTCCTCCATTCTTGAATTCATTCCCTGAGTGACTCTGAGTAGCAAAATCATTTTGGTTAATCCTTTGTTTCAGAAGGCATCCCTGCAGAGAAGCTGCCCATGTTTGGGCATCCAGTGGTGTCCCCCAAGGCCTCTCCTATATCTTAGCAAAGAAAGAAGAGTACAAGTGTGTAGGAATTAAATACATAAGTACTTAGGATTTTATGAGGCTGAGTATATCAGATTTAAGGCTTATGGACTCCAGATAAGCACTTCCTAAAGTCAAACTAGACATCTTGTCTGATATTTCCAGCCTAGCAATCATTTTATTCATCTGTAAAATGGCACTTCAGGTATTTCTCTGAGGATTAAATGCAATAATGTATTTAAAATGCTTATTGCAATACCTGGTATATAGTTAGCACTCAGTAAATGTCAGCTGCTATTATTATTATTATTATAAGTTTTCCCCTACCAAACTGTGAGACCCTTAAGGACATGACTATACCATTCTTTGTGTGACCAGCATTTGCACAGTATCTGGCAAAAAGTGAGCACCAGGTGGATGTGTGAGTGGGGTGATGGATGGATGGATGCATGAATGAATGGATGGGAGAGTGGGTGGCTAGATGGATGGATAAAGGAGTAGATTAATTCAAGTGTGGATCTTCTGGCAATGATGACTGAGGATAATCTTCATGGAGATGATGAGGATCAAGCTAAGCTATTATATTAAAGATAAGCCATGTGACAATTTTATGGTTTAATGCTTGCATAATACTTTCATTCTTTTTGTTATTCCCAGTAAATGACTTACGGGACATTAACATTTTGGAAAACATACCAGTCACAAGGTTTGGCTGATCAGCATAATTCTAGGCACACAGTGGATAACTAGCACTAATTCATTCAAAAATAATAGTTATTGGCCAGGGATAGTGGCTCACATCCGTAATCCCAGCATTTTGGGAGGCCGAGGCATGAGGATTGCCTGAGCCCAGGAGTTCAAAACCAGCTTGAGTAACATAAGGAGACTGTCTTCACAAAACTTTATATATATATATATACACATACATATACATATATACATACACATACACACATATATGTACATATAAGTTATTTACCTTTTTCATAGTTGAGAAGAAAATGTTAATGGAACATACAACATGTTTTAATCCATAATATTATTTGAGATAAAATCATATCAAAGAAAGAATAGAGCTGCTACCTTTATTCTGTCCTCACATTGCCTGGGTTTCAGAATCAGTGTGACTGCTGGCATAGCTTCATTTAAAAGAGAATGACTGGGCCAGTAAAATTTGAAAAGTACATTTTCATTTGCTCCAGTCTGTGCACGCTCAAAGAAGAGGGAAGAGAGGGAGAGCATATAGGAACAGAGGGAGCATAGGAGCAAAAGGAAGGACCCCAGTAGGAGAAAAGCCTGTAAATCAAGGGCCATCAGGCAAAGGACATGAAAAAGAGCCTGGCAGAGTTAAAATAATCAGTAACTAAGGAAAAACTAAGAGTTCAGAAAAAGCAAACAGGATTGCATTAATAATCACTTCAGAGGGCAGTAGAGGGTGGACAAACCTTGCAAGGAAAAGAGCAGGAGGGAGTAAAAATAAAGTGAACAGCTGCACATTCCTCTCTCAAAGCCCAGTAGTTACCTCAGCCGCAAGCTCTTTACCTTGCCCAGGGAAAGGGCCCCTAAAGGCACAAGCAGGAGGCAGACCAGCCCTCTGAGGAGGGAGCCGTGCCCAGGGAACTTTGAAAGTGAGCTGGCCCACCTGGGCTAGGGACATCACCAACTTGCTGGGCCATGCTGTAAATAGACGTAGGTGGCTGCCTACACCAAGAGATTTTCAGGGTCCAAGCCTGCATCCCGAAGAAATAAATCCCCAAGCTGCTGCCTAACATCTGCAATTCTGCAATTACAGATTTGTTTCATCCAGTTCTTTGTTCTCAGTTAAAAGGAAGATCTCCATCACAATGAGACATGAAATATTACCACCCATCCATCGTCATTGTGAATAAGCATAGCAAAACTTTTTCCAAAGGTACTTTGTTGATAAGACAGGTAAAGAGATCCTGAGCTCCAGGATATCTGTAGAAGTGTCCAACAGGGTGAGAAAAGGGTTGGGGGTAACAAAACCTGCTGGGATCCTTCGCATTCTGCTGGATACCATCTGATGCTGAGGTCTAGTCTATAACAGAAGCCAACAAATGCTGACCCCAGAAGGTCTTTCTGCCCACTCTCATAATTGTCATAATGGTGCCAACTTGTCCTTCCCCAGAAAGAAAAACAATCCTAAAAATATTTCTATGTTGGATATTTTGTGGCTGAAATTCCCCTGAGCTCATCTTCCAAAAATAATGTCTCAAGAATGACAAACTACTGATAATTATTAGAACTTGGTAATGAGTAATGGGTACCTTGAGGATCATAATATTCTCTCCCCCCTTGCAGATGCTTTTAAATATCCCGAAAGAAAGTGAAACAATAATCACTTATAAAAGAACATGTTTCTGGCCAAGTGTGATGGCTCATGCCTGTAATCCCAGAGCTTTAGGAGGCCAAGGTGGGAGGATCCCTTGAGCCTGGGAGTTTGAGACCAGCCTGGGAAATATAGTGAGACCTCATCTCTACTAAAAATTTAAAGATTAGCCAGGCATGGTAGGCACACCTATGGTCCCAGCAACTAGGGAGGCTGAGGCAGGAGGACCTCCTGAGCCCAGGAGTTCAAGGGTGCAGTGAGCCATGATCACACCACTATACTCCAGCCTGAGCAACAGAGCAAGATCCCATCTCAAACATATACATATATAATATACATATATATATGCACACACACACATATATATATTTCCACTGAATTAATTCCACTGGATTAAAATGAATGATTGGAGAATAAACAACTCAATTCCTTAGATGGTTTTACCCACCCCCACCCCAACACAAATGCACGGCTTCACTTGCTTCTACTTGTCAGGGGAATAAGTCTATTGCTACTAAACTGAATTTTGCTTTTCATTTCCAAGTCTTGATGGCAGGTGGATATGGTCTGAATTGGCATCCATACTCAACTGAGACTCTCATCTTTTTTCCAAATCTTTCACAGACTTCGCCATTCTCATTTCTCAGAGCTTCACTTTTAGCCTCTTATTACTAACCCCCTCCAGCACAGTTCTTCCACCCCAGCCTCCAGCCTCTGTCACCCCCAATCTTAGAAAACTTTCTTCTGCCTCACTTTCCTGCTGAAGGATGCTTCTTCTTTCTCCCTCCTCAACCGCTGATTTGTTCATCCTGTTTAATCAATTAATGCATTCAGCTGGCTCAATCTTTGTCACATGATAGCTGGCATTATTTAACCCTGTGGAGTCTGCCTTGTTAGAAGCAAGAGAAAAAAAGACAGCGGCCTTGCTATCTCCTGTTCAGAGAGAACTTTATGCTGATTTTTAAGACATGACTCATAATCAAACCACATCAAACAGGATTCCTAGATCAGCGCTCATTACTCTTTGGGATATATAAGGTAAACATATGTACGAATTCACACTCAAGGACAACCAAAAAAAAACCTTTTATTGGGAAACTGTTATTTCTGTATCTCATCTGGAATCTTCTACCAAGAATGACTGATTTGAGCTAAACGTGAAAGTCAAACTGAAAAATAGAGACCAAGAACAAAATCTCAATATGTGATCAAGAAGACTGACTAGCCCTCTGTGAGCAAATGCTTGCCAAAAAGCCCGGTCCAAAGAGCCAGGGTCATGGCTGACCCATCTAAAATATCTGCTACATCAACACTTGTGTTAACTCCTGTGGGTCAGAAAGCAAGAGGAGCTGCAAACTAAATGAAAGAAGCCAATTTTCTACTCTAACACTGCTCAAAAAAATCTCAAAAGCAGCTGGCAGGATAGATTTGCTAGAGATACTCCCAAATGTCTCTTGAAAGCAGGAAATAAAATCAATCCTTCTCAGTTTTTACTATCGCTATGAATTCTTTTTTCAAATGTTTCACTCAACATGGTGTCTGTGAGATGAATTCATGTGGTTGCATGTGTACTAGATCATTTTTTAATTGCTGTGTGCTATTATAATTGTGTGAATATGCAACTATGTTTTCTCTATTGTACTATTTCTGTACATTTGGTAATTATAAATAAAACTGCCATGAATATTTATTTTTTTTGAGACAGAGTCTCACCCTGTCACCCAGGCTGGAATGCAGTGGCAAGATCTTGGCTCACTGCAACTTCTGCCCCCCAGGTTCAAGCAATTCTCCTGTCTCAGCCTCCAGAGTAGCTGGGATTACAGGTACATGCCACCATGCCTGGGTAATTTTTGTATTTTTAGTAGAGATGGGGTTTCACCATGTTGGCCAGGCTGGTCTTGAACTCCTTACCTCAGGTGATCCTCCCACCTCAACCTCCCAAAGTGCTGGGATTACAGGTGTGAGCCACTGCATTCAGCCCATGAATATTCTTATATGTGGCTTATGGAGACTGTTCCTACCCATTCCTGTGGACCACACAGCAAGGAGGAAGTCCACGGTCATCCGTATATACATGTTCCACTGCAGTAAGTACACACTGCTTTTAGCAATCTCACAATGTAGTAGACTCTTTGGACAATTATCCTGCACAATTCTTCCTCTCCCAGCTACAAACACCTTCACTGTCCCTTATGGAGTCTTCTTGATTTCCTCCTTCCCTCTCCACACTGTGCCCTCCAGTGACCTCACTTATTCTTACACATTTACCTGTGTTTATATTTGTTTTGCCCCATCCTGGCTTCGCTTCAAAGCATCAGCCATGTTCTTCCATCTTCTAGCACAACATTTGCATCTGGATGTTCAAGTGATTGGAACATGTTGAACCAAACCCATCTTCCTCTCCCTCAACCCTCATCACTTCTCCCTCAGACCCACCTGATTTTACTGCCCAGCTCCTGGCCATCTGGGCTGGTAACCTTGGCAGGCTGACCCCTAAGAGAAATTTAAACCCTACCAGTGGCATTGTTACAATAGGCCTCAAAGGGGAATGGAGTTCCCCAACAAAACAGTTCCAGTTGTTAGTTTATGTCTCTTCAATAGTTGAAATGGCTACCAAACTGATAAATAGCAGAAAATTGTTTTTGTTTCCTATCTTCCAAATCACAAGAACACACTTCAAGGATCACAACCCACTGTCTTCAAATTCCACTCTGAAAAGAAAAGCATTTTCTCTTTTAAGAAGAAATGTTAGAAAAGAGAAAATGCAGTTTATCAAACATTTAAGAGCATGGCTTTGGATTAAAGAGACCTGAGGTTCAAGTTCTTCTTCTGCCACCTCCTAGCTGTGTGACTTCTGGTAACTCACTGCCTTCTCTGAGCCTTAGTTTCCTCATCCACACAATAAGGATAACCGTCGCTACCTTGCTGGTCCCTAGTGAAAATTAAATGAGATCAAGAGACTTAGTACAGCACCTGACATATCTACACTCATTAAGTGTGGTTGGTGTGGCTTCTGTTGCCAATTCTCTAAGTGGGAAAACAGGATAAATTGCAACTCATTCAGTGTCCCAGAGAGTTTGCCACTGAACAAGCAGCAATTTCAAAGTTCTAATTTCTTTTTCTTTGCTCTCTGAATAGCTCAGAAGGGATGGATAGGCTGTGAAAAATGTTCTCAGGCTGGTCAGTTTGAGATATTTCATTTCACGAATCTGTCTGTGAAAACTGCCAGCTCATTTCATTGATCAATGGCCATCCAGTGTTGGAGTTTAAGTTATTACCACCCTAAACTAAGGCTGAAAGAGATCCTTAGGAGTAAGAAGCTCCGAAAGGTACTCGTGGCTTCTTCAGAGACATAGCTAGGCTCCACAATCAAGCTTCAATCCGTTTTATGTGCAATTTGCATTTGTACACGAACAACTTTTTCTCATGCTGGAATTTTCTCCACCAGCTTGTGGATGGACTTTTGTAGCTGCCTCAGATGATATTTTCTAGCTTTCTGTGTATGCATTTGCAGCTGTCCTGTCTCCCCTTCAAAGCACCCTGGCTTTTCAAATGTAAGCAGATCTAAGTGGACACTGTCAATCAATCAATCAATTGATTAAATATATATCAAGTACCTACTTGGTACAGTGTCAGGACTCTCAACATGGGCAAACATAAAGAAGAAAACACATTATGTGGTCTTAAAGACTTGAAGTAACTAACAACAACACAGGTGAGTGGATCCTAATGAGGTAGCTCAAATAGTTAAGTGTCAAAAATTACTAGAAAGGAGATGGTCACTTCTGAGTTTAGGGATCTCAAAAATAATGTTAAGCAATTCCCACCCCATCCTCATCACCATTCCTCTGACAGAATTAAGAACAGAACTGTGCACGAAGTGGGTGCCTCATAAATGCTGACAAATAAATGCTAACACATGTATTACATGTAGGACATGTTCTTGAATTGACGTTATTTCTTTCAGAAAATCTCCTCCTTGCAAGTAGCTTAGATGCTGATTCCTCACAACTTATGAGATTTAGCACAGCAGATTTTACATGGTAGAAATGTCACAGCGTTGGAGAAGGATGGGGTCACACAGACAGAGGTTAGGCTTCCAGCTTTGCCGCCTATTAGTTATAAAGTCTGAGCAAGTTACTTAACCTGAGTCTGTGTCTTCCCCTGAAAAACAGGAGTAAAGCCATCTCTTCTGCAAGATTTTTGTCAAGATTAGAAATAGTGTAAATAAAGCATGCAGTGACACATAAAAGTGCTAAATAAACTGTATCCATTCCCATTACTCTGTTCAACAAAAATCGTCCAGCTCACTCTCCTCATCTCCCTTCCATGGTGGAATAAGTTCCTGACTCTGCTGTACAGGACCCTCAGCTCACAAGACACCCACAATAGCAAACAAAGCTCAAAACTCTGCTTCTCTTTATTTCATCTTACATTCTCAAGAGGAAAAAGATAAAACACAACAACAGGCATTAAGAAACTAGGAGAAACTGACCAAACTAAAACCTCCCCCTGGATGCTCCATAGATCCCTGTTCTCTTAGAAACTTCCCTGACAAAGTTTGCATCTATGCTCATCTTTGAGTTTGCTTCACCCACCTTTGACCTATGGCTAGCCATATGGCCTCTTTATAAATGATTCTATGTAGAAGAAATTATCTTGAAGAGATTCTATTTTCCCATTAATAATGATTCACCAAGACCAATTGCACCAAAAAATCAATAGAACCCACAGATTCTATCATCAGGAGAGTGGGAAGAAGCAAATCTCTTCCATTCATTCACATCAAGTCACCCTCATTCCCAGATTGTACATCTCTGCGATTTTTCTCAGTTCCAACAGATTTTGTGGGGGCTGAAGTGACAGGAAAAGCAAGCTTGTTACACCACAAATCACACAGACGCTACTGGTAAGGGCAGAAGTGTGGAGGCACACACTAAAAGAAGCATTTCTTTCTCATTCATCATTTAACCAGCTCTCTGGGTTGCTGTTTCAGGGCCAGGAAAACACCAGATCCAGTGAGAGACAGAAAGTCCCACTTTCTCGAAATGGAACTTGGACAAAGTTCTGTGAGGCCCAGGGAAAGTAAGGCCAACGCAGCGTGGCCAAGGTTCTGATGAACCATAAAGGAGAGGAAATGGCACTTTCCTCTGAGTCATGCAGAAACGATTTACTCTCCAGCCTTCTAACCATTAATGGTCTGAAAACGTGGGGCAACTGACCTCCAGAGCCGCCCTGCTCCCACAGCATAGCCCGCAGTCCTGCGCCAAGCTGACATGGAAATCAGATCAAGAGTGAACCTGAGGTAGTGGCACTCTACCCTAACTGTTGACAGATGGAGAATGGAAGCCACATAAATGCTCTCTCTTGTGTCAGCACTATAAAAACGCCGGACTGACCCATGAAAGATGGAGATGGAAGCTCGAGCAGCCATTAGGAGCCATGCCTTACTCTGAGCAATAACTCACTCCCATCGTATTATGAAAATGGTTTTATTGCAGTGGATTACCTTTTCCCCCCTCTGCAAAAATTACTGCTTATCAGCATCACAGAAATCAAGCTAAAACCTCCCCACCTTTTCTTACTTCTAATACAATCCCTCCCTCTGGCCAGGAACTTAATAAAATGGAACATTTCATTATTCCGGTTTGCATACCTCTTTTGAAGCTGAAACTGTCATCTCAAGTGAGCACTCTGAAGTGGCCGGTGTGAGGGTAATTTGATTGCCTCTTGTTTTTTCTCAGACACATCTGAATGCCTGAGAAGCCACTCAGTGTCCAGGTCTCTTGCTAAACCAGATTTGGGAGTTGCAAGGGGAAGGAAATCATTCAAAAGCAGCATTTTCTGATTCTTTCAAAATAGTTTGGATATAGCTTTTTCATGAGCTATTAACTGCCTGTCAGATTCCTTAAGAGGGGAAAACAAAACCAGGTGTATTGAGAATGTGTATAGTCTCAAATAGCTCAACTCAGTAAGGCCCCTTTTTTTCTATGGCCCATATGTGTTTCCCATCAATGAACCTGAGCAGTGGGAATCACCAAATTGAGACTATTGTCTCCTACAGTGGAGGCATCTGAAATCTTCCATTGTATTCAGACAATTTAGCCTGTTGTAGATTAATGCACCCAGTTGGAATCCTTGGTGTTAATACTCTTACCTGGTATGTGAAACCTTTATTAATATGCAGAATCTCAGGCCCCACCCTAGACCTCCTGAATCAGAATCTGCATTTCCACCAGATTGCCAGGTCATTTGTAAACAAAAAGTTCAAGAAGCACTGGTTTGTACCACAGAAGCAGTATATATTGACCTACATTCTGACTGCCCAGTTTATCTGGCTAGTCACCAGTTGGGTAAATCACCACATTACACGCTACTACAGACGCAACAACCAGTAAGATTTGGTCCCCTACCTTTGGAGAGTTCAGCATCTGGAAGGACTACAAACAGGAATGTTTAGAATCTGCATGGTATTAAAGCAACCTCAGGGCCCTCACAAACCTAAAGACTTGAAGTGGTAAGCTTCAGAACCCCCCAGATCATCAGGCTACACTTGTATGTTAGGGCCCCCTAAGGTCAACCAGACCCTGTCCCAGAGCCCTCTTTTGAGGTCTCTCGCAATCTCATGTACTTAAACTCATCAGTGGGAGCAAGTCTAGCTCTAACTCCAGCTCTTCTGCCTTTGAGACAGCCTTAACCATTGCCACTCCCAGCTGTCCAGCCCTCTGCAAGCTTCTCAAAAACACTGGCACCACACAAATATTGGCACTCAGCAAAACAAGACCCTTTTAACATAGCATGGGTCCCATTTATGTTTTGTGGCAGAGACATTTACCAGTCATTATCTGTGTTCCTCCCTTTCCTCAGCTCAGTCACAGTTAGGAGGGGCACTGTGACTAGTTGTGACCAATAAGCTAGAAACAGAAGTGAAGTGTGTTACTTCTGGGATGAAGCCATTTAGAGCCAGAATGCAATGCTCTTCCCATGCATTAGTGACTACAATGGAAGACGTGTTCCAGATGGCGTAGCCACAAGATGTAAGCCACCTGAATCCCTTGGAAAGGAACTTCCTGGAGAACTCAAAGTCCTACTAGTAGAATTAGCATGAGGAAGAAATAAGGCTTTATATGTTAAGCCACTGGTATCTGGGGATTGTTTGTTACCACAGCATAACCTAACCTATCCTGACTTACACATCTTTGTGAACCATCCTTTTTTGTCTTCTTCGTGTTTGTTTGTTACATATGAGTTTCATGTTAGGTATCCAAATTTTTTGTTGGCCAAAATGTGGCAAAAGGTGATTCAACATAGCAAGGACTTTTCCTCATGTTTTCTCAGGTAAATGCATACATTCCATTTTTCTTAAAATAATAATTAAAAAGTAGAATGAGATTTGCCTTATTACATGATGTTTTGCATTATTGTTGCATTTTGCTTAATTACCTCCCTGTCCCAGCCTTAAAGTTGAAAATATTGTTGGTTATTCAAAATGGTAAACAAAAATAGTCCCCAGTATAGTCAATGATTTTGTCTGAAGAAGCAAATAAAAGCAATTATTTAAACAGGTCAGTAAGCACATATTGGGGGACAGCACTTTCTAGCCCAAGTTACTTCTGCAGGCTGTTTGTCCTGGTAGAGAAAATGCCCTGGTTAATTCTCTTTTCACCAACTGCATAAATACTGTACTAATTATAGTAGGCTTCGCTTTTCCTAGCAATAACAACCCACTCTAATTTTTCTCTTTTTCTGATTGAATTTGTCTAATTTTTATAAGAATAGCAAGTTGACAAGCTATTTAACATTTTAGGAATATGCACAAGACTATGTTGTGGCTTTAAACAACATGTAAATAATATTTAAACAGTCTGTTCCAGAATCATACTGCCTGCCTGCCAAAATTCTTTTTTAGAGAAATTAGCTTTTCATTTTTCCCTTTTAACTAGCATTTAAAATGGAAAAAAAAAAAAAAAAGTTCACGCCCACAAGAGATACTTTAATAAAATCACTGAGTATTAGCAATCTGGTTTACGGTGCCAGGAATCCAGGATAATTCTGATTTAGGATTGAAATTCTGCCCTGCATTGAGCCTGTTGTGTATGGTTATGGGAATGTTCATACTGCTTACTAGGTCAGAACGCCCACTGTTATGAAGATCCTTCAGATAATGGACCATTTGGGCTATGCTACTCAGGTCAGGTTATACAGGATGAGGAGAGGGAAGTTCTGCTTAACCAGTTGGTGACTGTTCAGGCATCAGGCTTTGGAGAGATGTCTTTGTTGTTTAACTATTTGTTTGCTTGCTTTAAAATCTATAATCAGATGATCCAAAAAAATGTATAAGGCCATAAAAGTGAAGGAAAACGGCAGTTATACGTAGTTGTAGAAAATTTGAGCGAAGACAAATGTTACAGAAATAGAAACAGAAGAAAAAAAGGAGAGACAAAAGAAGGAAAAAAAACAAAAGAAAGGGAAAAGGGGGAGAAGATCAAGGCAAGAAAAACTCAGAGAGATACTTAAGGATAACAGATTAGATGCACCCAAAAATATGCTCCTCTGTGCACAGGAATTGTGTTTTCTATTCTGTGCATCCCCACTCCTCTAAAGTCTAGCCCAGTGCTGAAGACGCAGCTCGGCCTTGACAGAGAGACAACATTAAGTAAGCTAATAATGTTTTTTCCATATTTGGTTCACAATACCATCAACCAGTCTAGTTGAGGCTAGGAAATTTTGGATCAAATCATGAGTTACATGGTTGACGCTGAACAAGAATCCCATAGAATTGTGGTGATAAATGAAACCCATTGCCAGTTACACAGAGCTAAGCATTTTCCTGGAATTCTTTGCAGCTATAAAGAACTGCAGGATAGGCCAGGTGTGGTGGCTCATGCCTGTAATCCCAGCACTTTGGGAGGCTGAGGTTGGCAGATCATTTGAGGCCAGGAGTTCAAGACCAGCCTGGCCAATGTGGCAAAACCCCATCTCTACTAAAAAATGCAAAAAAAAAAACTTTAGCCAGGCATGGTGGCACACGCCCCATAGTCCCAACTACCTGAGTGGCTGAGGCACGAGAATCACTTGAACCCAGGAGGTAAAAGTTGCAGTGAGCCAAGATCACGCCACTGCACTCCAGCCTCAAAAAAAAAAAAAAAAAAAAAAAAAAAACCAAAAAAAAAAGACACCAAAAAACTGGATGATGCTTAAGGGAAAAAGGAGAAGAAGAAAGAACTCTTTCCACGGTCTTCCTGACAGCTGGATATGAGACTACCAGTGGAAATATAGAAAAGTGAATGTAAGTGGAAAATAGAGCCATTGCATAGCTCTAACCAGTGACAGATGGATAAGGACTTGCCCTCTTAAGTGTTACTTCAACGCAATCCAGAATGATGACTGTGTCTGTGCTGTCCTATAAAATCTGGTTAGAATTGCCTTGGGCCAGCATCCCACATCCCCTAATAACCCATGTGGATGACCAGAGGCTGACTGTCTCACGATCACCTCTGGGTAGGAGCCCCTTTGCAGTCCACACCAACTCAGACATGGGACTCACTCCTCTCCCTGGATAGAAACATATTTACATGGCACATAGAGCCACACTCACCAGTGAAGTCTGTGTGAAGCACAATTCACTGAAGATTTTAGGAAGATGGATGGCAACATAACAAGTGAGCTCAAACAATAATAAATACAACATACGTTATCAGTTCTAGATCTAAAAATCCATCAGGCTCTAACCTATTGCTCCTTTTCCTACTTCCCCTCCTTCCTGACCCCAAAACGACAAATTCTCCCATTGTCTTAACAACTCCCATTTTTTTCTGCCTTCTCCTAGAAATTTCCCTGAGACCTCTCTTTTTGCCTTCAAATAACCCCCCACCTTACTTCATGAAACAAAGTCAATTCTTTCCTAAAGAGGTAAATTTTGTTGCCAATTGTTAATCATTTTCTTGTTATAACCCATATCAAATAAAGAATACTGGACAGGCCTCCTTGACTGAAAATATCCCCCTCATTCATGGCCTTAGGTTTATTAAGCATTGTCCTTTATAACAAGTTGTCTTCAGTAGTTAAATGCTCATTAAGTTGCCTATACATGAGTATGCTTATATCTATGTCTATATATCTATAACCATATCTGTATCTTGTCCACAGCTACAATTATATCATTAATTTGCCTGCCAGCAAAGTCCAAACCAGTAGGAAAACACTGTGTGCCTGAAGATTCAGAAAAGGCTCAAAGAGGAAAGAGGAGAAGAAAGAAGAGAAGGAGGAGGAGGAGGAAACACCAACACCAAGAAGGTGAAGGATACCAAAGATCAATTTGCCTCTTTCGCATTCTGGCAAGGGCCAGTCTTGAATACTGAATCCAGCAGGAAGTCCCTTTACTCAGTCCTTAGTAGCTACCCCTGTCACCTCCCTCCCTCAAACCAGGTGGATCTGGCTGCCTCAAGGGCAGGAAACCCTGCTCAGACCTCCTGTTAGCCCAGCTCGCCCCACACCTTCCCTCTGCCTGTCTGGAGAATCAGGCAGACAACCAACTGCTCCCGGAGAGGGAAACAATTAGGGAGAGGGAGCCCCTCCCTCTTGGCCTTGGGCTGCCCAGCCAGCATGATTAGCATAATTACAATATGTTCATCCAGCACCAGGATGAAAACTTGTGCAGAGGGGAAGTGTTAACACACAAGCCAGCTAAATAACAGTCCTTCGTAATTAGCTAAACAGTTCCTCATTTAGAGCTTTCCTGGGATATTCCCAGAAAGCCCCAGGCTCCAGGCAGCATCTTCAGGACCAAAGGCAGCAGCAACAGCAGCAGCAGCAGCAGCAGCAAGACCAAGTCCCTAACTAGAAAGCAAGGAGCTGAGGGTCCCCCATTCTGGAGGTGGCACTTGCCATTGTGAAGTGGGAAATGACATCTCTAGATCGTTTCCAATGGGCATCAAGGAAATACTCCTTCACTCCTTAACTCTCTTCTTAACTGGACTTAAAGAAGTTCAACTTTTCTGGACTTCAATTTCCTCATCAACAAAGAAAAGAAAATAATCCATGCCCAACAGATTGCACAAGGCTATTGGAAGAAACAATCAGATAAAAGCTAGGAAATCTCTAAACAGCAAGAATGCTGGATAAATACCAGGTGGCAATGATGGCCTAGAAAGGATCTGTCTGGATTTGTTTTTTGTTTTGTTTTTTAGAGACAGGACCTCTCTCTATCGCCCAGGCTGGAGTGCAGTGGTATGAACATAGCTCATTGCAGCCTCAACCTCCTGGGCTCAAGAGATCCTCCCACTTCACCCTCCTGAGTAGCTGGGGCTACAGTTACATGCCACCACACCTGGCTAATTTTTTAATTTTTTCATACAGACAGGGTCTCACTATATTGCTCAAGCTGGTCTTGAACTCCTGGGCTCAAGCCATCCTCCTGCCTTGGCCTCCCAAAGTGCTAGGATTACAGGCATGAGCCACTACACCCAGTCTCTGACTGGATTTGAATTACTGAAGTCATCAAATATCTAAAGGCACATTCCTGCCCTCCCAGTCCCAATGATCTTCATCCATACTCCATCACCACATTTATCACATTAACATGGCAATGATAGACTTATTCAGGTTCTCTACAGCATGTTTTGCAACCTTTTTTTCTGTCACTGCACACAAAGAAAATTATAATATTTGTAATAGTGCCCAGGGTCACTGGTTGCTCCTGGCAACCCAGGTCCCATCCTGTCTCCCAAGGGCTAGTGGGATCAATAATTCTACTTGACCTACACACATCCAGGAGTCACCAACGTGTCCCTCCATACTGTTGGGAAGCTCAGGTCTACATCACTGGTTTTGTTCTGGTGGTTGGTTGGTTGGCTGGGGTTTTTTTATTCAACAGACTAGCTCCTTGTGACTCTGGAGCCTATGGTGGCCCAAAGCAATTGTTCTCAACCCTGGCTGTATATTAGAATCACCAGGGAAACTTTTAATAAACACCAGTGCCTGGGCATCACCCCAAGAAATTCTGATTTAATTGGCTTGGGGCACGGCCTGGGCATGAGGTGAGTCTGACCTGCAGCCAAGGTTGAGAACCATTGCTCTAAAGTAGCACTTCTTAAGCTTTAAAATAAAATCACATCACCTGGGGATCTTGTTAAAAGGCAGATTCTGATTCAGCAAATCTGGGATATGGGCCTGAGGTCCTGCATTTCTAGTAATCTCCTAGGAGATGCTGATGCTGTGGTCCCCAGACCATGCTCTGAGTAACACAGGTCTAAAGAAGTAGATCTTACATTTGAGCATTCCTCCTAATCCCCTGGAATCCTTGCTGAGATGAATTGCTGGGCCCCACCTCCAGAGTTTCTGATTTGGCAGGCAGATCTCATGTAGAGCTGGAAAAACTGTACTTCTAACCTGTTTCCAGGTGATGCTGATGCTGCCAGTCCAGGGATCACTTTCTTTTTTTTTTTTGAGACAGAGTTTCACTCCTGTCACCTAGGCTGGAATGCAGTGGCATGACCCAGGCTCACTGCAACCTCCGCCTCCTGGGTTCAAGCGATTCCCCTGTCTCACTCAGCCTCCAGAGTAGCTGGGATTACAGGCGCCTGCCACCACGCTCAGCTAATTTTTTGTATTTTTAGTATGGACGAGGTTTCACCATGTTGGCCAGGCTGGTCTCAAACATCTGACCTCAGGTGGGGATTACATCTTTTAAACCACTGGTATAAATATTAGCATGGAAGAGCCTAGCCTTTAGGAGAAATGGGCCCTATTTAGCAGACTAAAATTCTCATGATGCAAATGCTAGAATTCCCTAGAAAGAAATCCTGGAATGAGGCCCAGTCCAAATTGATGAGTACAAGCTACTTTTTTGGGTGATTCTACTTGAGAAGAGCTAACAACTGCTGGAAAGGCCTGATGGAGACTTCCTTTAGAAGTAGGCATCCTCTCTTCCTGTGACAAATGCTCAGAGTCTATAAAGAAAAAAGTAGCTTCTCCAAAGGAAGGCCCAGAGGAAGCCTGCAGAAATAGGTTTCTAGGCACATTCTAGCCTCTCTAGTGATTCCATTCACTGGCCCTCAACAAAGTTGAGCATCTAATCCCTGGAAAGCTAAAGAGGCTCAGCCCACCTTCTGAGTGCAGAGCGTCCTCATACCACACCACTACCATCTGTGAGTCACAACACTGTGAATCAGAAACCTAGGGGTTCCGTGTCCTTTCATATTCCCATGAGTTTCACCACGAAAGAAAACAAAGGAGCCAAGGTAGGCTAAGAGAAGAGAGGCTGGAAAAACAATGAACCCAAAACGCCTTGGAAATGGAGCTCATTGGTGCCTAGGTTTGCCAGCCCTCATTTAATGTGCTGCCAGTAATTGACCGTAAAGACGACACCCTAGCCAGTTTTCATCAGTTGATCTGGACAGCTCCCAGATAACAAGCTCCAGCTGGGAGGGCTTGATTGTTATCAAGCCAGAGTGAGGGAGGCCTTCAATAGGGCTGGCAACAGCATGTGTGTGATCCACGTGAGAGATTTCCAGCTCCAGGATGTCCCAGAAGAAAAGCCTGTTAACACCGCAGCCGGAAAGCCAGGATGGGCCCGGGAGCCCTGGAGCTTCATCACATGATAATCATTCGATAGGACGGCCTGCCCAGCCCCGGGGCAAGCTTGCCAGGATTAGCGCTGCCCTGTGTTCATTGACAGCCTTGACATGCCTCACAGCACCCACAGACAGCAGGAATTCAGTTGTGTGGGTAACTACAGAATAATTAACCAGGGTCAAGGCAGGGTCTGGTTTCAGAGAAGCCTGCTTGGGGATCCTCATCACATTCCAGACCCTCAGGAGCTGGGTCCAGTTGTCTTACTCCTCTTGGTCATGGGAGTCACATAATCCTCTGAATGGGGTGTCATTCAGCTCTGGGCACCAGGTTACCATTTGGCCCTCACATTTCCCTTCAAACTCTGGAGTCTGTAATCACAAAACAAAAAGTCCCTAACAACCAACAAGAAGAGAAGTGTGACCTGGTATATTGGGTAAACCTAGGAGGTCAGCCAGGTGGACATTTATTCAAATGCTGGCTCCAGTACATACAAGTTTTTGTTGTTGTTATTGCTTGTGGGGGGTTTTTTGAGACAAGGTTTCTCTCTGTTACCCAGACTGGAACAACAGATGAGCTGAGCCTCTTTAACTTCCCGGGGATCAGATGCTTGACTTGAGGGCAGTGGCATGATCAGAGCTCCCTGCAGCTTCAACCTCCTGGGCTCAAGCAATCTTCCCACCTCAGCTTCCCGAGTAGCTGGAACTACAGGCGTGAACCACCATACCCTGCTAATTTTTTCTATATTTTGTAGAGACAGGGTCTCACTATGTTGCCCTGGCTGGTCTTGAACTGGGTTCAGATGATCCTCTTGCCTCAGCCTCCCAAAGTGCTGGATTACAGACATGAACCAGCACACCTGGCCCAGGACATAATAGGTTTTTACCCGAGGGCGAATTGCTTAATCACTCCGGGGTTCAATTTTCTCATCTGTGAAGTGGTAACAAAAACACCTTCTGGGGAAGTTATATAAGTAAAAGTTTCTATAAATCACCTGAAACACAGTGGACACTTTATATTATTGTCATTTTTATTGTGAATATAACTTCCAGCTATTTTTATTAACAGTGCGACTATATTGTATTCCAATCTCCCTTCCTCATTTCTTCCAGGGCTCTATAATATTCTTGATTAGAGCAGTCAAAGAGATTATTCTGTTGAACAAGACCTGTAGACACAAATGGTAAATTCCAAAGAGAAGTATATCATAGATTTCAACCTAGAAATCTGGAATTCGGTGGCTCAAAGAGTAAACTTCTAAATTCAGTTCCATCACCAGCATTTATTGAGTCTCTCTATGTTTAAACTGTTTTGGGAGCTTAGAGGATCATTTGCCAATTGCACTACCTTAACTGGGAGTTTAAATGCAGAGATTTCTGCCTTTTGGCCCCAGAACTAGAAATAACAGGAAGAGAGAGGCTCATGTAAGTGAGAGCAGGATTTGGCATCTTCTGGTGTCCCTGAATCTCTCCAGCACAAGAACGTTGGGCTTAAAGCGACTTTTCCACTCCATAAATTTGGCTAATTCTGATAGGATTCACTGGAACCAATCAACCAGCCCGTGTTTCTTGAGCAAGGAGCTGTAACGAGGTATGAAAATCCAGCTCTCAAGAACTCAGGGAACAAGACTCACAGATGTAACTGAGCTAGATAAAATTACACAGCTGAAAATCTCAGGCCACATATGGATGTGATTCAAATTCATATATGGATGTGGTAGGTGGGTGTGATCTGCAGCACGTCCCTACAAGATGTGATAAAATGGGGTTTGGGGATCATTTTTCAGATGGTTACACTCAGAGTGAACTGGTATGGCATGAAGGGAGTGTTGAGGGAGAGAAACCTTGCCGAGACACCAACAGAGGGTTCTTGCAAAGGAAAGAACCACTAAACTAAATCACCGAGCACACAAACATTCTGGGTTAATGTTATTAATAATTGGAACCCCTGGCTGGGCATGGTGGCTCACGCCTGTAATCCCAGCACTTTGGGAGGCCGAGGCGGGCAGATCACAAGGTCAGGAGATCGAGGCCATCCTGGCTAACATGGTGAAACCCTGTCTCTACTAAAAAATAAAAAATAATAATAAAAAAAATTAGCCAGGCGTGCCTGCAGTCCCAGCTACTCAGGAGGCTGAGGCAGGAGAATCGGCTGAACCCAAGAGGCGGAGGTGGCAGTGAATTGAGATCATGCCACTGTACTCCAGCCTGGGCGACAGAGCAAGACTCCATTTCAAAATTAAAAAATAAAACAAAAAATAATTGGAAACCCCTTGGGGGTGATGGAATGGAGAGGACAAGCTGGATGTGAGAAGCACAGTGTACAAAGAGTGGATAGAAACTAGAATCCATTACATGTCAGGCGCGTAGAAAGAATACTTTCCAAAGGCCCTTTAATCCACAGGGTAACCAGCCAAGACCAGCTGGGCATTGCTATGCATTTCCTACATTATAGGGACATCTCTATCTTAGAAAGACTAGCTGATTAGTATTGCCAGAGTTTGTGAATAAAAATATAAATAATTTTTATTTATTGTTTATCTGAAATTCAAATTTAACTGGGTGTCCAGTATTTTATCTGGCAACCTGAGAAGTGCTCCTTTAGAATTTGAGAGTCCATTCCATTGTTTCAAAAAGCCTTTCCTCCAAATATGGGTAAATTCCATCCTTATTCTCCAGTCTTAAAGTCAAATACCATGGATTGACCATCTGCATCTACAGGAATATTCCTTCTTTATTCAGAGAAGGACAACTCAGGTTCTCCAACTGGAGAAGTCAGCTTTCTTTGTAATTCATTGGCTTGCCCTTGGGATCTAGTTATTGGAAAGGATATTTTTATAAATGGAAAGGTATTTGTAAATCTTTACCCTATTCTAACACCGCAGCTAATGAAAGTGCCCATGTTGCTAAAGCAAGAGGCTGAACAAACAGAAAGCAACAGGGAGAAGGCAACACCATAAGCCAATCATGCAGTTCTTCCTGCTCTGCTGTTGCCAAAAGAACCTTTATGGCTGGCAGCAAGGCTGCTAAGCCTGGGCAGGAAAAGGGAGGCTAGACTTCAGCCAAGTCAGAGATTTATGGCCATTTGGGGGAACTCTGGTGCCATTCAAACAAATCTTCACTTGAAATGAGTTTTGGAAAAAAAAAAAAACAAAACAAAACAAAAAAAACAATGTCTTGCTATTCCTCTGCTTCTCTCTCTTACCAGGAAAAGCAAATCTATGTCCTAGTTTTCCCCACTATATTGTGGCATCAGAGAAAACTAACTTCCTCTCATTTGCCTTGCATGCCAATTTAGGGTTTGATGCATACCCACTGTGAATGAAACCATGGATCATCAGCTCCCACATGACCTCCACAGATTCTGAGACTGATAGCTGATCTCCTCGTCCAGCTGCACACACTCACGCATATACTAACATGTACACACCCCACAAATGCATCCAAGCTCCTGGTTTCTCTAACCAGGATGTGGAGGGCTGTCTACAACAATGAATAGCATATAAAAGGCAAGAGGAATGGCATGTTCTTCTTTGCTGCATGATCCCTAACCATTCAACACCTTTACTTCATCCCTCTCTCAACCAGCTCCTAGTACAGGACCCATGCCCTCCCACATGATTTGGCAGTGTTGACATCCTCCTGCTTGAAATGCATCCTCTCCTAGCTTCCACTGTCATGTCCTAATTCTTTCCCCCACCCTTCTCCTTCTCTTCCTCTGCCTACGTCTTATCACAGTTCTTCCAGAATGTACAAAAATCAGTAGCTTTCTTACATGCAAACCAGATAAAAAATAGAAGAAAAAAACTTTGTCCAATTGCAAAGATGAATGTAAAATACGTAACAATAAACTTAAGAATTGTGCAAGACCTATATGAAGAAAACTTGAAAACCATATTAACAAAAAAATTGAATAAAAATTTTGAAACCATATTCTTAAACAAAAAGTCATTATTATAAGAATGTCACTTCTGATTTATCTAATAAATTTCATTCCAATTATTTAAAATTCTAACAGTTTTTTTAATTTGATAAAATATTAAAGTCCATCTGGAAAAGTAAACACCTGAGAAAATTCTGAATAGGGAGAGCAATTGAGAATGACTTTGTCTTACTAGATATTAAAATGCATTGCAAAGCTAGTTATTAAAACAGTACCTATTAATACTTGAATAGGCAAGTGGATGATTGGATCAGAATAGAGAGCCCAGAAGCAAACTCAAATACATATAGAAATTTAGTATATGATAAAGAAGGCATCCCAAATTACAAGAAAACGCAATAGGAACAAAGGACATGAATAGGTAGTTTGAACGTGAAGGTCACACATGGCCAATTAATATAGGAAAAAATGAACAATTTCTTTCATATTAAATGCAGATTCAAACAATGAGATGCCATTTTTCATCCCCAATAATACAATTTAAAAATTGAAAAATACATAGCATTCATAAGGCAGTGAGAAAAAAGCACACTGATACTTTTTGGGCATATAATTTAGGACAACCATTTTGGAGGACAATTTGGCAGTGTCTATCAAAATTTCCAATGGATTTAACCTTAGACCTAGCAATTCTATGTCTCAGGATTTGTCCTGTCAATAAACAATACTTGCACCATTGGAGATATGTGTGTATATATATATATATGAGAAAGTTCTCTGGAACATATTGACATAGCAAACTACTGATACAACCTGATTGCCTATCATAGGTTAGGTAAATAATGGTGTTATATCATGGAATACAGTACAACTGACAATAAAAAACAAAATATTTCTAGATACACAGACATAGAAAGATGTCAAAAATACTGTGACTCAAACACTAATCACAGAACAATTTGTACAATAGGGCCCCACTGTGTAAACGTTAAATGTACATATTGTACATAGATATAAATAAAAATGAATATATAAAGAAAAAAGAAAAAATGTTTATGCATGTATACACAAGAAACCATGCCAGGAGGCTCTGGGAAATGGGACACAGGATGCCGGAAGGGGAAGTTTTGTTTCATATTTACTACAAGTATGTAGTACTCTTTTAATTAAATGAAAAAACAACATAATTTTTATTAAAAGGATATTCTGCCCGGGAGCAGTGGCCCACACCTGTAATCCTAGAACTTTGAGAGGCTGAGGCAGGAGGACTGCTTGGGGTTAGGAGCTTGATACCAGCCTGGGCAACAAAGCAAGACCTTGTCTCTACAATAAATAAATAAATTAATTAAATAAAAATGTAATTAGCCAGGCATGGTGGCACACACCTGTAGTCCTAGCTACCTGGGAGGCTGAGGTGGGAGAATCACTTGATCCCAAGAGCTCAAGGTTGCAGTGAGCTGTGATTGTACCACTGCACTGCGGCCTGGCAGACAGAGCGAGAACCTGTCTCAAAAATGAAAATAAAGATATTTCCCCAGGTTCTGACCATGAAGATCTCAAGTACAACTCAACCCAACATTAGTAATATCAGAGTGATGACAGAAATGTAAGAATTTGCAATTCCTGAACTGAAAGGAACTTAGATGCTGTCTTAGTTCATTCAGGCTGCTATATCAAAATATCTTGATGGGTACCTATAAAGAACAGAAATTTATTGCTCACAGTTCTGGAGTCTGGAAATTCCAAGATGAAGGCACCAGCAGATTCAGTGTCCGCTAAAGGCCTGTTCCTCTGGGTGGTGGCTCCTGTGTGTCCTCACACATCGGGAGGGCTTAAAAAGCGGCGTCCTCTCAGGCCTCTTTTATAAGGGTCCTAATCTCATTCATGAGGGTGGAGCCATCGTGATCTAATCACCTTCTGAAGACCCCACCCCTTAATGCTACTGCATTAGGGATTAAGTGTCAACACATGAATTTGCAGGGGGCAGAGACAAAAACACTCAGACCGTAGCAGATGCCATGTAGTTCAATATTTCATTTTACAAATAAGGAAACTAAACTTACAAGGCAAATTCAAGGAAGAGCTGGGACTAGAATATTCACTCAAATTCTCCATCCTTATTTTGTGTCCTTAATGATATCCATTCCTCAAATCTCCCAGTGTAGAAAATACGTAGTGTAATGTGAGCTTCCAAGCTGACAGGGCAGGGCTTTCTGTGACAGCCACCAGCTCCAGCCAGTCAGCCTCTCTTCCCAACTTTCTCCATATCACCACAGTAGTTTTGAAGTACTGCATTTCCTTCCCCAGCACATTCTAGGCTGATTAATACCTCCTTGTTTATGCTCCTCTTAGTTCTTCCACCTCAAGCATTCTCTACTTTGACTGCACATTAGAATCACCTGGGGAGATTTTGGAGTTCCCTGAGACCAGGCCACACCCCGTCCCTTAAATCAGAATCTCTGGGTGGGGGAGGCAAGCCCAGGAATTGATTAAACTACCCAGGTGATTTCAATGTGCAGCCAATGCTGGCGCATCTTCCTCTAACCTCTTTCTTGGCCTAGTAATACCTGTTGGCCCTTAAAGACTTCTCTGGGAATCCTCCCCTGATCCAACCTTGACTCCACTCACCCTATGCATATCTCTATCACTGGCCTTTCCTCGTGAAATTGAGGATAATTTGTACGTGTCTATAAGCTCCTGGGGGGACAATAGTAATACCTTACTCTTCTTTGAATTGCTGGTGTTTATCACAGTATGTGACTCCTGGTGGATGCCCAGTAAACATTTGTGGACCTCTTCCTCCCAGCTCCCATGAAATCCCTTCATCTTCTCATGGCATCTCATGTCAGCCTCTTCCTTCCTAAACCCACTGACACCATGAAATTTAAGTTTTTGTCATCTCTACCTGAACTATTATTACCATAACCTTTTACCTAGGCTTTCTTTCACTATTCTCTCCTCTCTCCACTCCGTCTTTCCCATCTTCCTAGATCTTGGTACAGAGCATAGCACCTGCTAAAACAGACAGAATCTAGCCCAACTCCAACATGAGGTCCTCCAAATCTCGCCAGAACATTTTTCTTTTAGCCAAATTATCCAAACCATAAACATTAGGAAGGAGATGACTGCATACCTTTTCCAAGTCGTCCTAGAATGTTGTAAAAAAAAAAAAAAAAAAAAAAAAAAAAAGGCCTGATTTGGGATCATTGAATGCTCTAGAGAAATGTAACTTGTTTGACTTACTATTTACCATTGATTCGGGCCCAGATTCTGTAAAATTGGGTGTTAACATTTATAAAATTGGCAAGTTACAAGTGATTTTTTTTTTTGTCCAGTATGATTGCAAATGAATTCTGTCCAATAGAAATGATAGCTCCACAGGTTATGGCTTTATTGCTCTGTAGAGCCTTAACCAGATTCCTATCTAACTGTGTTGTCTTCTTTCAGTATTCCTTCTTTTATTGATTAGATATGCTTTGGTCTTTCAAGCTCTGCTTTGAACCAGTTTATGACTACTTAATGAACTTTTAAGAAAATCTTTGACATGCACTCACCATACACTTGTATGATTTATTTTTAAACTTTTTTTAAAATTATACTTTTATACCAGAAGCTCAGCCACACTGAGTATCTGCCAGGGCAGCTTCATGCCTTAAGGCCTTTGCTCATGCCATTCACTCCAGCTAAAACATCTTATTTTGACCCAACATCTTTCACACTCTTATTCATCCTCCAAAGCTCTTCTCACAGGGCTCCTCTCTATGAAGTCTCTCCCGATCTCTTAATCTAACTTATTCCATTATTCTGTCTTCTCACTGCAGCCAACCTACCTATATTCCTGTTGTGGCAGCTCCTGTTCTGCGTTTTACCAACTCAATTGGCAAGTCTTTCTCCTACCACAGCATCCAGCTCAATGCCTGACCAATAAATGTTCACTGACTATTTGTTTAATTGGGAATAATCAGTCTTAAGCAACCCACTATTTCAACACTTGGCCACAGCCAAACTCCAAGCAATCTAATAAATGATGGTTGGGGGATTTCCAAACTTTTTTTTAAAAAAACCACAGAAGATGATTGAAATTGAACAGGCATTTATTGAGCACCTTCTAGGTGCCAAAAGCAAAGATGAATAAGACATGGAATTAGGCTATCCTCTCAGGAGTAACTGAGCTTGCTTTCCAAGCCTTCTGTGTTCTGTTTAAAAAGAAACATTAAATCCTAAATGAGTTACTGAGAGCTGCACAGGCTAAGTTTACCAAGTGTTTTCCTTGGCCTATGGTATCTTCCTGAGGTGGAGACATTGATGGCCACAAGCATTCTCAGCCAGCTGTGGCCCCCAGCCTCCCTGGGGTGGTTTGGCTCATTGCAGAAGGTAGCAGTTGCCCAGTGGGGGCCCCATCAGGAGCCTGGGGACAGGATATGGGCTAAGCCCAGCCTCAGCCTGGGAGTTCCTTCTGTGGGATTCTTTAGTAGCCATGTATTCCCAAAGTTCTCCTTACACCACAATCCCACAAGCCCAGCTCCAAGTTTGCCTCAACTGTGCTGAAAGGTACAACTCTAGAGTAGCCATATTATCCAGCTGCATCAAAGGGATGAGTTGGAGACCACCCAGTGTCCTACCAACGTTGCAAAACAGCTCTCCACTTGCTGCTTTGGGCTTCAAAGGGATATTATGTTTTAATAAGCTGCTGTATAATTAATCAGCCTTCACCCCTCTCCTAGCTGAAATTACTGACGGAAATAAGCAAACACCCAAAATTTGCTATTTCCCTTTCCAAATGCCAACAGTGAGGAAACATTCCCATGTAAATCAAGACTGGGTGTGGATGGGTTCTGGGCTCCAACAAGTCTGCTGTCCAACCTCATAACTCAGACTCACTGCAGAGACCTGGGCTCCTCCAGGGGACATCAGAGGGCACGAACCCTGCTTGCCTCCATCCTCATCCACCATGCATTGGGCATGGCTCTTGGTGTGGTCATCCTAGACAGATTGAGGCCATTTAATCCATCCAAATTCCCAGGACCCAGCCACACTACCAACTGGGGCCACAGAAAGCCAGAAGCTTTCAATCTCAGCTCTGACCATGGCTGTGTTGGCTTGGGCAAGTTATTCACCTACCTGGGACTCAATGTATTCATCTGTAATAGTAACAATAGCAATAATAATAAACTATTTCTTGAGTGGCAAGTATAGTATCATAATTAAGAGTAAGTGCTTGGGAGTTAAACAGCCTGGGTTGTAACCTGGCTGCATCACATACTGACCATGTGACATGAGCAAGTGCCTTAATGTCTCTGATACTCAGATCCCTTATCTGTAAAGTGAGGATGACAGTGGTACCTAGCTTATAGGGTTGCTGTGAGCATTAAATGAGATAACAAGAGTAAAGTCCTTTAATTAGTGCTTGGCACATAGCATACCCTCTCCAATGTTAGTTATTGTTAATATTATCATCACTATTGTTATTATTACTATTTTTGTTGCACATCAGGCAGTGTACTTTGAAGATATTGTTTAATTCTTACAATAACATCATGAGGTGGTATCTCTTTATATGTCTATTTTATAGATAAGAAAACTGAGACTCGGATAGGTAAAACAACCTGGTCATGGTAATAGTAAATAATAATAGTAAATCTAAGATATTAAAGATCTATACAACTGCAGAACTACCATAAGGATTTGAGATGACAAATGCAAAGTGCTAAGCCTAGCACAACAAATTCTTAAAAATGTAATGATAATTATTGAAAATGTAAAATTGGCACTAAGAAATAGGCAGAACACATTTCTCAACCCAACTTCTGATTCATCTGTACAGATCCAGCCAGAGGAAGGACATTCTTCCTTCCTTAAGGAGAAAGGGCTCCACGTTTAATGAGCAGGAGATGCGGTGGCAAAATATGGACAAAGGTTTCCTCCATCTGAGACTGTGGTGGGACCTGAGTGTTTTGTACCCTCCAAACTTCCAGGGTCCCTTTTCCTCTTAATAGCTATTAGGCACAAATATTTCCTTCCCATGTAATATGGAAAATCCAGGGCCCACCTCAACATATCTGCAGACACTCAGGAGAAGGCTGACTTCCTCCCAGACAGCTCTGGCTCTAAATTCCCCCGCTGGACTCAACTCTGATCCCCCTTTACCACTGAGACTGCAGCGGCTGCTCTCCTGCTCTCTGCTCTCCCTCCAGGTGTAGACACGTACCCTCCCTCGATCCCCAAGCATCATGAGCAGGCAGATGTTGTGTGTAACAAATTTTACTGAAGGTTCAGGAATGAGTAGAGCCTACCAGAGAACACAAGATAAAACTGTCACTGGACATTGTTCCCAGCACACAGGACTATGTACTACTGTCCTTCTCTTTACACTTTGGCCAGTTGTTGTCATTTTTCCTGGACACCCCCCCGCTCAAAATAGGCCCTTTACCCTTATCCCTTCTTCTCTGATTTTTGCATCCATGTATCAGCTCATCTGCCAAAAACTCAGAACACCTGTTATTATAGTACAGAAATCAGGTTTGTTCTCTTTTTGTTGGAAATCTCCTACACCTACAACTGCATTCCTTAAAATGGGGTCTGCAGAGTGTGGTGCCAGGCCACGAACTTTGGTTGCCAGTGCACGATGAGATGAGTACAGATGTTAAGGTTTTATAGCAACTTGACACAGTAATTTTTATGTCTGCTGAATCTAATCATAAAATAAAAATGAGACTTGTGCTTTATATGTCTTTTTTATTTCATGTTTTTAATAATGTATTTCATTGTATTTTACAAAAGTACCAGTCCAGGAAAGAACAGAGTTTTAAAAGCTAATTCTTCACGTGGATCCTTTGAGAAGCACTGATCTAGACTGACCCAAAAGGCCTGCTTTATGGAGTCCAAATATCCCTTTACTGTGTATTCCCAAAGAAAAGAGAAGTTTTCCCACCCTAAGGAATTCTGCTGCTCTCCTAGGGCAACTGGATTAACTCAGAAAATATTTTTTTTTCTTCCCCATCAGCCATAAAAAATCAACGCATGATTTACCAGTCATTGCAGCTTATGGGGCAGGAGAAGGATGTAATGATAACAAAAACGTCCATTTATGCCACCCTTTAGCATTTATAAATCACATTCCTATGCACCATTTCATTTGCTCTTCATGACATCTCAATCAAGCAGCATTAGTATGCATCCTACTTGATGGATGAGAAAATCGAGGCTTTGAGAAGTAAGGTCTTGCCCAAGGTGATTCACCCAAAACACTAGAGCAGAACTTAGAGCCAGTGCTTTGATTCTAGACTCCATCCCCTACCACCATGTCACAATGTGATAGAAACCACTGGGTAAACATATTTCAGATAATAGTCCAAGGGGCTTGAATAGCTAGATACCCAAATCCCCTTTTATCTTTATCTTGAACTGCGTCTGGCCTCCAGATCTCTAGCTAGGTAATCAAAGTGGCTGGTTTTTATTCTTTTCATGTTGCAACACCTAGAGATAAGCACAGGCCTCTCACCTTTGCTCCTTGCCAGTTCTACTTTACAGCCTTACCTACCTTGCTACCACCTTCTTGACTCAGAAGAAAATGGGTCAGGAATTGCCAGGGACCAATTTCAAGAACAAAAAGCAAAGCTCAGAAGTGAGCCTTGAGCTTTCCCAATGGCGCCCTGCCTTGAACCCAGACATCTAATGTGTGCTGTTTTCTAATAAGGCAAACACTCGGTATTGACATTAAATGCCTTCATGGGGCATAGCCGCATGCTGACAAAAGCAATGGCCAAAACAAGTGTGAGGCAAGAGTTGAAAAACAATTATGGTTTTAATCTGATTAAACTGTTGCCCAAAAGAAAACCAGAGGGGTTTTTTAGAACACTGTTTCTGTACTTCTGATTTCTTCCATTTTTATAGCATAAAAATAATTAAAAGTATGCCCACAATACATTTGGCTTCATTCAGCAGGCATACTGAAGAATATTACATTTAGTAATTTACATACACTGGAAACATAATTCATTAGATTATCCAGAAAGCTAAGAGCAGCAGGCCAACATGGACAAGTCTCTTATGTAACGTCTGCAAGAGCCCATTGCAGGCACATAAAGAGAGCTTGGATTTTCCTAGGAACCATTTTCTTGCAAATGAAACATTTCATTATGGAGCCAAGTCCATAAATAGACCATTAACGCTGGGAGCGGGGAGGGATGCAGCTATACTGCTGGATTAGCAGGGGAATATCCTACAAGAAATTCATCAATGCCATAGATAATTAATTACAGCTCACCTTCTCCCCACATCACCATGCCTTTATCAGCCAGCATTAGGGAAACAGCAGATGGCCAACCAAAGACAGAATGCAATTTTCTGTCAACTCATTACTTACAGAATCGCAGATTAGGTACGAGACCCCTAGAAGGTCACCTAGGCCATTCCCTTGTGTCCGAAACAATCTGCCCCAGAACCATCCCAGTCACAGGAGTATCTACCTCCCTTATTCAGAAAGCGTCCCCAGGAAAAGCAATTTTCCTGTCTGCAGAAGCGTGGAATTCCAGGGACTTCCCCTTCCATTGGGAAATGGTCCCTGAAGGCTAAATTCTTCGGGGCCTTTTTTTCTCATCAGTATTTGGGTTGGTGTCCCCAGATGGTACCAACACTCCCAAGTCAGTTTCTCCTGCTGGGTTCCATGGAGACACTTGTGCCATAGGCATTCTCAGGGTCTTTTATTCTCTCCTTGTGGAATGCCAGAGAGATAGCACAACACAGCTTCTTGTTCCCAGAGTATTTTTATAAAAGAGTTAGAAGACCACTGAAAAGTTTCAAAAGCCTTCATGACTATTTTAAGGTTGTTTACTTAAGATGAAAGTACTTGAAAATTCCCGACTTTATTTTTATCCATCTGTATCAGGGCTGGCTTGTTACTCACACCACAGTCAGTTGTGGAGGGAAAATAAAGTTTCTTTTTTCCCCCGAAAGGCTCTGCTCTTCCTCAGAAAGCCCATATTAGCTGGGTGGCTGGGAACACTTTGACTCACCAATAGTGGTATTTTAGTCCTGTCCCGTGGAAAATGTCCCCTTCGAAAGGCAGTCTTTTCAAAACTGAATTCCCTATCAAAAGTCATTCCTTTTCAAATGAGTCCAGGTATGTAGATGAACTTTGGTCTCTTGGATTTCACCTCCCCTTCTGTTCTCTAAGATGCCATCTTGATATATGAAGGGTTATTTTATCCTCTTGCCAGCAGGGGAGACATTTCTCTGGATATCCCCAGTCCCAGCTGCATATCACCTGGAGCAGATATGCTCCCTACAGTAGTGACAATGAAGATGACCATGACTCATGGTGTGCTTCCTTTTTGGTTAGGGCAGGGAGTGAAGGGGCACTGTCTTTTGAGGTCAGTGTGCTGGCACTCACCATGGCAGTGCATGTTCCCTGCCACTTGCCTCCATCTCTAAGGCCCTGCACATGCAGCCTCTTCACTCTGACCACAGGCCTCCTGCAAGTCCACAGGCTGCCTCAGCCCTTCCTCATCCCCTCATCAGGTAGATGGGCCCTTCTGAATTCCTTGCAAGTCACCACTAGACTATGGTAGCCAGAAGCATGGCCTACTGGCTTTTCAATCTATCCTTCTGTTGCCTGGCCTCTTCTTCGCCATGCCTCCCCAGCCATGATGGAGATCTGGAGACTTGGATCTCTTCACTCTTCTCTCTCTCACAAGTGCACGCATGCATGCACACGCACACACACACACACACACACACACAATCACTCAATAAAGCACATCTCCCAGCCCAATAGCCCAATGTTCTTCTTCCCCACGTTTATCTGGGTACAAAGGGCAAAGACCCAAGGGGCCAAGAGGAACAAAGATGCTTAAGTCTGCTTTTCTCCTCTGCTTATCCCCATTCTTCTTCCCACTCTTACTTGACCCAGAGGGGCAGGCCTTTCCTTTTATTCAGCATGTCCTCCCCCTAGCCTAAGGTTGCAACCTCAAGGTTTAGCCACCATGGCAAAAGGGGCAACTTCTTTGCATATGGAAGCACCTCAATGATCTAAATTCTACAAATGTAGTGGCTCGTCAACTGTGGGTTCACTTGCAGCTAGGGATTTCCAAGGATAAAAATGGTTGATCTGAGATCTCGGAATGTATCCTTATTGAATTTAGTTTTCCTCAGCAATCCCTGTGCCTCCTAGCCTTAATACCCACACAACCACACCCAGTCATGCGCACATAATGGACACACACATATACGCACACTCCTTCTTACTTCAGATAAGGGAAAACGGTAGCACTGAGATTCAGATTATCCTGGTTTACTAACAGACCAAGGAACAGGGTGAATCCTCAAATCCTTTTCTAGAAAATCTATCATCATGATAAAGTCACAAAAAAACATGGAGATGATTGGTTTATTCCATTATTATTTATTTTGAACCTTAGGACTTAAAATATTCCACTGTATGTCAAAAATTCTATCAAATATCTCTACACAATGGTAAAATTAAACTCCAAAGCACACGAATACACACACATAGAATTTTTTATAACTAGATCTCAAATTAATATGTTTTCAAATTCCATTACCTTATTAATTATATCTATGAACTCCCAGTTAAACCTATGCATATCTTCAGTTATGTCCTGGTTATACCCCAGTTATACACATAGTAGGCTCTTAAAAAATGTGTGATGAATGAAATTGAACCCTCGAGCCAATGCCATAGGGAAGAACTCACATCAGTGACAAAGCTTGCCCCTCCTGTAGTTTCTAGCAATATGGAAACAAACCTCTTAATCATAAGGCACTTTGGGAGAATTTTTTTTTTTTCTCAGCCATTTATTTACCAGCTCACTCCTCATCATTGTGTGTGGAATACACAGCATTGTGGAGAGATTTATGGGACAGATTTTAATCTCAGCTGCAGGGCATGCATCAGTGCTTATCTCCAAATGGAGGTGTGTTTTATGTGGTCATTGTTTCATGTGATCACAGGCCAGCCAAATGACTGCATACCTGAAACCCAGGAGTGAGAGCACCTAGTGGGAGGAGAGGAGGAGCTGCAACAGGGGGGAAAGAGGTTCGTTACGGACTCTTAAGCCACGGCACGTAAATCCAATTAATCTCAAAAACAGTTGGTGGAAACAAGGAACTTGGGCCTGAGATGTGAAAATCTCACAGGTGCAACAGATTCCCTAAGCCATGGTGCTTCCCCAGATATGAGCTTGCCTCAATCAAGGAAACATTGAAGCCAAATTCTTTCCTGGAAACCTGAACCCACCCCCCAACCCCCAACCCCTTCCTCTGCATTCCAGGCTGAGAGAAGAGCTTCCTGCACCGAACTGAAAGGTCCACACGATGTAGTTTAAAGTTGCCACCGGAGTCTCAGTGACCTCTCCCTGCCCTTAGAGGCCCAGCCAAGCTGGCTTTCTCATCAGGGCCCCAGGGAGGAGTGGTGCATGGCTCCACTGGCAGCAGCTCCTATTACAGGGCCAAGGAAGGCCTTACTTAATGTCCCCCCTGGGAGTCTTTGACACTTGATCCTCAGTCACTGTCTTCCACTGACCTAATGGGCCGGAATAAGTCTTTCAGATTGAAAAAATATTTTTGAACTTGAGAGCTCATATGTTTTCTTCCAGAGAAGGCCCATTCTAATCAACCCAAGAGGCCCTTGACTGTGTTCATTTGTCCATTCACTCTTTCAGTATCGATTAATGGCCTATATTACAGGTAGGGTACATGAAACTAATTAAAGAACGGAACTCTCCTAGAGGTTTGTGTTTATTTTTGCCCAAATTGCCTTCAAAGGAGTTAGAAGATGATATAAGTAGACAACTGCCCAAACACAGCTTTAAAAGAGAACTAGGGCAGGGTCACTCCGCTCCGCACCCACCTAGGTTTGGAGGTGAGGAGCGTGACTAAGTGAAAAGGCAACCCGCCCATCACAGACCACTTCCCCTGCCGACCCACAATCATAAATCAGGAAACAGATCACAGCCTAGGGAGGTTCAAGAAAGTCAGGGGGATATTACAGCCAGGCAGCCCACGCTGGTCCTGCCCACCCCTTTCTGTACTGTGTGTGAGAATGTGTAGTGAATGGAATTGTGTCTCCCCAAAATTCATGTCCTCCTGAAACCTCAGAATGTGGCCATATTTGGAAATAGAGAGTATTTGCAGATGTAGTTAGTTAAGGATCTCAAGATGAAATGGCATTCTTATAAGAAGAGAGGACACAGACACACAGAGAAGAAGATGATCACATTGGAGTGATGTGTCTGCAAGTTGAGGAATGACAAGTATTTCTAAAAATCACCAGAATTTGGGAGAAAGGAATGGGACAGTCTCTCCCATAAAGACTCCAGAGGGAACCAGCCCCACCAATATGGTGAGCCCTGATTTCTAAATTCCAGAACCACGAGAGAATAAATTTCTGTTGTTCTAAAACACTTTTTCTGGTAATTCGTTGCCACAGCCCTTGAAAATCAATATAATATGTGAGCTGCCAATCTTCCTCTCCATGACATCTTCCTTCCTCCTGCCATTGCCTTCCTCTGAACAGTTCCTGCCATTTAAGCTCCAGACACCCTATTCTGGGACTAGAGGAGGGTAGGGGACAAAAGACAGATGACCGTCCCAATTTCCCTGCTCAGTGGTGTGGAGGAGCCAGGCGGCACTGGTTTGCAAGAGCCAACGGTATACATCTCTTCCCAAATCCATGTTCAGTGACATCATGTCGGTACCTTGAAATCAGCCATGGTGGGAGTATTTACACCAGGAAAATTGCAAACACTACACATCAGGGCTTTTTTCCCCAGACAGCCAATTATTAAACATTTACCGGCACACCACTGTCCCTGCCTGTGTTCAGCTACTTCACCAACTCTCTTCATAGCTCCAACTGTTCCACTTGTGCCAGAGGATGAGAAGCCAGGAGGATGGAACTCATGTTACTCTAAGCAAAGCCACAACCTTCTCCTTACTACTAAGGCCATCATTTAGCTCCATTTTTCCTCTGAGCTCTGATCATTACTGTGTATTATTGTGTATGAAGTCAACGCCCCACAGGCATTTGATTATTTATAACTTCAGAAAGTTTCTTTTGCACAGTAATTTGCCAGGCTTTCATCTGCAGCAGCCAGCATTTGATAGAAATATGGAAAATGGCCTGAACCTTAAATGGCAAACAGATGAGGAGGTCCAATGAAAATCACACATGTTTGAAGACCATGTGTTTTCCCATGAAATATATATTGGATTTTTAATTGATGTGGACTTTAGCTCATGGTAACTTTGTCAGCTATCTGAATTAGTGGGTTACAAGAAATACTAAAGAAAGGAATGTGATCAAGGTAAACCCTAGAGAAAACCTGACCCTGAGTGACCTCTCCTTACCCCAGGGCCCTCTCCCCACCCCAGGGCCCTCTCCCCAACCTGGTTTCCAGGATCTTGTTGAAAATGAAGCATTCTCTCGTCCATTCTGTCCCTCTGAACACAGTGGAACGTGAGAAGCTCTGCCTTTTGTAGGATCCAATAGTGTAGGATCCTTATAAAACATTGCAGCATTCCTATTTTAGGTGGTCATTAATGCTGTCCTCCAAAAATTCCGTTTTCCATGTTTGGAGCATATGTAGGTTTTGTATCTCCTCACTCCCTCTGGTTGGATAGGCCTAAGGATCTAGTTCTGGTTAAGAAGTTAGAAGAGACCATGACTCTTGTCATTTTCTAGGCCAGCACATTTAATTTCCTGTTTAATACCTCCCAGAACTTTTTTTTCCTCTGGCAGAATGACATAAGACATTAGAGACGGTAGCTACCCCATCAGCCTGGGTTCTGGTTGACTATTAAACACACACACCCCAACTCCAAGACCTGAAATAATTATGTAAGCACAAAAGATATAACCCTGTGCTACTGAGGACACTGAGATTTAAAGGCTCAGCCTACCCTGTTAGTGCTTCCCTCCTTGTTAGTATACCAGGGTTCAAACAGTGCTGGTCTCAGCTTCAATCAGAGCTCAGGAAATGAGTATACTGAGATCACAGACCCAGACTACTTTAAAAATCATGGACAGCGAGACCTGAAATAGACCTTACAAATTACCCAGGCCGGTCCCTTTATTTAGCCCACAGGAATCTGAGGCCCAGAGTGGGGACATTTCTTGCTTTATATCATCCAGCTACTTAGTGGTGCTTTTCATTATCCTTCTTCTTCTGCTAAGGAAGCTGATCTGATCACAGTTTCTCTGGGTTTCAGGATCCTCGTGCTATAATCCTGCTTAGAAGTTTCATGTTTGAAAGGACAGGCTCTGCAGTCAGACTGAGTAGGCTTGACTCAACTCTGCAACTTACCAGCTGTGAGCCTCACCCAAGTTCCTTAAAGATTTGCAGGCCTCATGTTCAACATCTGCTGAGTGGAGATGGTAACAGGCTTGTGACGACGTCTAAGTGAGATCTACTTGGGTTGCTTAGCACGGTGCCTGGAACATGCAAAAGCTCAGTCAACATTCCCTGTTGTTACCTTCACAGGGTTCCTTCTGCATGCCACCCCCAGGGAGGGGCACTGGGACAACTGAGAATGCTGATTTAGTCCTTGCAAAGTATCCCCCAAAAAGAGGGGGTTTGCCTTTCCTAGAAACTAAAATGTGCTAAGCAGATGCTATGTACTGTGCTATTATTTGGATAACTCCAAACTTTGTGATTCATTGAGAATGGTTGATTGTTTTGCCGAAATTATTTGGACAATTACCTCAGCTCTCCCTTTGCTTTAGATGAAAAGCCCAGGGCAATAACAACTGATTTATCAGACTTCATCTTCCCAGGAGACTGTAAGTCCTGTTTTAGCATCAAAAAGAGGAAGACATCCCCCAGCAAGATGGCAAAGGCCCAGGAAAGAATAAAATTGCTCCTCTGAACCTCGTTTGATCCTAAAATGCCAACTCAAGAACTGTTACTCAGGTAACAGCACGTGGCTGTGTGTGTGGTTTGAATATCAGCAGGGAGGGCTTCCAAATTACAAAACACAATAAGCATTTGCAAGACAATTTCCTTATTTACTTTCTCTCCCTGGGTCCCCGGTGAGCTAATGACCATGTCCAGAATGCTTTTGGCAAAAGAACAGTGCCAGCGCTGGGCTTCAACCACCGGAACCTAGCCATGGGTTACCACTTAAAGATCATTGAAAAACACAAACCCACCCCCTCTAAAGGAGTTTTGCCTTCTAGAGAAAATTCGTTTAAAATGAGCAAAAGGCTTCTCATTCCAGTTGGAAGTAAGATTGAATTGTGGTCGGGAGCAGTGGCTCACACCTGTAATCCCAGCACTTTAGGAGGCCAAGGCAGGAGGATCACCAGAGGTCAGGAGTTCGAGATCAGCCTGGCCAACATGGTGAAACTCCATCTCTACCAAAAATACAAAAATTAGCCAGGCTTGGTGGCGGGTGCCTGTAATCCCAGCTACTCAGGAGGCTAAGGCAGGAGAATCACTTGAACCTGGGAGGCGGAGTTGCAGTGAGCCTAGATCATGTCATTGCGCTCCAGCCCGGGTGACAAGAGTAAGACTCCATCTCAAAAAAAAAAGAAGAAAAAAAAAAAAAGACTTGAATTGTAAGAAACACTGAGAAAGGTAATGTCTAAATGTTCTGTGATACTGAATATCTTCATTAATTTTCTGTCTCCATTCTGATATGACAAACCTGCACGGGTACCCCTATACTTAAAATAAAATTTAAAAAAAAATGGTCCCTGAGTGTAAGCAGACTGCAGACTCTCCTGAAGGAGAGAGCTGTATGTGAATTGGGGATAGGGAAGGAAGAAAGGGCCCATAGAAAGGCACAGGCGGGGCTGGTGTGGTAGATTATTTTTACTGACTTCACAATTTCTCACCAGGTACGTCGCTCATGCCTATAATCCCAGCACTTTGGGAGACTGAGACAGGAGAATTGCTTGAGTCCAGGAGTTCAAGACCAGCCTGGCAATGTAGTGAGACCCACCTTTACAAAAAATAAAAAACTCACCAGGCATGCTGGCACGTGCCTGTGGTCCCAGCTACCCTGGAGGCAGAGGTGGGAGGATTGCTTGAGCCTGGGACATGGAGGCTGCAGTGAGCTGTGATCATGCCACTGCACTGATACTAGGTGACAGAGCAAGACCTTGTCTTGCAAAAAAAAAAAAAACCAGAAAACAAGAAACAAAATCACAGTTTCTTCTGCCTCCAGCTTTACTGATAAGCCCAAAGGACAGAGACTGGAGTTGAGGACCCAGCTAATGAATTTGGGCTATATGGCATTCTGAGACTTTTTACTAACCCCAGGGCAGAAGAAACCACTGAGCCATAGGCCAGATGAGATTATTATAAGGCAGGACCAGGAACCAGAGGAGGAAGCCTGTGTCCAGCAAGGCCTATTTGACAATCTGTTTTCCCAGCTTATATCAACGGCTTCCTCCAAGGTATCATTCCTGCAGACAGTTGGATTTCAAGGCCAAAAAAGTGTTCTCGGATCTCAAGCAGTAGAGAGATAGAACTTGGTGGTACACCAGAAGGCAGAAGGTGTGTTTGTTTACACTAACATGTTACAGATTTGATGCCATGGCATTTTGATTTTCTCAGAGAGGACAGTGCTTGCCTATGAGTCAGCCAGGTCAGGCTTAGCTGATCTTGGCTGGGCTCATTCATGCATTTGTGTTCAGCTAGTGGGACTACTGGTGTTTGGCTGGCCAATGAGGGCTCAACTGGGAGAACCTGGCTTTACCCATGTTTCCCACATTTCTTCAGAAGGCTAGCTCAAGTGTGCTCTCATGTGAGTGGCACAGGTGCAAGAGAAAAAAAGGAAATATACAAGTACTTTTTCAAGTCTCCACTTAAATCAAGTTTGCTATTGTCCCACTGGCCAATGCAAGTCATGTGGTGCTATGGTTTGAATGTGTCCCCCAAAGTTCACATGTTGGAAATTTAATCCGCAATGCAACAGTGTAAAAGGTGGGACATTTAAGAGGTGATTAGGTCATGAGGGCTCTGCTCTTATGAATGGTTTAGTGCCATTATTGCAGGAATGGGTTCATTATTACAGGAGTGATGTCCTCATAAAGGATGAGTTTGATCCCCTTTTCTCCCTCTCTCTCTCTCTCTCCCTCTCTCTCGCTCGCTCACTCGCTATATGATGCAGCAAGAAGGCCCTTACCAGATGCAGACCCTCAATCTGATCTTGGACTTCCCAGCCTCTAAAACCATGAGCCAAATAAACTTCTATTGTTCATAAATTACCAGTCAGTGGTATTCTGTTATAGCTGCACAGAATGGACTAAGACACACAGGCAAGCTAAGAATTAGGTAAGAGGAGTCTGCAAACTTACAGGGCAAAAGGCATAGAGACTGTAAGGACATTAATTATGACCATTAATAAATCAATCAATAGCATATATCTTTCATATGGGAAAACTCTCTCAAATGTCTTATGATCTTTGACTGTCCATTCATATGTTATAAGAGTGAGGCAATGGAAAGTCACCTGAAAATTTGCAAGGGGATGAGGGTAGGTGCAAGGCTTGTTGACAGCAGGAGATTGCTGTAGGATAATCAGAAAAGAATTGGCCTTTTCATTAGAGGTCTCCATATGTCACTATATGGGTCTCTTTTTGAGGAAGTTTAGTTTCTCCAGAGAAAAACACTCTGATCTCCTCCCTAGGGTGAGGTCTAGCCCCTGATAATTTTTAGAGAAAGTCAGAGGGAGGGGCTGTCAGTGATGCAGTTCAATATATAGATATTCACAGAAAACTCTAGTTTTCAGCCCTGAGCCTCACCTCTGCCCTCTGCTATGCCCAGCATCCCAGAGTCCAGAGCCTCTCAGATTCCTTTTTGCCAGAGATTAAATATAGGTGGGATGGGTGAAGGAAAGGGTATAGTGAGAATGAAAGTGGCATGAGGGAGTTGGTCAGCTATGCTGGATTGGTGAGCAAGTGTTGGGATGGGTCATGGTCCAACTGCTTGTGCTCAGACTTTCACCCAGCCTCCCCCACGTCACTTCATGGCGCTTGGTGCCTCCCAGCACTGAGCCTCCTGGGCTTCTCTCTGCAGGTAGAGACTCCTTTCTCTATAAACAATGAAGCTCCCAATTTAATGTGGCTGCTGCCAGGGAACCTGCATGAGGCTTCGGGAAGGAGGGTGCAAATGACTCATGTTTTTAATATTTTACTACTAACTGATCTTAAAGGTCATACCTATGTGTTTCTATGCTCAACATAAATTTAATTTTAAAAGAAAGTTACTCATGAGAGAAAGAAGAGTTTTGACATTTTTGCTTGGGATCAGAATTCCTGTCTGAACCACTGGGTTAGGCCAGATTGTTTGGAACTGACTGGTGCACAGCTCATGTCACCTGCCACTCACCACCCACATGTTCAGCAGCATCCACACTGGTCTGTACCCATTCAACAGGCTCATGCACTTGGATGTCACAGCAATGCCCAGTAGATGTACACATCTCTAAACACTTCTCAGTCTCTGTATTTATCTTGACACAGACCAACGACAAAGAGTTCACAGACTGGCATCAGTAAGTAGTCCACGTGTAATTTTTTTAAGACTATTTTCTGTCAGAGGGAAGTTGAGGACCTAAATATCACTTTAGATCTAAGACAGTTACAGTTTTTCTCTATTGGTTTTCAAAAACTATGTCTTTATCTATTGCATACTGACCTACTTCATGGGTTAATAACCACACCCACAGGTCTTTCTGAGACATTCTTCTGCCTTAGAGAATTAACTCAAACTCCTCATTTTACACATGAAGATGCTGAAAGCCAAAGAGGTGAAGTGACTTTCCCAAAATTCCACAGTTGGTTTGTTGCAAATTTCTGAATCCAGCTTGATGTCTTTGTCCATGACTCCAATGTGACCCGATATAGAAACATGTAATCTAGTCATTAAAAAAAAAAAAAAAAGTCTGTTTCAGAAGAATCTAAGATGACTTTTGGTAATGCTAATTGTCTTAACTTCCAACTATCGCTTAAGAATGGAGCTGCCGGCTGAGCACAGTGGCTCACGCTTGTAATCCTAGCACTTTGGGAGGCCAAGGCGGGCAGATCACGGGTCAGGAGATCGAGACCATTCTGGCTAACATGGTGAAACCCCATCTCTACTAAAAATACAAAAAAAAATTAGCTGGGCATGGTGGCACGCACCTGTAATCTCAGCTACTCGGGAGGCTGAGGCAGGAGAGTCACTTGAACCCAGGAGGCGGAGGTGGCAGTGAGCCAAGATCACACCACTGCACTCCAATCTGGGCGACAGAGTGAGACTTCATCTCAAAAAATAAATAAATACATAATAAATAAATAAGAATAGAGCTGCCAAAGTTGCATTTGGCATGTACAGGAGCGTGCACTTCTCCAGTGGCCCACAAGTTCCAGTCTGACAGGCAGCAGTACTGCAGGGTACAGGGAAGCCAGGCTCATGAGGACAGAACTCCCCTGGCAGAGTAGACACAGACTCTCAACAACAGGCACAAAGCCATGTTGATCAGAGCCATTGTCCAGGTCGCCAGATCCCACCTGATTACAAAGGCTCTAAACAAGCTACAGCACATTCATAGGAGGGCCTGCAGTTCTGAAACAACATCACTGGAGGAGAAATAGAAGGAGTAGGAGATGTTCAGGCTGGAGAAGAGAAAATTCAAGGAGACACAGAGCTGTTAGTAAACATTTGAAGAATTGTCACATGGCAGATGGATTAGACGTATTCCAAGGGACCCCAGAAGTTCATGCTAGGAAATGTCATCTTAATGTGCAGAAGAGTTTTAAGTAATTTCAGCTGTCTAATGACAGAATGATTGTTTTAAAAGGTTATAAGTGTCCTGTCACCAGAAGTATACAAGTAGAGATATTTAGAGAGATGTCACATATTGCCAGGTAAAATGCAGGATGCCTGCTAAATTTTAATTTCAGATAAATTATAAATACTTTTTTCATAGAAGTATGTCCCAAATATTACTTACGTGAGAAAAGCATTTATGGTTTATCTGAAATTTGAATTTAACTTGGTTTCTCCTATTGCCACTTGCTAACTCTAGTCACCCTAAGTGTTGAGGAAACAGCCTGGGCTATGATTTTCCCAATCTTTTGAAGATTATAGGAAGGTATGCTGAGACAGCCAGGCTGTTGTTGGTCTAAATGAAAAACATAATTTTTCTAAAGAAAAACTGCCCTCCCGAGTCTCTTAGAGCTAATACAAACTACCCAGCTGTTCCAGTGGGGCTGTCATTACAGAGCTCAATAAAATGGATCCTCTTCAGCTCTGGGGGATTGAGAGCTGCAGGGCTTCCTCACGCAACAATGAGGACTTGTCAGTTTTATTTAGTAAACATAATGTTTGACACCAGGCACTCCCCTCGTTTGTTTATATTTGGCTGCACAGCCAGCCAGGGGCAAGGCCCAGGTCTCCATGATCAGGGATCTTGTTAGAAAATAAGCAAAGACCATAGGTGTTCCCTGGAGAAAAGACCTAAGATCCAATCAGAAAAGGATTCATGCAAAACCTCACTGCTCCCATCCAAAACACACAACTCTGCCTGTGCCATCTCATGGGGAGAAGAGGCCCCATCTTCTGGTCTGTCTCCCCAGCCCCAGCCCTAAACACTGCACCTTCAACTCAAAAATGGAGTCTGTTTCATGGCCTGGCAGGTCCTGTGTCCGCTGGCTCACCACATTGCCAAGTTAGCGAATCCTGCACTGAAGCAGAAAGTACTGGAGCAGAAATTCTGAATTTCCTGCCTTTCATCAGTATAAGCCAGATGCTTGCTTCTCACCAGCTCAGCCTACTGAGGGAGGCAGACCATCTCCACTCAGCCAAATTGTGAATGTTTTAAAAGCTTCCAAAGGAAAATGGTCTTAAAAAAGGAAACAGAAAATGAAGCAAGCCTGGAAACGCCCATCCCATTTCCCTTGGCTCTCCCCGTGTCAAGTCCCTGTTTAAAACTGGTCTGCTGCACCTGAGCGTCATTCTTCAAAGGACTGATGATAGACACTGTGCATCGCATCTGGTGCTGCGGTAAGCCGACACCACCCAGCTGCTTGGCCTGTCAACTGGGTGGGCATTCCAGCTCTGAACCCCTCCAGGACATCCCAAAGAACAAAGAGGGTGGCAGTGGAGGAAAGGCCCTGATGGAGAGGAGCTAAAAAGAGGGGAGGGAGAGGGGATCCAGTCCAACCTGCAAACAACCAAATCTACCATGAAACAGGCAGAATGGGAAATAGGAGAGGGTGGCTCGTGAGGGGCACGTGATCCAAAAGCCCCATTTTCTGGCTCCATAGCACTAGATGCTGAGCAGCTGGAGTCTAAGCCCATGGACCCCATAGCTCAGACCAAGTTGAAGAGAAGAGCTGGATGGGCTTGCAAATCAGCAGAGCTGAAAATAGACTGATTCATTTCCCATCTATTCAAGCAGCCAGCTTGGTTCAGCTACAATAGGATGGCTCTGGGTAGCCGTCCCACAGAAAATAGCTATTTGTCAGCTGCTCAAGAGAGGCCAGGGAGCCAAAAGTCCAACTTTATTCCACTAACCACCTGGAAATGGAAAATGAATCAGAAAGAAGTTTGAAGTGTATATTTTTGTGCTTTGGTGAGGGACCTGCCCTGAGCAGATAACCTACAAACTCAACAGCAATCCATTCGGACTGGGTTTCCCAGAGGACATTGCAGAGAAGCAAGTCTTTTAAAGCTGTGATGGTGCCCACAAGTTCTATTCAGCTTCAGCTAGGCCCTTCCAGATGAATCGTCAGAGAATTCCTGGATCGGATGAAGGAAGCCAGAAGGCTGGGGTTCCTACCGCCTGTTTCGCTAGTGGTACCAAGTTTGGCTAGGAAGTTTCTATACTCATCTCCTCCCACCCAGCCCCACCCCGAGAAAAACTCTTACTTCACACTTTCCCCCTCCTAGTCATCTTAGCCAGTTAGAAAAGATGATGCTGTCAAAGAAAACAGCAATCACCACCCCCTGCCTCAGCTTACCACAATTTAGGCCAAAATTAAAATAAGTAGTTTAAAAAGGGAAACAAGAGGGAAAGGATTGATGAGAGATTGAGGGATAATAAAAGCAGGGAAAGGAAAGGAACGGAAAGGAAAGGAACGGAACGGAACGGAACGGAACGGAACGGAACGGAACGGAACGGAACGGAAAGGAAAGGAAAGGAAAGGAAAGGAAAGGAAAGGAAAGGAAAGGAAAGGAAAGGAAAGGAAAGGAAAGGAAAGGAAAGGAAAGGAAAGGAAAGGAAAGGAAAGGAAAGGAAAGGAAAGGAAAGGAAAGGAAAGGAAAGGAAAGGAAAGGAAAGGAAAGGAAAGGAAAGGAAAGGAAAGGAAAGGAAAGGAGAAGGCTGGAGGAAAATGGGAAAGAAATGACAATGGAAAGGGAGAGAAAGGCAAAGGAGAAAGTCAGGGGAAGAAGATGGGATGGGGAGGGTGGCTGACAGAGGAAAAACAGAGGGAAATCTAAATCACTGTCTCCCTTATCTCATTCCTCCTGAGAATCAAAACAGTTTAACTTACAAAAGGCAGAGACATTTCCAACTAGGGCAGTCCAGGGGCCATAGGATTCCAGCCTCTGAGCTTCAGGCAGGAACAAAGGAGAGAAGCAGGAAAGAAGTACCTTCCATCACAGCCCTGGGTGGGGGGAGTGGAGGGGCCCGGGCAGGGCTCTGGGGGAGCCTGAGGCCCGAGGGCAGAGGCAGGTAGCTTGGACATTCACCTCCACATCCAGGACAGGTCAAGACTGCGTAGAAGGGACTGATGTCATTCCCTAGACTTCCTCCCTTTTAGGTCGCACATTGTTTTAGGATCTTCCCTTGTTCTTTTCACTGACTTCCTGCCACTAGGATCTCCCCATAGCTTTTGCCTCTCTGGGACATTGCAGGAGACCACCGCTACCAGTGCCTTCTTGAGAGCTGCAGAAAACTGGAGTAAAGGAAGAAATTAAATAAGACCGGTGTGAAGCAGCCCTGTCGTCCAGAGTTCTCCTTCATCTGGAGAGAAAAGATTTGAGAGGAAGATTCCAGCAGTTTCAACCCCACACTAAATTTCCACCCTTAGCAAATTGCCACCTTGCCAGAAATTCTACAATTTACTATTCGTCAGTTACTGGTGCTTTCCTATGAATTGGCTTATCTGATTGCACAGGAATGCAAAGTGATATATACAAGATCTCCCCACCCAGGAGGTCTCCTAGGGCCATGGGCCATACTTGTGTGTCTGTATGTGTCTAAATACATAGAATACATTCACATAATCTTTCAAATGACCATGGCTGCCAAACAAATTTACCCTAAACTTAGTGATGTCAACCAACCATTTATTATGCTCACAAATTATCTGAGTCAGGAATTCAGAGTGGAACGAGAACAACTTGTCTCTGCTCCATGATGACTGAGCCATCAGCTGGAAGACCCAAAGCCTGGGGGCTGGAGTCATGCAGAGCCTGGCAGATGATGGTGGTTGATGCTGAGACCTTAGCTCCAGGTTGTCAGCCACACCACCTATGCATGGTTTCTCCATTTAGCCTGGGCTTCCTCCCTGCATTGTGTCTGGGTTCCCAGGATGAACAGCACCTCATAGAGAGCCAGTCTGAAGCCAGATCACCTTATGATCTAACTCAGAAGACACACAGCTTGTCTTCTGCCACATTCTATTCATCAAGATAATCACCAGTTTCAAGGGGAAGAGAAATGGACTTTCCTTCTTGATGGAGAACAGCATATAGAATCATCAATGTTGTGGCCAATAGCAAAGACATGGAATTTATCTAGGTGTTCATCAATGATAGATTGGATACAGAAAATGTAGTACATATACACGATGGAATATTACACAGCCATAAACAAGAATAAAGTCATGTCCTTTGTAGCAACATGGATGGAGCTTGAAGCCATTATACCAAGCAAATTAACACAGGAACAGAAAACCAAATACTGTATTTTCTCACTTATAAGTAGGAGCTAAACACTGAATACACATGGGCACAAAGAGGAGAACAATAAACACCAGGGCCTACTTGAGGGTGGAAGGTGGGAGGAGGATAAGGATCAAAAACTACCTATTAGTTACTATGCTCATTACCTGGATTACAAAACCATTTGTATTCAAAGCCCCAGAGACATGCAATTTACCCGTGTAACAAACCTGCACATGTATCCCCTGAACCTAAAGTCAAAGTTGGAAAGAAAAAATAAATAAATAAAAATAATTTTTAAAAAAATGTTGGGGCCAGGCCAAGGCGAGCAGATAAGGTTAGGAGTACAAGACCAGCCTGGCCAACATGGTGAAACCCCATCTCTCCTAAAAAAAAAAAAAAAAAAAAAATAGCTGGGTGTGGTGGCAGGCACCTGTAATCCCAACTACTCAGGAGGCTGTGGCAGGAGAATTGTTTGAACCTGGGAGCTGAGATCATCCCACAACATTCCAGACTGGGCAACAGAGCAAGACTCTGTCTCAAAAAAAAAAAAATGTCTATCTTTATATCTTTAGTAAATAGAGGCCGAGCACGGTGGCTCATGCTTGTAATTCCAGCACTTTGGGAGGCTGAGGTGGGCAGATCACCTGAGGCCTGGAGTTTGAGACCAGCCTGATCAACATGGTGAAACCCCATCTCTACAAAAAACAAAAAAAAAATTAGCTAGATGTGGTGGCACGCACCTGTAATCCCAGCTACTCGGGAGTCTGAGGCAGGAGAATCACTTGAACCCAGGAGGTGGAGGTTGCAGTGAGCAGAGATGGAGCCATTGCACCCCAGCCTCAGCAACAAGAGTGAAACTCTGTCTCAAAAAAAAAAAAAAGAAAAAAGAAAATAGAATCTGCCTCATACACTTACAGTATTTTCCCCAAACAGCATAATAACAGATGGCTAATGTATGCTTTACACTTTTCCAAACACTTGAAAGTACTTACAATATCAGATGCTCACAAAACACTCATGTACAAGGGAAGGCAGTTAATGCTATTCTTATTTTTCATATAAGAAAAATGCATACCAAAAAAGGTTGAGTGACACATGAAAGATCTGGCTTATTGGGGGATCAAAGACTAGAACCCAGGATTTCTCCCTCATGGGCCAGCCTTTTCCCAAGACACGACTCAGAACAGGACTGGCTTTGGGTGGCCCATGTTCACCATTTGTATCCACAGCAATGTCGGCAACAGCTTCAGGAGTCTGCTCTGTAGGAGTTAGAAACAGCTATTTGTACACTTCCCAAGCCTGTCTTATGCACCTGCCATAACTACACTCATGCTGTTCCCTGTGACTGGAATGGAATAACACTGCCCTCAAACCTGGTATCCTTTCTAGCTATTTATCCTTCACTAGCTGCTCCTCCAAGGTCGCCTCTGATAAGAAGCTTTCCCTGACTCCCCTAGAGGTAGTCTGACTCTGCTGTGGACTTTCACAGTTCTTGGGGTGGTTATTCTTCATCATTCTTACAACATTCTGTCATAATCTATATTTATACTACTGCCTTTTCAACCACACTGTGAGCTCCTTAATTGTAGAGATTTTTTCTCAATACCACTGTATTCCTAAGGCTCAAGGTACTACTGGACATGCTAGGTGCTCAAGAAATATCTATGAACAGTTTGACAGCTCCTCAAAAAGTTGATTACCACATGAGCCAGCAATTCCACTCCTAGGTATATGCCAAAACAATTGAATGAAGGAACTCAAAAAGATACTTCTACACCAAGTGCAAAGCAGCATTATTTACAAAGCCAAAAGGGAGAGACAACTCAAATGTCCAAGGACAGATGAGTGGACAAACAAAATACAGTATATAAATACAATGGACTATCATTCAGCCTTAAACAGCAATGAAATCTTGTCATATGCTACAACATGGACGAACCTTGAAGATATTACATGAAGTAAAATAAGGCAGTCACAAATGGAGAAATGCTGTATGGTTGCACTTCTATGAGTTACCTAAACTAGGCTAATTCATAGAGACAAAAAGCAGAATAGAGATCACCAGTAGCTAGAGGAAGGAGAAATGAGAAGTAGTTTAATGAGATTAGAGTTTCTGTTTGGAAAGATGAAAAACTTCTGGAGACGGATGGTAGTGAACGTTGTGCTATATTACAAATGTATTTTATGCCACTGAATTGCACACCTAAAAATGGTTAAGATACAGCAAATGTTATGTTATATGTACCTGGACACACCAAAAAAGTATCATTTATTCAGTCACTCAACTCAGAGAGTGTGGTAGAATAGAAATCCCCTTTGACTAAGACACTAGCCACTTGAGCCAGCTCCAATTCACCAAGTTGTATTAAACAAGTCACTTCACTTGTCTGGATTTCAGTTTCCTCATCTACAAAGTGAAGTTACACTGTGCCACCTCTCTGCTCACAGAAGCAGCCCTGTGAAGGGCTCTAAACAGGACAGCAGCTGGGATGCAGGGGGCAGGTGCTCCCAGCCTCTGCCAGGCAAAGGACCAGAGATGCACCCTGAGGCCCGGCCTTGTATGGGCTTCACCCATTTGGAAATCCAACAAGGCTGTCCAAATTACAGCAGAGAGGCCCTATAGACAGACACATGGGAGGCTTGCAGGGAGAACTCTTCCCCACACCTCCTCAAACAATCCTTTAAACCTTAACTTGAGAGTCCACAATAAGAAGCTTTTCTCTATTGCTTCACATTGTTAATATCAGTTTTATTTAATGTCCAATATTGGGTTTCATGTTGCCCAAAGCATCACATTCTGTTTCTTCCCCAAACATTAGCCTAAAGTACTAATGATCTACTTATTGCCAAATCCAATGCTAACTTTCAGACATTTCTTAGTTGACTCCTGAGGCATTCAACGATAATGGCTACTGTCTCCTTCAAGGTCTCCCCTCCACTCCCCTGGTGTTTTGACTGGCACCATTGTCCCAGTTCTCTCTGCCTCTCGGGCTGCCTCCACTTTCCTCTCATATGTTGCTCTGCCCCTGGCTTACAAGGGGCTTGCCTTGTTAATCTCTCTATTCTCACTGTCAAGAGTCTCAACTGCAATATGAGAATGATAATTTCCAAACCTGTATCTCCGGCCCATTCCTCTCTCCTAGACTCTGGGTCTGATCACCCAACCTCCTGTTACCTATGTCTACCTGACGAACCTCACCCAGGTAGCACAGGCTCCACATGTCCCATCCTGAATTCACTGTATCTACCCTGTTCCTCCTCCAAGGAGAAAGCGGCTCTTCCCAGTCACAAAGCAAGTTTGTTTCACTCTCTCTAGACACACAACTGTCTCTTTTTCTCCCCAAACTTATGTGCTTTCCCAAGTGTTTCATGCAGACTGTTCATTTCTTATGTCACTAGGACATACAGTAAAACCACATATCATCAGGTAAGGATGATGTTCACATTCCAAAATTGTAGGGAGATTTTTTTTTTCTCAGGAAGAAACAGTAACTCTAAAGGCCTGAGGGTATGCCATAGACAACTTGATGAGGTAGAGAAATGATGCTATGGCAAAGTAACATCAGAAAGGTCATAAGACAGAAAACAATAAGAGGCAGGGTGAGTTGGGAGGGGAAGAGAATAAGTATCAAAATCTCTCCATATCTTGAGAGCCAACTCACATAGGAAATAGATTCTGGATAATTAACTATGCCTGTAAACTTATCATCTCACTCCCAGCCCTGCAAATCTTTCTGAAACAGTCATTCTCTAGTGAAAACTACTGATAGTTCCCTTCCCGGGGGCAGTGTCTATCTCAAACCTCCCATCCATGAAATCCTTACTAGGGATGTTCTGCTTGGACACACAGGCCATCAACCGGGTACCTGCAAACTACAACCACAGGCAAAATTCAACTGACTGCCTGTTTTTATATGGCACTCAAGCTAAGAATGGTTTTTACATTTTTAAATGGTTTTTTAAAAAGTTAAAACAAGAATAGCATTTTATAACATATGAAAATTATATGAACTTTAAATTTCAGTGTCCATAAATAAAGTTTTGTTGGAACACAGCCAACCCAATTCATTTACATATTCTCTGTAGCTGCTTTCACACTACAACAGCAGGTCCACAAATCTTAAAATATTTACTATCTAGTTCTTTACTGAAAAAGTTTGCTGACGCCTGCCTTAAATCCACCTGAATTACACCCCTCCCCACCCCCAACTTCTTTGGAAGAAACCATATGCACTCCTAAGCCATCTGCTAGACTCTCTTCCCACCCAGTTCCAGGATCCTTAAATTAAATGGGTTATGTAAAGCCCAATTTAAATTTACAGCCCCCATTCCCTTTGCCCACAAAGCCCGTGCGATTCCTCCTACCTATGCTGAACTTTTTCTTTCTCTGAAATCCACCTGTTGTACTACTCGCTAGTGTGTTAATTTACTACATTGTGTCTTTATGTTTTATTGTGTTAGTACTATAAACTCCTTGAGGCAGGTTATGTGTGTTACTCAATTTAATACACATGGTTTGAGCTCTTAGTATGTGCAAGGTACTAAAGGAGTCTGAGGAGGCTTAAGACATAATCTGTTTTCACAGATTTACAATCTGGTAGAAATAGAAACATTAATTTTTATGATGCACTATATTTTAGACAGATAGACAGATAGATGATAGATAGATAGATAGATAGATAGATAGATAGATAGATAGATAGACAGATGTGAGAGTTCAAATAGGGGAAATGTCCCATCCAGTTGGGCAGGGAGGGAGAGCCAAACTAAGAACCAGAGTTCCTTGGGGCTCAACAAAGTATGATCAGGTTAACGATGAACCCCAAAGAGACAAAAGTTACCCCTGGTTCAGCTGGATAGGCGATCCCCTTCCCACCTGGAGAGTTTCCCTCAGGTTAGAAACTTAGAGAATCTAAACTTTCTGTCAACAGGAGAGATGTCTCCTTACCTTGCCATATGTATTGTAGATGACCAAGGACTTGAACCAGGGCCAGAGATTGACAAGTCCAAGGAGTGAGACTTTAGGTACAATGTAAAAAAGAACTCATATTCAGAGTTCAAAGATGAGACAGACTACTTTAAGAGAATATGAGAAGCCTCCTACTAAGAGAGGTTTAAATATATACTAGCTGCTCATCTAACAGAATGTAGGCAATGGTTGATATTTAAAGTGATTGGTCTGTAATTAGAAATATGATTACAGACCAGCAGCATCTACTTCACCTGGGAGTTAGATGCTATGCAGATTCTCAGTCCTCACATCCGAATTACTGGATTGGAATCTCCCAGAATCTAGTTATTGAAATTGCTCCAGGTGATTCGTAGCCATATTGAAAGTTGAGAACCGTGAACTAGACAACTTTTGAATTTCCTTTCAAACCTGAGTTCTCACCTTCAAAATGAGGAGCTAGAACCCCTTAAGAGACTAGACATTAGTAATGTTCTTGTAGATAACATCTTTGCTATTTCTCTAAAAGAGATTCCCAAAAACTACCAGTATCTTTACTGTTGTTGGGAGCATCAAATTTAAATACCAAGGAGATTCAGGAAATGTTATAAATTAGACCTTCTAAATGGTGTGCCATTATAGACATTTCATTTTCATATGTACTCAATTTCATATACCAACACGCTAAGGACTCCAAGCAATGCTTTCTTGGTTCATATCTGACCAATACCACATGTTCAGTCACAGCTAAAAGGGGCCCCATGACTTATTTTGATCCAACTCCAGGAGGAAACCCAGTGCCTGGGAACCTACAATCCTAATATCTTGGGTCCTAGTGTATGTAAAATACCATCCAAGTATATTTCCCCATTCTCAGTACCAAAAGGAAAAAAAGAAGGCAAAAGACTTGTACAATCTTTTTCCAGTCTCCCCACCCCCGCACAAATTGTATTCTGCACACATGCTGAAGCATTAGCATCGGCTGATTTGGAAGGAATATTGGAAATGAAGTGATAGCAGAGTAAATGTCAATGCATTCAGTGTGACACCGTGAGCACCAGATCTTAAACAGCTTCATCATTGTGGCATTTACTGTATCCTGAAATAATATTAATCCCACTGTTGTCCTTCTTGATGGAATCATCCATGAATATGGTTTATGGGCCTGGCCAAAGTGATAATAGGTTAAAAGAACAGCCTATCCAGTGTTCCACTAAATTAAGGTCGCTTCATGGAATTTAATGAAACAAGTGCTGCATGGGGTTTTCAAAGGACGTTCTTGTAATTCATGTCTATTTAGGGCTCCTGATAACCAGAAACCTAATTTCTTAGAGTAAAATAGCTTTCTGTAAAGCCTGGTCATATAGAAGAATAAAAAAGAAAAAACTTTAAAGGGCAATGATCAGACTTCCACTGTAATATTTTGTTATTTCAAATCCAAAGTTTAAGCAAAAAAAAAAAAAAAAAAAAGTTGGGAGGGAGCAATAAGACATTTTGAATAAAACAAAATATGAAAATTAATCAGATCCATATGTCATTCTGCAGCTGAATGCTGAAATAAAGATTTGGTCCTACCCACTCCCTTTAGCCACATACCTAGGGAAATAAAAAGGTCTTGGGATATAGGAGGCCACCGCATGCTAGAAATGATGAGAAATGAAATAACTGTTCTGACTTTGAGAGTGGTAGAGGGAAGACAATGGCAAATGTTTCTAGGCAGGTATTCCCATTCCACTTATCAAGGCTAAACAGGGCTCACACATTTAAACCTTCTCCAAGAGAGCCATAACCCCAGACTAATGTCCCTAGAGGTATTGGAACATTTCTTTACCCTTGCCAAAGACTAAGTGAAAGTATTAAACAATCGCAGGTATTTATTTTGAATCCAATATGGGTAGAAAGGACATTCCATCTATTTTAAGGTAGAGGTAAGTCCCAAAGAGATGCATTGAATTCTTTTTGAACTATTCCTTTTCTTGTCCCCTATCACCAATAACTTGATGGTTTTTCTGGTTACAGTGGAGATCACAAATTCAAATACCAATAGAGGACAGACAGGTAACTTAAATGGGTGAAGTGAGCTAGGAGAAATAGACATTGAGACTATGCTCAACAGGGGAGTGCTTGTCCCTTTAAGTCCCTTTAACAAGGAGAAGCCCATGTCAAGCTTGAGACCATTGGTTCTGTGCAGGAACATAGTGTTGCTATATTTTCAAGAGATTCCAGAAACTTTAAAATTTTATGTGAAATAATCTAGCTCTTAAGTGGCACAATTTAATTTTCTTTCAATTATAGGACGTCATGACTGTGGGCTGTGATCCTAACTCAGCTTTCAGATTAGGAGTTTGTCACTCTTGACAGAGCAACAGCCAGCAATGTCATTGAGGCTTTGAGGCACTAGGGTAGAAAAGAGAAAGTGGTATTAAATATAAACCCAAAAAGTATGTAGAACAATGCATAAATCACATTATATAAAGAGAAGCCATTACTCTATCTAACCCACTTTCTCTATGCATTGGGCCTATTTGCAGTCAATTTTCAGTTAATTTTGCTTTCTAGGCAAATCTTTGTAAAGGGCCTGAGGTCAGGGTTATTTTCTCTGACTCCAAGGCAGGTAGGGAGGGTCTGCAGCCACCCACTACCTTCTCAGTGACCCTTGCTGTTGGTCTCCATGAAAAAGTCCTCCTTTCCTCCCCGATCAGCCAAAGTCTATTCTGAGCTTCCCCTTTTCACTGAAAATTCAGAAGGCTGCCTCCCTGTCTCTCAGTCTATTTCAGTTATATTTCTCAAGGCAAAACCGGGTTAATTACCCAGAAAGTTGGCCGTCATTTAAGGGCCCGATTTACTTAGACCCAGAAGCCACATATGTGATAGATTCAGCACAAGTTCCCAGGGCAGCCTCCCTGATCCCCAACCCACGCATGGTAGGATGACCCAGTTTTTCCGCCTCTAAAATGCAAAAGGTGTAGTCTGGCCACAAACAAGGGCCCAGGTGCCTTCTGGGCAGGTATCCCCCGACTGTAAGCCAAGTAGAGAACTGTAAAAAGGCAAGCACTAGCCCCCAGCCACGGCCAAGGAAGGAGAAAATGGTGAAACTACAGTAGCTGTGCAAGCCCATGTGCCCATGTGGGTTGGAGCAGAACAAGGTCTCCAGCTGTCTGAGTGTTCCAGGAGAAAGCGCAGTGTGAAAGTGCACACTCTTTACCATGCATGGCCTAGCTCAAGGATGTCTTTTCCTTGACACTGTCTCTGCCAACTCCTTCTTCCTTTTTCTCCTGTGAGCACATAGCAGGTACGGTCTATACTGCGTGACACCTTGTCTTGTTCTACTATTTAACTCTTTTTGTGTCTAGACCTGAACTCTATGATGAACTATTTAAAAAGAGGTATATTTGTGATACCACTCTGCATTCCACACAGGGCTAACACTGAGCCCTGAGTGTATGTGCAGCCCAGTTCACATCTATGAAAGGAAGAGAGGAAAGAAGCTGTCCATCAACATACAAAAGTCAAACTCAGCCACAGAGGGAAATTCCACTACATAAAGGATACAGTCAGAGGATAAAAAAGTGGCACACATTGATCAATTAACAGTTTATAAAATGGGGTTTTCAGGCCAGGTGCCATGGCTCATGCCTATAATCCCAGCACTTTGGCAGGCTGAGACAGGCAGATCACTTGAGGTCAGGAGTTTAAGACCAGCCTGGCCAACATGGTGAAACCCCATCTCTACTAAAAATACAAAAATTAGCCGGGTGTGGTGGCACACACCTGTAATCCCAGCTACTGGGGAGGCTGAAGCAGGAGAATTGCTTGAACCTGGGAGGCAGAGTTTGCAGTGAGCTGAGATCGCGCACTGCACTACAGACGGGGCAACAGAGCCAGACTCCGTCTCAAAAAAAAAAACAAAAATGATTGGATTTTTAAGCTGACATTCCAAGTTCCCGGTCACAATAACCTGAAGTGAAATGGTGATACAATTTCTTCACAATCTTGTGATTCAGCCTTAATACATTCTTAAAATACTTATTTGGGTCTATTCATAACAACAATAAAAACCTATTACGACAGGAAATATATCCCCTAAAATATATTCTGATACTTGACAAAAAAAAAACACACACACACACACATTTGTCTTCCAATAATGCCAGAGGCCACTGGTTTGTAGTCAATTCAGAAAGAAGTCATTCATGAGGAATGTTTTTGGCTTCCAAAAACATTCAAAAAAATCAGAACAATGGAATCTCCTTTGGCAAATATGAGACATGAGACTATTTCCTCAGGGCAATCCAGATGTATCTCTGAGGACTCAGCTCCATAGGAATCAACATGATCTCCAGAGAATGGTGCAGGTCAGCTGGG